>NC_000011.10:13185000-13810000 GCF_000001405.40 Homo sapiens | reverse complement strand
ATTCTGCCAGCTCCCTCACCTCCTTCAGGTCCTTACTGAAACATTATTTTCTCCGTGAGGACTTCCTTGATCATTCTATTTAAAACTGTTCTCCCAACACTGCCTACTCTTATTTTCCTCTATTTCTTGTCATCAAAAGTACTATATATCACTAGGGTCTATGTAGGTGTTCAATAAAAATTGGTTGATTGAATGAATGTCCAAAAGTCAGAGGCTTTTGCTCTTGTTTTTGTTTTTGATTTAAATACAACTTAAGTCAGAATCCTTCTGAAATATCATTGTTCATTCCAGGGAAACGTGTTTTGTCAAGTATTAGCTCATTCATTTTCTCAACCAACAAATCAACAAGCTTTGGAGTTTACTGCATGCCTAACACTCTACTCAGTAGGTATACATTGGTGAAGGAAAGAAACAGGGTCCCAACTCTCCTGAAACTCAAGGTTTCTAAAAAGAGACAAAGGCTATGAAGGCAAGTTGATTGGAGTCAGCTGGCTTGGCTTGTTGCTACACGGATTTACTTAGGATGGGGCAAACCCAATTCCTGGAAATCTACTCTTACCATATTCCACAGATGGATCAGTCCCAACATACACAATTAAACAAGACACCAACATCATATGCAATTAATTTCAGGCTAGGCATGGAAGATAATATAAGTTTAAGAAAGAAAACCTGTTTCCTTAAGTGTCTTCTAAGTCTGCTAGTTCTCTGTTAAATAGCTGTAATAATTGAGATTTGATGACCTCTATATTTCTAGAGAAAGGAGGGGCCAGGGAGACTGACATGTTGGGCTTTTGGGTAGCTTTCAAGCAATAACATTTATATTCTTTATCTAAACTTAAATATTCAGAGAACATGTACATCCATTCCTCACCTCAGGCTGCCATAGATTTTTCCAACAGCCTTTCTCACCCTGTTCTCAGATGGCCATATTTTTTTAATATGTGCATCCTGTGTGTTTTAATACACAGTATTTCACAAGTTTTCATTGTTCACACTGGAGTGTGGGCCAAGGTGGGGGTGGTGTGAGGGAGGAGATGCTCACCAAGCAGAAGTTTGAGAGCAGAAGCAGTTCAAACCAAAATCGACTGTATTTCCTCTGAACTTTGCAAAACACAACTCAGAGGAAAAACACATCACAATGTCCAGCACGTTGTGGGGTCTCAAAAACATATTATTGAATTAACATTTTCAAAACTGTATTCAGAAGATATTTCAGGCAGGGCCACACCCACCCAAGTTATTCAACAGAACAGAACTGAGAATAACATGTTGTTTCTAACAAATTTAATGATACCTTGCTTTGGTTTGGCTCATTTGATTGTAAATGTAGCCCAGATGGCCTCAACTCCACTAACCTTCTGGAGTCACTCTTTGCTTTATTCCTTTTTTAAAAAACGGTGTGTGTGTGCATACAAACGAGAAATAAAACACACAGAGAAAACTAAACAAATTCAGTATGTAATTCAATTATTTATCACAAAGTGAACACTTTGTTGTCAATATCCAGGTCAAGAACTAGAACACTGGCAACACCCACGAGCCCCCTCTCGTGCCTGGTCCCAAGTGTAGCCCCTTCTTTCCCTCCAAGGTAGCTGCTATCCTGACTTTTATGGTAATCATTTTCTAGAATTTCTTTTTAGTTTTACCAGCTATTCATGCATCCCTAAAAAGCATAGTTACATCTTTCCATTTAAACTTGTAATGAATGGAATGATACAATATGTGTTCTTCTGTGTCTAGTTTCTTAGCTTAATAGACTGTGCAACACACCTTGTTGTGTATAGCTATAATTAGCTATAATTTATTCATTGAAATTCTTGTATTTTATTATATGACCATGCCATAATTCATTAATAACATGAGTTGTTTCCAGTTTGGGATTATTACAAATAAGGCTGTCATATATTTTTATATGCTTATACATGTCTCAAGGTACACATATGCATTCATTTCTCTTGAGTATTATTGTGGGTTGATTTGTGTTCTTAAAAAAGATATGTTGAAATCCTCACTCCTAGTAATTGTGAATGTGATCTTATTTGGAAATAGGACTTTGCAGATGTAAGTAATTAGGATGGACCCCTAATCCAGTATGACCCGTGTCCTTATGAGAGAGGGAAAGTTGAACACAAGACACAGAGAAAGAAGACGGCCACACAAAGACACAGGCAGAGACTGGAGTTACACTGCCGCAAGCCAAGGACCCAAGCCCTAGAAGAGGCAAGGAAGAATCTACCCCTAGAGGTTTCTAAAAGAGCAAGACGCTGCCAACACCTTGATTTCAGATTGCTAGCCTCCAGAACTGTAAGAGAATACATTTTTGTTGTAAGCCACCCAGTATATGGCACTTAGTTGTGGCATTCCTAGCAAACTAACACAAGGGTACACCCAGGAGTGAAATTGCTGGTTTCTAAGGCATACCTATATTTAAATTTTATAGTCAATGCCAGAGAGTTTTCCAAACAATTATAATTTCCACTCCCACCAATGAATAAAAATTTCTATTGTTCCATATCTTTACCAAAACTTGATATTATCCATCTTTTTAGTTTTGGCCATTTTGATGGATATATAGTGGCACCTGATTGTGGTTTTATTTAGCATTTTCCTGATTCCTAATGAGAATGTGCCTTTTCATACACTCTTTTCAATAAAAAATTATTTATTTTCATTGTGGTAAAGCTGCACTATATAAATTTCACCCTCTCAACTATTTTAAGTGTACAGTATCATTCACTATATTCACACTGTTGTGTAGCAGATCTCTAGAACTTTTCATCTTGCAAAACTGAAACCCTATATCCATCAAACACAACTTCCCGTTACTCCCTCCCCCTTCCTCACCCCGGAAACCATCTTCCTATTGCTACTTTCTGTACCCATGATTTTGACTACCCTACATATCTCATGTAAGTGGAATCACACAGTATTTGTCCTCTGGAATGGTTTACTTCATTCAGTATACACAGTGTCCTCCAGGTTCATCCATGTTGTAGCATGTGGCAAGATTTTCTTCTTTTTTAGAGACAGGGTCTCACTCGGTTGCCCAGGCTGGAGTGCAGTTGTGTGATCACAGTTCACTGTAACCTCGAACTTCTGAGCTCCAACAAGACTACTGCCCCAGCCCCAGCCACCCTGCCTCAGAAGTCAGGACTACAAGTGTGCACCACCACACCCAACTAATTTTTTTATGTATAATTTTTTGTGGAGACAGAGTTTCACTATGTTACCCCAGCAGGTCTCAAACTCCAGGACTCAAGCGATCTACCTCAACTTCCCAAAGTGCTGGGACTACAGGCGTGAGCCACCTTTCTTCTTTTAAAGACTGAATGTTATTTGAATGTTATTCCATTGTATGTATATACCACCTTTTCTTTATCCATTCATGCATCAGTAGGCGTTTGCGTTATTTCCATTTCTTGGCTATTGTGAGTAATGCTGCAATGAACATGGGTATACACACACCTTTTCAAGATCCTGCTTTCAATTCTTTTGGATATATAGCCAGAAGTGGAATTGCTGGGTCATACGGTAATTTTGACGGACCACCATACTATTTTCCATAGCAGCTGCACCATTTTACATTACCACCAACAGTGCACAAGGGTTCTAATTTTTCCATGTCCTTGCCAACTGTTACTTTTTTTTAGTGGCCATCCTAATTGGTGTGAGGTGATATCTAATGTAGTTCTGATTTGCATTTCTCTAGTGATTAGTGATGTTGAACATCTTTTCATGTTTGTTGGCCATTTGTATATCTTCTTTGAAGAAAGTCTATTCAAGTTCTTTGCCCATTTTAAAATTGGGTAATGTGGTTTTTGCTGTTGTTGGGTTGTAGAAGTTCTTTTTATATTCTGGATGTTAAACCTATATATGTGTGTGATATGTATATATATCAAATATCTCTAGATGTTAAACTCTTATCACATATATATCAAATATTTTCTCCTATTCCATAAGTTGTCTTTTTATTCTGTCGTTTCCTTTGATAAATGGAAGTTTTTAAGTTTGAGGTAGTCCAGTTTATCTATTTTTGCATTTGTTGCCTGTGCTTTTGGGGTCATAGCTAAGAAATCATTGCTAAATCCAGTGTCATTAAGCTCTCTCCCGTTTTCTTCTATCAATATCATTTAGGTTAGTCTTAGGTTGTATTTATGTATTTTCAACATTGTTTCAGTCATGTTATCCAATATATGGTTCAAAGTCTACTTTCTCCAATTGTTTCCCCAAAAGAGCTGTTGTGTTTTTTTCCAATCTAAAATTGAATCCAAGCTGGGTGCAGTAGCTCAGGGGGATCACCTGAGCCCAGGAGTTTGACACTAGCCTGGGCAACATAGCAAGGCCCTGTATCCTTTTACTGGCTCGTCAGGTTCCTGGGTTCTCTTCACTGAGGCTTGCAGAAGAACAGAGTGGCTTTGGTGAGTTATGCTCACATGCTGTAACTATGGGGGCCAAAGGCATACAAATGTATTTAATGTGTATACATAGGAACCTTCAGAATGAAGACTCAACTTCCCAGTGAGATACAGAAACTTACATATCATCTTTAGGTTACAGAAAGAATGGGGGCTTGGATCCTGGTAAAAGTTGGATGGGGGTCTTTTCATATATTTATGGGTCATTTGGGATATGCTATTGTGAAGTGCTTGCTCAACTATCTCACTCATTTTTCCTTTGGATTGTCTTTTTCTTATTGCATGCATATATATACACACACACACACACACACACACACACACATACACACATTCTGAATATGAGCCCCTTACTCATTATGTATGTTCTAAATATAGTCTCATATTTTCTTAGTAGTGCCCCTTGATAAACAGAAATTCTTAATTTTAATATGTCCTTATCAATCTATCAATCTTTCCCTTTTTGGTTTTGTTTTATGTGTGTTGTTTAAAAAGTCATTCCTACCTCAAAGTTAGGAAGATGTTCTCATGGATTTTCCTGTAGAAGCTGTACTGTCTTTGCTTTCTATCTACTATTCACTTGGGATTCATTTTTTGTACATAGTGAGGCAGGGGTTGAGATTTATTTTTTCCATGTGGACAGCCAGTTGACACAGCACCATTTATTGAAAAGTTTGCCTTTCCCCAGTTTTTCAGAGCCACATTTGTCACAAATTGTTTCTATGTCCATAGAGCTATTTTGTGGGATATTGTATTTGAGTAAACTATTTGAATATCTTTATGTCAATAATGTCTTAATTGCAGCTTTATAAGTTTTGATATCCAATAACACAAGTCTTCCCACTTTTTTCTCCTTCAAGATTATTTTGGTTATCTTTGGCCTTTTGCATTTCCATAAAACTTTTTAGAATCAGATTGTTAATGTTCATAATCTCTACACCAAACCTGTGACACACAGTTCACCTATATAGCAAACCTGCATGTGTACCCCTGAACCTAAAATAAATGTTTAAAAATAATACATTGAGATTTCGATTAGGATTGCATTGGAACTATAGATTAGTCGGGGGGGTTATATATTTTTTAAATTGAGTCTTAAAATCCACAGACATGACATGTTCCCCCATATATTTATGTCTTTAGTTTGTTTCTATAATGATATTCTGAGTGAAGGTCTTAGACATTTTTATCACATATATTTAATATTTTGATGTTAATCCAAATGATATCTTTTTAATTTCATTTTAAGTTATATATATTTTCATATATGGTGCAATTGATATTTTATATTCACCTAGTAGCACTTTGTTCAATTCATTTATTAACTCTAAATAATTTCTTTTAGACTTCTTTGGGCATATAATTATATTATCTGTGAATAATTGTAGTTTTTCTTCCATTGTAATTCTTATACTTTTAGTTTCTAATTTTTTCTTGCCCTAATGCATTGACTAGATCCTTCAATTTAATGTAAAATAGAAGTAGTAACAGTTGACTTCCATGCCCTATTGTTCCATGTCTTATTCTTGACTTCATAGGAAAGGTTTTCAGTATTACACATGAAGTATGTTTGCTGCATTTTCTAGGTACTTATTATCTGATTAAGAAGTTCTCTCCTGATCCTATTTTGCTTAGCATTTTTATCATAAATGGGAGTTAAATTTTATCAATTGGTCAAATTTTATCAATTGGTCAAATTTTATCAATTGGTCCTACTACATTTACAGAAATTATCTCATAATTTTTTCCTCCTTTATTCTGTTAATGTGGCGTCTTGGTCCTTTTAGGCTGCTGTAACAAAATACCATATACTGGATGGCTTATAAACAATAGAAATTTATTTCTCACAGTTCTAGAGGCTGGAAAATCCAAGATCAAGTTGTAGGCAAATTCAGTGTCCAACAAGGGCCTGCTTCCTTATAGACAACCATCTACTCCCTGTAATCTCACACAGTGGAAGGTGGGGTTGGGGAGAGATCTCTCTGGGGACTATTTTATAAGGGCGCTAATCCCATTCATGAGGGCTTTACCCTCATGATCTAATTACCTCCCAAAGGCCCCACCTTCAAATACCTTCACACTGGAGATTAGGATTCCACATTTGAATTTTGGGAGGATACAAACATTCAAACCATACATGTGGCAAATTACATTAACTAATTTTTGAATGTTAAACCAATAATGCATTCCTGGTTAAATTCTGTTTGGTTGTGATATTTTATCACTTTTTTATTTATCACTGGATTCGGTTTGCTAACATTTTAAAAAGATTTTTGCATGTATTTTTATGAATGAAATTGACTTTATTTTCTGTAATGTCCTTATCAAATTCAGGTATCAAAATCATAACTGCTTAATGAAACAAGTTGGAGGATATTTTCTCTTTTTATAGTCTCTGGAAGAGTTTAAGATTGATGTTATGTTTTCCTTAGACCATTGTAGAATCTACCAGTGAAACCATCTGGAACTGCAGTTTTCTTCATGTAAGATTTTAAATTATGTATTCTACTTAACAGTTGCAGGACTATCTGGATATTCTATTTCTTCTTGTGACAGTTTTGATAAGTTTGATAACATTTTCTAAAAATTTGATCAGTTTTCAGATTAATTACATTATTTTTAAGAACATTAAATTTCTTAATACTCTATTTTTTTTAACATTTGAATGATATAAAGTGACTACATTTTTTTCATTCATTACATTGTTTTCTTTCATGTTTTTGATGCGTCTCACTAGGGTTTTATAGAATTATTTTAACCTCTTCAAAAGACCAATTTTTGGCTATGCTGACTTCCATTTTAGTTTATTATTTCATTAATCTCTGTTTTGTTTTTTCTTTGTTGTTTTTTTTTTTTTTTTTTTTGAGACAGGGTCTTGTTCTGTTGTCCAGGCTGGAATTCAGTGGCATGATCACAGCTGCTCACTGCAGCCTTGACCTTCCCAGGCTCAGGTGATCCTCCACCTCAGCTTCCAAGTAGGTGGGCTACAGGCATGTGTCACCATACCAAGCCAATTTTTTTGTATTTTTTGTAGAGACGGTTTCACTGTGTTGCCAAGGCTGGTCTCAAACTCCTGGACTCAAGTGATCTGCCTGCCTTGGCCTCTTAAAGTGCTGGGATTACAGGTGTGAGCCACCAGGCCCAACTCCTTTCTTCTATTTTTTTAAATTTAATTTGATATTGTTTTTCCTATTTAAGTTGGATTCTCAGATCATTGGTTTTTTAGTCTTTTTTACTTTTCTAATGTACGTATTTCAACATGTAAATTTTCCACTAACATGCCTTTTTAGGACCACCCTTGTTAATTAAATCTTTAATTATTATAATGTGTCCCCCTTTCTTTTGTAAGGTATTGAAGTCTTTAACTGTGATGCTATAGCTGTACCAGCTTTCTTTTGAGTATTTTCATAATATCTCTTCTTTTTTCTATATATTTATATTTTATCTATATCTTGTATAAAGCATAAAGTTTTTTAGTAGTACCTAGTAATCTTTTATTTTTAATCAGAGCATTTAATTCATTTTCATTATAATAACTGATACATTTGGGTTTTAATTTTATGATTTTAGGATTTCTTTCTCTGTGTCCCATGTATTTTTTTCTCTTTTCCTACTTTCTCTTGAAGTGTTCGAATTATCCAAGTTTTCTTTTATGTTAGCTGGGACACCAAATGCTGTTTTATAATTCTTTTGGTGATTACCCTAGAGATTGCATCATGGCTTATCGACTTATCTAATTCAGTTTTAAGTGGCATTTTTTACCTTCTTTTGGACAATGTAAAGACTTTACAACACTTTATCTCCTTCTGACTCATGAGATCTTTATCATATAATTTATAAATTTATTTTAGGTAGTTTTATACAATAATTATATTTATTCATTTTTATGTCTCTTCATTCCTTCCTATATTACCAACCTGGTATTATTTCCTTCCAGTTTTTAATATTTCCTTTAGTTTAGATCTACTGGTTATGAACTTTCTCCATTTATATTAGAAAATGTATTTCACATTTATTCTTGAAGAATGTTTTTGATGGATGATGTGGTTTGGCTGTGTCCCCACCCACATCTTACCTTGAATTGTAATAATCCCCATGTGTTAAAGATGAGGCTAGGTGGAGATAATTTAATCAAGGGGGTAGTCTCCCACATACTGATCTCTTGGTAGTGAGTAAGTCTCATGAGATCTGATGGTTTTATATATGGGAGTTCCCCTGCACAAGCACTCTTGTCTGCCACCACGTAAGATGTGCCTTTGCTTCTCCTTTGCCTTCTGCCAAGATTATGAGATCTCCCCGGCCATGTGGAACTGTGAGTTCATTAAATCTCTTTCCATTATAAATTACCCAATCTTTGATATGTATTAGCAGCATGAGAACAGACTAATACAATGGATGATTTGAATTCTAAGGTTCACAATTATTTTCTTTTAGCACTTATTCCACTGTCTTTTGGCTTCCATTCTTTCTGTTAATGTGTCAGTTGCTGGTCTTATTGTTGTGCCTTTAAAGGTAATATGCCTGCCTTGTGGCTGATTTTAAGATTATTTCCTTTCCTTGTTTCTTAGCATCTTTACTCTGACATGCTAGATGTGGAATATTTATCCTGCAAGAAGTTTGCAGAAAAATCTTAAAACACTGGATTTATTTAATTTGCTAGTTTTGAAAATTCTCAGCCACTGCATTTCAAATATTGCTTCATTTCTATTCTTTCTCTCCTCTGCCTACTGGAATGTTGTGATGATTAATTTTATGTGTCAAGTTGATTGGGCTAAAGGATGCCCAGATAACTGGTAAAACATTAGTTCTGGGTGTACGTGTGAGGGTGTTTCCAGAAGACACTAGCATTTGTTTTTTTGATTTTTTTATTATTATACTTTAAGTTCTAGGGTACATGTGTACAATGTTGTACATGTGTACAACGTGCAGGTTACATATGTATACATGTGCCATGTTGGTGTGCTGCACCCATTAACTCGTCATTTACATTAGCTATATCTCTTAATACTATCCCTCCCCCCTACCCCTACGCCACAACAGGCCCCAGTGTGTGATGTTCCCCTTCCTGCGTCCAAGTGTTCTCATTGTTCAATTCCCACCTATGAGTGAGAACATGCGGTGTTAGGTTTTTTGCCCTTGAGATAGTTTACTGAGAATGATGGTTTCCAGCTTCATCCATGTCTCTACAAAGGACATGAACTCATCCTTTTTTGTGGTTGCATAGTATTCCATGGTGTATATGTGCCACATTTTCTTAATCCAGTCTATCATTGACGGACACTTGCGTTGGTTCCAAGTCTTTGCTATTGTGAATAGTGCCGCAATAAACATACATGTGCATGTGTCTTTACAGTAGCATGATTTATAATCCTTTGGGTATATACCCAGTAATGGGATGGCTGGGTCAAATGGTATTTCTAGCTCTAGATCCTTGAGGAATCACCACACTGTCTTCCACAATGGTTGAACTAGTTTACAGTCCCACCAGCGGTGTAGAAGTGTTCTTATTTCCCCACATCCTCTCCAGCACCTGTTGTTTCCTGATTTTTTAATGATCACCATTCTAACTGGTGTGAGATGGTATCTCATTGTGGTTTTGATTTGCATTTCTCTGATGGCTAGTGATGATGAGCATTTTTTCATGTGTCTGTTGGCTGCATAAATGAGAAGACACTAGCATTTGAATCAGTAAACTGAGTAAAGATCCTCACCAATGTGACTAAGTATCTTCCAGTCCACTGAGGGCCTGAATAAAACAAAAAGGCAGAGAAAGGACAAATTCAGTCTTTCTTCTTGAGCAGAGACATCCATCTTCTCCTGCCCTTGGACATTAGTGTTCTTGATTCTAGGGCCTTTAGGTTTGGACTAGAACTGCACCACTGGCTTTCCCAGGCCTCTATTTGCAGATGGCAGATTGTGGGACTTCTCAACCTCTATTATAATTCTGTGAGTGAATCCTTCATAATAAATCTCTATGTATATATCCTGTTGGTTCTGTTTCTCAGGTGAACCCTTATACAAATGTCAGTAATACAAATACAGAACTATATAGGATATGCCTATACCCCCCACTGGCCTCTTATCTTTCACTCTGTGTTTTTGCTACTTGTCTGTATTTCAGTCTGATGCTTTCTTTCAAACTATCTTCCAATGTATTAATTCTCTCATTAGCTGTTAAACCCATTCACTGAATCCTTAATTTTGGTTTTGATATCCAAAATACCCACTATTGTTTTTAAAAATAGCTTTCGGAGTCAAGATGGCCGAATAGGAACAGCTCCGCTCTACAGCTCCCGGCCTGAGCAATGCAGAAGACGGGTGATTTCTGCATTTCCATCTGAGCTTTGAAGAGAGCAGTGGTTCTCCCAGTACGCAGCTGGAGATCTGAGAATGGGCACACTGCCTCCTCAAGTGGGTCCCTGATCCCTGATCCCTGACCCCCGAGCAGCCTAACTGGGAGGCACCCTCCAGCAGGGGCACACTGACACCTCACACTGCAGGGTACTCCAACAGACCTGCAGCTGAGGGTCCTGTCTGTTAGAAGGAAAACTAACAAACAGAAAGGACATCCACACCAAAAACCCGTCTGTACATCACCATCATCAAAGACCAAAAGTAGATAAAACCACAAAGATGGGGAAAAAACAGAGCAGAAAAACTGGAAACTCTAAAAATCAGAGCGCCTCTCCTCCTCCAAAGGAACGCAGCTCCTCACCAGCAACGGAACAAAGCTGGATGGAAAATGACTTTGATGAGCTGAGAGAAGAAGGCATCAGACGATCAAATTACTCTGAGCTACGGGAGGACATTCAAACCAAAGGCAAAAAAGTTGAAAACTTTGAAAAAAATTTAGAAGAATGTATAACTAGAATAACCAATACAGAGAAGTGCTTAAAGGAGCTGATGGAGCTGAAAACCAAGGCTCGAGAACTACCTGAAGAATGCAGAAGCCTCAGGAGCCGATGTGATCAACTGGAAGAAAGGGTATCAGCAATGGAAGATGAAATGAATGAAATGAAGCCAGAAGGAAAGTTTAGAGAAAAAAGAATAAAAAGAAACAAACAAAGCCTCCAAGAAATATGGGACTATGTGAAAAGACCAAATCTACATCTAACTGGTGTACCTGAAAGTGATGGGGAGAATGGAACCAAGTTGGAAAACACTCTGCAGGATATTATCCAGGAGAATTTCCCCAATCTAGCAAGGCAGGCCAACGTTCAGATTCAGGAAATACAGAGAACGCCACAAAGATACTCCTCGAGAAGAGCAACTCCAAGACACATAATTGTCAGATTCACCAAAGTTGAAATGAAGGAAAAAATGTTAAGGGCAGCCAGAGAGAAAAGTTGGGTTACCCTCAAAGGGAAGCCCATCAGACTAACAGCGGATCTCTCGGCAGAAACCCTACAAGCCAGAAGAGAGTGGGGGCCAATATTCAACATTCTTAAAGAAAAGAATTTTCAACCCAGAATTTCATATCCAGCCAAACTAAGCTTCATAACTGAAGGAGAAATAAAATCCTTTACAGACAAGCAAAGGCGGAGAGATTTTGTCATCACCAGGCCTGCCCTAAAAGAGCTGCTGAAGGAAGCACTAAACATGGAAAGGAACAACCGGTACCAGCCACTGCAAGATCATGCCAAAATGTAAAGACCATCGAGACTAGGAAGAAACTGCATCAACTAACGAGCAAAATCACCAGCTAACATCATAATGACAGGATCAAATTCACACATAACAATATTAACTTTAAATGTAAATGGACTAAATGCTCCAATTAAAAGGCACAGACTGGCAAATTGGATAAAGAGTCAAGACCCATCAGTGTGTTGTATTCAGGAAACCCATCTCATGTGCAGAGACATACATAGGCTCAAAATAAAGGGATGGAGGAAGATCTACCAAGCAAATGGAAAACAAAAAAAGGCAGGGGTTGCAATCCTAGTCTCTGATAAAACAGACTTTAAACCAACAAAGATCAAAAGAGACAAAGAAGGCCATTACATAATGGTAAAGGGATCAATTCAACAAGAAGAGCTAACTATCCTAAATATATATGCACCCAATAGAGGAGCACCCAGATTCATAAAGCAAGTCCTGAGTGACCTACAAAGAGACTTAGACTCCCACACATTAATAATGGGAGACTTTAACACCCCACTGTCAACATTAGACAGATCAATGAAACAGAAAGTCAACAACGATACCCAGGAATTGAACGCATCTCTGCACCAAGCAGACCTAATAGACATCTACAGAACTCTCCACTCCAAATCAACAGAATATACATTTTTTTCAGCACCACACCACACCTATTCCAAAATTGACCACATACTTGGAAGTAAAGCTCTCCTCAGCAAATGTAAAAGAACAGAAATTATAACAAACTATCTCTCAGACCACAGTGCAATCAAACTAGAACTCAGGATTAAGAATCTCACTCAAAACCGCTCAACTACATGGAAACTGAACAACCTGCTCCTGAATGACTACTGGGTACATAATGAAGTGAAGGCAGAAATAAAGATGTTCTTTGAAACCAATGAGAACAAAGACACAACATACGAGAATCTCTGGGATGCATTCAAAGCAGTGTGTAGAGGGAAATTTACACCACTAAATGCCCACAAGAGAAAGCAGGAAAGATCCAAAATTGACACCCTAACATCACAATTAAAAGAACTAGAAAAGCAAGAGCAAACACATTCAAAAGCTAGCAGAAGGCAAGAAATAACTAAAATCAGAGCAGAACTGAAGGAAATAGAGACACAAAAAAACCCTTCAAAAAATTAATGAATCCAGGAGCTGGTTTTTTGAAAGGATCAACAAAATTGATAGACCACTAGCAAGACTAATAAAGAAAAAAAGAGAGAAGAATCAAATAGATGCAATAATAAATGATAAAGGGGATATCACCACCGATCCCACAGAAATACAAACTACCATCAGAGAATACTACAAACACCTCTATGCAAATAAACTAGAAAATCTAGAGGAAATGGATAAATTCCTTGACACATACACTCTACCAAGACTAAACCAGGAAGAAGTTGAATCTCTGAATAGACCAATAACAGGATCTGAAACTGTGGCAATAATCAATAGCTTACCAACCAAAAAGAGTCCAGGACCAGATGGATTCACAGCCGAATTCTACCAGAGGTACAAGGAGGAACTGGTACCATTCCTTCTGAAACTATTCCAATCAATAGAAAAAGAGGGAATCCTCCCTAACTCATTTTATGAGGCCAGCATCATTCTGATACCAAAGCCGGGCAGAGACACAACCAAAAAAGAGAATTTTAGACCAATAACCTTGATGAACATTGATGCAAATATCCTCAATAAAATACTGGCAAACCGAATCCAGCAGCACATCAAAAAGCTTATCCACCATGATCAAGTGGGCTTCATCCCTGGGATGCAAGGCTGGTTCAAGATACGCAAATCAATAAATGTAATCCAGCATATAAACAGAGCCAAAGACAAAAACCAGATGATTATCTCAATAGATGCAGAAAAGGCCTTTGACAAAATTCAACAACCCTTCATGCTAAAAACTCTCAATAAATTAGGTACTGATGGGACATATTTCAAAATAATAAGAGCTATTTATGACAAACCCACAGCCAATATCATACTGAATGGGCAAAAACTGGAAGCATTCCCTTTGAAAACTGGCACAAGACAAGGATGCCCTCTCTCACCACTCCTATTCAACATAGTGTTGGAAGTTCTGGCCAGGGCAATTAGGCAGGAGAAGGAAATAAACGGTATTCAATTAGGAAAAGAGGAAGTCAAATTGTCCCTGTTTGCAGATGACATGATTATATATCTAGAAAACCCCATTGTCTCAGCACAAAATCTCCTTAAGCTGATAAGCAACTTCAGCAAAGTCTCAGGATACAAAATCAATGTGCAAAACTCACAAGCATTCTTATACACCAACAACAGACAGAGAGCCAAATCATGAGTGAACTCCCATTCATAATTGCTTCAAAGAGAATAAAATACCTAGGAATCCAACTTACAAGGGATGTGAAGGACCTCTTCAAGGAGAACTACAAACCACTGCTCAAGGAAATAAAAGAGGATACAAACAAATGGAAGAACATTCCATGCTCATGGGTAGGAAGAATCAATATCGTGAAAATGGCCATACTGCCCAAGGTAATTTATAGATTCAATGCCATCCCCATCAAGCTACCAATGCCTTTCTTCACAGAATTGGAAAAAACTACTTTAAAGTTCATATGGAACCAAAAAAGAGCCCGCATTGCCAAGTCAATCCTAAGCCAAAAGAACAAAGCTGGAGGCATCACACTACCTGACTTCAAACTATACTACAAGGCTACAGTAACCAAAACAGCATGGTACTGGTACCAAAACAGAGATATAGATCAATGGAACAGAACAGAGCCCTCAGAAATAATGCCGCATATCTACAACTATCTGATCTTTGACAAACCTGAGAAAAACAAGCAATGGGGAAAGGATTCCCTATTTAATAAATGGTGCTGGGAAAACTGGCTAGCCATATGTAGAAAGCTGAAACTGGATCCCTTCCTTACACCTTATACAAAAATCAATTCAAGATGGATTAAAGACTTACATGTTAGACCTAAAACCATAAAAACCCTAGAAGAAAACCTAGGCATTACCATTCAGGACATAGGCATGGGCAAGGGCTTCATGTCTAAAACACCATAAGCAATGGCAACAAAAGCCAAAATTGACAAATGGGATCTAATTAAACTCAAGAGCTTCTGCACAGCAAAAGAAACTATCATCAGAGTGAACAGGCAACCTACAAAATGGGAGAAAATTTTCGCAACCTACTCATATGACAAAGGGCTAATATCCAGAATCTACAATGAACTCAAACAAATTTACAAGAAAACAACAAACAACCCCATCAAAAAGTGGGCGAAGGACATGAACAGACACTTCTCAAAAGAAGACATTTATGCAGCCAAAAAACACATGAAAAAATGCTCATCATCACTGGCCATCAGAGAAATGCAAATCAAAACAACAATGAGATATCATCTCACACCAGATAGAATGGCAATCATTAAAAAGTCAGGAAACAACAGGTGCTGGAGAGGATGTGGAGAAATAGGAACACTTTTACACTGTTGGTGGGACTGTAAACTAGTTCAACCATTGTGGAAGTCAGTGTGGCGATTCCTCAGGGATCTAGAACTGGAAATACCATTTGACCCAGCCATCCCATTACTGGGTATATACCCAAAGGACTATAAATCATGCTGCTATAAAGACACAAGCACATGTATGTTTATTGCGGCATTATTCACAATAGCAAAGACTTGGAACCAACCCAAATGTCCAACAATGATAGACTGGATGAAGAAAACGTGGCACATATACACCATGGAATACTATGCAGCCATAAAAAATGATGAGTTCATGTCCTTTGTAGGGACATGGATGAAATTGGAAACCATCATTCTCAGTAAACTCTCGCAAGAACAAAAAACCAAACACCGCATATTCTCACTCATAGGTGGGAATTGAACAGTGAGATCACACGGACACAGGAAGGGGAACATCACACTCTGGGGACTGTTGTGGGGTGGGGGGAGGGGGGAGGGATAGCATTGGGAGATATACCTAATGCTAGATGACGAGTTAGTGGGTGCAGCACACCAGCATGGCACATGTATACGTATGTAACTAACCTGCACAATGTGCACATGTACCCTAAAACTTAAAGTATAATAATAAAAAAATAATAATAAATAAAAAATAAATAAATAAAATAGCTTTCAATTCTCTGCTTAAGCTCAAGAAATTGCATTTTATTTCCTTCAATATCATAATCACCATTATTTAAGTGTCTATATCTGATAACTCCAATATATGAAGCCCTATCAGTTTTGCTTCTAGTAGCTTTCATTCTTATTGTTTTGTCTCCTTGTGTTCCTGGATTGTTTTTATTCAGTCCAGGATGCCGTTCTTTACAAAACTTCTTTGGGAAAAAATTTGTGACATACATTATCCTTTCTTCCTGGGAGGATTGGTATTTGCCACTGCCAGGTGTTGGCACTGTTAATTCACCTTAATTTTCAAGGATTGGGATAAATCAAAGCTGCATTATAGTCTCTGTGATGGACTTACAAACTCCATTTCATGCTTACTTCTAGAACACAAAATTGGGGACCTAAACCTAAATCAAGTAGGGCTCACCAAGTTTCCCCCATGTCCAGCAAGTGAGATGATTGTTAAGCTATTATAACTCAGCTTCAAACTCATCCTTTTATATTTTGCCTTGTGATGCTAGAACTGGGATTCTGCAAACCACATTGTAAACTCAATAAAACTTATGTTGTGATTTTCACCTTCTCACTTTTGTATGTTTGAATGTCCTAAGTCTGGTGAAATAGCTGTTAGTAAATTGTTATGCATGTATATTTAATCCTTACTTCACAATATAAAAATTGGCAGAACTTTTTGTTGTTCCTACTTAAATTTTTTTATTGAACTATGAAACTAGAAGTCTTGGATCAAAAATGCAATATACATTGTTGATTCGGATTTCTGTTGTGCTCATGGCCAAAATGGAGACAAGAATTGGATGCAGCACCTGTGGAGGCAGGCAGAGTGTCCTGATGGCAGTGTTTTGTGACATGTGACCCAGACAACTAAGTTGTAGACATTCTATGCCACTTGTCATTAACACTCCAAGTCCCTCAGGTGGTTCCCTACCCCTTCTCTTCACCTCTTTTTCTGTCCTCCTCCTGACCCTTGGCTTCGTTCCCTATTTACGACCCTGCACCCTTCTCTAGCCTTAGATGTTTGTATTCAAAAATGTCAACACAAATGAACTAAGTATTCAATGTAAGATATTAAAACAGAAACAAAGTAAAAGAAATATGAGGGAATCAATAAAGACAAAAAGCTGAAATAATCACAAAACAAAATACCAGCAGAAATGATAGATAAGCCCAACACTTTTGCAAGTTTGACTAAGAAAAAAATGCAGGACAAATATGTACATCAGGGATAAAAAAGAAGATATAATCATAGTTATGAAAATAGTAAAAGTAATTATAAAATATTATGTAAAATATTGTCAATAAAATTTCAAATCTAGGTGATATGGATAATTTTTCCAGCACAGTATAAATTACCAAAATTGACTCGAGAAAAAGTAGCCTACCTGAACACAACAGATTAAAAAGGTTTTTCAAAGATCTACCACTTTAAAAAATGAAAATTAAAAAGAATAGAGTGGTTATTTTACAATGAAGCTCTAACTAAACTATTAAGGATCATATAATCCTATCTAAATTATTCAAACTGTTCCAAAATATGTAAGTGAAAAGTTTCCCAAATAATTTAATAAATCTAATATAAACTTAATACCCAAGCCTAGTAAGTAGCATCCAAATGAAAGTAAGCTAATCTGACTTATGAATAGCTATGCAAAAAAATTCTAAAGAGAATATTCACAGCTGGTGTATTGAAAAAATAATATATTATGATTGAGGCAGATTTATACCTCATTGAAGTGTCACTAGCACTATAGCACTGTTAGCAATATATATATTGTCCTCTGCTGGCTATGCTCTTCTCCATAAGTTGAGATGTCTTTGGGGTCAAGGAGATTTGCCCATTTGGAGTCCTGCCCTAGACCCACTCCCTGCTTATAGACCACACTCTGGGTGTTTAGGACCCTGGAATTCCATGCCCAGTTATTCCTGAAGCCACCTACCTGGCCTTCACAGGCCTCTTTCCATTCTCACAAGAGTGGACTGTGTTGTTGGAATGCCCATACCTAGACTCAAGGTATAGTCAAGAGTGACTCATTGCAGAGAGTATAAATGCAGCTTGAATGCATTAGTTAACATGTGCACTAGTAAGAAGTGATATCTCAGTCTGTACAACTAGAAAAAAATATTATAAACAGGATGGCTTAAAAACAACAGAAATTTATCTCTCATAGTTCTGGAGTCTAGCAAGTCTAAGATCAAAGTGCTGGCAGATTTGGTGTCTGGTTAGGGCCTGCTTCCTGGTTCATAGATGGTGCCTTCTTACTGAATCCTCACATGCTGGAAGGAACAAGGCAGCTCCCCAGGACCTCTTTCTATAAAAGCAGTACTCCCATTCATGAGGGCTCCATCCTCATGATCCAGTCACATCTCAAAGACCCATGATCAAATTCTGAGTGGCCACAACATTCAGGTCATGGCAGATGAGAAGATAAGGAGGGCAGACCTTGGGCCAGGTACTAGCTTTTCCCATACCATTACTTATGGTACAGAGCTCTGAGGGATACAAGAATTCTACATTTGAACCTGGCCTTTCTGGTTATTATAAAGATAAAATTGTCAAGGTAAGAAGATAAAACATTTTACTTAACAGTTTATTAACTTGACTTATAGCTTCTAAATATGTGGTCATTTGATAAGTAAGCCTTCATTTTTACTCTTGCCCTAGGCCTTGCAAATGTTACGAGTGATCTAGCCTGCCTCTTCCAGATTTGGCAGAGGTGAGAAAACACTAGAAGACTAATGAATACATCATGAGCAAATATCTTATATATAATATGTATATCTACATATACATATATGATGTATAAATACATACCTATACATGTGTGTATATATATCTACCTACATACACGTATAAGTATTGATTTATCTGTAGCGAACATGTGTATGCATACTTATATGTATGTACACACAGAAATATTTACATATTGTGTGCATGTGTACACACACACACACAAACACACACATCAGAATAAACACAGGGGAAAAATTGGAACCTCCCATTGCAGGAAAGGTGGAAAACTACAAATTGACGCTGTTCCTCTTCTCCCCTACCAAATTGAAAATGCCAAGAAAAATTGTATCTATAAAGAGACTTACATAATGTCAGTCTCAGAAGTGTCATCCTTGACAGATTGAATGTAGTTAAGTTGTAAGAGGAAAGGAATGACAAGCAGAAGTTGATTCCATCCAAAAGCATGGATGGATGCTGGGGTCAGTATTAAGGTGCTGCATACTAACAGAGGTTTTCACTTTACACCCCACTCCACATTGCTCTGGGCAATCCTCACAGAGAACTGCAACTGGTCAGGTCCCGCCCCATTGCCACAATTAAGTTGCCCCTCTCCCAACACTGTATACTCTCTGGCCAGATGGAGCACCCAGGATGCCTGAGCTTTTTTAATTAGAAGTGTGGCAGGACAACTCCATGAGCACATTCATCAAGCTGACACCCTAATTGATATAAATTGTTACCGTTTCAAGGGGAATAAAGTAATGGCAACAGCTGGAAGAGAGTGGGCATGGTCCAGTTAGTACTTTGGCCCCAAAAAGCAGGGAAGCCTACCATAATGAGTACCAGCTAGCTAGGTCCTGAGCATCCATTCAATCGCTAGTGATGAAGAGTGGCTGTATCAGTCAACCCTTGCTGTGTAACAAACCGCCTCCCAAATCTCAGTGGGTTAAAACAATTATTTATTTTTAAATCACAGATCTGGAGGTTGGCAGGTTAAGGCTAAGCTCTACTCCTGTGTCTCTCACTGTCTAAGCCAACAGGCCAGCCCGCATGTTCTTTTCATGGGGATGGCAAAATCTCTGGGAAGCAATTAGAAGTATGTATGGCCTCTTGTGCCTAGGCTTGAAACTAGCACATCCTCACTTCCACCTCATTCCATTAGCCAAAGCAAGTGATGAGAATGGAAACAACCCAAATGTCCATGAGAAGCTGAATGGATAACAAACTATAACATATTTGTACAATGGTATGTTATTCAACAATAAAAACTACCAAATTGCTGACATGCACAACATGGAGAATAGAAAGGGATATTTGAAAAGATACATAAGAAGTCCCCAAAGCCTTCTTACAGAGCAGAACATAATGAATGCCAAGCAGGACCATTATCTCAGTTTGTTGTTTCCCCCTCCCCCATACCCCATGGAGTGGAGTACAAAACAAGGTACCTTCTCAGACATCCCTACCAGCAATTAACTTTTCTTTCCTGACTCACTTCCTCAATGCTCCAGCCCAGACACTTGTAGCTCCCCTGTGTGGAAGGGAAGCAATTACTCTATACGTGTTTTTCCAAAGTTATTGTTGAAGCTCAGGCCCAGCTTTAAAGTTCCAAAACAAAACAAAATTACATATTTTATTTTCTTTGCATTTCTACCATAACAATCCAACTTGAGGGATGAGAATGCTGAAGTCTAGTTTAAGAGAGGCTTGGTGGCGGGGAGAAAGGAAGGGAAGAGAAATTGTAGAGGTAAAACATGTCAGTTATTATTTTAAAGTATTAACCCACCTCATTTACTTCTTGGAATAAAATATTTCCTTTAACAAGAAGTTTAAAAACATATGTTCTTTCTTAGGGAGAAAAAAAATGAATCTTCCTTAAGGCTTTCCATTTTATGGAAACATCACCATCAGTGGGAGATCCCTGGTTAGCACTCTTTGGTTCCTTTGTTGAAGTTGTCAACCCTTTTCACAAGCTACATTTCCCTTTTTTTCCCCAAAGAAATACCATGGCTCTGAAAACATTCTCAATGAGCAGCCTTTGGTAATGGAAAGAGACAACAATGAGTTGATGTTTGATGCTTCCCATAAATACCCCCACTGACCCCCAATATGTCAGGCTTCTTAGGTATCCTGAGCCGGAAGCCCCTGATGGAGGAGAAGGGTGATATTTCAAATACTCCTCATTAAAAATATAGAAAGTATCCTAGAACCAAACAATCCAACACCTGAAACTAATTTTTTGACATGTTCATGGGCTTTAATGACAGCTTCATTAATTGAGTGTAGTCACAGGGGGGAAAAATCATGTTTTTCTTAATGACCTGCCAGATGATGGATTTGTTTGGTTATTTACTTTACTCTGAAAAATTTCAAAGGAAGGAAAGAGAAAGAAGGACAAGCTCTGGGTGTCACATCATAACTGAGCTTGACCAAGAGGCTTCTTGGAGTCTCAATGGTGAGTCAATCTGAAAATGATGAGGTGGGCTGGGCAGATTAAGGAAGCAGTGTGATATTCTTGCTAGGAGCCTTGCTACTCAGTAAGGTTCATGGACCAGTGGCATTGGCTTACTGGAAGCTGATTATAAATGCACCATCTTAGGCCCTACCCCACATCTACCGAATAGAAATCTGCATTGAACAAGATCCTTCAGTGATTCTCAGGCTCATTTTGAGAAGCACTGGTTAAGAGCATGAGATTTCCAGTGAACTTAGGTGAGGATTCCAACTTCACTTACTGCTAGCTGTGAATAAGGCACAATTGAGCCTGTCTCAGCCACAGTTTTTAATCTGTAAAACAGGCGTAATATCTACCTCACTGAACTGTGAGATTAAACAAAATAAGCACTTAGCATAATTCCAGGTATGTAATACATTTTGTATAAACGGTAAGTAACAGTACTATTGGGGCTTCTCTCATCCATTCATTTTTGAAATCGGGCAGAACTGTCTTCAAATCCAAGTTTTACAACTTAAGAGCTATATGATCTTAGTTATGTTATCTAACTTTTCTAGGCTTCGATCTCTCCATCTGCAAAATGGGCATAATTTAAATGTCAGGGCATCTCAAGCCTTAAGCTACAGACCAATTACATAAGTGAAGTCATAAAACTTCCAGAGATCTCTGCAACTACAGGGCTTGCCCTCACTCACTCTTGTGCGGAGTCTACAGATGCCGTCTCTGTTCCTCCTCATGTCTTCCCTGGTGCAAAGTTTGGGTCTGTTACCAGTTTTCACAAGAAATCCACTTACTCCAAATGTTCTGTGAGTTGGGTAGAATTTCCTAAGGATTTGGGCAGTGGGTCACAAGGAAAGATCATATTGCACACAACATAGTCTTATGCCATCATCTGGCCCTTTCCCTTTATATTAGTTCATTCTCACTGTGCTATAAAGAACTGCCCAAACTAGGTAATTTATAAAGGAACCAGGTTTAATTGACTCACAGTTCCGTATGGCTAGGGAGGCCTCAGAACACTTACAATTACGGCGGAAGGCAAAGGGGAAGCAAGGATCTTCACGTGGCAGCAGCAGGGAGAAGAGTGATGAGTGAACAGGGAAGAGCCCCTTGTAAAACCATCAGATCTCGTGAGAACTCACTCACTACCACGAGAACAGCATGGGGGGAAACCAACCCCATGATTCAATTAGCTCCACCTGGTTTCTGTCTAGATACATAGAGATTATGGGGATTATAATTCAAGATGAGATTTTGGGTGGGGACACAGTCAAACCATATCACCCTTCTCCCCCTCATCTACCCTCGTTACAGCTCCCCTCAGGAAAGAAAAAATTTCTCTCTTCATCATCCAGAAGGAAGCTCAGCTTTAGAAGATGTAGTGGGACAAGCTGTTTGTTCTCATTCTAGTGCCACTACTACTGTTTACTCTCTCTGGGCCTCCATTTTCTCATCCCTAAAATAGTCAAGAGTTTCTCAATCACAGGGATGGCATGAGAACTAAAGGAGCTGTTAAAATGCTTCTGGAGTGCCTGGTACACAGTGGGTTGCTGGTTATTAAGTGATTGCATCCTGACTCCAATCCTCTCTTCTTCACTCTGCTTTCTGATGCTGGGACTAGCCTCTGCAATTCCCTTTGCTGGCTCCTGTCAGGCTCTTCCTGTCAGGTATGCCACAGCAGTTTGAACGTTGGAGGAGTGAAGGACACTTCCTCCTTGCCAATTGCTACCTGATCCTATCAGCATTGCCACCAGCAACATTGCTTCGCCCTGGCAGCACAGCAATGGATTCCAGGAGCACAGGCCGTTCTAGTTTGCAATCATTCCACACTTTTAGAACCAGCTTCCTGGTGCCTCTCAGAAATACAGCAGCAGCCACCACACCTGCTCCTCTGAAGTCAGAATTTCAGCTCCGTGGAGCCTCTTCTGCAGGCTCCAAGCTCAGAGCCCTTGGTCTATTTGAGAAGTGCCTAATCCTTAGAGGGCTAAGCCCCAACTCTGCAGACCCCTCCTATAAGCGTTTACATTTTAGTAATCCCTACATCTTTCGTTTGTTCCCCCATCCCTAGGGTAGCTTCTGGCAGCTACTGCCTTTGTGATACCTCAGTATCCCCCTTTTGGCTTTTCAGTTCTCCTCCACCTGGCAAATAGCTAAAACAATAACCAGGTTTCTAACAGGATACTTTCTGATATAGACCATATGTAAAAAAAAAATTAGTTTCCTTCCAGAAAATAAAATCTACCTTTTAAATATCAAGTTTTGCCACCAATAAGGATATTCACAAGAACATGCCAATGGCTTTGAAAGCAATTTCCAAAGGAAAAATTTTAAACTATTTTGGGTTCTGACGGCATCGTTGGTATAGAACCATAATCCCAAACATTTGGGAAAAAAGAGTTGAAACACGTTTCTAGGGAAAAAAAATGCAGACTTAGGCTTATCTCTCATGGCAGAGCTGATACATGATCTAGAGAGATGTTACCTGTGTAGACACAAGTGTAGGCAAGACCAGGGAAGAGCCCTGATGCAGCAGGTGCAGGATGTCACATTTCCAGAGGTCAAGGAGGTCATGGGCCAAAGTTAAAATCCATGGAATTTAAGAGAACCTGGAAATAGCAGTTTGGTGAGTGATGCCAAAAAGTCTAAGTTGACCATACTTTAATAACTGCTGGCCATGACTTAAACAGAAATCAAAATGGAACTGAAAATAATGTTTTATATGTATTTGTAAATTTTAGTTTTTGAGACAGATGTACTCTGTCACCCAGGCTGGAGTGCAGTGGCACAATCACAGCCCACTGCAGCCTCAAACCCTGGGGCTCAACCGACCCTCCCGCCTCAGTCCCCTGTGTAGCTGAGACCACAGGCATTTGCCACCATACCCAGCTAATTTTTTTACTTTTTGTAGAGACAGGGTCCCACTATGTTGCCCATGATAGTCTCAAACTCCTGAGCTCAAGCCATCCTCCCACCTCGGCCTCCCAAAATGCTGGGATTACAGGTGTGAGCCACCATACCTGGCCTGTTTTATATTTATTTAATTAGTAAAGATAAATGGAAAGTGTATGTCAGTGATCTTGCTCTACAACTGGTACCTTGCACAAAGCTGGTGGCAGTGTACACAGAGCAAAATGATAATCACCTGAAAGAGCCACAGCAATGTTGATCTCCTTTGACCCAGTCATTCCATTACTGAAAATTAATCCTAGAGAAGTGAAAAGAATTTTTAAAAACCTACATTTGTGAATATATTCATTGAAGTGTTATATACAAGAATGAAAAATAAGATCATGCAATTAGTAAATAAAAGGAGAATAACCAAAATGTCATTCACTTGATGAAGATTATGTAAAAAACGTGGAGGATTTTTGTGGTGTGATATTCAGTAGAAGAAATCAGGGAATCAAATATAGAGGAGACAAAAAGAAAGGATACAAGAACAAAGGTTCAGTAATGTTGCTCTCTGTTACCACAGGGATGAGCATAAGGAACACTCTGAGGGTCTTGTTCCAAGGCACCATGCCAACAAAAGGCGGCTGGGCAAGCTGGGCAGAATACAGAAGCCATTCATAAACCTTCGCCACCTGTGGTATAGGGTGGACTAGACCTTCTGGTCTTAAATGAAGAATAATTTTCATAATCTTTGGGAACGTGCGTGTGTTTCACTAAAGGAAAGATAGTTTTGTTACAGATTGCAATCCCTCTCTTCCATAATAAGCAGAATAATTTTGAGGTTACACTGTAGGTTCTTTCTCCCATCAGATCAATCCTGAAGGTGGTCTTGCTCCAGGAGTAGGAGAAAGGAAAGAGAATGAAGGGTAGAATCGGAGCACACTGTAGCAAGCATGTGTGGAAGATTTAGTATATCTCAAGGAGGGAAGGGAGTGATAGACCACTGAGTTAAACAGCTGGTCAGTGAAAAACAGCCATATGCATTGGCCAACCAATTAGTTCAAGAGAAAATTGGCTGCAGGTGGTAAGTTAAGAGCCAAGCGTGGCCTCTGACCAAAGGGGTTTTACCAGCACTTGGTGTTTGACCTTCCAGGAGCTTTGGCTTGCTGTAAAAAAAGCTTGGAAGACTGACTTCCTATCAGCCTCAGTGACCCCCAGAGTTCTAAAAGCTACGTGGAATTTGGCTACTGTATAAATCATACAAGAAGTTATTCCAAATAGAGGAGAGAATGAAGTTGTGATTACCAGGTATGGAGAGAAATTCAGTTTTCCTGAAGACATTTGCTATGAGTGCAGAAAATCCACAAGGGTCAATTTGCTAATTGAGATTATCTGTCAGTCTTTAGCATTGGAGAATAGCCAGGGTTGGAGGACCCCCCCATGGCAATAGGCTGGTTTTCTTGGTTGCTGGGAGATGAAGAGGATGAAACGATCTACCTGAGTTAGAAACCTGCCTCAAACTTGTTTGTTCAGCAAGCATTTGCTGAGCCCTTGCTGTACATGTGGCCCATATTCCATTAGGAGAGGCAAACACTGAGACAATTTCAGCAGAAGGTAAATGCTTGTCTGGATGTTTGTGCCTCTCCATGCCCTAAAAACTCCTATGCTGAAACCTAACTCCCAATGTGATGGTATTAGGACGTGGGGCCTTTTGGGAGGTGATTAGGTCACAAAGGTGGAGCCAATGTAAATGGGATTACTGTCCTTATAAGAGAAGCCCCGGCAGGGCACAGTGGCTCACGCCTATAATCCTAGCACTTTGGGAGGCCGAGGTGGGCAGATTGCCTGAGCTCAGGAGTTCGAGACCAGCCTGGGTAAGGCGGTGAAACCCCACCTCTAATAAAATCCAAAAACTTAGCCGGGCGTGGCAGCATGCACCTGCAGTCCCAGCTACTCGGGAGGCTGAGGCAGAAGAATTGCTTGAACCTGGGAGGCGGAGGTTGCACAGTGAGCCAAGATCGCGCCACTGCACTCCAGCCTGGACGACAGAGCGAGATTCCATCTCCAAAAAAGAGAAGCTCCAAGAGTTGCCTTCATTCTTCCACCAAGTGAGGTGAGAAGGTACTTTTATGAACCAGAAAGAGGGCCCTCACCAGACACCAAGTCTGCCAGCTCCTGGATCTTATACTTCCCAGCCTCCAGAACTGTTAAGAAATACATTTCTGTTTTTTATAAGTGGCACGTGCACTAAGATGCCACCTTTATAATCAAATTATGGCTTCAGAAAAACAAGAATTGCTTGTGTTTTTAGGGAGGATTTCTAGGAACGCTTCCTAGAAGTGGTACCTTCTGAACTGAGTTTTGAAATAAAAATGTGCATTTTCTCAGTGTGTTGAAGAGAACAAAGAGTTTTGTGTGGCTGGAATGCTCAATGTTAGGAGAGAAGCGTGAGGAGATCATGTTGAAAATATAGCCCTGGCCAAGGACATATTAAGCCTCTTAAATGAAGAATTAAGGAATTAGGCTTTGCCTAGCTGGTGAGAAACAAGGAATCGTTCTAAGCACAGTAACGAGGTGGTTAGACTTGTATTTTAGAAAAAGGACTCTGTTGTCTCTTTGGGGGATGGAATGGAGTGGAGCAAGGCTGGGGTAGAGAAAGTAAGCAGGGGACTCTTCCAGCCATCAGGGCAAGAGATAATGAGCTCCTGAACTAAGGCAGCGGCCACGCGAGGGGGATCAATGCCTGGCTTGTCCACTTCCCTCCCTTCCCCTGATGCAGAAAATGCATGCCTTCCTCCCACTGACTCTAGCTGTCACCCCAGGATCAGACAGCTGCCTGCCTGCTCTAGGCTTGCTGCCAGGGGTCTGGCCCTTTCTCGGGGGATGGATGCGAGCATGTGAAGGGGTTGTGGGATGGGACAGAAAGAGTAGGCTTAGGAATCAGAGGACTTCAAATCTCAGTTATGGACTGAACTGTGTCCCTCAGAAACCCATATGCTGAAGCTCTAACCATCAATGTGACAGTACTCAGAGGGCTTTCTGGAGGCAATTAAGGTTATATGAGGTCATGAGGGTGGGGCCCTAATCTGATAGGACTGGTATTCTAAGAGGAAGAGACACCAGAGATCTCTCTCTTTCTCTCTGTGCTTGCACCGAAGATAGGTCATGTGAGGAAGGCAGCCGTTTGCAAGCCAGGAAGAGAGGACACCAACCCTGGGAACATCTGATCTTGGACTTCAGCCTCCAGAACTGTGAGAAAATAAACTTATGTTGTTTAAGCCGCTCACTCTGTGGCATTTGGTTATGGCAGCCTAAACTGTCTAATAAGCACCATTGCAGCTAAGTCATCTTGAACAAACCAATCAAGCTGACTGATCCTCAGTTTCCTTATCTCTAAGGCAAATAATGGTAAAATAATAACCCTACATCATGGGGCTGTTATGAGGATCAAATGAGCTACACAGTTATCAAGTGGAGCTTATAGGAAAGCTCTTTGTAAATTGTATATATAAAACATGTTTCTTACATTTCTTCTGAACTGATGAAAGATTAAAATATTTTTAATCATAATATTAGTTTAATTATTATACTTAACTGTATTATCTGTCTCTTGGATATATTTTAAATGCATATAATTAGCCAATAATCAAAATCTAATTGATCACAGCTGCCCAAAGGGCTTTCAGTTAAAATTCAGTGATGGTAACCAGTCAATGAAACCATTTGGGAAATTGCATGTTTTCATTAAAAAAAAAAAAAAAGAACCTAGAGTTCCAAATATATGAAGTACCCAAAATATAGCCTATATAAGAGGCTTCCTTGGCATATTTGACATCTGTAGACACATTCTAAAACAGAAATCTCAACATTTGTTTTACAAATATTTCTTTTAAATGGAAATCTTAAGTGTGGACATAAAGATAATTATATAGACAGTATATTTGTAATTTCTACAAATATTCCTTTTATCTTGGGACCTTGAGAATGTTTCTCAAATGTTTTTCATTGTCTCCTTCAGTAGCCTTTTTAGACATTTTTTTCCTAATTACCCTCCCTATGAAATTTTAACACCACAGATATACTGTATATCTGTTTATATATGGTATATATGTCTGCACTTTTTACATAAACCACCTAACTAAGAATGAATTTTCACCTTGATGAGGATGATATTGCCATGAGAATGTGTGGCCTTAAGATGATTCATACAATAAAGCATCTAATTGGTCTTCATGATACATCTGGTGGAAAATGCATTCAGTGTGAGAAATGAACCCATTTCTGAGAGGGCATACCTGAACAGAAAGCAAACATGGCTGTGAGTCCCAGCTGGAGGCCACTCTGTGGTTACCATAGGAACGAGGTATGACTAGACTTAGAGGCGCCAGTCTACTGCGAATGTATTTGCAATAAGAGCCCAAGAGTCTTCTGGGAAGGAATTCACCCTAAAGGCAAAGAGCACAAGTTAGATTCAGAGATGGCAGGCCGGTTGGGGAGGTAAGTGAAGCCAAAGACAGCATGACGACTGTTATGTGGATTATCCCTCGTTCCATTGAACTCATGCTGAATCCAAAGGCAAAGATGCTGCAATCTAAGAGAAGTAAAAGATGAAATATCCTACACTGCCCTCCCACCCATTGTTTCCATGGCATACTCAGAAACAAGGCACTGACAGAAGAGTATAAGGAACTGTGCATGTGCAGCTGGTGGAAGAGTTCCCATTGGTACTGCATTTAGGGTAGGGTGTGATTTGTGACCATTATCCTGATATTAGTCTGAGCTCCTCTCAGCTCTGTGGCCTAGGAGCCATAGGTCATAATCATATTACAACGGAAGTGAAAATGCTTGTTCAATAGTATCCAAACCACTTACACATTATTCAAGGCCCTTCAAGGTTCATTCATGTTATAGCATGTGTCAGAATTTCACTCCTGTTTATGGCTGAATAATATTCCATTGTATGTGCAGTTAGCCCTCTGTATTCGTGGGTTCTGCATCTATGGCTTCAACCAAACTTAGATCAAAAATACTTGTTAAGAAAGATGGTTACATCTGTATTGAACATGTACAGACTTCTTTCTTATTACTTCCTAAACAATACAACTATTTACATTGCATTTACATTATTTTGGGTATTATAAGTAATCTAGAGATGATGTAAAGTATACAAGAGGATATGCATGGGTTATGTGCAAATACAATATCATTTTATATAAGGGACTTGAGCATCCATGGATTTTGTTATCTGACAAGGGTCATGGAACAAATCTCCCACAAATACTAAGGGGTGACTGTAGATACAACATTTTGTTAACCCTTTTATGCAATGATAAATACTGGAGTTGCTTTTATCTTTTGGCTATTTTGAATAGTGCTGCAATGCACATGGGTATACACATATCTCTTTGAGACTCTGCTTTCAATTATTTTGGGTATATATCTAGAAATGAAAATGCTGGGTCAAATGGTAATTCCAGGTTTAATTTTTGAGGAACTGCCATAACTTTTCTGATGTTACTTTTTTTTCTTAATTTTGAAATTGTAACCTTTTATGCTGCTGTTCTCTATGCTCCTCCTCACTCCAACTGGGTTCCTGGGCAGCATCCATCAATATGGAAAGCCTCACCCTTGCTGCTTTGACACATCCCCTTCCATTTCAAGGATCTCTAAGCCCCTATTTCTTTCTTGTTCATAGAACATACTACATATCTCATGCAGGTGAGCCCCAGAACCCCAGCTCTAGACGTTCTGTGGAAGCTATCACCCCAGCACCTTCAGATTGTTAAGGAGACACACTGGGGAAGTCCAATAAATGCAGCTCCAGCAAAGTAGCCATCTTGCTTTCCTCTTTTGGGGAATGATGGAAAATAATTTTTGAGCTTCCCAAAGAGTAGGAAAAACTGAATTTAAAGTAGTCTTAATCTGCATTTTTTGGTAATATAACTAATTTCATTTTACATTTTTTCTTTGTTGTGATGATCTTTTAACTCACCTAGATTTGAAAATTATTTGCCCTGTTATCATTAGTAACACCCCAGAACCAGAATCTGCCTTTACTCAGGAGCATCTATTAACTAAAATGACGTAAGCATCCGGGCACAGTGGCTCACGCCTGTTATCCCAGCACTTTGGGAGGCCGAGGCGGGTGGATCACCTGAGTTCGGGAGTTTGAGACCAGCCTGACCAACACAGAGAAACCCCGTCTCCACTAAAAATACAAAATTAGCCAGGCTTGGTGGCATATGCCTGTAATTCCAGCTGCTCAGGAGGCTGAGACAGGAGAATCTCTTGAACCCAGGAGGTGGAGGTTGCAGTGAGCTGAGATCACGGCACTGCACTCCAGCCTGGGTAACAAGAATGAAACTCCATCTCAAAAAAAAAAAAAAAATTGACATGAGTTCAGTGTCCTATGAACTCAGCTTCAATCCCACCAAGACAGACTGAGACAAACCAAGGAGAGATGCAGGCTTTGGGGAAGAAACTTCTGACTGTGAAAAAGAAAGCGTATTTCTTAACAAACGTCATGAAATAATGACCCAAGGCGAGGAGCACTGGGACAAAGCGTGTGTTAGGGGACTTTGTAACAAATGCTGACACTGCTTTGATGCCAGCTGTAAGAATCAAAGCCCAGCACTATTTCCTCCTGGAACAATTATCTATGTTCTTTGGATTTTTAGGAGACAATTAAGCAAGAGAAGCAGAAGATGCTGTCCCCAGGACCCTTACAGACCTCCCCAGATAAGGGAAATGCTGAGGTTGCGGGAAGCCTCCAGTGGAGTTTCTGTCAAATCCCTTTGGTATAGCAGGCAAATCCTTTTGATGTCAACTCCCACAGGGACTTTTCTGCCCTACCCTCATAAAACTGAAGAAGTTTCTCCTACCTGCTTTCTAAGGGAGTGAATGTTTCTGTTTGCCCATTCTGAGCACCAGGATTGTGACTCTAAATAGGAGATTGGGTCGTTCTCCACAATAATACTTCTTTCAATCATTGATTCAGCAGTCACTTACAGACAGCCTTCTCTGTCCCAGGTACTAAGGATAATAACGGCATAGCTAACATGTTTATTATGTGCAAGGTCTGTGTGAACCACCTTATATGCATTACCCAATTAATCCTCACAACAATGCTGATTGGTTACCATTTCCCCCATTTTATAGATGAGATCACTGAGGCTTGGTGAGTCTAAGTAATTTGCTCAAGGTAGCAGGAATCATGGCAGAGAGGATTCTAGCCTAGGCACCCATTTGGAGAGCCCATGTCTTCAACCACTTTACTAGACAAGGACAACCACCAGGAACTATTTAGGATACAAATTTAATAAAGTAGGATTATTCCCTGTTCCCACTCACCTAAGGAATTTGGTCTGTCTTAATCAGGAAGAGTCAAGGCAATGATATTTCAATACTGTCTGGGAGGGGCTCCTGTAGTGTATGTGTTATTCAAGATACACTGGGGATATCAAAAGCACAAGTAACAAGAGAAATCAATTAGTTCATCAAAATTTAACACTTCTGTGCTTCAAAGAACACTGTCAAGAAAGTGAAAAGACAATCTGTAGAATGGGAGAAAAATTTTTGCAAATCATATATCTAGAACTCCTACCTAGAATGTATAAAGAACTCTTCTATAAAGAGTTCAGATAGCCCAATGATAAAAAAAACAACTCAATTAAAAATAGGCAAAGGAGCTGAATAGTCATTTTTCCAAATAAGCATATAAATGGCCCAATAAGCACATAAAAAGATGCTTAAGATCCTTAGCCATCAAAGAAATGTAAATCGAAACTGCAATGAGATACCACCTCATACCCCCTAGGATGGCCATAATTAAAAAGACAGACAACTACAAGTGATAGTGAGGATGCAGAGAAATTGCAACACACATACCCTGCTGGTGGGAATGTTTTTTTGTTGTTGGTTGTTTTGTTTTGTTTTGTATGTGTGTGTGAGCAACAAAGCTTTTTAGTTACCTGGGTGCAGGCAGGCTGAGTCTGAAAAGAGAGTCAGTGAAGGGAGATAGGGGTGGGGCCGTTTTATAGGATTTGGGTAGGTAAAGGAAAATCACAGTCAAAGGGGGTTGTTCTCTGGCGGGCAGGGGTCGGGGTCACAAGGTGCTCAGTGGGGGAGCTTTTTGAGCCAGGATGAGCCAGGAGAAGGAATTTCACAAGGTGATGTCATCGGTTAAGGCAAGGACCGGCCATTTTAACTTCTTTTGTGGTGGAATGTTATCAGTTAAGGCAGGAACAAGCCATTTAAATTTCACTTCTTTTGTGCTGGTGGGAATGTTAAATGGCACCGCCACTCTGGAAAACAGTTTGGCAGTTCTTCAAAAGATTAAACATGGAGTTACTATATGACCCAGTTTGGGGGTACACAAAAACTTATATACAAATGTTCATAGCATATGAACATTCATATTCAAAAGCTAATATTTATATAGCCAAATAGTGGAAACAATACAAATGTCCACCAACTATTAAATACAATGTGTTTTATCCATAAGCTAAAATATTATTTGGAAATAAAAAGAAACAAATGACGGATATGTGCTACGACATGGATGAAATTTGAAAAAAAAAACCATGCTAAGAAGCCAATCACATATATTATACAATTTCATTTCTATGAAAGATCCAGAATAGGCAAATCCATACAGACAGAAAGTAGGTTCTTGGTTGCTCAGAGTTGGGCACCATTGGGCAGAATGGAGAGTGACTGAGAATAGGTATGGTGGCTCTTTTGGGGGTAACGAAGTTGTTCTAAAGTTGTGGCAATGATTGCAGAACTCTGAATATACCAAAAGTATTGAACTGTATACTTTACATGAGAAATTGTATATGAATTATATCTCAATCAAGTCATTTTCCTATTTAAAAAAGAGATATGTTGGTAACAAATAGGAAACCATCAGAATAAGAAGACACTAGGATTCTTTCATTTGAAAAATATACTGGGTCAGGGGTGGGGTGCCAGGCCCCAGGCAGGGAGACAGAGTGATAGAGAAGTGGGTCAGATGCTGCACCTGCCCTCAGGCTGGTCACAGTCCTGCTGGAGCACAAGAGGAGTTCAGGCAACTGCGAGATCAGTCTTTAGGGAGCACAAGGTCTTAGGAGCTCCTGGGAGGCATGTAAGGTTACCTTCTGGGAGTGAAACTGGATAATAGATGTACGTAGGAGAGCAGAGGAATGCAAAATCTCCAGGAGCAAAATGGGTCCCTGATCCTAGGGTTCAGCAGGAGCTCATGTCAATGTATGGTTGCACCTAAAGCTGTGGTTCCCTACACTGATGAATTTACCATCTGGGGGAAATTTCAAAATGTCTGAAGACAATTTTCATTGTCACAGCTCAAGGGGTGGGGTGCTACTGGCATCTAGTGGGTAGAGGCTAGTGATGCTGCTCTACATTCTACAGTGCGAAGGACAGCTCACCAACAACAAAGTATTATCTGGTCCAAAATGTCAACAGTGCTGAGGATCAGAAACCCTGATCTAAAGCAAGTAAACATTGATCAGCAGGGAACAATTAGGTGTCCCACAGATAAGTTTAGAAAAGGGAGAGTCACAGAAGCCAACTTCAGAATTGTGTGCCCAGAAAAGATATGTTGAAGTCCTAACCCCCAGTACTTCTGAATGTGACCTTATTTGGAAATAGTCATTGCAGATATACTTAAGATGAAGTCATACTGGAGGAAGGTGGGCTCCAACCCAATATGATTGGTGTCCTTGTAAAAATAATGCCTTGTGAAGAACTATGCAGACAGGGAGAATACCATGTAAACATGAAGGCAGACATCAGGGTAATGTGTCTAAAAGCCAAAGATTGCCAGCAAACCACCAGAAGCTAAGAGAGGGGCATGGAACAGGTTCTCCCTCACAGCCCTAAGAAGGAACCAGCCCCTGGGACACCTTGATCTAGGTCTTTAGCATTCAAAACTGTTAGGCAATAAACTGCTGCTGCTGTTTAAGCCACCCAGTTTTTTACATTGTTATGGCAGCCCTAGAAACTAATACATCTGATACACTGTTTATGGGAGGTGACGCATTGGCCAATGGACTTTGCCCATCCTGGGTGCCCTGGGCATAAGCATCATTCAGTCCTTGTGCTTTCCTTGGTTCTGTCTCCAGGCTTACCAAGTTATGATTCTCATCACCTACTCACACCAGGGTAAGAATGTTCTGACTGTTCAGCATAAGTGTACCAGTCCTAATACCTCTCAGGGCCTGAGCTTTCCAGAACATTTTTTTTTCAACTTTTATTTTAGATCCAGGGCGTACATGTACAGTTTTGTTACCTGGGCATATTGCATGATGCTGAGGTTTGGGGTACAAATGATTTCATCACCCAGGTACTAGGCATAGTACCCAGTAGTTTATTTTTCAACCCTTGCTTGTCTCCCGCAGTAGTCCCCAGTTTCTATTGCTGCCATTTTTTACTTCCATGATTACCCAATGGTTAGCTTCTACCTAAAAATGAGAATGTGCAGTGTTTGGTTTTCTGTTCTTGTGTTAATTCGCTTAGGATAATGGCCTCCAGCTGCCTCCATGTTGCTACAAAGACATGATTTAATTCTTTTTAATGATTGCATAGTATTCCATGGGGTATATGTACCACATTTTCTTTATCCAATCCACCACTGATGGGCACCTAGGTTGATTCCATGTCTTTGCTATTGTGAATAGTGCTGCAATGAACATGCAAGTGCATATGTCTTTTCAGCAGAATAATTTGTTTTCTTTTGGGTGTATATCCAGTAATGGGATTGCTGAGTCAAATGGTAGTTCCGTTTTAAGTTCAAAGAGAAATCTTCAAGCTGCTTTTCATAGTGGGGGAACTAGTTTACATTCCTATCAACAGTGTATAAGCATTCTCATTTCTCTATAGCCTTGCCAACATCTGTTGTATTTTGACTTTTTAATAATAACCATTCTGACTGGTGTGAGATGGTATCTCACTATGGTTTTGATTTGCATTTCTCTAATATTAGTGAGGTGGAGAATTTTTTCATATGTTTTTTGGCTAATTGTATGTCTTTTGAGAAGTGTTCATGTCTTTTGCCCATTTTAAAAATAAGATTATTGGTTTTTTGTTTTTGTTGTTGTTGTTGTTGTTGTTTTCTTGTTGAGTTGTTTAAGTTCCTTATAGATCTTGGATATTGGATTTTTGTCAGATGCATAGTTTGCAAATATTTTCTCCCATTCTGTAGGTTGTCTCTTTACTCTGCTGATAGTTTCTTTTGCTGTGCAGAATCTCTTTGGTTTAACTAGAGGTAAATGTTTGTTTTTGTTGTAATTGCTTTTGAAGACTTTGTCATAAATTCTTTCCCAAAGCTGATGTCCAGAATAATGTTTTCTTCTAAGATTCTAATATTTATGTCTTACATCTAAATCTTTAATCCATCTTGAGTTAATTTTTGCTTATGGTAAGCGATAGGGGTCCAGTTTCATTCTTCTGCATATGATTAGCCAGTTATCCCAGCACCATTTATTGAATAGGGAGTCCTTTCCCTATTGCTTATTTTTGTTGACATGGTCAAAGATCAGGTGGCTGTATTTCTGGGATCTATATTCTGTTCCATTGATCTATGTGTCTGCTTTTGTATCAGTACCATGCTGTTTTGGTTACTGTAGCCTTAAAGTATAGTTTGAGGTTGGGCAACCTAATGCCTCTGGCTTTGCTCTTTTTGCTTAGGATTGCTTTGGCTATTCTTTCCTGAACATTGACAAGAGAGAAGAATTTCTGTCCTCTGAACAGAGAACTAGATAGAGCTGGCCTTACCTTAAACCAATGATTTCCAGAGTGTACACAGCAACAGATAAGAAAGACCTTTGATGGAGTGAAGGAGGGAACTATTAGACATTATTTATTTATTTATTTATCTAATTTATTTAAAATTAGAAATAAATTAAGGTCTAATAATTTTTAATGTATGGATTGACAATAGGACCTGTAAATTATGAATAAACATTCACATATTGTGGGTGCCTGCTCCAGAACAATTTTGGTAATGATGATCAGTGGTCACTGCCTTAGCATGGCCTCAGATAATAGCACTGCCATTTCTCTGATCTACTCTTGCTTGAAATTGATTCATAAAAGACCTTGAGTGTCAGGCTAAGGGGTCTGGCCTTTATTCCATGGCTTCGAAAGCCCTCAGAAGGTTTTAAGTACAGCATAGTAATTAATGGTGTGGGTTCTACAACCAGATGAATAATTTATTAGCTCTAATATTTACTACCTCTCTGACCTTGGGCATGTAATTTAGCCCTTTTAAGCCTCTGTTACCTCATCTGTAAAACAGGATAATAAAAGTAACCACCTCCTGATGTTGCTATAAAGATTAAAAAAGAGAACACATTCAGAGCACCTCCTGTGGAGCTTGGCATGCCGTGAGCCATCAATAAGTGTTTGCTATAATTCTATTTTAGGATTCCACTCTCTTGGCCCCGACATCTCCATGTAAGATTCAGACCTCAAGCCACCGCATTCTAGAACTAGCTCTTCAAATACAGGTGGAAACTGCTAAAACGCAGTATTTGAAGATGTAAATTCTTTGGTTTTTAAGACCTCCTCCCTCATTACTCAGTTCTGGGCATAGTGGCTTTATAAGGGGCTCAGATAACCTGCTAAGGCACATCTGGAAGGTGTAAGCTGATATATTTGGCATTTGTCTCCAAGATTTAAATCCAGGTCTACCACACTCCAGTGTACCAACCTGTCTTTATTCTATTATGGTAAGCTCTAAAACTGGTTCCTCCTCAAATGACTTTTTCAACTTCAAAATATTATTACTTCCTCGTTTAACATCACAGCATTGGGGCTGCACCTGTCCCCACCACTAATCAGCATTAATTGAATTTTTAAATCCAAATTAAAAATGACAGGTGGTGCTATTATGTTCTTAGCCACTCAACTTCTAGCTGGTTTTAAAATTGCATTCTTCTCCCCCTCAGAAAATCCAAATCATTTTCTCAGTTTAAGAAGGAAGTATTTGCAGGTGCTGAATTTGTCCTTGTAGCGCTAATGCTGAGTGATCCTCTGCCAAATTACATTCAAGAGCGCCATCTCCTGTCCAAAGTTTAAAAGAAAATGAACAAATAAGCAGGTGCCTAAATAGTCTTGTGCCTTTAATCAGCTGCTTAACTAGTTAACCATGAAAATGAGCTTTTTAGGGCTAATGAGAGTTACCCAATTTGCAGACATTGGGTGTTTTTTTTTGTACCATGATTTTCCAGCTGCTTGCATCCCGCCTCCTTTACAGTGTGTAGCACCTGCTTATGCTGCCTTGTTGGTGTACATGGTGTTGCTTAAAGGCCCCTCCTGGATGCTGAGAGGCATGGCATGTGCTAGGTCTCCCAGGTTGAAAATCTGATTCAGGATTCCAGACAGGCTTCTGGGTTTAGCGTAGGACCTGGGAATCAGGTATGTGTTCTTTATATTTAAATATTAGACAAGAAAGTTATAAGAAGTCAGGTTGAACTTTATCGATACTCTATAAAAGCAAAGAAATGATTGAAAATCAAAGCAACCTGGTCCAGAGTCAGCACATCTATGGCTATCACTCTGCCTATAAAGAAAATGCAGGTACTTCTGCAGTAATCAAATATGTATATTTCTGATGGGAAAAGAGAAACATCCTTTCTATAAAATTGCAAACTAAAAATAATTAAGACTTGTAGGGAAAATAGGATTGAGGCAGACAATTCAAAACATATGCAGCTTTGCAACCAGAACATTAACAAAGGTAATAACATCTTAATTAAAATACCAGCACAGTTTAAAGAGTATGCTCACTCAGTGCTTAATAAATAAATTCTACATGAAATAAAGGACTTTGCCTTAAAAAAGAAGAAAGGCCAGGCATGGTGGCTCACGCCTGTAATCCTAGCACTTTGGAAAGCTGAGGCAGGCAGATCTCTTGAGGTCAGGAGTTCAAGACCAGCCTGGCCAACATGCTGAAACCCCATCTCTACTGAAAATACAAAAATTAGCCAGGCGTGGTGGTGCAAGCCTGTATCAGCTACTCTGGAGGCTGAGGCAGGAGAATCACTTGAACCCAGGAGGCGGAGGTTGCAGTGAGCTGAGATCGTGCCACTGCACTCCATCCTGGGTGACAGAGCGAGACTGTCTCAAAAAAGAAGAAAAAGAAAGAAAGGTTGGGTAATTTGATGAAAGGCAATATAAGAGAACTCATAGTCTTCTGAGTCATGAAAATAAGGAAAAAAACTGCACAGGATCAGGGAGAACTGAGCCCTGGGCACTCCTGAGCCAGAGATTATGGCTCGCCTAAGGTCAGAGAGACTTGAAGCAAATGAGAACTGTGGACCACACTGCTTCCCTTATCAGCCTGCTGCATTCAGCTGTTTGTGCCTTCCGCCTTTGTCTTCTGACATTTGCCTGTGCAAAATGCTGACTGGCTGGGAACATCATAGATGAACCAGTGTAATATCCCATTTTACTGACATTGTTCCACCATACATCAACCCCATTTGAGCTAATTTATGTTAAAATCACACACAAACACACAAGTGTTATAGCAAAACAGACTGAGCGTGGGATGCTTCTCCAGCATACATCTTAACACTAACCCCCGCTAAAAGGATGAATTCTATCAGCTCTGCTTCCCTTTCCGGCCTGTCTCCCTATGCCTCAATGTCAGGTTCACACATGTCCCTGTATGCCAGACAAATGGGGTCAATCATGGCTTTGGGCTCCAAGGCTCCTATGATGTCCAAGGTGCTGTGCTATACTAGTTAGCATGACAGTATGTATTTGACAAGGTTATTTTGGTTACAAGTGAGAGACTCCCAACTAAAACTGTCCTAAGAAAGGGAGAAAAGCTTGGTTAACCTAATAAAGAGTTCAGATGCGATGTGGCTTCAGGCTTAGCTGGAATCAGGGACGAAAATTTGGTCCTTGTGCCAATCTCCCTCTCCCACCTCCCCCTCCCCTATAATCTGCTTCCCTTGGTGGTGGGGGGTGTCACTCTTTTTCCCAAGCCCTCACCTACAGATGATACCTGGATTCTCCAGATTCATAATCCTCAGAACTAGTAACCCTAGAGGAAAATGGACTTTTCTTTCCCAATTTTTGCCAAAAAGACACAAAAACCAGGAACTGTCTCATTGACATTATTTGTTGTACACGTTCCCCAAACTTGACCCAGTCTACTGTGGTCCAACTGTGGTCTCTGATTGGCCAGGCCAGGGTGTAGGCTGACCCTTGGATTCAGGGATTGATTCAGCCCCACCCAAACCACATGTAGAAAGAGAGAGAGATGTCTTTCACCAAAAGGAAGACAGGTGCAGTGCCTGGAAAGGGGAACAGATCAGCTCAGACACCCATCACTCATTGTGGTCCAAGCCAGGCACCTGACAAGGAAATCTGGTTTCTGATGAATATGCTATCTGAAGGAGACTATTTATCTTGAACTTAAAAGAATAGTATCTCAACACACCATGAATTTATAAGCAGATTTACTATGGAAGTATAGAAATAATTATGTACTATCTAGCAGAGGTTTAAAGTCTTCAAGCTGACCTGGCCTTCTTGTGTGTTTTGTTTAGCTCAATAGTACCATTTTTTTTGTTTTTGTTTTTATTGTTAAAATTAGTTGCCAACATTTAGAATTCGCACATTTTAGGGCTTTCCTTAAACTGGAGCCACACTGGACTTGTTTTTCCACATGGCAGCAGTAGTTTGTGTGAAGTAACAGCTGCCCCTTTATTGAAGCAGCCTCTCCTGTCTGCAATAGTCCCCACTATGCCCTATGCCCCTCCAGCCTCCTTCACTCTTAGCTACCTGGAGGTGGAAGCATTTAAGTTTGCAATCTGCCCTGTGAGTTTAACTCTGGCCACACACCTTTTCGGTCGGCAGCTGGCAAGTGTTCTCTGATGAGGGAGGGCTGAGCCAGGTTCCTTCTGTCTTGCTCTGCTGTCCTAGTCTTATGATGTTTCTGGTGTGTCTGAAGCTGAGTCAATGGTCAGGTACTCTATTATCAAGACATGGAGGCCTTAGCTCCCCATCTTTAAAGTTAATTAACAGGTAATTTATTGAGATATGTATTCTAGCTTCCTCCCGCAGCTGTAGGCGAATAAAAAGGTGAAATTTCCCTCCCCCATTACTGGAAGAACAGTCAAACATTTGTGTCTTAGAGACCTAAGTGACCTTTGCCTTATGGGAGAATTAACAGGCTTTTGTTTTCAAAGGCCTAGCCACATAGAACCTATAGAGCTGGATTGTTCCCGAGTGGAAAGTATTCCAAGAGTTGACAAAGAGGGAAAACACTCAGAAAAGAATTACATTCTTTGAGACTTGAACAATAGGGGAGAGATGCTGGATTCATCAATGTCCATGACCTTTGCCTCACACAAAGTCCTCCAGTGGGGCAGGACTCATTATCTGTTAGGATTCTTTGTATTGCATGTGACAGAAAACACAGCCAAACAGGCTTAAGGAAGAAGAAAGACAAAAGGAGTTGGGTAATTTTTTGGTTTACATTACTGGAAAGTCGAAGAGTAACTAACCTTCAGGTATAGGTTGATCCAGTGATCCAAAAAGATACCATGAAAACGAATTCTATCCATCTTTCAACATTGTGTTTCCCTCTGTTGGTTTCATTGTCAGGAGCCATGAAATGGCCCCCAGCAGCTGTCTCAGACTCCACCCCGAAAAATCTAATTGGCTTCTCAGTAGAGTATATGTCAATTACTAAGCCAACCACTAAAGTCATAAGATACAATACTCTAACTGGCCAGTCACATGTGTCTTCCCTGAAATGGGGGGAATTGGAATACTACAACTGAGGACCAAGAGAGGACATGGATGCTGAGCAACTACTAGAGACTACAAATGAAACCACCTTTGCAAAAATTGTAATGGTGAGAAAATTACAGCAGTTAAAAAAGATCTGATATAACCCCCACCCCACCCATCCAGAACACACACACACAACTTGCCTTTCTCTTAATCATTCCTGGGCTTAGGCTAAGCTAACTTTGGGAGACATTTAGTTTATAGTTTAAATGATAATAGGCCCCAAAACTCAACTGCTCTTGTAAAGCTAATGAAAGGCCATCAGGCTAGGGGAAGGAGAGGAACCCAAATACTGCTGAAGCGTAGACTGGTCACAAGATACATCCTGTGGATAACATCACTATTGTAGATTGGCCTTTTGAGGAGATTTTCATGTTTTTTGCATGTCTGACATCCATGGCTCCACCTGGACCTTCTAACCCCACTCCTGTGGCCCCACCCAGAAGCAACTCAGCTCAAGAATACAGCTTCAACCCCCTTGATTTCATCTCCACCCTAATCAATCAGCAGCAAGCACCCATTACCTGGCCATTCCCACCCCTTCCCCCAGACAGCCTTTAAAAAACTACTGACCTAGGAGCCTTCAATGAGATTGATTAGTCTGTGTCTCCTGCATCACGTGGCTGGCCTCACGTCAGTTAAACTCTTTCTTTACTGCAATGCTCTAATCTTTATTTGTGCAGCAGGCAGGATGAACCCATCAGGCAGTTATACAAATAGATGGTTAAGGACACTGGGCACCAGGCTTAGGAATCTTGGCAAAGATCTGTATTCTTGGCTGCTGTAACAGGCATGGGCTCAACTGCTTCTGAATGGATCCAACAGGACACAGGCAAGTACTACCAAGGAGCTGTACCTACCTGTAAGGAGACTTCTTTTGGAAAGATCCATAAGCCCCTGGGGCTCTGCACAATCATTAGGTGGGAAGGCCATGCGTGGGTGCACAGGTGCAGACACACACAGGCACACACACAATGGCAGATCTGCTGTCTCACTAATGGTGGAAGATAAAGGGCCTAACCACATCTATTTGTTTTGGGATGTGACGTCTCTGCCACTTAAATAACCATAGCAGATTCATTTTCATCATAACAACTTTCTGCTTTCCTCTACTGTCTCTTTCCTGCAGCTTCTGAACAATTGTTGCTGTATTCCACTGTATTCTACACCCTCCCCTTTCATCTGCTCTAAGTCAACCCTCTCTCCACACTCTGTTATCAGGTGGTGCCACATTTCACTGGCCATAATCTATCTTTGTTCTGCCAGCATCAAAGCTGTGTACTCTAGGCCATCCTGGCTGCCACAATGTAATCCTGATCTACACAGAGGAAAGAGAGAGTTACCTCCCTTCAAAAAGCTTCTTTATTTATATTAGAAAGAATTGGCCCCCTGACCAACCAGAGATTTTTTTAAATAGTAAAAACATATACAAGGCAAGCCCAAAATGGCCAGGCACAGTGGTTCATGCCTGTAATCCCAGCACTTTGGGAGGATGAGGTGGGAGGATCACTTGAGCCCAGGAGTTTGAAACCAGTTTGAAAATCTAATTCAGATTTTCAGCCTGGGCAACAAAGTGAGATCTCATCTCTGTGAAAAATTTGAAAACTTAGCCAGGCATGGTAATGCACACCTGTGGTCCCAGCTACTTGGGAGGCTGAGGTAGGAGGATTGCGATTCCTTGGGGCCGGGATGTAGAGGGCTGCAGTGAGCTGTGATCATGCCACTGCACTCCAGCCTGGGAGATAGAGTGATACCCTATCAAAAAAAAAAAAAAAAAAAAAAGACAAGCCCTTTTTTTGTGGTGCTCACTGGTTTCCTCACTTAAGAACAGAATTTTTCAATCATTTTTACCCTCTGTCCTCTTTTGTTAAACATAAAAATCCCATATCTTCTTCTTCTAAGGTAAATTTAGTTTTATTTTTATTTTGAGATAGAGTCTCACTCTGTCACCCAGGGTGGAGTGCAATGGTGCAATCTCGGCTCACTGCAACCTCCACCTCCCAGGATCAAGCAATTCTTATGCCTTAGCCTCCCCAGTAGCTGAGACTACAGGCGCCTGCCATCACACTAGGCTAGTTTTTATATTTTTAGTAGAGCCAGGGTTTCACCATGTTAGCCAGGCTGGTCTCAAACTTCTGGACTCAAATGATCTGCTCACCTTGACCTTCTAAAGTGCCGGGATTACAGGCATGAACCACTGCGCCCAGCCTTCTAAGGTAATTTGAAATAGTCAAACTATTTTGGCTAAAAATTAAATCAAAGCAATGATACTTTTACATCATACCCACTCCCCAAAAAGATTCTGATGAAACCTCAGTGGATCAGCTCTATAGACAATTATTGCTTAGCCAGGATTAAAAAAAAAAAAAAAAACAAGGACTTCATATAGTCATATAATAATAGCACATAAAGATTTGTAGAATTCACTACCTTTTTTAGTCCTTTCTGCTCTTTATTAAATTTTGCTGAGAAATGTTAAATTTGAAAAGCAAAGTGGTGACAAAGATTCTTTGCTTGGCCAAACTTTAGTCAGGCTTCTGAATCTTCTCCTAGGCCTACCTGTGTACTTCATTGTAAAATCTCATTTTAGCAAAGAGCCCTGCTAAGTCAGTTTAGCAAGAACATCCCCGAATCATATCTAACACCTTGGATATCTGACCAGATTCCTCATCCTCCACTATCTCCCAGGTGATGTCTGATTACACTGGCCTATCTTCAGCAATAATCTTGTTAGATCGGTTTAGCCAGTTACATCAGAATCCTCCTTAGCCCCAATGTTTCTTCTTTTAGTAATTTTCCATCCACTGACCCCCAACCTGCTCCTTGGCTATAAATTCCCACTCCATGCTGTAATTGGAGTTGAGCCCAATCTGTCTTCCCCACTGCAGCAATTCCTGTACCTATGTCCTGAATAAAATCTTCCCTACCATGCTTTAATAAGAATCGTTGAATTTTTTCTTTAAGAGTGGACATTAACCAAACAAAAGCCTCAATCTTTTACAACTCAAGATATACACACATACATATAAACACATACACATATGTTACATGTATGTTTATATACATATACTTATGTGTGTGTGTATATATTTACAATTTATTCATGCAAGAGATATGTGTCAAGTGTCTACAATGTATCTGATACTGTTGAATCACACAAACAGCAAAATCAGACCCCAGTCCTGTCCTCATGGAGCACAGTGTCTAGCTGGGGAGACAGACATTAGTCTCACAAATGTGATAGAGCTGTTTGACTCCTGTTCCAACTCAAGGGAAATTACAAATTTGTTCTACTCAAGCCCCTGTTGACTGGGAAATAGTTCCCCTTCTCGCCCCCCTGCACCTGTCAAGGTACCAAACCCCCTGCCACCACGTCACATTCTGAGGGGTAACTGAGCATGCTGGGCAACAGAAAGGGGGCATGTCCACAGGGCCTGATGAGTTTTCCATCTGTCCCTGCCTTGTCTTCTCCCCAGGGCAGGACTTGGCCTCTTTTTAACTAATCTCTTGAAGAGAAAGAAAAAAAAAACACTCACTCTGCAAGTTTACACTGGAATATTCTGTCTTGTGCTTAGACTAGCAACATTTTCTTGCTTGCTTGCTTCCAGTTGAATATCTGCAGGCTTTTCTTCTACTTCCACAGTGGGGGATGTCTGTCTAGCTGCTCCAACCCAGCAGGGAAGAAGCCTTCCTGATCCAGTATAAAGGAAGTTACAGAGCACAGGGTGGGTGGGGTGGGGAAAAAACACTCAAGAATATTTGGAAATGTGATCAACAAACACAAGGGAGGCTGGCATGGTGTTTGAAACCTAACAGAGAGGGGGTGTTTACAGGGAACTAAGTGGAAGGGGCCCATCCTGAAGGCAAGGAGACCAGTAAGGAGATCACTAAGAGTAGATCAGAGAGGGAGAACACTGGTTAAGACTTGGATGGGGGCAGTGGCAATGTGGTGGATGGATCTGAGCTGCATTTTGTAAGTAACACTGATAGGACTTTCTGAGGGGTGAGGGAAAAGCAGGATGGAGAATAATTCCTAGATTTCCAGCGTGAGCAAGCTGGGTGGGTGGTGGTGCCATTTACTGAGATAAGGAATACACAGAGAGGACTGGATTTGGGAAGGGAGGGTTCTAAAGAGTCTTGACTTGAAGTAGCAAATTTCTCTATTTGATTTTTATCTTAATAGGGTCAGGAGTGGCTCTGCAGTAGCAGTATGTGCTGTTAGGGGAAAAGGCAAAGGCAGGCAAGGGTTTAAATCCTCTACCACCCACTACTTGTTTGACCATGAGCAATGTTAGTGACCTCTTGGTATAACAACTGCCTAATTTGCAGGGCTAAATGGAATATTGAAAGTGCACAGGATTCTTGGCTGGGTCTGTGGCTGCTCCTTAGCAAGTAAAATTAGCTAACACTGCCCAAGGATCCATTGGCTGGAGTTAAGAATCCTGAGAGTTAGTGAGAGTGTGGATGGGGTAGAGAGGCCCTTGGTGGGGCAAAGGGGACGATGAGAACCAAGGTGGGAAGAAGAAAAGGCTGATAGATCCCTGGTCTAGTTTGAGGGACTCATTTTGTGCCATCCCCAACCAGGGCTAGGGGTGGAGAGTTGGGGTAGGGTGTGCCAGAGGTGACGGGGAATAGAGGGGAATAGAGTTAGCTTGGCTGGGGAGTGGGGCAGAGGATGGGGAAGGTCGGGGCATGGAGTCAGAGGCTGAGGATACTCTGTTCACGAACGCATCTGTGCTGCTGCTTTAAGAGCCAGGTGACCCAGTGTGACTCAGAGTTGAGGAGAGGGTGTTCACACCACACCAGACCCCCACTGAAGGCTTAGGGGGCCACCAACAGAAGACAGACAGCTGCACCTGACAGAGCAGTACAATAAACCAAGGGCACCATCAGCAGGGACAGGATGGCTTCCAGGCAGCAGTGTGCAGGCAGGAGTGGAAAAGCATGAATGGACTCACACCTGAGCGCAGGTAGGCAGAAATAACTGGGGGTCACTATGAGAGCACCTGAAACTCCTCTGTGAGCAGGTGGGACTCATAGCTCTCATGATGTGAGATTCAATGTTAATTCAATCATATTTTATACTCTCAGGCTGAGGAAGCCAGGGGACTTGAAGTGACATAGGTAAGGCTAGCAAAGGCCAACAAATAGTAAGTGTGGCTTACGTGGCTTTCTGCCTCCTGCTTAACCCCCTTTATAATAAAAGGCCCTTCTGGTCCGGATTCTACTGTTTCGTATTTCAATAAGAACCCTCTTTACTTCACTTATTGGCATCATCTTGCACATAGTTCAGCTCCTCCATATTGTACTAACCATAAAATCAACATACATTCTCTGTTGCCTGGCAACATAAGAAAAAGCTGATATATGAGGCTAAGAGAATAAGCAGAGATAATGATATTTACTCATCCATTCAACAAATATTTAGCCTAATATGTGCTAGGCATTGTGTTGATTCCAAAAAAAATTGTATATTTATTTCAAAATAAACTTGATAGTACAACCAGTGCATCTACAAAATACATTTTTGTTTTTGTATTATAGTTTTTACCTCTTGTATGAGATTTTACTATAAGAAAAACTAGTATTTACTATGACATAAAACACACAAACACAACAAAACCTTAGCAACTGCTGGCTAAACAGCATAACGTGTAGCACGCTTTCCTGCTTTCATATGTCATTCACTTTTAAAAATCATAGTTGGACAAGCTGCCCCTCAAGTGGGTGATCACATGATTTGCATGCTGACATAAGCTAAGAGAAAGCAGTACCAAAAAAATCCTTGCCCTCCAAAGAGCTTATAACCTGATTGGAAAGGTAAGAGATATTCCTGAAATAACTACATTCCCCACAAAGAGACAGGCACTCAGTAGACTACCTTCATAGCCCCCTGTTACGGAATGAAGCCATGTGACACGTTTGGTGTCACTTTCAGGCCAAGCATTTAATTGTCTATTCAAGACCTTCCAGTGCTCTCTTTTCCTCTGGCGGCACAGCAATCAGCACCATTTGAATTGTGTCAGTGCTATCATTTTGGGTCCCTGGGTGTTTTCTGTGAGCAGAGCTCCCTCCTAATGCATGATAGATACATAGCAGCAATGAGAAAGAAACCTGTTTTTGTTTTAAGCCATTGAGTATCGGAGATTGTTTGCTATCACAGCATAACCTTGGTTATTCTGACTGAGAAACACTAACAGGGTGAAATGGCCAAATGTCTAGGGCACTTTAGAGAATAGAGGATCTTGAAGAACTGAGACCAGCAAACACAGGTATTTTTTTAAGGATGTTCCAGAAACTACAGGCTGCTAAGCTTGACTTTTGCTCTCTACAAGAATCTAGATGGAATAGGTAAAAAGAAAGGTCTGTGGGCCTGTAGAAAAGAAAGCAACAATTATAAGTAATCAGTGCAGTTCACCAAGGGCAATCACAGCCAACTAATTTTCATTTGCTTTCCAGACAGGTTTTATGGCAGGGTCTTGGCAGGTAACAGATGGCGTACTCAAATTAGGATGACATTAAAAGAAAGTTGTATAAAGGGACTATATACAAAGATGAACACGATGTACAAAAATTACAAGGAGTAGTACAGAATCCTGGGCTAGTAACAGTGGGGATGTTGCTACCTCTGAGCATGAAGGGGTGGGGGCATCCTGAACCCTGGAACTAGCAGCGTGTAAACAGAGGGACTAAATGCAGAGACACTTGCCCAGCCAGAAGTGACCCTGCATTAAGGGAATTTGGAGATATCCCAAATTCCAAACTCATCCTTCTCTTTCCTTCCAATCTCCTTTGTCTCCATTGACCAAACTCAACTGAAAATCCAACCAGAGGGCCAAAAAGCCATTGATGTAATCCATGCAGTCAGCTCCTGGGGCACAGAGCAGTGTGGACAGGGTGGAAAGCAGGTCTGCAGGGGCCAATAGAAAATTTCCAGCTGAAGACTGTTATGGAAATCAAATATTCTAAATGTATCTGGACGCAAGTGAGGTATTTGACAAGGAATGTCAGGAATTCCTTGAGGAAAAAGTGAAGAAATTCATGCCAGATACACATATCTGATTGAACAAAGCACATGCCATTGATGTGATATAAAGCTGCTATAGAAAGTAAAGTACCGACTTATAGAAATCAAAAATAAAATTTATTATTGTTTTTATTATTGTACTATAACTAAAAGGTGCTAAATAAGAAAGCAATATTGGTCACAGCCTCATTTGTGATCCAATGGCACATTGCATTCATTCCCTGGAGTAGGTGGTGGACAATGGAGTTTCACTACTTCAGCCTGCACCTCCATCTCACCTCTGGCAATAGCACCTTCATATTTTCCAGGGAACTTACCCCCAATCCTTGTGTTTCAGATGTGGTCAATTGCCATACCGCATCTTCTTCTGATCCCCAACTCCAAAGGGTGGACACTGGAATGAGTCAGGCCAACATTCCTGCAGCCACTAGCCAGAAATGTGTTATCTTGCCCATGGGTTACAGTATTGGAAAGATGCAAGTCTGGAGCAATGGACAGCCATCTTCCCCAGCTCAGCAGGAGAAGCCATTTATGATAAGAGAGTTCATGATCCTCACACGAAGAGAAGTAAGGAAAAAAATATCTATTGAAGAAAAATAATTCTAATAATATTGTCTGAGTTCCTGGATCAAACTTACTGATGTTAATCCCCTCTAAATTTCTCAGTTATATGAGCCACTCTATTAACTTTTTCACTTTTGCTAGCTTGAGTTAGATTTCTTTTGTTCACAACAGAGATGTCTAATTAATCTACCTGTATTATACCTCTTCCAATATTAACCTCATAGTGCCATTAAAATTTATTAAAATACATTTTAACCCAAATAAAGGCTAGAATAGTAATAACAGCAGCTACCATTGTTGAGTGCTCAGTAAATGTTCATGAGATAAATGATTGTCACCAAAGTAAATGAAAGCCTTGTCAAACAACAGGGTAAGGCCCAGCTGAGGCCACATAGTCTCGGATCCTTCTCTAGGAATTTCAGTGCTTGCCTGCCCCAGCCCTCATATAACATCTGCACTACTGGAGAAGCCACAGAAGGAAAGGAGGGCCGTGGTCAGTGTTGTCCCTTCCTTGCTCCATTGCTTTCCCCTTGCTCAAACTGTGATTTTAGGCCTTCTCTTGGGTCACATGCAGGGAGAAACAAGATTTGAAGAAAAGAGCAAGGCCTTCCATACATAATATTGTAATCCAGCTTTAGATCCCTGTAGGTAGCATATGCCAAAGTACTAGCTCTTTCTTTCATGGAATACTTTTCGTGGGTTTCTCAGAGACCCACTACCCGGGGCTCCCTTACTATACCATCCACAGCTGTGAGTGATGCAACTGCTCCCATCCTGAAGCCCCTGATCCTTTGATACGTTCCAGGAAGCTTCTCTGTAGTGGCATGAGGTCCCTGGGTTGGATCCCTCAAGCTGATTAATGTCCCATGGAGGGCATGGCCCTTGCCCGGCTATCAGCACAATCCACCTAATTCACTCTGTAGTCCTCTCTCCTTATTCTGACATCAGAGTCATCTCCAGCCAGGTTCACCTCTTGGATTCTCCAGGCATGAGTCAGGCATCAGCTTCTGTACTGTATAAACTCATGAAGCCTCCCTTACTTGTCTGAAATCGGAGGAAGGGCACTACCCTCCTCTCCTCTATGGGCAGGGGAAGGAAATCACACAGCACTCCAACAACTCTTCTCAAAGAAATCCTCACTCCCCAGCTCTCTTTCTCCAGCCCCTACTTTCTCTCACAAATGGTCAGAATGGTGGGATAAGGCTCATAATCATGTTGGAGATTTCCAGTTGGCAAGGCCTGCCTAGATGGCCAAATTCCTTTCTTTAGAACTGTACCATCCAATATGGCAGCCACTGGCTACATAAATATGGCTAATGAGCTTTCGAAGTATGGCTGATCCAAACTGGGATTGTACTAAGTGTAACAGACACAACAGCTTTCAAAGACTTTGTATAAATAAAATAATGTAAAATATCTTATTAATATTTTTTATATTCATTAGTTGTTGAAATAATATCTTTGACATATTGGAATAACAAAATATCTCAAAATTGATTTCATCTCTTTTTAAAATAAGATGTGGCTACTAGAAAATTTTAAACTACATACATGGCTTACATTATATTTCTATAGGCACTGCCTTGAAATGTATGGGCACTTGGCTTTAAGGCCTGGAAAAAACTCAAAAGTCTGTTATACGATATTTGTAAATCCCTTAGCCTGCTGCCTGGCACACATTAAGCATGCAATCGTTAGGATAAGGGAGAGACTGGAGGTGGAAGAAGAGGAGGAGAGGTTGTTGTTATTTTTGTGGTGGTAGATGATGTTGTTACTGGTATTATTCACCCGTTTACCCATCTGTAAAATAAGAATAATAATTGCTGTTCCACTGACTTCACAAGATTGAGGGTGGTTTGAGGGAAATCAAAGCTCTTTAAAGTGTAAATAGTTGCATAGACAGCGGTTGTCCCAGTACTAATAATCATGGTGGCCACTGTAACATCCTGGCTCCTGGCGGTAACTGGACCTTAGCTCAGCTGCTCTGGCTGGCTAGCCTGGGGCCCAGCAGCTTTTTCATTTGCATGAAAACCTGCACAATGGGTCTGCCGCCACGTGGCAGTGAAAGCCACGCTGGGGTCCCGCTAGGTCCCCTGAAGTGCAGTCCCACCTTGTTCAGGAAAACAAGTTAGTTCCCTGAGGACTCCCGGGTGAAGCACTTTTTGCTGCTAGACACTGTGCGGAATACAAAAAGACTTGTAAGGCACGGTCCAGCTCTTCAGGAGCTGCAGTGTGTTAAACAAAAATGATCCAGGCTGTTGTTTTGGACTGAGCTCCTGCACTAGGCCCAACAGACCAGACCAAATCAAAGTGGAGTCACTCGTAGTAAATGCCACATAATAAAACTGAAACTTTAAGGAAGCAACAGCTCCCAAAACAGACCTTTCTTTTTTTTTTTTTTTTTCCTGAAAACAGGAGATTCCAGTCTACCCAAATCAGCAAAATAAGAAAGTCCCCTCTGCTTTAATCCTTACAAAAAGGTAGCCTGAAGTAACCTGATGTAAACCGATCAGCTTTTCTCCTCTTTGATTCTGTTTCTTCATCCCCACCTCACAAAACCCACTCTTCTGCCATTGCCCAGTGGGAACTCTTATTCTATCTTGTTGAATGGAGGCTGCCCCAATTCAATCACGAATAAAAGCCAATTAGATCTATACATTTGTGGTAATGTTGTCTTTTGACAAGTGTAACAAAGGAAATTGACCCCCAAACAACCCATCCAATAGAGGAGATCGCAGCTAGATCAGAGGGAAGATGGCCACTGTGGGAGCCCTTGGGAGGCTGTGGGAACAGGAGGAACTCCCTGAGATGTGACACTTGAGCTGGAGTTTTATGAAGGACATCTTCACTTGGTTGAGAAGAGTAGAGGAGGTTACCGGAAGAGGAATAAGCAAGTGCAAAATACACATGGCCCATTTGGGAAAAGGTATGGGCATTTGGACATGAATGATGAGGGGGTTGAAGCAGATGAAATTAAGAGCAATGAAACCCAGAATCCTCATAAACCATCAACTAGTAAGGTGTCAACAGATGCTTCTGCTGACACTGACTGGGATAATGGCATTGAAGATGCTTATATTTTAGAAGCTACTGAAGATGTCGAATTAGCTGAAGCTGCAGAGAACAGTCTTCTCAGTTATAACAGTGAAATGGATGAAATTCCTGATAAACTAATCACGGAAGTACTATACAAGTACCTAATTCACTATGGACACTTATGTCACCAGGCTATAATTTGCCTGATGTCTGTGAGATTTGATAACAAATATATTGTCATTAAACCTGTTTACATAAACTAAGTTTTATCACTTTGTTTTCCAATTTTTGTTTTTTACTTCTATAAACCAGTTTTACCGAAAATTAGCTTTGGTGTACTTAAATTCAGTAGAAATCTCCTTCTTAATCAAAATTAGTTTATGTTCACATCAAGATAATTTTATGTTTATTAAAACTCTTGTATCTGGGGCTGATTAAGATATGATGTCAACAGTTTAAAATTTATTACTCAAGATATTAGCCAGAAAAGATGATCATGGCCTTTAAAACTATTTGAAAAACGGATGCCATTTAACATTGTTCACAGTCATTTAATTTGAATGACAAATATTAGGTTCTGATAACTAGGCCATACTTCTTTGCAAAAAAAATTATTTATAAAAGTATAGTTTCAGAAGGTAACAGTAGCATGAAACTAACATTTCTATAGGCACATTTTAGTAGGCTGCGCTTCTTCTTTCTGGTCAAGGAGCTTCTCTAATTGATGGTTGATATTTTGCAGGTGATTTTCAGCTCCCAAAATTGTTAAGATAACAGAGCTGGAAGGCTGGTTGAATTATACGTTTCCTTTATGTTTGCTTCTTTCTCCTGAACATCTGATAATCTTGATAAAGCCATTTTAAATTAGATAAGAAATATGCTGCATTCCTAAGGGAAGACTTTCTCTCCTTAAGTTTATCACATTTTGTTTGTAGTTGTTTCAGCTGTGGCTCTAATGGAAGCAGTTCATCCTAAACTTCAATCAAACGTTGCCTTTTCAATATCTGAAATCATCTTAGCATTCTTCCTTTTCAAGTTTTTCAACATCTGGACTTCTTTAAACTTTTTGATGGGTTCTTTTTAATGTTAAAATAAAATGTGTTGATGGCTTTCTTACAAATTTTAGATTCTATTCTTTGTTTATACTCTAGGAGGATTTTCTCAACTGTGGGCAAAACAATATTCAACTCCATGATGTTACTGGTTTTCTTATAGACACCAAATATGCACAATGTTGGAAGTATCTGAGTCAATGGCTTTACTTCTTGATTTCTTCCTTTTGTCATAAGACATCTTTCCTTTTTTCTGAGTTTTCAATTAAATTTCTGTTGCCAAGATCTCTTTATCAACAGAGGGCTGGGCACTAAGAGGTCCTATCTTTTTAGAAGTGATCAACTCAGCTGGTTTCTCTGAAAGTTCTGAAGATGCTGTAGTTGGAGGAATAGCCTCGTGTCATTGTGTACCCATTTTGTCTGCTGATTTAGCTTTTCTTCTTACATCACTTTCTTCAGTACTTTCCCAGTCATTATGAATGGGCTTGTGTTTTCTTCCTGGCTTTTTTTGCACTGTTTTTTTTTGTTGTTGTTGTTTTGTTGTTTTTTTTTTTGAGATGGAGTCATGCACCATTGCCTGGGCTGGAGTGCAATGGTGTGATCTCAGCTCACTGCAACGTCTGCCTCTTAGGTTCAAGCGATTCTCCTGCCTCAGTTTCCCAAGTAGCTGGGATTACAGAAGCCTACCATCATGCCTGGCTATTTTTTGTATTTTTAGTAGAGACGGGGTTTCACTATGTTGGCCAGGCTGGTCTTGAACTCCTGACCTCATGATCCACCCGCCTCAGCCTTGCAAAGTGCCGGGATTACAGGTGTGAGCCACTGTGCCCGGCCTTTTGCACTAATTTTTGCAGATTTGTTTTCACTTGCTTTATTTTCAGAAGTGTCTGAACTTCTTTTTGCTTTGTTTCCTGGGGGATTTGAAGAGATAGATAATCCACAATGTCAGGAGAATAATTCTTCATCAGCATATATAGCTGTGTTGTGTAAAGGAGGATGAAAGCCTTCCTAAGGTTCTTCATCTTTCTCATTTTCATCTAGACTGCCAATGCTTGAGATATCAGAATTATCAGGAAAATTGAACATATCAATAGACATGTACTTTTGAGCAGCTTTACTTTTCATGGAATGTGTTCTTTCTAAAGTGTTCTTTGAATATCTTGTACCCACAGGCCCGGGAGGCTGCACCCACCCACCAGTGGTTATTTTTCTTTTCACCTTCCTGGGTGAGGGCCAAATCACTTTCAGAGGGCTATTATCATGCATAAAGAAACAAGAGAGACTAATTGCTGTTGGGACTGACCCATGCAGTGCTCTGTGGCCTCCCCAGATCCCTTGGATGCAAGGCAAGGCAAGGAATCAACAGAATAGCCTTTTTATCTGTCTATCCATCCATCCATGTATCCATCCATGCATCCATCCATCCATCCATCCATCCATCCATCCATCCATCCATCCAACATCTGCAAGGTGCAGACACTGCTCCAGGTAGCAACAACAACAAAAGTATGAGAATAGTTCCAGTCCTCAAAGTTTGCGGTGCAGTTGTGGAAAGACTGAAAATAACAAACTCAATGTCCCCAGTCCTCATCAGCCTATGAATATAAACAGGAGTCCATTAATTCAAATAACCCCCTCAGAACCATTTAATTCCCAGCAATGTGTCTCTCAAATACTTCTTTTTTAAAACATTTTTTATTTCCATAGGTTATTGGGGAGCAGGTGGTGTTTGGTTACATGAGTAAGTTCTTTAGTGGTGATTTGTGAGATTTTGGTGCACCCATCACCCAAGCAGTATACACTGCCTCCTATTTGTAGTCTTTTATCCCTCACCCCCTTCCTACCCTTTCCCCCTGAGTCCCCAAAGTCTATTGTGTCATTTTTATGCCTTTGCATCCTCATAGCTTAGCTCCCACTTATGAGTGAGAACATACAATGTTTGGTTTTCCATTCCTGATTTACTTCACTTAGAATAATAGTCTCCAATCTGATCCAGGTCTCTGCAAATGCCATTAATTCATTCCTTTTTATGGCTAAGTAGTATTCCATGGTGTATATATATATACCACAGTTTCTTTATCTGCTTGTTGATTGATGGGCTGGTTCCACGTTTTTTCAGTTGTGAATTGTGTTGCTATAAACATGCATGTGCAAGTATCTTTTTCGTAAAATGACTTCTTTTCCTCTGAGTAAATAACCAGTAGTGGGATTGCTGGACAAATGGTAGTTCTACTTCTAGTTCTTTAAGGAATCTCCACACTGTTTTCCATAGTGGCTGTACTAGTTTACATTCCCACCAGCAGTGTAGAAGTGTTTCCTGTTCACTGCATCCATGCCAATATCTACCGTTTTTTTAAATTTTTTTTTTATTATGGCCATTCTTGCAGGAGTAAGGTGGTATCACATTGTGGTTTTGATTTGCATTCCCCTGATCATTAGTGATGTTGAGCACTTCTTCATGTTTGTTGGCCATTTGTATATCTTCTTTTGAGAATTGTCTATTCATGTCCTTAGCCCACTTTTTGATGGAATTGTTTTTTTCTTACTGATTTGAGTTCGTTGTAGATTCTGGATATTAGTCCTTTGTCGGATGTATAGATTGTGAAGATTTTCTCCCACTCTTTGGGTCATCTGTTTACTCTGCTGACTGTTCCTTTTGCTGTGAAAAAGCTCTTTAGTTTAATTAAGTCCCAGCAATTTATCTTTGTTTTTATTACATTTGCTTTTGGGTTCTTGGTCATGAAATCCTTGCCTAAGTCAATGTCTAGAAGGGCTTTTCCAATGTTATTTTCTAGAATTTTTACAGTTTCAGGTCTTAGATTTAAGTCTTTAATCCATCTTGAATTGATTTTTGTATAAGGTGAGAGATGAGGATCCCGTTTCATTCTCCTACATGTGGCTAACCAATTATCCCAGCGCCGTTTGTTGAAAAGGGTGTTCTTCCCCAACTTTATGTTTTTGTTTGCTTTGTCTAAGATCAGTTGGCTGTAAGTATTTGGGTTTATTTCTGGGTTTCTCTATTCTGTTCCATTGGTCTATGTGCTTATTTTTATACCAGTACCATGTTGTTTTGGTGACTATGGCCTTATAGTATAGTTTGAAATCAGTAATGTGATGCCTCCGGATTTGTGCTTTTTGCTTAGTCTTGCTTTGGCTATGCAGGCTTTTCTTTGGTTCCATATGAATTTTAGGATTTTTTTTTCTAATTCTGTGAAGAATGATGGTGGTATTTTGATGGGAATTATGTTGAATTTGTAGATTGCTTTTGACAGTCTGGTCATTTTCACAATATTGATTCTACCCATTCATGAGCATGGGATGTGTTTCTATTTGTTTGTGTCATCTATGATTTCTTTCAGCAGTGTTTTGTAGTTTTCCTTGTAGAGGTCTTTCACCTCATTGGTTAGGTATATTCCTAAGTATTTTATTTTTTTGCAGCGATTGTAAAGGGGTTGAGTTCTTGATTTGATTCTCAGCTTGGTCACTGTTGGTCTATAGAAGAGCTACTGGTTTGCGTACATTAGTTTGTACACCATTTGTATTATTAATTTGTATTTTTCCAGATAATATATTATTGGGAAACTTTGCTGAATTATTTTATCAGTTCTAGGAACTTTCTGGAGGAGTCTTTAGGGTTTTCTCGGTAAACGACCATATCATCAGCAAACAGCAACAGTTTGACTTCCTCTTTACCGATTTGGATGCCCTGTATTTCTTTCTTTTATCTGATTGCTCTGGCTAGAATTTCCAGTACTATGTTGAGGAGTGGTGACAGTGGGCATCCTTGTCTTGGTCCAAGTCTCAGAGGGAATGCTTTCAACTTTTCCCCATTCAGTATTATGTTGGCCGTGGGTTTGTCATAGATGGCTTTTATTATATTGAGATATGTCCCTTGTATGCCAATTTTGCTGATAGTTTTAATCACAAAGTGATGCTGTATTTTGTGGAATGCTTTTTCTGTATCTATTGAGATGTCATGTGATTTTTGTTTTTAATTCTGTTTATGTGGTATATCACATTTATTGCCTTATGTATGTTAAACCATCCCACCATCCCTGGTATGAAACCTACTTGATCATGGTGAATTATCTTTTTGGTATGTTGTTGGATTCAGTTAGCTAGTATTTTATTAAGGATTTTAGCATCTATGTTCACCAAGGATATTGGTCTGTAGTTTTCTTTTGTGGTTATGTCCTTTCCTGGTTTTGGTATTAGGGTGATATTGGCTTCATAGAATGATTTAGGGAGGGTTCATTCTTTCTCTATCTTGTGAAATAGTGTCAATAGGATTGGTACCAATTCTTCTTTGAATGTCTGGTAGAATTCTGCTGTGAATCTGTATGGTCCTGGGCTTTTTTTGTTGATAATTTTTTAATTACCATTTCAATATCACTGCTTGTTGTTGGTCAGTTCAGAGTATCTAATTCTTCCTGGTTTAAGCTAGGAGGAGGAGAGTCCTGGAAATATCTTTCCAAGAATTTATCCATGTCTTCTAGGTTTTCTGGTTTATGAGTGTAAAGGTGTTCATGGTAGCCTTGAATAATCTTTTGTATTTCGGTGGTATCAGTTGTAATATCACCTTTTACTTTTCTTATTGAGCTTATTTGGATTTTCTCTCTTCTTTTCTTGGTTAATCTTGCTAATGGTTTATCAATTTTACTTATCTTTTCAAAGAACCAGCTTTTTGTCTCATTTATCTTTTGTATGTGTTTTGTTTCAATTTCATTTAGTTCTGCTCTGATCTTGGTTATTTCCTTTCTTCTGCTGGGTTTGGGTTTGGTTTGTTCTTGTTTCTCTAGTTCTTTGAGGTGTGATCTTAGATTGTCTATTTGTGCTCTTTCAGACTTTTTTTTTTTTTTTTTTTTTTGATACAGGGTCTCACTCAATTGCCCAGGCTGGAGTGCAGTGGCTCGATCTCCACTCACTACAAGCTCTGCCTCCTGGGTCCACACCATTCTCCTGCCTCAGCCTCCCAAGTAGCTGGGACTACAGGCACCCGCTACCACACCCAGCTAATTTTTTTGTTATTTTTTAGTAGAGATGGGGTTTCAGCATGTTAGCCAGGATGGTTGTGATCTCCTGACCTTGTGATCCACCCGCCTTGGCCTCCCAAAGTGCTGGGATTACAGACGTGAGCCACGGTGGTGCCTGGCCTCTTTCAGACTTTTTGATGTAGGTGTTTAGGGCTATGAACTTTTCTCTTAGCGCTGCCTTTGCTGTGTCTTGGAGGTTTTGATAGGTTGTGTCACTATTGTTGTTCAGTTCAAAGAATTGTTAAATTTTCATCTTGATTTTGTTTGTGACCCAATACTCATTCAGGAGCAGGTTATTTAATTTCCATTTATTTGCATGCTTTTGGAGGTTGCTTTTGGAGTTGACTTCCAGGTTTATTCCACTGTGGTCTGAGAGAGTGCTTGATATAATTTCGATTTTCATAAATTTATTGAGGCTCATTTTGTGGCCTACCATATGGTCTATCTTGGAGAATTTCCATGTGCTGTTAAATAGAATGTATATTCTGCAGTTGTTGGATGGGATATTCTGTATATACCTGTTAAGTTCATTTGTTCCAGCATATAGTTTAAATCCATTGTTTCTTTGTTGATATTCTGTCTTGATGACCTATCTAGTGCTGTCAGTAGAGTATTGAAGCCCCCTACTATTATTGTATTGCTGTCTATCTCATTTCTTAGGTCTATTAGTAATTGTTTGATAAATTTGGGAGCTCCAGTGTTAGGTGCATATATGTTTAGGATTGTGATATTTTCCTGTTGGACAAGGCCTTTTATCATTATATAATGTCCCTCTTTGCCTTTTAACTGCTGCTGCTTTAAAGTTTGTTTTGTCTGATATAAGAATAGCCACTCCTGCTTGCTTTTGGTGTCTATTTGCATGAAATGTCTTTTTATACCCTTTACCTTGGGTTTGCATGAGTCCTTATATGTTAGGTGAGTCTCTTGAAGGCAGCAGATAGTTGGTTGGTGAATTTTTATCCATTCCACAATTCTGTATCTTATAAGTGGAGCATTTAGGCCATTTACATTCGATGTTAGTATTGAGATGTGAGGTACCACTCCATTCATCATGCTATTTGTTGCCTATATACTTGTTTTTTTGTTTCTGTTTTTTAAATTGTATTTTTGTTTTATAGGTCCTGTGAGATTTATGCTTTAAAGAGGTTCTGTTTTGATATATTTTCCGGATTTATTTCAAGATTTAGAGCTCCTTTTACCAGTTGTAGTAGTGGCTTGATAGGGGCAAATTCTCTCAGTGTTTGTCTGAAAAAGACTGTCTCTTTCCTTCATATATGAAGCTTAGTTTCACTGGATACAAAATTCTTGGCTGATAGTTGTTTTGTTTGAGGAGGCTTAAGATAGGGCCCCAATTCCTTCTAGCCTGTAGGGTTTGTGCTGAGAAATCTGCTGTTAATCTGATAGGTTTTCCTTTATAGGTTACCTGTTGCTTTTGTCTCACAGCTCTTAAGATTTTTTCTTTCAGGCCAGGTGCGGTGGCTCATGCCTGTAATCCCAGCACTTTGGGAGGCCGAGGTAGGTGGATCAAGAGGTCAGGAGTTCGAGACCAGCCTGGCCAACATGGTGAAACCCCATCTCTACTAAAAATATAAAAATTAGCTGGGCATGGTGGTACATGCCTTTAGTCCCAGCTACTCAGGCAGGAGAATCACTTGAACCTGGGAGGCAGAGGTTGTAGTGAGCTGAGATCATGCCATTGCACTCTAGCTTAGGTGAAAGAGTGAGACTTTGTCTCAAAAAAAAAAAAAAAAGAAAAAAGATTCTTAACTTCAGATAACCTGATGACAATGTGCCTAGGCGATGCTCTTTTTGCTATGAATTTTCCAGGTGTTCTTTGTGCTTCTTGTGTTTGGATGTCTAGGTCTCTAGCAAGGCCAGGGAAGTTTTCCTCAATTATTCTCCAAAATGTTTTCCAAACTTTTAGATTTCTCTTAGGTTTGGTTGTTTAACATAATCTGATTATTCCTAGGTTTGGTTGTTTAACATAATCCCAGACTTCTTATAGGCTTTGTTCATATTTTCTTATTCCTTTTCCTTTGTCTTTGTTGGATTGGGTTAATTTGAAGACCTTGAATTCCAGCTCTGAATTTCTTTCTTCTACTTTTTCAATTATGTTGTTGCAACTTTCCAGAGGGTTTTACATTTCTTAAGTGTGTCCATTCTTTCCTGAAGTTTTGATTAATTATTTATGTTATCTATTTCCTTGAATATTTCTACCTTCACTTCTTGTATGATTTTTTGGATTTCCTTACATTGAGCTTCACCTTTCTCTGGTGCCTCCCTGATTAGCTTAATAACTAACCTCCTGAATTCTTTTTCAGGTAAATCTGGGGTTTCTTCTTGGTTTGGGTCCATTGCTGGTGAGCTAGTGTGATTTTGAGGATGTGTTAAAGAACATGGTTTTGTCATATTACCAGGGTTGGTTTTCTGGTTCCTTCTCATTTGGGTAGGCCAGATGGGAAGATCTAGGGCTGAAGGCTGTTGTTCAGATTCTTTTGTCCCATGGGATGTTCCCTTGATGTAGTATTCTCCCCCCTTTTTTTATGGATGTGGCTTCCTGGGAGCTGAGCTGTAATGATTGTTATCTCTCTTCTGGGTCTAACCCTTGATGTTATTGGGGGTTGTCTGCATGGAGTCCTGTGACATGAACCATCTGTGGGTCTCTCAGCTGTAGATACCAGTACAGTATTTGAGGTGTCTCCCAGGTCCTGCAGGAGCAACCCGCTTCCTTTAGGGGGTCTGTGGGACCTCTCAGATTTCCTGATTTATTCCTGCAGTCATTCTGGAGCAAAAATTCATGATGCAAGCCTCCTCACACTGCTCCGTCCATCCAAGTTAGAGCTGCAATCTAGTCCTGACTCCAGTTCGCCATCTCTCAAATACTTCTTGAAGTTCCCAAGGAATATTTGGCATAGAATTATGAACCAATCCATCAGTTTTAACCAACACTTGGCCCCACCCTCCAGCTTGCCCTGGTTCTCCCTTGTCAATGTCCTCTGTTGTCACATCTGCATAAGGGAGCATCCACACACCCAGAAATGGCTGTTCCCTTTCTGCTTGAGCCCAGAGTCTCACAACATCTTTAACTCACCTCTCCATCAGGACTCACAAACATTTCAAGGGGCTTGGCAGAAAATATACACCCCCCAAAAATATCCTATCTCCCTCTTCTCTCAGTCTTCCATCCCAATTAAATTATAATTGCTTATAATTTAAGCAATTATAGTACTATATATTATCCATGACAGTACATACTGTCATGCATATCAGGTCATATAAATAGAGTCCAAGAGGGTGACTGTTCCACCAGTTCTGACTCCCAGTTTGGGCTCAACTAGGACACTCTTGTGCATATGTAACTACAATGTAGCAGTGACAAAAGGTAACTAGTTGCAAGACAGGAAAAGGGCATGTAAACCAGACAAGTATATCTTGGAGGAGGGGCATCTAAATTAGCCTTAAGCAATTAATAGGAAAAGTTGAAGGGATGACATACAGATAGGGCATTCCAGACAGGAGGAACAGCATAAGCAAAGTTGTAGAGGCATCAGCTTGGTGTTGCTGGTGTGTAAAATGCAGGGCAGGGAAGGAGAGGCGAAGTTGGAGGAGTCAACAGAAGCCAAATGAAAGATGGTTTTATAGATGACATTGAGGAGATTGTACTTTCAGGCAGCAGGGAGGCCATTGAAGGTGTTTAGCAGAGGAGAGGATGATTAACTGTGCACTTTAGAAAGATTCTTCTGGTCACCTAGAATAAATTTGAACAATGTCAAAGAGGAGGAGTGGACCTACCAGGCAGGCTGTTGGAAAGATTGGGGTAAGAGGTTATAAGGAACAGGGCTGAGCAGTGGTTAAGGAGAGCAGGAGGAGGAAAAGGAAGAAGAGGAAGAGGAGAAGCAGGAGGAGGAGAAGGATGAGGATTGGGGCAGGTTGATAAGCAGAGAGGAGAAGGACAGCTCTCAGGATTATGGCTTAAATAACCACATGTATTGAAGCCAGTGACTAAGGGAGATAACATAGTAGAAGGGAGAATTAGAAGATGGGAAGTTCCTTTCTGAAGATGTCTATGATACCTTTTGGGAGTTGACAGGTAGACCTGTGGAAGTATGCATCTGAAGCTCAGGAGAGGTGTCTGAGCTGAGGATATAGATTTGGGATCATCAGAGGGGAAATTTTGTTTGTGGATGGGTTATTGCCGGAGAGCATCTAAAGGACAGAAGAGTGCTGAGGGCAGAGCTTTGTGGGACATTGATATGTAAAGAGAGGTCAAAAAATAAAAATAAAAAGTCAACAAAGTAGATTGGGATATCATTGTGATAGGTACAGTCAAAGGAAGGGAGAAATTCAAGGAAATGAATTGGTCAAAAGTACCAAATGGTGCCGAGAGGTCAGATACAATCAGGACTTAATTTTTAGCAAGTCCTGATTGCATCTGACTGCATCAGATGTGCCTAGCCAGATTGCAATGTGCTGAAGTGTGGGTGGCAAGGGAGGGAGTTGAGAGAGAAAGGATAGACAACTCTTTGAAGTTTAGAGGTGGAAGGAGAGAACAACGAGGCATTCGTGTGAGGAGGAGCCAGTACAGGGAGTGCCTGTCTCTCCACGGAGTATATCTGAGTAGGCTGCCAGGGTAAAGGGAAGGAAGTGGACAGCAAAAGGCTAGAAGGAATAATTGATAGGTAGATGTCCTGGAATGGTCAGGGGGAAAAGGGCACATTAGCACAGGTGGGAGCCTGGCTTTGAAGGAGAAGGGATGTGGCTGAGACCCAGGAGGGTGTAGGTCAGAGTCTATAAGTTAGAGGGGTTTCATGACCGATGTTCTCTGTTATTTGAGAGAAAGAATCTGGACTGATTATGAACTTGTGGAGAGTGGAGAAGGCACAAAATGGCCACCATGGGGAGTGGGCAAAGCAGCCCCACCAGGGCTGTTCAGACAAGTTGTGCTTTGGTTTTAGTTTTCTTTCCCTACTGCCTGTGTGCAAGAGAATTTGCCCCAGCAGAAAACAACCTGAGAGTTCATGCTGATCCCCTTTTTCCTTTCACTTTTCTCCAAAAGAAAAGTGTCTTGTGAAAGCGTAAGCTTTCTGAGTCTGTGGCCCTCCCACCTGTCACAGACACCCACTGCTGGTGCCCCTGACCTCATTCCACTCCTACATCTTCCCTACATCATTGTCACCCCTCATTTCTGGATTTACTGCAGCTTCCCCAGTTCCTCAAAGCTCAGCTGCATCCTGTGCCCAGACACCTCAGGCTTTGGGACCAGCAAGATTCCCATGGAGCCCAAGGCCTAGCTCTTCTGTGCCCACCCATGCCTCCTGAGACCAGGCCTAGACTCTTACTTTGGCAGTTACTGCCTGCCCAGCCCTGCCTGTGGCTTCATGACTAGTACTTTCTCCCATGGAGTGACTTCTCAATGCCTGACACTGGCTTCTGGGCTCAGAGGCTATGTGAATATCTGACTAGCTGAAGCCCTCTTGCTGAGGGTGCAGTCACCTGTCTGAGGGTTGCTGTGCTCCGGGCGATGTCACCGTCACTATGAGTTCCTTGAAGATAGAGAAGGTGTTGGAGCCACAGTTATCTCATCAGCCCCTGACCAAGAACCTGACACAGGGTCCATTTGTGGACAGACACATGGAAAGATGGACAGATGGGTAGATGTGCGGATGCATACACTGACCACTGCTGGAGCCTGCCATGTGACCCCTGCTCTGACTGCCTCTCAGTGAGGCTCCGTGATAAGTCTAGTCCTCACTGCCTCCTGGTGTTTCAAAAGATGAGTCCAGTTGGCTCCAGACTTTCTAAATAGGAGGCTCTTAGGAGTGGTAAGCAGGTTGGAAAGGTCAGCGAGAAGATCTGTCTTAAATTTGCATTTCCATTGCAACCGTTTCTTGTGTGGTAGGAATAGAGATGTACCACTGCACTCCTCTTTGAAGAAGGGCTTGCTGCCTAACTGCAGGAGATGTAGCCAGCAGACAGCCTTCAATGTCAGCTCCTTCCAGGTCTACCTCACCTGCAGATTTGCCAAGCTCAAAGTCATCAGTCTTTATCTGGCGCCTGAGAGAGGTAGGGTATCAAGGCTTAGCCATTGCAGCTTGATGCACCACACTTTAACAGGCAATACCACCACCGTGGGACTGAGAATTTATCAGGCCTGCAACACAGCTTGATTTCTTTCTTTGCCCAATCCAGCTTTCACTCCCTTCTTTTCACAGGTATTGAAGGACTGAGAATTTATCAGGCCTGCAACACAGCTTGATTTCTTTCTTTGCCCAATCCAGCTTTCACTCCCTTCTTTTCACAGGTATTGATCGCTCATACAGATCTTGAGCCCAAATTTAAACCCAACCCAGAGTCTATTCTGAAGAACCCAAACTCCACATTATTTAACTTACAGATCAATATAAGTAGCAATATTTTCTAAAATGCTTATATGCAAGCTTTTTATGATAGAAAAATTATCCCTATCAAAGAATAACAAGGGAAGGCTAGGGGATGTTAGTGGAGATTATGAAGAGGCTAAAACTCCCTCCAGTCTCCCCTTTTCTCTAATACTGACTTCTGGTGGGGCTCTCTGGTTTGAAAGTCCTAAGGGTGCAGGTGAACTTAGCAAAGGGTACATCGACAACAGGGAGCTTGTTGCCCTTGCCTAGTGAGTCAAAGAAAGCTTCAGGTTTCTTTCTAGACATTAGGCACTTCCTTATTCAGACAGCCAGAAACACTACCAAGATTAGATTGAGGGTCAAAAGATGAGGAAGGAAAAGTGTTCTCTACCTAGTGACACACTGTCAGCTTGGACCAGGCTGCTTAGAATCCAGGGGAAGTGTGAGTCAGGCTAGCCAGGAAGATGTTGGCAGGGTACAAACAGCAAAGCAGAGCCTCACACGGCAGGGTGGTTTCCTAGTTGCCTTTGGACCATTCTCTGTCCAGCAGGGAGCCAACAGTAAGTTCTCTGGGCCCAGCCAGTGAGGCCAAGCTGGGAGCTGAGTGACTCCCCAGATCCCTTAAAATGAAAGCTAAATGGATCTGACTATATACGTAGGCAGAAAAGTGGAGACTAACGGAGAGCAATGGTCCACCTGCATGGAGGAAACAGATCAGAGGCTGGAGCTGCTGAAATGGCTGGAAATTGAGGGTTAGGATACCAGACGGAGGGAGTTACACAGGGAAGGAGCTCCTGAAATCTGCATATGGGCCCCCTTGAGTCTTTGCCCAAGTGCTAAGCAGAAGATGCACAGAGCAATAGACCACAGGCCTGTCAAGAAACAGCAAATGGGGTCCCTATCAGCTAAATTATAATTCTGAAGCTTGCACACTGCTGGAGATACTGGTCTTCCATCTAGCCAGAATAAAGAGACTTCACTGAGTACCCCAGGCATTCAGTTGAAAGCTTGGAATGACCATACCTTTGGAGTAGGTCTGCTCTAGTCTTAGAATAAGGGGAGGCCAAGGCAGAAGGATCACTTGAGGCCGGGAGTTCAAGAACCACAATATTCATCAAGCAATAATAATTACTAGATATGAGAAGGAGCAGGAAAACGGGACCTATAATTAGGAACAGCAATAGCAACAGCAGCAACAACAACAAACAAAAAAGTCCAAAGAAACAGACCCAGACAGGATATTTATGTTTTGTTTTGTTTTGAAAACAGGGTCTCACTCTGTCACCCAGGCAAAATTATAGTTCACTGCGACCTCAAACTCCTAGGCTCAAGCGATCCTCCCACTTCAGTCTCTTGGATAGCTAGGACTACAGGTGCATACCATCACACTTGGCAAATTTTTAAAAATTTTTTGTAGAGTTGGGGTCTCACTATGTTGCCCAGGGTGATCTTGAACTCCTGGCCTAAAGTGATCTTCCTGCCTTGGCCTCCCAAAGTGCTAGGATTATAGATAGGTATGAGCTACCAAACCCAGCCCCAACATATATGTTAAAATCAGCAGTCAAGGACTTTAAAACAGCTATTATAAATATATTCAAGATTCAAAGGAATAGATGGGCATAGGGACTCTCAATAGAAAAATTGAAAGTAAAAAAAGATAATTACATGAAAATTCTAGAACTAAAATTTATAATATTTGAAATGAGATTTTACTGGATGGACTTAATAGTAAATAGGACACTACAAAAAAAAATCAGTAAACTTGAAGACAGGTCATTAAAAACTATCCAAACCAAAGCACAAAGAGAAAAAGAAATGAAAAATTAAACATAGACTGAGTAACCCATGAGGTAACACTAAAGGGTCTAATATATGTATACACGAAGTCTCAGCATACAAGGGGGTGAGATTGGTACAGAAAAAAAATTTTTTTATGGCCAAATTTTTCTAAATGAAATAAAAACTATAAACCCCTAGACCCCAGAAGAAGCTCAATAAAACCTAAGCAGCATAAACATTAAAAAAAAAAAACAAAAAAAAAAACCTTAACACATCCATTATAGTTAAATTGCTGGAAGTAAAATAAAGCAGCCAGAGAAAAAGGGTGTAGTACATATAGGAGACCAATCCTAAGAATAATCACTGATTTTTTATGGGAAGCAACAGAGATAAAAAGAAAATAGAATGATGCATTAATATTTAAAGTAATAAGGAAAAAATTGTCAACCTAGAATTTTTTCCAGAGATAAATAAAAATATAGAAAAATAAAGACATTTCCAAATAAAGAAAAAAAGCTGATGAAATTCATCACCAGCAAAGCTATATACTACAAGAAATGTTAATGTTTTCAGGCTGAAGGGAAATGTCAGCAGTTGGAAATATGAATTGACCATGGAGTTTTGGAACAAAAAACTTCAGAAATGTTTTTATTATTGTTTAAGTTCATTACAAGAAAAACAGTTGATTATTTAAACAAAATATTAACTATGTATTGCACCTCTGTGTACCATTTGGAAAAGTAAAAAAAAAAAAAAAAAAAAAAAAAAAGGTTGACCACAGTGGAGCACAAAATAGGGAGGAGATAAATGGAAATATACTATTGTAAGGCTCTTATATGTTAGGTGGTGTAACATTAATTGAAAGTATACTATGATAAGTCAAAATATTAGCCAAATAAATTTAGTGGTCTATATGAAAGCTAGTATAACATGACTAATTGAGTTTAATCCTAGAAATGTGAGGTTTTATCATTTAAAGTGGAATAATTCACCAGCTCCACAGATTAAAGGCAAATAATCACAATGTTTTTCCTGTTCTAGAACTGTCCTTTTCCATCCTGACAAGGTAAATGGAAAACTGTATTAACACCAGGCCACTTACAGATACATAAGTTTGACAAAAAATGGCAGATACATAGCACACATTGTCATGTTTTTGTTTTCTGCACCCGTGACAGACATGACTAAACGATCATGCATGGCATTCTCTTTTGCTGAGCCCCTCTTGGGCCTTAACAGTTTTCTTAACACAGATATCAGCTATTAACTAGCTGATTTGCAAAAACGTCAGATAAAACCTGGTTCTTTGTGATCCCTGGTTTGGACCAGGAGAATGAGAATGTGGAATAGAGTTTTATCAGAACCATAGGAGCAATAATTTAAAAGACTAATCTTACTGTTATAAATAAATAATAATTTCTATTAAAAGTAATAGTGATAAAAATAAAAATACAGTGAGTCAATGCTAGCCACTGCCACTTTCCAGACTTCTCACATAAAAAACAATTAACTGCAGCCTGGGCTTCTAGATATTTGCAGTTGAAAGCATTCCTGATACAGGCATGATGCCCACATTGAAACTTGAAAGACAGGTGAAAGTAGACAGAACTTTGCAGGCAGAAGAACATAATGATGAAGGCAAGAAAGAGACTAGAATTTTGGTGGAATGAAAAGTGCTTGGGGCGTGAGAAGTAAGAAAAATGTGAGACATGAGAAGCTATTGTCCAGACCATAATGAGCTTAGAAATTGTTTATGAAGTATGGACTTGATCCTGGGGCTGGTATACAAAAGGGATGATCAGATTTGTGATTCAGAAAGATTATTCTGGCTGCTGAAAACAGCATGCTTTGGAAAGGAACCCCGCTAGAGGCACAAAGACCAGTTACAAAGATGTTATACTCCATGTAAGAGAAGTGTTGGTTTTCTGAATCACAGTAGTAGTGGTGAAGATGTAAGAAAGTTAAGGGACTAGGGTGGAAAACATGTGGTGACTTATGCACTATTTAGTATAAGGAGAGAGAAGATTTAAGAATGATTCCCGGCTGGGCACGGTGGCTCACGCCTGTAATCCCAGCACTTTGGGAGGCCGAGGCAGGCAGATTATTTGAGGTCAGTAGTTCGAGACCAGACTGACCAACATGGTGAAACCCCGTCTCTACTAAAAATACAAAAATTAGCCATGTGTGGTGGCGGGTGCCCGTAGTCCCAGCTACTTGGGAGGCTGAGGCAGCAGAATCGCTTGAACCCGGGAGGCAGAGGTTTCAGTGAGCCGAGATCGTGCCACTGCACTCCAGCCTGGGCGACAGAGTGAGACTCCTTCTCAAAAAAAAAAAAAGCTAATTCCACCTTGGGGAACTTGAGCAGTCTCTTCCTCTTCCAGAGCAGAGTGGATCTCAGGGAATGGATGAAGGGCACTCTACTGAAGTGCTATGACTTTCAGACTGGGTAGAAAAGAAGTTTGTGAAGGCAAAGAATTTGGTTTCTGGATGTTGGTGGACTGACCAAATCTGTGGTCTCGGCACTCTTCCATACAGTGACACGTGAAACAGCATACATGATTCCCATGTAATGATGGTGTCCTCATGGTACATCAGGTATTGACAGGGAAAGTACTTGCCAATTTGAAAAACAGAAAAAGGCAGTGACAATTTTTGTCAAGACTGGTCAACAGGCTTTATTCCGTCATATTTGGTGTCTTGAACCAGCACTACCAAGATGTATATGAGGAGCTGTACCCGAGTCCAGCAGGAAGCAGCATCCTCAGAAAAGTAACAGAGTTTAAGGAAACGACTGTTTACAAACGTGTGAGTAGGGTCATGGCACCCAACAAGAGATGGTGAAACACAATGAGGAGAATGTCAGGGCAAAGGGAGGTGGCAGTTATTGAAACTCTGAGAAATGTGTAGCCTTAAGAGTAGGGCCACCTTATGGAAGCACTGGCATTTGGTAGAGGAAGGCAACCACTGCTAAGCCAGAGCCCATAGGGAGTGACAGGAATAACCCTTCAGTCCTCTCTCCGGTCCTCTGCTCCTGCCAATACCCCTCATTGGCTGAACCTCACCGGAAGCCAGAAGGCAAGGGAACCCAAATGTGTCATCCACAAAGGTCAGCTTGCCGTGGCAAAGAGCAGTGTGGAAAAGAGAGAAGAGGGTTCTGCAGGGGTGAAGGGGGAACACTGAGCATAGGAACCCTCCTTTTAGGGGAAGGAGGTTAGGGTGGGGATTGAATCAGAATTAGAAACTCACCTCAGTTGAAATAACTAGGAAGTTCTAGCCAAGGAAAAAAGATAAAAGATAACCAAGTTTATTTTGTGAATGTATTCATTTGAACTGTAATGGAAAAAAAGAGTAAATTAGCCTAGGAAAAAACCCTGGCAACTGACTGTGGAAACATCATACACACTCCTTTGAAAATGAGAATGGCTGAGAAAGCTGATGGAATGCCTGGAGCAACAAGACCCAGATCGTAACTATGCCAGGCATGGTGGCTCACGCCTGTAATCCCAGCACTTTGGGAGGCCAAGGCAGGCGGATCACTTCAGGTCAGGAGTTAAAGACCAGCCTGGGCAACATGGCGAAACCCCATCTCTACTAAAAATACAAAAATTAGCTGGGCATGGTGGCAGGCACCTATAGTCCCAGCTACTCAGGAGACTGAGGCACGAGAATTGCTTGAACCCGGGAGGCCGAGGTTGCAGTGAGCCAAGATCATGCCATTGCACTCTAGCCTGGGCAACAAAGCGAGACTCTGTTTTTCAAAGAAAAAAAAGACCCAAAACTAGAGCTAAGAACCTGTGATTTAACAATTTCTAAACACATGTTTTGCAATTTCTAGTTGTAAGTGAAATTATTCTGGCATAGATTTTTGTCCTGAGGAAGGAACCTAGATCAATTTCAAGATTTTAGATGCATACGCAGCTAAGTGGATGATTTCCTTCCTGTTTCAGTTAGCTGGGAGCTTGTTTCCCGGACAGCTTAAAGTTTTTATGAATTATAAGCCACTGCTCCTCCTGTGCCTATAATTTTTCAGCCTGGAGGACTATAAGGCTAGTGGAATGTGAAATGTTCTTGGGAGCCAAGTTACACAATTAGAAAAATCAAATTATTTTGTGTTTCAGGTTTATCTCTTTTAAATACATGCAAAAGGAGGGAAACTCCCAAAATGTTCTTGGGAAACAAATAGGGCCCAAGTTACATTCTGTAAATTTCTCAACCCCAGAAGGGAAGACAAACCCTTGTTTGCTTGAAAACTGGCTGCCTACAGACCACTGGAGGTGGGAAAGAGGGTGAGTTGTCTCGAGGTCTGGCTAACAAAAAAAAAACCATGGGATGGATAATTTGGAAGCTGCAAACTGAGGAATTCTTCTGCCTGTGGGAGAAGTAAGTAGGAATTGTGTCGTTGGGTGGGAAAGATTGGAAGGATCTTCTCTATCTGTGAGGCCAAGAACTGCTGGCTGCAGAAAAGCCACAGTAGGGGAGGTGCTCAAGGAAAGAGATATTATTATTAACACCACAAACAGAAAAGGGAACTAATGTTTTCTATTTTTTCTCAAAATTTCAGAATCCGTAATCCTTAAAAATAGTTTTAAAAAAGAAAATGTGATAGAAATAAAATGTTAGAAATTGGAAAACCATAGTGTAAAAGTGGAAAATATAAATTAGGTTGCATTTGTATAATTCTAATATAATTCCTTTTATAGTTTGGGACTTTTTTTGGTGATTCTGAGGGAAGAGTTACTGAATACTTACTATGTACCACACACTTTCTATTCATTGTACCATTTAAATGCTTACAACCACCTTCCCAGGTAGGTATTTTACAGATGTGGAAACTGAAGCTGAGAGGCTAAATGACTTATCCATGACCACACAGCTGGTAACTGGCAGTGAATTTATACCTAGTCAGTCTCTCTCTTTCCACAATACAGTTCTGCTTCTCTATCCTTATGGAAGAGTTTTGTTATCACAGTTTTTTGTTCTTTTAGACAGGGTTTCTCTCTGTCGCCCAGGCCAGAGTGCAGTGGTGTGATCATGCCTTGATTTCCTGTGTTCAGCTCCCCAGCCCTACCCACCCCCACCTCTAGTAACTGGGACAACAGGCACATACCACCATGCCAGGCTAATTCTTTATTTTTTTGTAGAGACAGAGTCTCACTATATTTCCCAGGCTGGTATTATATTATTATATTATTTTTTAAATTTTAGAAGTGACCAGGTACTTCTGCTCTGGAGTTACTATGGAATAGTATGTTAGAGATGCAGATAAGGTATATTTATTTACAAAAACAGCAGAATGTTTATACTAAAATGGCAGTGGAATTTGCTGAAAAAATGCTAAAGAACTGAAATTGTGTATACTGTTGTCATCTACTTTTGTCTTATTTGGAAAAAATGCTGAAATTTTTTTCCCAAGAGTGGCAAAACATTTCTTGAAAAGGTTTGGGTGGCTCTTAAATACCCTAAGTATGTCAAATCACCCACAAGGATTATTATAAATGTCTAGTCTGCGTCCCAGTTGTCTGGGATACATGGCTCCTAGACACCTCTATGTATATGGAGCTCTTCAGATGATCCTGCTGCATACCACTGGCTTAGGGCAGAGACAATCAAATCTGGATCATCAGAGTCACTGGGAGAGAATTTTAAAATTCAGATCCCTGGGCTTTTCTCTAATCACAAACTCTAGGGGTCAGGCCGGGCATGGTGGCTCACACCTGTAATCCCAGCACTTTGGGAGGCCAAGGTGGGTGGATCACTTGAGGTCAGGCATTGGAGACCATCATGGTCAAAGTGGTGAAACCCCATCTCTAGAAAAAATACAATTAGCTAGGTGCAGGGGTGCTAGCCTGCAGTCTCAGCTACTTGGGAGGCGGAGGCAGGAGAATTGCTTGAACCCAGGAGGCAGAGGTTGCAGTGAGCTGAGATCGTGCCACTGCCCTCCAGTCTGGGCGATAGAGTGAGACTCTGTTTCAAAAAAAAGAAAAAGAAAGAAAGAAAGGAAAGAAAGGAAAGAAAGAAAGAAAGAAGAAAGAAAGAAAGAAACTAACTCCAGGGGTCAGTCCAGGGAAACTCTATGTTTAAAAAGTTAGCCAGTAATTTTGACCTGGCCAGATCCTGGTTTGGGGGTTAGCTAGAATGAACTCTGAGCTTGTGGATTGCAAAGTGATTGGTATCATCCAATGAGATGGCATTTTCAGTTTGGGGCTTTATAAACTTACGATCTGATTCTTCAAGAACCCTAGCAATAATGTGAAGAGTGTGAGCTCAGAGAAATCATCTGAATTAAAGAAGAATTAAATAAGCATAATGTTTGACAAACCTTTTCTGCTTTTTAAAAACTATTAGGTTTCAGAAAAGGTCTCCCCCCACAAACCAATATTCTCTGACAGCACTTTTTTTTGCTGAGTTATGTGACATAAAAGGAATAGGATATATATATTAACATTATATATAATATATATATACTGACTCCAATTTTACCACTGACTCTTCAAGGGTAAAGCAAGTTAGCAATATTCAATGCTTTTTAAGAATCCCTTTCAACACTAATCTTTAACTGCTTGGTTATTTCCAAAAGTGTCATTCTTCTTGTATGTGGACCTTATAGGAGCCCAGTCCCCTGGAAGAAGAATGCCAGCTGATCCTGGGAGGCTCATTACAGCTGGCAAGGGAGCTTTCAAATGGGAGATGGGGAAGGCACGAGCAGACAGGATCAGTCAAGGAACTATGTGACAAAAAGAAGAATAGCAAATGAGACCAGGGTAGGCAAACAAGTATAAGTGGTTTTCAAAGAGATGAAGCTAGGTTTATACAATATACTCAGGCTTTGTAAAAAAGCCTGTGAACTGGAGTTTTAGAATGCCTAAAAGTCAACATTTTCCCCTTGCATTTTTCTCCACTAAGTGAAAAAAAGATTTCCTTTCTGCTCTAACGGGCTCTTCCATTTTCCTCCTACAGGATGGTTTTTGTGTGTTTTTGATACTACTGTCTACCTAGTGCCAAGGAGGATTTCTGAGTAGTCGAGGACCCAAGTACTGACATTTACTTAAGAACTATCCATTTACTCTGTGATAACCCAGAATCTAGTGGTCTAGTAAAACTAACAGAGTATGGATATATACAATGTACTTGCAGGTGAAGTATATCTGACAATTCATGAGAGGCAGAAGGGTGTTTATAATGCGGTATGAGTTAGAACAATATTGAATACTGAGGGAACTAAGGCTTGAAGTCTGGTGAATCTCAGAGCAAGGTAGGCAGTTCTTACAGTGCACTGCATACTGTCTCTTGTACCAGATGGGGGAAAAATAAAAAAATCAATGCAGGTCTATAAGATGCATTCTGGCATATTGCAGAAGGCAGATGATATAGGCAGGGCAGTGTTCCATCTACTGTGTTCTGTCAGGTGTCACATGCACAGCCCACCCTCCTAACCACTTCAGCACTACTGAGCTCAGCGGAGTCATCAAACCTACCCATAAACCAGAAATTAAGTTGCCCCTCAATCTAGACAACTAGATCTCTTTGGAAAAATGTCTTCAAAGAAAAATCCTGGAGGTATAAAGGCATCTGTTAGTACTTTGATTATGATGTTAACAATTTAGAAAAGAGCACTTAGCATGATTTTACATTAATGGACCACAAACAGCTAATCAATGCTTATTGAATAAAAGACAGTAAAGTTTGTCAACTGTGGAGTTTCTAACATGGGGTATTTGCATTACATGTTGCGTTAACATCTCTAGGTGACCAACAACAAAAGAGTTAGTGGTGTTAACTTTTATACCCTTCTTGGCAAAGTGTTGATTGCAAAATCTTATATATAAGCAGGAAGCTTAAGAATCCTGTGACTGATGGAAGGAAGGACAAACTTCATTCTACAGTTAAGACGAAATATTCATTGAGTAACTTCTGTGTGCCAGGTACCTTAAAAAATAGGCCCTGCCCTGTAAGAATGCTCATACATCAAATAGAGGAAAAAAATGTAAATTGGTGTTTTTAATGTAATGGGGTAGGTTAGGCCGTTTTCATAGAGGTTAAGGCAAAAGAATCTTGATTATTTCAGATTTCTTCTAATAAGACATTTGAAAATTAGCAATACTTTCAACTGTTGGTACCATGCTATGGTAGTTAGACGTTCCCATAGCACAGGCTCTAGAACTCAGCTTTAAGGGCCAGAAATACCTTCTCAGTCTACTATGAGTTGAGCAGTCTCTGTGAGAGCTGATTCTCTATAAACTCAGTTACTTGATTTATAAATGAGAATGCCAACATAGCATTATAATGGGAATCACAAAGGAAAACTAAGCTAGCTGGAGGAGTGATTACTTATTATATGGACAGGATGTATATTCGGGGGTTGGCAAGGTCATCAGAGAAAGACCAAGTTAGAAACTGGTAAGGGTGGAAGTATTTACCAAGTCCACCAAACACACAACAAAAAAAACCTGGACAATTTCAAGGGACATAGCAGCCTAGTAAATTGTTGTTCCCGACTCACAAGAAAAATTGTCTCAAGCTAAAAATTCAGAATGAATGAACCCTCACCTTTTATTGGAGATAAGACATTTTTTACACTTTTGTTATTTTTCTAGATCCAAGCATACTCATCCTTACATTACTTTAAAATAAAAACTTTGCTTTGGTTAAAAAATCATTCAGGGTCACTGCAGAAAACTAAAAGAACAAGGGGCTCATAACCACCATATAGCGCTAACTTCTTTAATATTTTGGCCTTATTCTTGCCAGTTGACCTTTTTCTATGTACACACGTTTTGTATTTTTTTTTTTTTTTTTGAGATGGAGTCTCGCTCTGTCACCCAGGCTAAAGTGCAGTTGTGCTGTCTCAGCTCACTGCAACCTCTGCCTCCTGGATTCAAGCAATTCTCCTGCCTCAGCCTCCTAAGTAGCTGGGATTACAGGTGTGCGCCGCTATACCTGGTTATTTTTGTATTTTTAGTAGAGATGGGGTTTCAACATGTTGGCCAGGCTGGTCTCAAACTCCTGACCTCATGATCCGCCCACCTCGGCCTCCCAAAGTGATGGGATTACAGGCTTGAGCCACCTCGCCTGGCATTAAACGTTGATTTTTAAATGGTGCTTACTTGACCCTGTCCCAAAACCCCAGAAAAGCATTCCACTTAGATCGTGTTGGTATGGCATGAAGACTGACTCTTAGACCAGTGGTTCTCCAATCTTAGTGTGCATCAGAAATACCTGGAGGACTTGTTAAAATAGATTGCTGAGCTCCACCCCAGTTTCTGACTCAATAGATCTGGGGTGGGGTCCGAAATTTGCATTTCCAATGAATTCCCATGTGATGCCCATGCTGACTCCTCTGGTCTGGGGATTGCACTTTGAGAATCATAGAAAACTGAAAAACAGAGACTGGTTGTTTAAACACTGATATGGTCTGTATTCTCAAAAAACGAGTGACACTATACCAGTATTTTTTTTCTCTTAAATTTTCATTTAGAAAATATATTTAAAAGTCTGTTCATTTAAAGTACAAAATCTACTCATATTTAAGAGAAATTGGATATGTCAGAGATATCTGAACCAGAGCAACTCCATCTTGAATAGGGACTGGGTAAAATAAGGCTGAGACCTGCTGGGCTGCATTCCCAAATTAGGCATTCTAACTCACAGGATGAGATAGGAGGTCAGAACAAGATACAGGACATAAAGACCTTGCTGATAAAACTGGTTGCAGTAAAGAAGTCAGCTAAAACCTACCAAAACGAAGATGGTGATGCGAGTGACCTCTGGTCATCCTCACTGCTACAATCCCACCAGGGCCATGACAGTTTACGAATGCCATGGCAAAATCAGGAAGTTAACCTATATGGTCTAAAAAGGGGAGGCATGGATAATCCATTCTTTGTTTAGCATATAATCAAGAAATAACCATAAAAATGGGCAATCAGCAGCCCTTGGGGCTGCTCTACCTATGGAGTAGCCATTCTTCATTCCTAATAAACTTGCTTTCACTTTATGGATTCACCAAGAATTCTTTCTTGTACGAGATTCAAGAACCCTCTCTTGGGGTCTGGATTGGGACCCCTTTTCCAGTAACAGATGTGCTTTGGCTAGGAAAACCTTCTTAGTGTTTTTGCAATAGCCATTCCACAGCCTATAGTGCATTCTGAGCGTCTGAAGGCCCTCAGATGGCCCAGCAATCTCTACAGCCTCATCTTTCTTTAGCCATCCTCTCCTTTAGCACCAAAACATTTCCTCTCGGTTCCTTATACCTCCCAGCCTTTGCAAATGCTCTTCCTGAAACCTGGATGCTTCCCTACCCGAGCATCCCACCAATCTGACATAAAACCATAATTCAAAAGTAGTTTGTATGAGCTTTCTCGAAATAAGCAAGAAATCGCTCTGTGCCCTTAGTATTTTGTTCTTACCTGTCATTACATATTAAAATTATCTGCTTATTTATCTATATCAAATCACAAAATCCTAAGGGAAGGCAGTGTGTCATATTCAGGACTGGGCCACTGAGCAGGTTAGTTTGGTATGTGATAGATAATTGCAATAATTGCAATATAAGACACAGTGCCTAAATCATAACAGGCACTCAAAATTTGTTGAATGGATGAATGCTGGGTTTTTGAAATGAAGTCAGCAAAGACATTTAGTACAAGTCAGGTAACCTCTGAATAGTCCAGAAATATCTGTATTCCTATGGTGAAAGACAGTACAGTATAATGGACTGGAGAGTGGGCTTTGGAACTAGTCTGAGTTCAAGTCTCGGCTCTGCTACTAGCAGTGTAACCTGGGGTACTTTATTAACATCATACACCTTAGTTATCACACTTACAAACACAGAGGGCATAAGTGGGTTATTACATGTAAAATGCTTATAGTAGTGCTTGGCACATTGTAAGAACTTAACAAATGTTATTAGTGTTGTTTTTATAACATAAAATGTGCAATGCTGGTTTCACTCTCAAGAAACCAACAACCAACTTGGCAGAAGTTAGGGGAAATGACAAGAACCTGTTAAAGATGTGACATAAAGCAGAAAGTTAGGTATTAAATGTCAAACAACTAAATACTGATAAACAATCTGGATGACTACTTTAATAAAACTACACCCATCTGTTTAGGTTCAGGTGTGTTTGTTAGAAACAAAAGAAAAAAAGGCAGCTATAATACTAGACTGAGCCATATGAAATTTCTTACAGGTCAAAGACATATTAGCATTTTTATACGGCTCAACCTAACACTTTCTAGTTACACCTTGCTCAAAACAAGTGAAAGGAAGCTCTCTAGATTTATATGAGAGAGAAAGAATTTACTGTACAACAGCAGAAAATAAAGGAATTCTGCCTCCAAAGCATCTTTGGAAGACACCTAATTCAACTTCATGGAACTTTAAAAATGAAAATTAAATGTCTAGAGGAGAAAAGTATTTTGAAGACAATAACTAGGAATGTTAACTTTGTTTTAAACAAATGAATTCAGAAAAATCTTGATTGTCTCCCTTCCCCCTTGTATAAAATTACAGGTATCATAGCTATCATCTGTGATCTCAGGCCAAAAAACAATTATATCCTTATTTCTCTGAGTTCAGGCCCACGGTAAAGACATTAAACTTATACTTACCACTTCATGTTTTTCTAAATAAATGAATTTTAGAGACATCAACTTGCAAAGGAGCACATCAAACTTAATGTTACTCAAATTTTTCTTTAATAAAGACAAAGGATTTAACAATTTTTGCGCAACTATACTTAACTGACAAAGATGATTTGTTTAGGATCTTAAGGATAGCAAAGATATATGCTAAGAGGGTACCACCAGGAAAAAAGACAAATACATTCTATCACTAGAAAATGCTTCAAGACAAAAATATTAATTCAATAAGAAAATATTTCATTTTTTTTTTTTATCACAGAGACAATTAACTCATTTCTGTAATCCAGTTACGTGGCATACATTCCTTTTTCTAGTTTCTCATGCAAAAGTTTGGAAAGTTTTTCTCAAAACAGAGCAAGTTAGCGCTAATGGTTTCAAGTCAGGGCTGGGAGTCAGCCTAGAAGAGCATGCTCAGAAGGCCATTTACACTTACCTGACCCCAGCCTGATGCTCTCCCCCATCCAAAAGGGGTCAGTTAATTCCTATTACTAATGAATTATCTCTTATACTTACTCTATAGACATATAAATTACCACAAATGTGCCTATAAATTAACAAGATATCATTCAATGTGGAGGAGAGCAGCTGGAACCCAATGACACCCTGGAGGTATCTTGGTTACTCTTTTTAGAAAACAGAAAAAAACCTGCCTCATTCCAGGTAATACATAAAAATAACACTTTAACACAAAGTGTCATCCTGCCTGTATTCTTTCCCTAAAATGCTGTGTAAGGAACTCAGAATTAAATAAAATTAGGACATAAGAATTAACAAGTACACCTAAAACAGACAAGAAGTGTAAGTAAGGACTGCTTCCTGTAATCCTAAGCATATTGTTCCATGGGTAATTTTCAGAACATAAAAATACAATAAATACTATAATGGAAATATAGGGATTCATTTATTACTTTTTGGTTTACAAACAAAGGCACCCAATAATGCTTTTATTTCTTATAAAAGATTCTCAATTTACATTTAAAACAAACAAAAACCCACAAAACAATCCCAAGTTAATTCCTATAGACAACACAAAAAAGGGGGAAAAGGAAATTCTTTTCCCTGCTTTCAAGCTTTATTACACAGGTTCAAAAATGATTATTTTATGCCATCCTTAAGTCAAAGAACGTACTGCCAAGCTTCTCTGCACTAAGTCTTAGGACATGTTAATGTTGCCAAGTCAAATATAAATATAGTCTCAATGACATCACAATTTACAAATGCATATTCCAAGATTAAAACTGAATAGGGGGAAAAACCCCAAATGTTTTAGAATACAGTTTAATCAAATGAGTTAAGTGAAATAAGAAACATTTAATTTAGTAGGCTATCCTGTTAAATAAGAAGTTTGTGTAGGAAATATAATCAAACAGAACTAAAAATCACGTCTAGTAAATGACACAAATAATTTCTCAAATCTTTAAGTCTGACTTAAGTTCAAAGTCTAGCTGGTGGGGATTAACAATCTATATACTCTTTATACTAATCTTAGAACTTTAAATTCTAGAATGACAAACTAATTTATTCATTAGTTTTCTTTTGACAACAGAACTCTAAACACACAAAATTAATGCAGTGAGTGGCCTCAGCACCCTCCCAGTTAACATTTCTTTAAGCTAGATTACAAGAACAATAAAACCATTCAGAAGACATACACTCCCTATGCACTTCATAGGCCTGCCCAAGTTGTCCCCAACTCTTTTGCAAGACACACAGACAATTCATCTGATTCTAAGTCTATTCGGCAGAAGTATAAAAATCATACAAATGTTAGCATGTTTTCAACACATTATGGAAATACATTTGGAGAGATGGAGTACTCAATGTATATTATGTGGGCCACTTTAAATAAAAGGCATCATTATCTATTCCATTTTCAGACATTGTCATGGTCTCTTATACCTTTATATAAGGTATGGTCCTAGACCAGAGACTTTAGTATCATTCCAAAGAATATAGAGATATTTATATACATATTTCTTTTAAAATAATATTTAAAAGTTTTACTACAGAAAATCTGGCTTCAACATGGAAGCATTTTTCCTTTTCAAGATTATACACCTGCATGAAAGTAGGTGATTTCCTTTACATTTAGTTTTTCACAATAGCAAAATAAACTTTTTATACATTGCATTTAAATTGACAAAGAAAGTTAAGATGTAAAGCTCCATGTAACTTTTTGTATTGCGAACTGTTCTCTTTAAACATACTCCAGATACACTGCTGATTATCTAATACAGTACAACTTGATAAACTTAATTAGAAGTGTTATGCTGAACAATTTGTTAAATCAAATGTATGTTAAAACAGTAAGTAGAGTTAACTATTATGATTAAAAGGGAATTTTAATGTATCATTAAAATATACATCAATTTTCTTGCTATTACTTGTTTCTATAACGCATTTCTTTCTAAAGCTAAAATCACATGCATAAAAAATAAGTGATACCTTCAAACTCATTCAACAGTTTGCTACCTTATGTAGTATGTAAATAAAGTCCTTTATTTAATTTCGTACACATTATCTTAAGCATTATTTTATTTTTCTTGAAGGAATTCATCTTTCAAGGTCAAAATTAGTATGTGTTTACACACGAGTATATTTTTTAATGCTATTACTACCTGCAAATACATTCTTCCATAATAATGCACTTTCAGTTTTCACTGGAAAGATAGCACAAGCCTTTTAAAAGTCCTATGAATAAAATTTATAAAGGGAGGAGAACACAAGTATGGTGAATCCTTCCCAACTCCCACTTCCATCAAATCTCAAGAAATCCTCCTGCTTCAAAACATAAACAATCTCACAAGATTTTTATTTGATCATAATGTGGAAAAGAAAACTGTATTCCTATTCTTTTTGATACTAACAGTTTTACGGAATTTGTTTTCACTTTCTGTCAAAAAACACGTATGTTGCTGATATGGATTCTCAAACCCATTTAGATCGAATAGGGTCATTAGAATAATATAGCCTTCTGATTTTAAAAGCAACTGATTACTTATAGAAAAATGATATGCATCAGACGTTTAATCAGAAAAAGAAAAATGAGAACATCTCTTTCATGTTTGATATCATTTAACTTACAGAATGATGTGAAAATACGCTGGTTATAATTTTAAACAAAACTAAAACCCACTTCAACTAATGAAAAAAACAAAAAATGAAGAATCAAATATCTACCAACTTTGCTAGTATTACTGTCCAAATAAATGTCTTCCATTGCACTGAACATTAGAATTAGAAATTCACTATATGTTAAGGCATATTATTTTAATTAATATGTTCCAGAATTGCACAGTTATACTGGTCAGTGTTCCTATTTCCCCACTCTTGTCCTCAGCACACCCCTTTCTTCTAGGGCTCAAAATATTAAGTCATGGTTTTGGTGGCTACTGTAGATTTGAGCTGGCATAACACAGTGTGTTCACTAAGTTTTATGAGCATAAACATTAAAATGTTACATAAAATATACCATAATTTACTTCACACTCCGATCTAAGATGGTTTAATGTCTTGACAAAAAGTGAGATGACTTATACATTTTACATTTTGTACATTTAGATCACCATATGTATAGATGTTCTAATGCTGAATCCTTGGTCTTCAGTATCTCATAGTGCTGGATGCTCGGAAGTATGACAAAAACTTGTAACACAGACTAACCACAAAGTACCAGATATTTCTTGCCATTTGTGATCTTGCAATAAAAATGCGCCAGATGAGGATCACAAGGATAGTATTAAAACCATAACGTATATTCCGCAACCTGGAAAGCAAATCAAGAGATATGTTAGACAGTATTTTCTAGAAAAAAATATTGTTAGATGGCAGCTAATTAATACTGAGTTTTTAATCAAAGCTCAAATCCATATTAATTTGAAACTTATGATAGGCATTAAGTATACTGTAGGTAAAACAGATATGTACCTTGAATTTCTAGAGCTTCCCATCTAATCTAAAAAGGTTCATTCATTACATACATCACAGTACAGACAAAATAGAGCAAACTTTTTTTTTGACATCTTTAGTTGCTTACAAGTTGTCAGACAAGTAACTTACTCTTTCAGTTACAGGTGACAGTCACAAGATCAAAGGCCAAGTGGATAAGCCCTTATCCAAGCATAAAACATGGCATTAACTTGATAAAGGAGGATCCTCCCTTTTCTCAAAGAGTAACAATATGTTACTCTCATGTTTCAGCTCATGTTTCAAAAAATTTTGATGTTTCTGATGGTGTTTGAAAGAAATACAAACCTTTAGAGATGTAATAATGTTACATAAATTATACTGACCTCAGCAGGCAGTGCAAGATAGGACGGCAATGTAAGAAAAATGATGTAGAGAAAAGAGGTTCGAATATGGAGTCAAAGATCAATATTCTAGTTTGCTTTGCCACTCAATACAATATGGCTTAGGCAAATATAACTTTCCTAAGCCTCAATTTCCTCATCTATAGAACTGGCTGCCCTGCAAAGTCGCACAGAGTTATGAGGCATGAGAGGGATAATAATGTGAAAGTCTTAAAAAGTGTCATAAAAATCACATTAAAAAGCACTACAAATATAAGAGATTACCATTAAAAATTATCTGCATCTTTGAATGACAGATATAGCAAATATACCAGTTTACCAAAAAAATTGTGGAATATTTCATAAGGAAGACAAGAAGCAATCAAATCCATGCATCAAACTCACTTGTTCAGATGTTTTCTGGCTGCAGGGAGGCCAGACATTTCTTCATTCAATACGTACTTCTTAGTTCCCAAGCAGTAGTTCTCTATATATTCTGCCCAATGTAACTGCCGTACATCAATATTGAAGGTCTACGTTAACAAAAAAATTACTGATTATTTTCTTGACTAATTTTTCTCACAACCAGTCAGAAATTCACACTTTTTCTAAAGGCCAGTTCCAAGTGACATAATTACAAAATTCTTAAATACAGAATTAACTTCTGAAATCTTACCGCTAGTCACTGAAAAGTTTGTATTCCTAGTTCATACCATCCATTAAACATGGAAACATTTGAGAAGATAATCTGGAAACTAATGTCAGCATTTAAAGAGAAGTAGGTTAAATATAAGAAGAAAAAAGCCTGTACCATTTTGCTAAACAAAGAAAAAAAAAGACAAAATTATATTGTCCACATAGATCTATGTATTCCTCACTACTTTATGCACGTACTGATACATTTCCAGTTCATGCCTACTGAACAGACTAATTTTCCTGGAGAATACTTCTGACATCAAGATGCGTTATGAAAACAACATCTCTGACATCAAGATATGTTATGAAAGCTGGCTAAGGAGTTTGGATAACAGTAATTAGATTATTTGATGAGAAGGATAGGTAAATCCAGAAAAGAAAGCCTTCAGAAATGTTATGGCAAAGTAAGAGGGCTATGCATTGCTCAGTGCTCCTTAGCATATAATAAGATAATTTTTTGGAGTTACAAAGATATTATTCAGTATATACCATCACTTATCTAAAAATAGCCAATTCTAGGAAGGGAAAGCTACTATAAAAAATTCAGTAAAATATAAAAATGCAGTAACTCTGCATTAAAATGAAGACTTAGGAAACATTTTGAGAAGGTATATGTGTATGTTATTGGGAATCCCATAAGAACAGTTATTTAAAAAAAAAAAAAAGGAAGAGAAGCAGTATCTGAGAAGACAATGCCTGGAAATTTTCCAAAAATAAGAAACCAAGTCACCAATTCAAAACACAAATACAACTCCCACTGCCCCCATCCCTGCCCCCACACACATCTAGGCATATGAGAGTCAGAAAAAGGTCCTATAGATTACCTCCAAAAGAACAACTATTAGACTGTAAGTTGACTTCTCAACAGAAGCAATGAAAGCCAAAAGACAGAGATGTTTTCTAAGTACGCAATGAAAATAAGTCCTAAATAAAACTCTATGCCAGTGTAAATATCCTTGAAAAATAAAGGTGAAATAAAGATATTTCCAGAGAATAAAACCTGAGACAATCTGACATCAGCAGAAAACCCATGTTAGAGAAAGTAAACTTAAGGATATTCTTTAGGCAGGAGAATGATTCTAGATTTATGTCTGGGGATGGAGGAAGAAATAAAGAGCAATAAAAGGACAGTTACGCTGGTAAATCTGTATGAATATTTATTGCATAAGCTGCAATAAAAATACTGGCTTGTGTGGCTTAATATATATATAGAATTAAAACATGCATTATGGCCAAAACCACAATTACTTTTGCACCAACCTAATAACAACAATAACAGATACATGCTGATCCTTCACTATCAGAGAAGGATAAAAGTATCAATTTATATTAGACCTTGCTAAATTAAAGGACATTGTAATCTCTAGAGTAACCTACTAAACCAAAAAGGAACATAATTCTATGTAACACATATAGATGGGAAAATATTAAATTATTCAAAACATAATCTAAAGGGCGGCCAAAAAAAAAAGAAAAAAGAACTTAAAACCAGAGTGACAAATACAAAGCACTACTAGTCAGACTAAATCTAAAATGATAGGAATTACATAGGGGTTAAGTTCTCCAATTAAAGGTCAAAAATTGTCAGACTGAAAATAAAAACTAACAGCTATATGCTGCTTACAACTAACTATATGCTGCTTACAAAAGACATATCTAAAAGATAAGATACAAAATGACTGAAAATAAAAGAATGGAGAAACATACACCATATAGTTCTACCAGCAATGTGTAAGGATGCTGATTTGTCCAGGAACTCACTAGAGTACATTGTCCAAGTCTGCATTTTTGTAAATTTGATAAATAGTAAATAATATCCCAGTCTAACTTTAGTCTGCATTTCCACTGAGTAAAGCTGAGTATCTTTTCAAATACTTGGGAATCATTTTCTGTAAACTGTTCATCTCTCTAATCTATTTTCCAATAGGATTACTTTTTTTTTTTTTTTTACTATTTTTAAATAAACATTTTATGTACTAGGTAATGTATACTAAAATCATTTTGTTATACCACTATATATCACCTAAGTGGCTAAAATTGAAAATCAAAATTAAAAGGCCAAGTGTTATGGAGGATGTGGATTAACAGGAACTCTCATACACTGCCCTCTGGAATGTAAACTGATACAACCACTTTGGAAAACTGCCATTACCTGCTAAACTGAACATATGAATGCCCTATGCTATCCTATTTCTAGGTATATACCCTACACAAATGTGTACATATAGACATAAAGAATGTTCATAGGATAATTATTCCTAATAGCCAGAAACTGGAAATAACTCAAATGTCTATCAACAGAAGAATGAAAAAATACTGTATAATACCATTTATATAAAGTCAAAAATAGGTAAAACTAATATTGAGTGCTAGAATTCAAGAGTTGTTCCCTCTGGGAAGACAGAGGAGGTAGTGATTAGGTGCATTAGTCCATTCTCGCAACCCTACAAAGAACTACCTGAGAATGGGTAATTTGTAAAGATAAAAAGGTTTAACTGGCTCATGGTTCTGCAGGCAGTACAGGCTTCTGTTTCTGTACCCACCTGTGCCTCTTGGGCACTTTTAATATGGCTAGTCCAAACTGAGACATGCAGTGGAGTATAAAATGCACTCTGGGTTTTGAAGGCTCAGTATGAAAAAACAGAAAGTAATATCCTTTAAATAATTTTTAGGTTTTTGATATGTTCAAACAATATTTTTGATTATATGTTAGGTTAAATAAAACATTATGAAAATAAAAAAAGTAAGTGGGAAGAGAAAGGAAGCTGGCACTGGATGAAAAAAGAAACTCTTGAGAAACTGTAATGACCCAAATCTACAGTCTTTTTTTTTTTTTTTTTTTTGAGGCGGAGTCTCGTTCTGTCACCCAGGCTGGAGTGCAGTGACACAATCTCGGCTCCCTGCAACCTCTGCCTCCTAGGCTCAATCCATCCTCCCACCTCAGCCTCCCAAGTAGTTGGGACTACAGGCATGCGCCACCACGCCTGGCTAATTTTTCTTTTTTTTTTCTGTAGAGAGAGGGTCTCACTTTGTTGCCCAGGCTGGTCTCGAACTCCTGAGCTCAAGTTATCCCAGCACTGGCCTCCCAAAGTGCTGGGATTACAGGTGTGAGCCACCACGCCCGGCCCCTACTGTCTATTTAAGGCCTACATTAATCTGAGTTGTGCTAAAAACCTAATCAGATATTTTAAAGGGGCCCTGGCTTATAAATGCCAGCTAGCTAATTAACTAGGCTACTGGTAGAAGCAAAGGCAAATCCTTATCAGAAAACTGCAATTTCAATCCCGGCTTCAAAAAAATTCTCACAGAAATCCTCAAAGAATATAAATTTATAGTCAAACAAATATTTTTTAAAAAAATTAGGTGCCATGGGTGAGACCTAGCTCAAGTAATAGATGGCAGAATCAGATGCTGCAAATCATCTGCAAGTTTAAATTATCAGAAGCAGAATGAAAAACAATTATATTTAATATGTTTCAAGAAAAAATTCTAGAGACTGTTTAAGAAACATTTATAAGATCTGAAAAATTATACTTTCTAAAACTGAAAATAAAACAATAAAACTCTAAATTCAATTGGATAGTTTAGACACAGCTGGCAGACTGTCACAGAATCTTAAATTATCTAGAGTTTAGCCCAGAAACACTGAGATACAAAATATGAAATTAACGTTAAAAGATTTGGAGAACAGAATAATCTAACATACACTAGGAATTTTGGAAGACGATATAAGAATAGTGAAGAGGCAATATTTGAAGAAACACTGGCTAAGTATTTCTCTGAATTGCTTAAAGACACCAAACCTCAGATTCAGAAAGCCCAATGCAATCTAGGTAAATTTTTCAAAATTACACCCACTATCATAGTGATACTGCCAAGCGGCAAACATAAAGAGAAAATGGAAGACGAGCCAGGAATAACATATCACCTATAAAGGAAGAGCCAACTACCGACTTTTCAACAGCAAAAATGTAAGACAGAATATAAATAAAAAAGTTTTTTTTTGGGGTTTTTTTTTTTTTTTTTTTTTGAGAGACTCTCACTCTATTGTTCAAGCTGGAGTGCAATGACGTGATCACATCTCACTGCAGCCTTGACCTCCCGGGCTCAACTGATCCTCCCACCTCAGCCTCCTGAGTAGCTAGGACTACAGGCACATGTCACCATGCCTGTCTGATTTTTTCTTATTTTTGTGGAGATGGGTCTCGCTACATTGCCCAGGCTGGTCTTGAACTCCTGGCCTCGAGCCATTCTTCCACCTCAGCCTCCAAAGTATTGGGATACAGGCATGAGCTACTATGACCAGCAAAAAAGTTCTTTAACGTGCTGAAATCATGTTCCAAAACCAAGGGTGAAACAACACACATATCAGACAATCAAAAACTCAGAATTCACTACAAAACAGATTCCCAAGTAAAACATATTCTAGGTATGCTGAATATATTTCAGGCAGAAAGAAGATCATAAGGAGAAAATCTGAAAGCACAGATATTGGTATACATATATACATATTTTATATATATATATATATATAGAGAGAGAGAGAGAGGGAGAAATCTAAATAAAAACTAAATGAACAAAAGAGTATCTCAACATGGGGTTTAAATAGAGAACTGTGCCGGGTGTGATGGCTCACGCCTGTAATCCCAGCACTTGGGGAGGCTGAGGTGGGCAGATCACCTGAGGTCAGGAGTTCCAGACCAGCAGCTTGGCTAACATGGTGAAACCCCGTCTCTACTAAAAATACAAAAATTAGCTGGGTGTGGTGGTATGTGCCTGTAATCCCAGCTACTTGGGAGGCTGAGGCAGGAGAATCGCTTGAACCCGGGAGGCAGAGGTTGCAGTGAGCCAAGATTGTGCCATTGCACTCCAGCCTGGGCACAGAACGAAACTCTATCTCAAAAAAAAAGAAAAAGAAAAAAAAAATTAGAGAACTGAAGTAATGTATTAATACAACCATTTTAAGTGAGTGGGAGTGGTAATCACAACTAAAACATTTTAAGGTTCTAAATATTATTATTATTAAGAAGGAGGCTATAAATATTGCTTAACTTAGTCTGTGTTAGATATACATGTTAAAACATCTAGAGTAAGCTCAAAAAGAACATACACAAAGAATTTAAGTTCCAAAGTAACAAAGGGCAAAATGTGGAATAACAAAAAGTAAAAGAGTTTATAAAAAACAATTTCTTAGAGAAGCTTTTTCTCAAAACTCAAGAGAAAACAAAGTGTTTGAAAGAAAAACACATAAAGATAAAATTCTCTCTGAAACCAACATTAAGGGAAAAAAAGAATCAACATTTCAATCATGCTTTGAAAATACCTTTGCCACTCTAAAATACTTACACTAGAAATGTTAAGATACAGCAATTTTATTTCACCACTAACAATTATGACTAAAGCTTTATGAGAGACTATAAATAATGGCTTACTTGTTGCATAATAGCTGTGGAAAATATTTCTCAGGTTGCTAATAGTTCTGTAATTAGTATGCTACTTATTTTCTAATATAAAACAGAAAATACTTGCTTGCCTTTTTATCTTCAGGGTTTAGTTGATTCATTAACATATTGACATTCTCAGTATTCCAAACCCAAGAATTACTTGTGAAATATTCAAGAAACACCATAGCTTTGTGAAGACGAGTTATTGTTTTCATCATCCTGTATTGTAAGAAAAATGGACAGATTCATATTTTGTATAGATTAGGAAAAATCCTATCACCACCCAGGGTGCAAGTTTCCCCCTATAATATAGACATTAGTATTAAAATTATAACATTTAATCATTAAGTGTACCAAATCAGCAGGGAATAAGACTATTTCTGCATCTTGGATGAACAATTTATAAATCCAAAAGGAAAACAAATTTTTTTTGAAAGCAGCAGCAAATGCATTTAATACCACCTAAACAGAGTTCTGCTGATATACAGAATTAATTCTCAAAGGGTATACAATACTCTTAAATTTTCTACATAAAATACTAAGCAAATGAATGGATTCAATTAATATTTCCTTGCTTTCTATTCCTTAAACTACATTTTAATTCACAGCTGCATTTGCTAAGATTTCCTGTGAATTAATAACATACTGTGTTATATTTATAATTCCAACTCTTCAGCACTGCTGAAGCAAACAATACAGAAATATTCGTTTGCCACATAGTCAACTCTATTCATTTAAAAAAACAAAACAACTTTTCTTTAACAATGATTGGCACCACTCTTGATCATCTGGATGTGCTGTGAAATCAATGACTCATGCTGAAAACTATCTGAAATAGATATCCACTCACCTCTCCATACCCCACCAATACTCATCCTTACAGAAATAAAGGAGTGTGACACTCTTTTTAAAGTGTGTCTTTAAAGAAAGACTGTGATTCTTTGTTTTTAAAAGTACAAGGAGCTTTAATCTTTAAATCTGTCATTTTATATATCATGGCTCACTGTAAGTCATTGATATCATAACACTAACTTGAGCAGTAACATCTATACAATAATATTTATTATAAGTAGGGAAAGGGAAGAAAGAACTTTCTGAAACAAAACAAACACCAAAAAAATCCCCACTTCTGTGAACAGAAAAAGAATTTTTGGAGAAGTACTTTTTAAAGATTTCATTTATATTATAATAACGATTAGGATTATATGTATCATGTAGTTTAGACAGTCTCAAAATTAGGGGTTTTAGAAATGGGAGGGGCATGGAGGGAAATTACATTAGAAATAAGGAGAAAAAAATCAAAAAAGTATCATTAGCTAAGCACTTCTGATAACACAATTCAATACATTTAGAAATAAACTCTGAATCCAGAATACTGGAAGAAAATGAAGCAATATAAACTATGTAAAAAAAAACTATATTTCATCCAATAAAGTAACTTCAAAATAAAATCTCAAACACAAAACGAATTATCAAGCATCTAAGGCAATTTCTGGACAGGGATAGTTCTGTAGATAAAAAGCATCTGGGGGAAAAACACATGCTGCTCTTAGAAAAGATTAGGTGATTATTTTTTTCTAAACAAAAAGATACAACAAGTTTGTCACTACATCAATATATACTATCACGCCAGTTTAGCATACTTAAATCTCACACACACACACAGCTAACACGGTTTTCCTATATATACCTTATTAAAAAGTTTTTCTTAACTCTTGTTCACTGATAATTCTCTCACCTAATCTTATCTTCAGATTCATTCAAGTGACACAATCACCCTAACATCAATCAGTAATTCAGCCATTCAAAAAATAATTGCAATAAAAAATCGGGGAGGGGGAAGAAATTTGAAAGGCCATATATTTGTGTGTGAAATTTATAGAATATTTATCATGCAACAAAAATACTGGATTGAAAACTATTGGGGAATAAGAAATGTAAAACTTTGCACCATCACTCCTTGGTTAAACATACCTTAGAACAGATGTTTATGACTACATTGCCAGGTATGTTCTGAATATGTATTTATTCTTTATTATGGCAACTTAAAAAAATAATCACAATCCTTTAGAGTAAGGCAAGATCTTAATGATTATCTAGTCCAGGGTTTCTCAACCTTGGCACTATAAATATTGTGGGTCTGATCATTCTTTCGTGTGGAGGGCTATCTTGCATGCTATAAGATGCTTGTCACCATCCCTGGCCTCTAGGTGCTGGTAGCAGCCCTCCCCCTGTTGTGATAACTAAAAATACCTGCAAATGTTGTCAAATGTCTCCAGCTGAGAAGTACACAGATTAAAAATAGATACCTGGTTTAGAGAAGTTAAGCTAGATAAAGTTATGCTAGTTAACCAAAACATAAGATCATGGAGCCATTTTTTAAAAAATGTCAGGTCAGATGCTTATCTAGCTCACATTCAGAATTATTATGTAAACAAGTAAACTGGATGAAATGAATGACATGACTGACATCAGTTTAATGTAGAATTAGGCATCATAGTAAGGCCCCAATATAAGGTGTAAAGTCTATTACTGTGCTCAATAAATTTCTGAACAAATGAAATATTATAAATTATAAGACTTTGTATTTAACATTTACAAAATTGTCTAAGTAAAAAAACCTTTATATTCCTTGTTGCATTCAGATTATAAGCTCCCGGAGGTCAAGGATCTGTCCTGCTTTGATACTTAGAAAGCCTCACACAGCACAAACCTCAGTTAAGAAGACTGTTTCCTTAACGTTTCCTATTTAGGAAAGATATTAATTTCCAAAGGTGCCTATGATATTATCTCCATCCTACATGCCCACCTACAATACAATGTCACCTTGACTGTCTTCTCAATGAGAGTTGAAAATAACTTAGAACCAACAGAATGAGGTGGAAGTGACATGATGTGACTTCCGAGGCTAGGTCAGAAAGGTGTAGAGCTTTCTGTCTTGCTCACTGAATACTCACCCTTGAAGCCTTCAGTCACTGTGTATGCTGTCCAACTCCCCCTGAGGCTGCCATACTGCGAGGAAGCTCAAACTAGTCCATATGGAGAGGCCACATGGAGAGGGTATGACACTACTGGAGAGAGAGAGATGCCCAGCCACCCCAGCTACTCTGTCCCCTTCCCCCCTTTACCACTCCCTCCACAGCAAAGTTCCTCCAGTCCCTGTCTGACTACAATCATTTGAAAGATCCTGAGCCATTACCATCAAGCTAACCCTTCTAGAATTCCTGACCCACAGATATTGTGACACACAAATAAAATGATTGCTTTAAGACACTAAGTTTGAGGTGACTTGTTATGTAAAACAGATTAACAAATCTCAACACAGATCTCAACACTGGGAGGGGCTGCTATAATAAAAACCTAAAACATGTGGTATTGGCTTCAGGGTCAAGTGGTAAACAAAATCTCTAAGGCCTGTGAGGTGATCAGTAGTGAAATGTGAAAGGACCAGGAAAACATTATTAATGGAAGCCTTAAAGGGTTTTAAGAAAGCTGTTGGTGAGGGCTTGAAGTGAGGACAACAAACTGTCACCTCTGGTTATATGGAATATAGAAAGTGTACTAATAAACTCAATGATCTAGCAGAAATTTGCTGAAAGAGGGCAAAAGAGGACAAAGATGATCTTAAAAAAATGAACTATTTGAGTGGAATTTGGAGGAAATGTAAAATGTCAGCCAGGAATTCTTTAAGAAACAGTTTCTGAGCATAGCAGGGTAGGGGAAGATGAATCCTTTGCTAAGACTTTAGAAAGACCTAGGCAGTGCCTTCCAGAACTTTCAGACAGACAAAAGGCACTCTCCAGATCTTAAAGAAATGTGTAACAGAAACTCTTATTGTTCAAAAGGCAGGATCTAAGAGGCAAGGATTTAAGATCTAAAAGTGCTGTCCCATAGGAACCTCACAGGGGACCCAAGATAGAGAAGGGTTTGTGTCAAAGAAACTTATGGGTATGGCTTTCGTCTAATAGGCTGGATTCCTTGAAAACAGATACACCGGAAACTCACACAATTTTTAAGCAATCATGTCAGATTACATGTAAAGGGATAGACAAGAAAAAAAAAATGAAGAGACTGCTATATCAAGGGTCAGCAAACCAGAGCCTATATACCAAATCCAGCCCACCACCTGTTTTTGTAAATAAAGTTTTACTGGGACACAGTCATATTCATTCATTTGCCTATTGTCTATGGCTGCTTTCATTTTTAACAGCAAAGATGAGTAGCTTCAACAAAAACCGCATGTCCTGCTAAACCTAAAATATTTACTATATGGCCTTAATTTACAAGAAAAGCTTTCCAGTTCCTGCCCTGATCCCCTAACCTTTCATGGGCACGAAGCAGGATAAGAAGGCTACTTGGCTGCACACAGAGCCCACAGGCCAGTTTTTATGCAAAAGGAAGGATGACTCAGAGGGCAGAGGCAAGAACCTCAGAGAACTCCCAGAGAATAAGACTGAGCTCCTTATCAAGAAATCATCAACACATATCTGACTGGAATTCAGAAATGTTATAGACCAGTGTTTGCTGGGTGCCTCCCAATTTCTCTCTTTTTGAATAAAACTGTCTAAAGCCATTATCCTATGCTTACCATCATTTATGATGGGCGTATGGGCAGTCAGTAACTCGTTGCTTTAGTTCACATATCAATTATTGAGGAACTATACTTGAGGAGCTATGCTGACAAAATCACTCCTAAAGAGCGTCATCCGCCAATTGACCAGATTTAGATGACAAAACCCTGGCTTCCAGCTGATGCCACAGGGATCTGGGGCGGTGGTGGGGATGGGGAGGCGCGAGGGGGAAGGCAGGATGAGTGGGGAAGAAGCAACTGTCCTTTCCATGTAGAAGAAATATGAATTGTTTTGGCCAGAAGGTTGACTATAGCAGATTGTACTTTCCAAAAATGATGGCAACAATACCCTTCATCTTGACCACTTTCTAAATCCCCTTACTTGGACACAGGGTGGGGAATATCACACACTGGGGGCCTGTCGTGGGGTGGGGGGAGGGGGGAGGGATACCATTAGGAGAAATACCTAATGTAAATGACAAGTTAATGGGTGCAGCACACCAACATGGCACAAGTATACATATGTAACAAATCTGCACGTTGTGCACACGTACCCTAGAACTTGAAGTATTTTTAAAAAATGTGCTATGTCAGGCACCAAAATAAAATTATGAACATATGAAAAAAAATTTAAGAAGATTTGTGACTCACTTGTAACTAGAAGAATGAGGCAAAAGTGATGCTGCATGACTTCCATGGGTAGCTCAGAAAAGGCAACGCAGCCTCCACCTTACTTGCTAAAAGACTTCCCCCTTGAAGCCATCAGCTGCTATATAAGAAGTCTAATTCCCCTAAGGCTATCATTAATCCTTGCAAAGAGCTATATGGAGAGATCCTTATGACACGACAAAGAGTAACATCAGTCCCCTTGCTGTTCCATTGCCTCTCTGCCCACCGGCCTCTTTCATCTGATCACAAACACATGAAAGACTCCAAGCCAAAACTGCCCAGTGGATTCTTTCTCAAATTCTTGATCCTGACAGAAATAATTGAAAGAAATAATAAAATAACTGTTGCTGTTTTTAGCTTCTAAGTTTGAGATGATTTGTTATGCAGCAACATCTCCTCTGAAGCATTTAGTAAACCAGCTATTCACTTATTTTTTTAAAATTTTACTAAGCCCTCTTTCTTCGTGTAAGGCAATGTGATGTATTTAACCTGTTTTTTTTTTGACCCAGTTTTTACTTTTCTGTCCTAAATTATAACAACCTTATTAATATAAAGAAAGCATGCACTGCCACCATTCATGAATTTACATCTGCATTTTAGCCATGAAGAATGCTTCCAATGGCAAGTATTGCATTTTGCAGATCATTCTAGAAAAGTCTGAAAATATTTCTTTACCTGCTCTAAAGTTGTTCAACACCTCTCACATATTTCAATTAGCTAACATATAGGGTTAGAAACATCATGGAAAAGTGAATCCACAGACAATACCTACGAGGAACTCAGATCCTGATACACTGTAACTGGCAGTTACCTCACTTTTATTTTTTGAGTAGTTGATGGAAGTTCTGGGATCAGCATCTTCTTTATACAAAAATACTCAAATCCTGAACTCTCCAATCAACGACTCCACTGTAATGCCAATGTAGTTAAAAAAAATTAAGTATTTTAATAGTATATTCCACTGTAATTGTGTGGTAAAGACAGTAGGAGATCTTTAAGTTTGCGGGATTTCAACAAAAAAAAGAAAGAAAAGCTATAACAACGATAAGAAAACAAAGTTTTCTGTTTATTATTAACTTTTTTTTCATAACTATGCCATTCCCAACCTGGATAATTAGTCAAAAACTGAAATAACCATATTATAAGCTGAATGGGCAGCTGAGATATTTCAAGTAATTTTCTAGAAGCATCCTATATTTTTCACATAAAACTGCACCATCCATTTGAAGCAAAACTTTTGCCCTTAATCCCCTATACAAACTCATCCCTAGGTTTTTAAGAGGGAGAGAAGGGCTTAATTTCAGCTTATAATAACAATGACAACCATGATGTAGGACATTTCCTATATTATGGAATTTTGGAGGATGAACGACCCAATACGATGTGATCCATAGTTAGTGTCCCCAAAGATCTCCAAATTCTAAGAAATGTCCTAGCATTCTGATTGTGATTAATCAGGTGAGTAAATCTAAAGGTAAAGCTCATGCTAGTGATTTTTTTCATCTCTCCAGCAAGCTGCCACCACCTTACCAATACATAGTGTATTTACTGCTATTCTTCTTACCGCGGTTTCTGACCTGTCAACATGAGTGCAATCGAGCAATAATGCAGATACTCTATGGCTGACACCCTTCCGATAATGATGCGATAGGCTGTTGGAATTAAACTTAAAACTGGGGCACCTGAATACTTGGTTTAAAGGATTCATCTTGAAGGAATGACTTACATAATATCCTGTAGGAAAAATAAGCGTCAAAGCAATTTAAATATTGTTATTCAGAAAGAAGCCTAAAGTAAGACTTAGAATTCAATACATGACAATAACTTATCCAAACTTTAAACAAATTAGAGTGACTTACAACACTACCTTTGCTTTTCTGACAAAGTCTTAAATTCAAGAGGCTTCTCATTCACAAAAGGCTATTAAGCCTTATCATAAGCATAAACAAATACAGAGTTAATATGCATTTTAGTGTAAGCATGGGTTGTTTAACAGAGGAACAGATAAGACAGAGCTAGTCACCATTACCTTGGGCTTCTTCCAGTCATCCTGAGGTAGATATCATACAGGAATGCTGGGGCCTTATGGCTTACAGCAATCCAGTAATGATATAAAAGATGATTGGAGGTTAGATTTACATTGGGCCGTCTGAAGGCCTGTTCGAGAGGATTCCTCTTGAAAGTGGAAATTACATGGTACTCTGAAGAAGAAAAGTTGTGTAACAGCTTTGATAATAACCATGTAATGAAGTTTTGAAAAAAAAAAATCATGTTTTTATAATGCAAAATATTTTACCAAAGATGTCAGAGTTCGTACATTTAAAAAACAAACTTTTCTACTCTCTAGTAGCTAAGAGAATATGGTTATTAGACTGCTAAACTCAAGTGGTTTTGTAACTGCCGCTATTTATGAATTTTAGATGAATGAATTTTTGCTAAAATTCACTCTTAAAATCCTTTTAATGTTTTACCTATGTCAGTTTACAGTGTCACTTTCTATATTTCACCTCTCACGATAGCTTCTTCCTTTCTGTTCCTCTTTCCAGACTCTTATTACTGTACTTACTTAAAAAAGAAAAGGAAAATAATCATCCTTTGCTTAAGATGCTCAAATTAACATACATTAACAGGCTTAAAACAACCCAAAATTAACTTCTGTTGTAATTTATATAGGCTATGTAATGTCAACATAATCAAACCTAGTATCATCTATATTAATACTTTACTAGAAATGTATATTGAGATAGTCACTAAAATATAACGCTCAATTTCAGCTTTTACTAAACTTTATAACACAATAAAAGATTACAAAAAAACCTAACTCATTAAAAATGTTTAAATATTCTTAAAAGAATACTGAAAATAATTATCATAAAGTTAAAATCACCTTAGATTTTATCTTTTTCTTATATGCTCTAATGGTCAATTTTACACTGAAATAAAAATGCCACAGAAAAATCCTAGGACAAATGTCATAAAAAATCTACATTGAAATCAAAATTGTTCTGCAGGGGTAATTAATCAATTAGAGGTTAAATAAGACCTATCACTAAATCAATGCCAAAAAAATTTTACTTTAAATTTGAACTCATCAACCAACAATTTAAAATTGACTCAATTTCAATGGGTTTTAACTATTCCTATTTAAGTTATGCTATTCCTATAGAACTAGGAACATGTATATCTGCTGTGAATCTGTGAATTTAAATAGATTAATACAGGTTAATAGAAAATATTCTGGCAAACTGTATCCTACTTCCTAACTCCTTCATTTATTACTCTGGGTACCACTTGATATACCACCTCTTGTAAGAAGTGATACTGCCTATGGATAGGCAACATCAAGACTGAGGGTGCTCACAAGGGAGAAAAAAAGCACTGTTCCCATGCCATAGGTATCTACGAGGGCTACTGCAGATGGCAGGAGAAAAACAGCAAGGCTTAGACAAGGGTAGGGTGGGTGGGTAAGAATAGACAGCAGTATATTTTTAAATTTGTGAAACATTATTAAGGACCACAAGGTAGTATTGGTAGATAATACTTCTAAGACGACAATTAAGAACAAATTGGTAACTCAGTGGCCTTAATGCCTCATAGGTATTCTAACATTAAAACTTCAGGGAACTTGGTTCTTTAAGATTTATTCTAACATTCAAAAACACAGGTAAAATCATACCAACTTCACCCCAGTGGAAAGGATTAGTGCTGCCTGTTGTACAATTATACACCATGATGTTTCTTGGTCTGCAAAGACAAAGATGAAACCAATTAATCATAATAAGAGGCCAAACATATCCAATCTAAGTCCTACATAGTATTCAAGAAGACATGAGGATGATGGGCACCTTTTCTATACTATTTTTTTTTAATTATCCTTAAAGGATTAGTTTTTACTTTAATGACTATTTACAACTACCCTTTCTTCTTCCCCTACCAAAAATAATAACTTATTTTAAAAAATACAGACTTTTTTCTTTCACATTTTTCCTCCTTATATTAGCAGGAATGTCTATTTTTAAACACGAGGAAAACAACAAATGACCTCAGCTCTTCTTGTCTCATTTTCAGAGGATCTAGCTGAAAAAAAATTATGGACTAAGTTTCCTTTTGCCAGAAACAACATATTCATATAATCCTATCTCTCTTTTTTTAGGACAGAAAATACTGATTATCAAAAATAAGGGTAGTTTACTACCTAGAAAAAAAAAGTTATTGGGAAGTTTAAAGTTTAAGTGTTACCTGTAAATGCTACTATTATTTTTTAAAGGAAAGATGTTCATGGGCTGATTAAAGCTGCTCTGGTGTACCATGTTTAATATATGTAAACCATATTCTGTGAATTTCAGCTCTTTATATATTCAACAAGTTTTAGTTTGGATTAAAAAATCATGCTTAGGGGAGGGTATTTTTTTTTTTTTCATTTTTAAGTGAACTTGTCTATCCTGTAAGTAATACATGAGCATTAACATTAATTCTTCATTACTACTGATGGGAGCACTTGCTATTGTCTGTGATAATACCAACTCTTGGAGTTGGCAGTGATACAGCCTAAATATTGGTATGGCAATATCTGGATAGAGGGATTAATTAACATTACTCAAAAGCTATGTCTTCCCTTTTCAGTTACTATATATTTAATAAGCGACATTGTCACCTCATATACCTATTAACTCCGGAATACCAGGCTGCCGCAAGACTCATGTTGACAACTACATCTACAGGAACAAGATCTGCAAGGGCATTGTTGGAGGCACGTATTGTTCGAAGAATTCCTTTCCCTGCCTTTGTTGAAATTAAAAACAACACCTTAAGATATATAAGCCATAGTGTATATATATTTAAAGATATACAAAAAGCAGAAAAATGTATAGAATATTAAATAAATCAAAAGGTTTACTTACCGCAATAAAGAGACCACTTGGTCCATTAAAGTTATCAATCCATCCCTAATACCAAAAATTTTAAAAGGGAGAGAAGCTTAGAAACATTATGAAGCTAGAGATTTATTATTTGAACTCTACAACCCCAAATATATACTTGGTAGCTGTCTTCTAAAAACTAAAAAACAGACTAGATTCAGGCCAGACTATTTCTACCAGTCCCAAACAGAAGCAGTCTTCCTCTGGGATCAAAAATAATTGAGTAAAATCATTTTCAAAGGGCTACCTACTACTCTTCCATTAACTCTCTGCAAAGAGAAATTTATAAAAGAGGGTTTATATTGTTGAATATTTTTACAAAATTAAGCTTGTTCAAGTTTGATTTTATGCTATTTACTAATTCAATAGCCTGAGATTAGGGAAAATGGTAAATCCTCCTCAAAATTATGAATAAAACAGAGAAAAATAGAATAATTGTCAAAGCAACAACAGATGCTATCACTTACTACCATTACACAGACCTAGGTTTTGCCTAAATCAATTGACCCAACTGGTTTATATTTCTGCTTTCTCTCATTCCAGGAATTCACAAATACCCTAACACCCTGTACCTTTTTTACTTTGTGATCTACAGAGGAAGGGGTCTACCTCCTGGAAGGTCTGCCTCTTTTTGCTACTAAGAAACAAACCAAATCTCCTCTGACTTAAGAAAATGTCACAGCTTTTAATTTTCACTTAGGATTTTTTAAATGTTGATCTACATTTCTATATACCCAGCGTCACATTATAGAAATGAAAGTACCAATAAAATTAACTCTATGAACACAAAACAGCTTTGCCATGGTAATTCACCTTTAGTAAATAATACCTGTTCTTAAAGAACTGCCAGCTCTTTTTATACAGAGTTACAACTTAAAATTCTCAACTCCAGTTATTTATAAAGGTTTCTAACAACTTACTGGAAAAGGTTCTTTCCAACTGGCACCAACAATCGATGGCCTTACAATTGCCACATTTAGTTTTGCTCCTTCTTGTTGTACAACATATTCTGCCAATGCTTTTGTGTATATGTATGTATTAGGTCTGTCTCCTATCAATTTTGGCGTGATATCATTTACTAGGCCATCATCCATCCACCTGGTAAAGAAATTGCATACAAATATATTTCCAGATATTTTACTATAAAATAAAAAGCTACTTAATTGAACTTCGCACATTCAAACATATCTGCTGTTCTGACTCAAATCATTTGACAACTTTTACTGAAAAATGGAACTTAGTCTTATTTTTCTTAAACATCAACTACAGGTCCACAATCCCTTATCTGCAATTTCTGTATCCAAAAAGATCTGAAAACTAAGAGTTCTTTCATAAATCATACAGTGGATAGCAAAATCTGATCTACACTGACTTATGGTCTTTTTTTTGATACAACTTAAACATTCATATATTTTACATGTATTTGATCAGGGATACTAACCCAGATCAAGTTAAAGTTTTTTCTTATTACACAGTACATAAATTATATACCCTCTCTAAAGTCCAAATAAATTCCAAAATATATCTGAAACCTTCTGGAAGTTTGCAGGTTAGGAAATACAGATCTGTATATAACCACCTAATGAAGTAACATGTTAATTATATACAGTTATAATTAACATACATTTATAATGAACACAAAAGGCATAAAAGGCCTAGTATTTAAGGTGCAGCACTGCAAATCATATGCTCTAATGAGATTAACAAATGCTATGATGAACAATAAAAATAAATTGAAGCATGCTATAAAAATTCAATTAGCAACCTACTATGAAGTCAAAAAAATTCCTCCAGTTCTCTTTGAAGAAATGGTCTACTCTGTTCATCTGTAAAAGGAGGGCGATATACTAGGTGGTGTCCATGGTTTTTCCTAAACTTCTGATTCTAATACATTATGTACTTGTTTTTACTTCTTGTCAATAATGCTGTGTATGCAAGTAGACTCAGTATATTGTCATACTCTAATGATACCCATACTAATTGATAAGAAAGCATAAAACAGAGATTATCAAGATAAAATTTTCTTCTGTATATGGAAGTACTTTTTGTATATGAAAGGAAAAGAACATCAATTAAATTGAAGGGAAATTGCTACCCAACTTAGGAAAAATTCCACCATGGAGATGAGATTTGAAAAATGAAAGGGATAGTTGATACATGAGGAAAAAAAAACCTGCCTAAACTCAGGAGAAACTTTAGCTAGTAAGCCTTATTACTAGAACGAGTTTACAGAACAAACCCATGAGTTATCTTAAAATTATGTTAGCTAGATTTCTTTGCAGCAAGGAAAGGAGATACAGCATTAGCTTACAAGTTCTTTTTCAGTTTCTCAAATGTTTGTATATATTGTTAGTAAGAGAAAAAGTAAAATGCTCCATTAACTTTCACACTCAACTTTTCCCGCAGATATTAAATATTTCTGTTTATTGATCTATGAAGAAAATGAAGTAGATATTTGGGACCATCTAAGAAAATGAGTGAGAAAATAGAAATTAGGGAATTACAATGAAAATGTCTTGGTAATTTCTCATTTTTTTTACAATCTATCTGTTTCCTCATATTAGCAGGAAAGCCTTAAAGAAAAGACTGTGCTTATTTTAGGAGAAAGCAGCAGATGTTAACTAAGCAGTCAAAGTGGATAGAATCTCTGGAAAGAAAGAAGACTAAAAGAGGGAAGAATAAAGGAGGAAAAAATTCAAAGATATTATATAAGGATTAACAAACATGAAAATATGGTGGATACTGGAATGTTTATATAATTGTAAAAGTAAAAAAGATCTCTCTTTTTCTTGTCTGAACCTTGTCTGTTTGATGAGAAAGCCTGAGCTGCAGCAAATGAGAATAAGGTCATGGTATATACTCCCTCATTTAATCCCTATCTATCAATACTCACAAATAATTTTCATGTAACAATTGCTGACAGGATCTCAGTCCTCAGAAAGATAAAAAGTAAGGTTATGAATTAAAAGACTATGATTCCTCTGATTCTCTAATAATTAAAGGCCCCTCTATATATATACTCCATGGCTGGGGGGTGGTGAGGGGAATCCTTTGATAAATTAGAGCCTTGCTATTAAACAGGCAGTCATGGGTCTCCATTGGTACTTCTTGGTTGCTAAGATTGATTCCCTGAAAAAGAGAGCCCCTAATATCACTAATAAGATGTTCAGGAGCCTTCCTCCAAATATTACCATTATACTTGGTCAAAAGTGAAAACTACACATTGACTTCATTAACATTTATTTAGATATTAATCTATACAATAAGAATGCAGGGGATATGCAAAAATTTTTGAAGAAAAGAGATAAATGTATGTGTGTGTGTGTGTGTGTGTGTGTGTGTGCGCGCGCGCGCGCACATGTATATGGGGTGGGGTGAGGAGAAGAGGGAGGGACTTGAATCCAAAGGTTTTTTTTTTGTTTTTTGTTTTTTTGAGACAGAGTTTCACTGTGTTGCCCAGGTTGGAGTGCAGTGGCGCCATCTCGGCTCACTGCAACCTCTGGGATTCAAGCAACTCTCCTGCTTCAGCCTCCTAAGTAGCTGGGACTACAGGCGCCTGCCACCATGCCTGGCTAATTTTTTTCGTATTTTTAGTGAGATGGGGTTTCACTATGTTGGCCTGGCTGCTCTTGAACTCCTGACCTCATGATCCGCCCGCCTTGGCCTCTTTTGGGATCAAAGTAAATGTATATAAATTTCAAACAAACATACTCTAAAGAATCAATCAGCTTCTTGGGATCCACAGGTGGTGGATAGACTACTTCATCAATATGCTTGCGATTACAGTAGGCATATGCTGTTGATACATGCATGAACACTTCCAGATTCTTCATTTGTTGTGCAAGGAGAATAAGCTGTCGCGTTGCAATCACATTTAACTGAACAGCATCTCTGTTTAAAAAGAAAAAGTGACAATAGAAAATTGGGAAGCTATGTTATTTTACCTGTTAAAAATATCATTTTCATTAGAGAAGTAGAGAGACAGAGAAATTTTTGTTTCTTTACAACTTATCCTTTAGCTGTGATTTTGTGTATTTTATTTCCATATTAAATGTTTATCAGCTGTGTTAAAAAAATTTGATTATAAAATAACCTGCCTTGTAGCCCTTAAAAATTAAAGTAGAAATTTAAAAATTATATAATTGTCCAGGAACAAACAGATAATTTCAGTCTTTAGCTTTTATGCATACATTTTTAAGTCATGCTAGACTTATTTTGCATCTTGATTTTTAAAAGTATAATCTTGCATAATATGGATGTGCCACAGGGAGAAAAAAATAGAATGGTTAAGTAATTTTAAAATGTTAACGTAGAGTCACTAATAAGGGTGATACAGCCAGAGAAAACTCAGAAACATTAAATTATATTAACATATAATCAAGAAAGAAGATGTTTATTTTCCTCTTTGTAGCAATCAATCCAAACACTTTTCTAAGGCTACCCTACAAAATTCAAAGGGATATTATAATAAAACTGGTACATCTGTTACAAGGCATATGCAAGACCCCAAAATAATCTATATATTCCCTTCTTGGAATTTACTTGAAGTAAATAATTCCACAAAAGCAAAAGTATATATGCAGAAAAGTTATCAATGAAGCATCATGTAATTAATAAAAACCTAGAGAGCCCAAATATTCACTATGGAATATGGAATGACTCAATAAAGTAAGTATTTTATCACAATGAAAGAATATAGCTACTAAAATAATTATTTGAAGTCTATAAAAATATGAAACATTTGTATGAATAATACCAAAAGAATACATACGATTTTTTTGAAGCAGGATTAAAAACAAGGCTCTGGAATCAGACCTGTGTTCAAATCCTGACTTGGCCTACTTATCAGGACATAAACTGAAGCACTCAGGCCTCAGTTTTCTTACCTGGAAATGGGAACAATAATGAAACCTACCTACTAAGACTGGTATAAAATTAAACAAATAGCTTGCAAACATTTAGCAGTATTTCTAACATAGTCACCAAACAGGCAGTCAACAAATATTCCTTAAGGTAATGAGATGGTGGATAGATTTGCTTTCTATTAAACTTCTGTTTACAGCTTTTAAAAAACTGACCAAGAGATCTATTGTACAACATAGACTATAGTTAATATCAATATATTGTTATTTTTAAAAATTACAAAAAGAGTGGATTTTAGGTATTCTCACCACAAAAAGTATGTGAGATAATGAATATGCTAATTAGCTCATTTGACCATTACAATATATACATATTTCAAAACATGTTGTAAATGAAAAATATATATACCTTTGTCAATTAAAAAAATAAAAACAAACAAACGAAAAGATTTAAATACTCAATATTAGTGACAAAAATGGCAAAGTAATACACTGTTGTTGATACTACAAACTGACACAAATGATTTGAAGGAAACTAGGACAAAGTACCAGGAATTACAGAAATGGTATATTTATTAATCTAGTTAACCTGTTGAAATTAACTCAGAGGAAAAACTTGTTCTAATCCTCATTTTCCAAATAAAAAGAAACTAAAATTCCTTAAAGTTTATTCTAAGTGAATAATACATAAACTGTGGTATGTCAACATGATGGAATATCATCAAATCACTAAAATTATAACTATGGAAAAAATTAGAAATACAGAAATTTTCTATATTGTTTTAAAAGTAAAATTAGAAAGTCTATGTTTATAATAATGAAAAATAATGTTCAAAGGAAATTTTTTAAAAAAAGTTTTCAGTACTTTCTAAAATTCTTATATTTTCAGTATTTAAGAAAAAAATCCAACTATTGTTTTAAAAGACCAGGAGATGTCATAGATAGAATCCAGTCTACTTCACTGTAAAGTGAAGCAGTGCTTTGATGTCTATCACATTTGCAAAACAATGGGGATAGGGAGGGTACTGTTTGGGAGAGGAATACAGAGAATATTCTGTTACAGGTTCCTGAGGACAGGACAAGTTTTGGGTCACCAGGAACAAGGAGTAACTCCAGGAGAGAAAAAAAGTCCTGTGCCATAGTTTCTCTTTTAATTTAATAGTATCCAAGACCCTATGAAAACACACTAGAAATAATTTTTTTAATGAAATAATTGGGTTGAGTTCTTAAAATCATGGATGCATTTTTTTTTCTTCCTTAATTGAGGGAGAAAATCTGTTCAAGTGAAAATCCAACAAGAAAGACATTTCACATAGAGGATACTGTCCACTAGACTATAAGGGAATGCACTATTTTCTTTTGCATTTGCAAAACAATGGGGGCAGGAAGAGCCATGTTTTGGGAAAAGTACACAAAGGATATTCTGTTACATGTCCCTGAGGATGGTGACAGAGTTTCTAGGTCACCGAAAATAAGGGATAATTTGAGAGGAACACTTCTATGCCTTGCCTTTTTCCCTTTGCATCTGTACCTGAGAGCCCAAACCTGAAGCCATTCTGCACCCAAGTGAGTAACATCTAGTATCTCTCTGCCAGGCTAGTTAACCTAACTGTGTTTTACCTCAATCCAATTTCTACTCCATTGACCTTCAGACTGAGACTCTGACATGTTATATCAGAAGTCATTTAGTACTAAACAAAAATAATGTTCTCATTGTTTTGGTTATATGGAGTCATAAATGTATCTTCGGTAAGACAGGCTTTTGGGAGGGGGGTACAAAATGAGAAAGTCTTTGTAATTAGAATCCTTCACTAAATGAAGACATGGAAATCACTTCAAAGAAAAATTTAAAAAGAAAAAAAAGCTCAACGACCTGAAGTGCCAATACATTTTCTTGTTCGTCTTTCTTCTACAGGCATCTTAGGTTTTTCAAAGAAATCTATGTTGATAATACTTCTAAAGACCTTAAACCAGGGTTCTCATACTTGGCATAACATATAACTAGCAGTTTATTAAAAATGCAGACTCCTGGACCTCATCATCAGATACTTTTAACACATGAAATGAGGTCTGAAAGACTATATTTTAAATAAGTTCTCCAGGCCATTTTGACACAAGTCTCTTTTCCACCCTACTGCCCCTGAGAAAATACTGTCTAGATGAGATCTTATCACTACTACTGCCATTTTTTTTAATCTTAATGAAAATATAGACACAGATATTTAGGGAACAATGACGCAATCTTAGGGTAGGGGGCTCAGTCATCTGTAATTTAAAAAATGTCTCCAAAGCTGATTCTGACAGCAATGGTTCTAAAGGGGCAAAACAAGGTGCAACAGTGACTAACACCTAAGGCTCTTGCTAAAAAGAACTCTGGAGTATGATTCCAAAATTAAAAAGTCAAAATTTGGCAAGTGCAGTCTAGGAATATGCATTTTTAACACACTTTCCAGTAATTCTTAAGATTCTTAATACATTCTAAAGTTTGATAATCAATGCCCAACAAACTCAATAGTTTCTTGATCTTTTCTAAGCATCAATCTTAACTTCCATTCCTTTCTGAAAATCTTTCATATTCATACCTTGGGTTTTATCACTCAGAATTGCTCTATTTCTAAAATTTTGTACTATGAATTTTCCGCAAACCACACCATCTGTCCATCCATCTCTCCCTTCAGCCTGGTTTTTGTCCTCACATTCTCCAGTTTCTTGCCTCTCCATTACTCTCAACTCTAGTGACCCTGTCTTACTTGCACTTCCTTTACTAGTACCTTCCCTTATACCAGCTAGTACCTTCCCTTATGCCAGATCCCATGATGAACTACTTAAGTTACTCCATTTATTATCTTCACTTCTCCTCTCACTTTTTTTTTTTTTTTTTTTTGAGACGGAGTTTCGCTCTTGTCGCCCAGGCTGGAGTGCAATGGCATGATCTTGGCTCACTGCAACCTCCACGTCCCAGGTTCAAGTGATTCTTCTGCCTCAACCTCCCAAGCAGCTGAGATTACAGGCGTGTGCCACCATGCCCGGCTCATTTTTGTATTATTAGCAGAGATGAGGTTTCACCATGTTGGCCAGGCTGGTCTTGAACTCCTGACCTCAGGTGATCCACCTGCCTCAGCCTCCCAAAGTGCTAGGATTACAGGCGTGAGCCCCCACGCCCAGCCCTCCCCACACTTTTTGTCAGTATTTCCTTATGAATCCTAAGCCTATCTATTTTTCTCCTGTCTCAAGATTTAGGAACCACCACATCTGAAAACAAGTGAGCTCTATCTACCTTCTCTTAACTCTAATAGGATTTCATGTGTGCTCCTTAATACATCCTTATTTTCTATCCTACATTATGGTTATTTTGCATATCCTATCGCCTCTAGACCATATGCACTTTGCAAATAAGATCTGTGTGCAATTTATGTTGGTTTCTCTCCCAAGGTATTGGGCTTAATGTTGTAGTAACATCTGAAAACTTCCCCCCAACAGTAAAAGCTTCATGCCATTTTTTATTTGTAGGTTAACTTAACAAGTAGTTATAAAGAGTAACTGTTAGTGAAACCCTGTCTCTACAAAAAACACAAAAATTAGACAGGTGTGTTGGCATATGCCTCTAGTACCAGCTACTAGGGAGGCTGAGGTGGGACGATCACTTGAACCCAGGAGGTCGAGGCTGCAGTGAGCCATGATTGTGTCACTGCACTCTCAGCCTGGGCGATAAAGGTGAGACCCTATCTCAAACAAAAACAAAAACAAAAACAAAAACAAACAGTAATTCTTTCATACGAAGTTGTTATATGCCTGCCTGGAGTATTATAGAGTGTCTGACCCAAACCTAATGTCCTATCACCACTTGGAAGTCAACATCCATTAAAATTGCTTCCCAGAAATAATTTCAATGTAATGACAAGGGCTAGGTCAGTGAACATAGATGCTTTGACAAAGGAAAAGAAAAACAATGTAATACATAAGATGCCTTCTGCTATGGCATCTCTAGTAAAAGAAGAAAATAATAACGAGAAGATGTCCTTTTCATTAATGGTAGCCTTGCTTACCCTAGGGGGACAGAAAGAAAGTTCCCTGAAAGTGCTGTACTTTGGTCCTCCTTGTAAAGCTTCCCTTTATGAGTTTTACCCTAATCAATGTTTCCTGTCCACCTTTCAAAGCATATAACTTTCCTCGTTAAGTCAATGAAGACTATACTACCATTAGCCAATATCTACGTATGTTTTTCATGAAAACATGCTAAGCTTCATAAAGCTATGTGAACTCTTTCTTTTGTCTATGAAGGAAATAATAAAAGCCAGAACTATGGGGGAAAAAATCGACTTTACTGACCATTTCACACTAATGAATTTTAGGAAAAGATAAATCACTAAAAATTAGAGACCACATTCACAATCTTGGAAATGCTAGTTAAAAACAAATAGTTAGACCTATATACAAAAATATACACACACAACAAAATTTTAAATGTAAAAAATAAGGATATTTGTTAGTTGATGAGGGTATCAGTCCCTTTAAGATTTCTTATAGGTGTTACTTTTAAAAATAATTTTTAAAAGTCATTTGTATACACCTTTATTTGAAGATTAACACATGTTCATAGTAGAAAAAATAATATACAGGTAAGACTAAAAACCTACCTGTAACTGCAACATTCAAAGATAAATGTATTATCAGCAAATATAGAAAGACATGTACATAAATACATCTACACATATATGTTATGAAAATAAGATCATATTATAGTCCTAATAACATACTTTTGTCACCTTTGAATCATTAACACATAATGGCTGCACAATATTTTACCTGTCAGCTGCATAGAAAGAGCTAAAAAATAAATAAAGCAACTGCTACAGATTCAGATTTCCTGCCATGGACAGTCAAACTGAGACATCACTTAAATTTCCTGAAGGAAAAAAAAATAATCTTTTGAGAAATGTTACTTCAATTTTATAAATCAGGAAGCTGAGGCTTAAGGCGGTTAATAACTTATACAAACTCACCAGTAAATGAATGATATGGTCAAGATTAGAACTAATGTATGTAATTCCAAAGCTCATAGCCCTTCCATTACAATGCTGCCTCAGCTTCCTCAAGCGTACAATGGATTTCCCTATAATATTACAGTAGGTAAGGTGACTATGGAATAAAATAATTAATGAGAAAATACACTGAAAACCCATAAAGGACTACTGCAGAGATCTAAGGAACTATTACAGTGCCCTCACCTGGAATACAGGCAAAACACACTGTAATGCTTTGGCACTGAACTGTCACCTTATATAATGTTGACTGACGTTTATACTTCCATATTAGATAAAGACAATAGGGGGAATAATATCAAACCTTTTGTAATCAGAACTTAATTTTTAATTTTTTTAATTCTTAATTAAAATATTTTGCTTATAGAGACAGGGTCTCATTATGTTGCTGAGGCTGGCTTCAAGTGATCCTCCCACCTCAGCCTCAGAACTCAATTTTTTAAACTTTTAAAAATGTATTTTATTTTTTAAATTGACATATCATAACTGTACATATTTATGAGATACATAGCGGTGTTTTGATGCGTACAATGTATAGTAATTAAATCAGGGTGACTGGCACATCTATCATCTTAAACACTTATCATTTCTTTGTTAGAGCATTCAATATCCTCCTTTTAGTTATTTATCTTTAAAACATTTTAAAGACAACATTTTACATTTCAAGTAGCTTTGAAACCTATACCAAGTCTACACCATTTTAATTGGCATGAGACTATACAATTAGATTAACATTATAAAAACTGTATTTTTTGACACACTGTCAAAAAGAATGCTCTGAATTCAGAACCATTATTTGAAATGCATACTCATTAGATTTTTTTAAGAATAGTGGACATTTAGAGTCTTAACTTTTTCTTGCAACAGGAATCTTGAAAGAAGTCTAAATTATTTTTTAAATTAAATTTATGTCCAACATACCTTGCCCCTAGCACTACTGCAAAAGTTTGAAAATAAAAAGGTGTGATTTAAATTTATAACCAATTTTTCCTTATCCTGTAAAACCTGAGCCTAATTTTGTTTATTTTCACATGGATATGATGTAGATTAGAAGAATAAAGCTGCTGGGGTATAGGCTTCTGAAGAAAGAGAAGACAAACACTATTAGTTGTTAAGACTAAGTTTTCTTCTACTCCACTTTTTGCCTCTTCCCTGTTGCATGTTTAAATTCATGGCAACTTCTTCCAATAAACATGTATTAGTTATCCAAGATTTTTAAACTGAGAAGAAGAAGAGAATTCTTTTAACACTCTGTAGGACACTGAAAGCCACAGTTAACATAGGCAAATAGTATCAAATCACATTCAAAACAAATTGACTAAAAAGTAGAATTAAAATGAGATTTTTTAATAACTATACTGAAGTTCAAATATTATATAATTACTTGTACTTACCTTAAATTTTCATTAAACCTTACTGTAGCTGCACAGTGGAATATAATATTGGTAGAATCTATGATCACCTCTTTATCTTCTTCACTGAGAGCCAGTTTAGGTTGGGTGAGTTCGCTGTTGATTGCTATAATTTTCTCTCTAAAATCTGGATTTTCATCTCTCAATCTGTCAAAAAGCTATCAAGAGGGAAAAATATTTATTTTACAGCAGTATTTTTCCACTTTCTAAAACTCATTATCACCATTTTTTTCCCACCAAGGATGACTATTTTTTTAGAAACTTAAACTATACAATTCCTAAAGTTGCTATTCTTAATTGCCATTATTCTGTATAGAAAACACCCTATGAGGCCCACGCTATTATCCTCATTTTGCAGATAAGGAATCTGAGACTCAGAGCAGTTAAGGAGTTTGCTAAGTACACAAAGCTGGTAGTTCACAAAGTTGAATTTGAACTGTCCATGCCTTGGCTGATTAGATTGTATCACCCCTCAGAATAGACTTCAGCAATATAGACATTAGGACAATGTTTAAAATGATCATTCAGATTTCTAAAATCTAGATCTTAATTTTTCACTTCACTTCATTTTTATTTTATTCCCTTTTAGTAGATTAGAAAAAAACACGATTTACATTCTACCTAAAATCTTAGAACAAATTTTTAAAAAGGAAAACAAAGTCAATATGTTCAAGGAAAAAGTTGGTAAGCAAACGCAAACCAGAAACTGAACAAACTTCAGAAGTATTACATATATAGGATTTAAGCTGAACATTAAACATTCTTTAAGTGTACCCAAAGGAATAAATTTTGCTAGACAATCAGATCACAAAATGATTACAGTTTAAAGGCATATTCAATTGTGAGTCAAGTTTAACTTTTTATCCCAGATTTGACAGAGAAACACTGATGCCACCTCTAGGTCACTGCTCTATCACACTTTGACTCTCCATTTGAAGTTCAAACTTGCAGTTTAAGCAGGATTCTTAACCTAAGAAGAAAGTCTATATAACATATCAGTGCTCACTTCCACATTCCTGGATGACTTTAGTATAAACAGTCTTCCCGCTCCTACTGATAGCTCCTACTGCTACTTCCACTGCTAGCACATGACTTGAATATTAATGTTTTCTTATATTAATTTAAAAAATAAAAACTTACTGAGTATTTCATATGAGCCAGGCAGGCACCTTCTAGATTCTAAAGACACAAGGAAATGGCCTTTGGTCCAAGTAAATGTACAATTAAAATATAGTGTTAAGCAATAACAGGTAAGTGTTACGGGCCTGCATAGGAGAAACAACTAACCCAGCTTTAAAAGACCACACACAAGCTGGCTTCTCAGAGAAAATGACATTTAACAGAATGTGTGTGTGTGTTAGGGACAAAAGTGAGGGAGGAAGGCCCTGAAATTACAAAGTAGAATAATAGTGTTTCCAGGCAGAGGAAGTAGCAGTATAACCCCTTAGAAATCAGAAGGCATTAATATGCTTGGGAAATTAAAAATAATTCAGTCAGCCTGGAACATAGAGTATGCAGGAAAAGCAGCTAGAGTTGTATGGAGATAAGAAAGGCCAGATAACTGTGCCTTTTAAGCCACATTAAAAAGATGAATTTTATCTGGGAGTCATGGTGAACTACTGATAAAGATTTTTTTTTTTTTTTGAGACGGAGTCTTGCTCTGTTGCCCAGGCTGGAGTGCAGTGGTGCGATCTCGGCTCACTGCAAGCTCCACCTCACGGGTTCACACCATTCTCCTGCCTCAGCCTCCAGAGTAGCTGGGACTACAGGTGCCCGCCACCACGCCCAGCTAATTTTTCTGTATTTTTAGTAGAGACGGGGTTTCACCATGTTAGCCAGGATGGTGTCGATCTCCTGACCTCATGATCCCCCCACCTTGACCTCCCAAAGCGCTGGGATTATAGGCGTGAGCCACCAGCCCGGTCGCTATTGACAGATTTTAAGCAGAGAGGTGATACAAGCATGTTCATAATTTTTAAAAAATCCTTTGGCAGTAATGAGTTTTAGGACACTCTTGTCGTTGCCCATATCAAGATATTTACTTGTCTGAATCAAAATAACGGCAATGAGATTCAGGATGTAACATTCAGGATGTAGTCATTTTGGCTTATGACTGAATTTGAGAGATAAGGAATGCAAACTTCATTAGGGTAGGGTCCATATCTATTTTGCTCAGCATACAAGTCCAAGAGAGCAGATCTTGCCTGGCAAGATAAAGACTTTAAACATTTGTTAAGTGAATAAATTCAGTAGACTAATGAACTCAGGGAGAGAAAGAAGTACTGTTTTGGAGATACAAATTCAGTCTTCTGAATGTCAAGTGTAAAGTGCCTGCATGACACCCCAGAAGACAGGTCTAGTAAAGGTGACTGGCTTTGTGGGTCTAAGTTCAGGGAGAGAGCTGGACTATCAACATAGATTTTACTAACCACATACAGGTAGTAACTGAAGCCCTGGGAGTAGAAAAGAGTTTATCCAGGTAACAGCAATAATAAGGACACAAGATCCTAACTATATGAAACTAAATCCAAATCTAATTTAAAGGACATCCATTCATCTCACATAAAACAGAGGAAGGCTGAGTAACCATCTCACTGGACCTAGTGAGAAAACAAGGCCTAAGCCTGAAACTTGAAGAATATCAATCCTTATGGGGCAAGCAGAGGAAAAGGAACCTAAGGAATGACTAAAAAAGTACTTTTTAACACCCTGATTCGTACTTCTTCATTCTCCTAATTGCTGATGACCTTTAATTTCCTTTAATATCAGTTATCTATACCACTACCACCAGGACATGATCATGCTGCTCTTAAACTTGCTAGATCTTAAATGTGATACTCTTCCCTTCTCTGGCCAACATCTCTTTACTCAATACCATCTTTTCTGGTGCTTTCAACCCACTAGTACCCAATTAGTTCCTACTTTACTACGTTTACTAATGCCTTTTTAATATCCTTGATTCTTTCCTGAATTTACTTCATGATCAACTACTTCATTTTATTTTTTATTTTTTTGAGATAGGGTCTTACTCATCACCCATGCTGGAGTGCAGTGGCGCAATCTCAACTCACTGCAACCTCTGCCTCCCAGGTTCCAGCAATCCTCCCACCTCAGCCTCCCGAGTAGCTGGGACCACAGGCATGCACCACCACGCCCGGCTAATTTTTGTATTTTTTAGTAGAGATGGGGTTTCTCCATTATTGGCCAGGCTGGTCTTGAACTCCTGGCCTCAAGTGACCCACCAGCCGTGGCCTCCCAAAGTGCTGGGATTATAGGCATGAACCACCGTGACAGGCCATGATCAATTATTTTAATTCAATCTTCATCACCCAATGGAGTTTCTGTTACCTGAGACATTCCCATAAGTCATGGTACTTGACCAGGGGTGATTTTGGTCCCCAACAGACATTTGGTGATGTCTAAAAACATTTTTGGTTGTCACAAGAGTGAGTGAGGCCAGGAATGCTGCTGATAACCCTACCATGCATAGAACAAGCCTCCAGAACAAAGAACTAGCCAGCCCAAAATGTCAATGGTGCTGAAGCTGAGAAACCCTGCTATAAGTCAATGTCCCATATGGTGGTATGTGCTTTTGGCCTTATGTTCTTTATACCTATTTCAAAATCAGAGTAGACCATACCTAAAATTTCTTACTAACTTTAAGTGTACACTCACTGCTATTTGACATAAAAAGGACTCATTTTTATGGACTCACCAGCAATGCTATACATAATGGAGAATACATGGCTTTAGGATTAAGTGGTAGGATATGCCAGGAGGTAACTGAAGGCATAAGATAAAATTACATAATTTTATGGAGTATCAAGTTAAGTCAAATATTTGGGGAAAAAACTTTTTTTTATTGAAAATAATAGCTGTATGTTCAGGCTAAACCACTGAAGTTCAATGAAACCTCAGGCTCTAAGTAGAAAATACTCCTTCTCTTAGGCTTAGTGTGGAAGAAATTTTAGAAGCACTGCTCTGAAGACCCCGAAGAAGATGCCCAAGTCTTCTTCATGTTTTACTCAGACCCTCAATTCTGGCCAGCACATCAGCTTAAATATCTGTTCCTATCTACTCCTGACACGTCTATCACTCCCTCTTCCTTCCCTCTTAAAAACTGTCTAAAAAGCCAGGAACGTATCTTACTTATCCCTGAATTCCACCCCCTACAACAAGTCAAGTGCCCAGGACTAAGCAGGCACAATAAATATTATCTAAAAAATAAAAAGTGAGTAAGAACAAATAACCCCTCACTGGGGGGAGAGGAGTATCAGGAGAAAAATTAAAACATACCAATTACAAGTGGTTCATAATAAAAATGCCAAGATGAGTAAACAAAGGGCAGAGACAGCAATAAAACATACATGTAGACATTTTACTTAGAACAAGCCTTGTGGTTTTACAGCCCCATTGATGACTCTTTCCTTGTAGGTTTTAAGGGAAGCAAAGGATTCCAGAAGGGTTCAGCAAAGAATCAGAGAGAAAAAATGATTAAGGGAGACTAATGTAGACTAATTTGAATAATTTAAAAGTATAATAATAATTTTTAAACTTCTAAGAAAGAATCTTACATCCCATCATTAAAAAATAAAACCAACATAATGAGGAATATCTGTTGCATGGTGTCAAACAAATGCTGATGTGATATGACAATTAATTCCAAAGAACTATCTATAAAGGTATATGAAGTTCATTCAAAGTCAAAAGTCTGGTTGGTTGCTATGAAGAGGCTTGCTACAGTTTCAGGATTTTTTAAGAGGCCTATACGAATGTAGATATTCAAATGAGTGTTATTCTAATTGTAAAATAAATGCTCTACTTGAAATTCCTTTTTGAGATATGCCTGCAGTCAGATTCCTTATGTGTACCAAAATTGAGCTTATAGCCTTCCGATTCAACTTACTATTTATTAGTAAATGTCAGATAAATTCATTCATTTTGAGAGAATTCACAAACTTATGATCGTGAAATAATTTTATTCTAGCTCATTTCCATTTTTTCTTAGTAATATTTTTCCAAAGGCTCAAAATATATGACATATTATATTCTATACGGCCCCTCTGTCATCTGTTAAATGGGAATATGTGACTTCTCTACCTCCTAATACTGTTGTGGGGGAGTAAGTGGTGTTTATAAATTTTATCAAAGCATAGTGTCTTACAGAATAGTAGGTAGTCTCACTACCTAATTACTATTATTATCAAGGCTATTTAAATTATTTAGTAGTTACAAACAACCTGCCTCAAATGTTCTAAAAACATACTTTAAATACCTACCATAAAGGTAATTTAGAGCTTGTTATACAATTTTGCCAGTCACAGAGGAAAACTTTTTCTCCTTGTGATTCACAAGTCATATCCAGTTTCTTGCCATCCTGTAGGAACTTACTAAGTTTTTTTGTTTTACTAATTTTTTCAGAATACTGAAGAAATATACCAAGCTATTGACGACTACAATAATTATATACACAAGCACACGCTTTTTTCTTTGTTCTGAGTGCTCATTTTCCATACTTACCTTGCCACTAAGGACTTCTTCCACTCGCTCTTGTGGTGTCTGTCCAGCTTTCTGCCTCACCAAAACATATACTGAATTCACCTTAGGACAAGACCTCAGCAACTTTTCCAGAAGCACCTTCCCTAGAAAACCGGTAGCTCCTGTGAGGAGGACGTTCTTGCCTTCATAGTATTCTGGGATTGAAACCATTTTGATCCTAAGAAAAACATGGCAAATAAGCATTAGTTTAAGGATTCACCATCATTCTTTCATACTAAAAATCTCTTGGTATTCAAATAAGTATTTTAAAAAGCAGACAAAAGTCAAAATAGAACATTAACAAGAGAGGACTCTAACCTCAAGTTCATTATAGTAAAGTGGAAAGAAGAATGAGAACTATAGCTTATTTTTAACCCTGTGTTTTTCCCTTGGATCACCTCAGACAAGTCACTCACGTTCTCTGGACTTGAGTTTCTTTGGTACAATTTGTACTAAAGGATGTCTAAAAATTCCTTCCAGCAATAAGAACTCAAATCTTCATTCAACCTCAGTTATACCCTAAACACAAATGAATGGTTTCTCTGACTCCAAAGGGATTTATAACACCAAATACAGGTCAGCAGCAAGACTCAATTACCTAGCTTGTGTAACACTGGAGGTGTCATATTCGCGTATCAACACCAATTGAAACAAGAAGAGGTGACACCGAGCCCTTTCTACTACGTGTCTCTTAGTGACAGTATATCCAAAAGGTGCTTAAATCTCCCCTTTTAAAAAGTTAGAGTAAGAAATACATGAGCTGACTTATCTTCTCTACCCAAATTCCTCTAAAACAGCAGAAAAGACATATTAAGAAAACAACCATAATGAAAGAAAAAATAAAAACAAGGTGCAGAAGAATTCATGTATTATGTCACTACAAAAAGCTCTAACACATTCAAAACAATGCTCTGTATTGTTTAGCAATGCATACAGATGGAAAAATATTAATAGATGCATGAGAGGGAGTGCAATACAACCAGAGAGAGAATAAGGAGCTTGAATTGTATTTATGTTTTATTTAAGCTGGGGAGTAGATACATGTGATTTATGTCCAAATTTTTCATAATTAAAAAATATATGTTCATAACAACCTGGAAAAAATAGCTCCATTAAACCAAGTCAAACAAAAAGGAAGAAAGAAAAGAAACAGAAGAATTTCTAGAAGAAACAGATAAGACTGAATTGGTAGAATAGCCATACCAGAAGAAACAGCAACCCAAGCAAAACAAGGACAGGAAAGGACTATAATGAGGCAAGAGCTCTTTTTACCAATCTCCTAAATGGAACCTGGGAGAAAACATCAAGGTCAGGATCCAAAAGCTGGACTAAATCATAAGGAAATCAAGATAATTAAAAGATTGCTCACAGAACAGCAGAGCTACTCATGACAGTCTTACTTTCTGCATAAACTTTGGCTCCCAGGCTTAGTATCTAGATCTGATTGAGAAGAGCATCCAGCATGGGTACTAGGGACAAAAGAGAACTGGAATTGAGCCTGATGGTTGCTCCAAACATCCACAAACGAAGGTGGAGGAGGCAGTGGATCAGGAGAGAGCAAACAAAAACAAACAAAAGAAAAAAGCATTTATAGCGCTCAGAATACATTTTAAGTCCTCAGCCTCTGCTGCCGGCCTTAATGCAAGCTTGTCCAACCCATGGCCCAGGATGGCTTTGAATGCAGCCCAACACAAATTCATAAACTTTCTTAAAACATCATTAGCTTTTTTGTGATTTTTTTTAAGCTCATTAGCTGTTGTTAGTGTCAGTGTATTTTATGTGTGGCCCAAGATAATTCTTCTTCCAATGTGGCCCAGGGAAGCCAAAAGCTTGGATATCCCCACCTTAAAGGAAACTCACGCAGAGTTCTCAATCATACCATCTGTGGAAAAGCTCTTTTGAGAAAACAGACCTCAAAAAACTAGAGGAAGCCACTATCAGCTACCAAAACCAACCACCCTATTCCATTATAAATACAAACAGATAACCACGGATCACCAGATATTTGAAAAATACCTACAAAATAAAGAAAGACCAAAATGAAAAGCAATAGAACTACAAAGGAAACTAAGGAAAAATTTTAAGAAAACTTAAATTCCTATATTCTCTAAGTTGTTCACAAGACTGCTGCATCCATAATATAATTACTAAAAAAGGAAACAAATAATATGAAAGCATTTAGAAAATGGAAATTCAGGTGTAAGTACAAAATCCAGTAAATAAATAGACTATTAAAATTAATAGCCCCCAAGCGAATTTAATGTCACCTGATTACAAGGTTTATATGGAGAAAAAATGTATTTCTGTATACCAATAAGAAATAGTGAAAAATTTTAAACTCAAAATTATACCACTTAAAACAGTATAGAACACCAAAATTACAGAAAAAAATAAGTGTTGGTGAAGACGTACAAAAATCAGAACAATCATACACTGTTGGTGAGACTGTAAAATAGCTCAGCTGCTGTGGAAAAACGTTTGGCAGTTCCTTAAAAAGTTAAACAGAATTATCATATGACCCAGCAATTCCACTCCTAGGTAAACATACCAAAAAACTGAAAACAGGTTCTCAAACAAGTTGACACAGGTTTGTAAGGTTAAGTATCCCCTATCCGAAATGCTTTGGACCAGAAGCATTTCATTGTTCAGATTTTTTTCAAATTTGGAATATTTGCATTATGCTTACTGGTTGAACATCCCCAATCTGAACATATGAAATCTGGAAGCATTTCCTTTGAGCATCATGTTGGTGCTTAAAAGTTTTTCCTTCTGGAGAAAGTCTCACTCTGTCACCCAGGCTGAAGTGCAGTGACACAATCTCGGCTCACTGCATCCTTTACCTCCTGGGTTCAAGTGAGTCTCCTGCCTCAGCCTTCGAGTAGCTGGGACTACAGGTGCCCGCCACCACGCCCAGCTAATTTTTGTATTTTTAGTAGAGATGGGGTTTCTCCATGTTGGCCAGGCTGGTCTTGAACTCCTGACCTCAAGTGATCCACCCACTTTGGCCTCCCAAAGTGCTAGGATTACTGGCATGAGCCACCACACCCGGTCAAAAGTTTTGAATTTTGGAGCATTCTGAATTTCAGATTTTTTGGATTAGGGATACTCAATCTATAGCAGCACTGCTCACGATAGCCAAGTGGCACAAATAGCCCACATGTCAATCAGCAAATGAATAAACAAATTGTGGTTTATACATACAATGGAATACTACTGAGCCATAAAAAAGAACAAAGTTCTGATACTTACTACAACATGGATGAACCTCAAAAATATATCAAATGAAAGAAGTCAGACACAAAAGGTCACATACTATATGATTCCTTTCATATGAAATATCCATAACAGATACATATACAGAGACAGAATGCAAACTGGTAGTTGCCTGTGCCTGTGGCATAGGGGAATAGTTGAGTATAGAGAAACTGCTTAAGGAGTTTTACTTTCGAATGATGAAATGTTTTGGAACTAGATAGAGGTGGCAGTTGCACAACACTGAATGTACTAAATGCCACTGAATTGCTCACTTAAATGGTGCTATGATTTGAATGTGTCCCCTCCAAAATTCAGATTTTGCCAATGTGATACTATTAAGAGAAGGGTTCTTTAAGAGGAGATAAGGGCAGGAGGGCTCCTTCCTCATCAATGGGATTAAGGGCCTCATAAAAGTGGCTTCACTCAACATTGTGCTAGTTTGCTCTCTTGCTTTTCTTTCTGCCTTCTGCCAGGTGAGGACACAACATTCCTTTCCCATAGAGGGTTCAACAACGTGCCATCTTAGAAGCAGGGAGCAGCTCTCATCAGACAACCAAAACAATTGGTACATTTTGATCTTGAACTTCCCAGCCTCCAGAATGGTGAGAAATAAATTTCTGTTCTTTATAGATTACCCAGTCTAAGATATTTTGTTATAGCAGCACAAAACAGACACAAATGGTTATTTTATATTATGTGAATCTCATCTCAATAAATTATTTTTTAAAAAACCATCAAGAATTGGAAAAGGATAGAAAAGATATATAAGACCTCTATTCTAAAACCTACTAAATACTGACAGAAATTAAACAACACCTAAATAAGTGGAGACATATACTATATTCCTAGATTGGAAGACTGAAGATGTCAATTTACCATCCTTAAAGTCAATATAATCCCAATCAAAATCTACGCTGTTTTTTTAATATGGAAACTGAGACTTTAAAATGTTTATGGAAATACAAAGGGCCAAGATTAGCCAAGACAAACATAAATAACAAAGATGGAGAACTTACATTACCATATATTGAGATGTATTATAAAGCTACAGGAATGTGGTATTGGGACAAGAAGAGAATGGTGCAGAGTCAATTATCCATATAGAAAAAATGAAATTTTGAACTCTATCTCACACTATACACAGAAATTCAGATAAACTGGAGATCTAAATGTGAAAGGTAAAACAATTATGCTTCTACAAGATTACAGAGGAGGACCATTTCCATGACTTTCATGCAGTCATTTCTTAAACAGAACATAAAAAGGAAAATATTGCTAAACTGGACAAAACTAAAATGAAGTTTATCCCAAGACATTAACAATAAAGAGAAAAGGCAAACCAGAGTAAAAGATATTTGTAATATATATATAATGAAAACATTAATATCTAGAATACATAAATATGTAAATTCCAAATCAATGAGAGATAAACCAATAGAAAAATGGGAAAGGCTTGAACAAACAAGAAAAGAAAGTATACAAATGGGCATTACAAAAAAGGATTGGGCCAGGCGCGGTGGTTCACACCTGTAATCCCAGCACTTTGGGAGGCTGAGGCGGGCAGATTACCTGAGGTCAGGAGTTCAGAGACCAGCCTGGCCAACATGGTGAAACCCCGTCTCTACTAAAAATACAAAAATTAGTCGGGCGTGGTGGCACACGCCTTTAATCCCAGCGACTTGGGAGGCTGAGGCAGGAGAATTGCTTGAGCCCGGGATACGGAGGTTGCAGTGAGCCAAGACCGTGCCACTGCACTCCAGCCTGGCCGACAGAGCAAGACTCTAACTCAAAAAAAAAAAAAAAAAAAAGATCGAAATGACAGCACATGAAAAGGGGCTCAACTTCATTAGTTATCAAGTTAAAACCCCTATGTGATCCCACTACACTGACCCTCAGAATAAGGGTGCACAATAACTGGAACTCTCATCTTACTGCTGGAGGAAGTACAGGTTGATATGATACTTAGGAGATGGTACTACCCACTAAAGCTGAACATTCACATATCATAGGACCTAGCAATTCCACTCTTGATTATATACCCAATAGAAATAAGTACATATGTTCATCAAAAGAACAAGCAAGTATGGTTATAACAGCACCATTTTTGTTGGCCCAAAATAAAACCCAAGTGTTCATCAACAATATAACATATACAGTGTGGTATATGCATATGATGAAATATTTAAAAACAATAAAAATGAAGGAACGATCGCTAAAACACATGTGGAGGGATCTCACAAAGGGAGCGTTGAGCTAGTAAGGCCAGGTAAAAAAGTGTGTACTACTATATGATGCCATTTATATAAAGTTCAAACTAGGCAAAACATCTACGGCCAAAAGTCTTGCAGGGAAGAAGAGGGAGTGACCAGAAGGTAACATGAAGGAGACTTCTGGGATTCTGGTGATGTTCTATTTCTATTTCTTGATCTGGGAGGCTCATTTTTTAAAAATTCATCAAGCTGTCCACTTCGAATATATGGACTTTCTGAATTTATTATATTTCGATAAAACATTTACTTTGAAAAATAAAAACAAACAGGGATCATATGTCCTAGTTTGCCTAGAACAAGCCTGGTTTATACATGCTGCTCCAACTTAATTTTGATTGATTTCTCAGAAGTGTCTCAGTTTGCACAATAAATTATATGGTTACTTTCATTATAATCTACTTCAGGTTTGAGACTATTTCAAGATTTCAGTGACAAAAAGCCTAATTAAAACTACAGAGCATTGAAGTTCAAATGAATGGTCCCAGCTACTCTTGAAGGCTGAGACAGAGGGATCACTTGAGCCCAGGAGTTCAAGGTCAGCCTGGGCAACACAGAAGACCCCATCTCTTAAAAAAAATAAATAAATAAAACGGTTTGATGTCAATAACCTCATATGGGAGATATGAAGAATAATTCTGCATCAATATACTTCCTAACAAGTAGGTATTAATGACAATTACATACTCAATATATATTAAATAGTATACTGAGAACATACCTAGATCAGCTAATTCTTTGAGCTTTATTTTTTTCTTATGTAAAAATTTATTCAACAAATATTTATTAAGGGCCTACTAGGTACCAGGCACCAGAAAGTTTTCCATAGGTGTACATATGCATGTAAGACAGGGAAAGATATTAAGCAGTTTTCCCTCTAACAATTGAGAAATTAGAGCCTGGGATGAGTTCAACCCTAAAAAAAACCCAGAATGATGTACTTCCTTCAGTTATCAAGACATCTGCCCTACCAAAGCCTAAACAGCTAATCTGTCACCACCAAATAGCAGAAAATAAATATTCTGTTAGGCTTAATTCTCCTCAAGCCTAACAGAATAAAGATTGCTTGCTAAGAGAGTTGTAGAATGAAGCGGCTTCTTTCAAAGCTATTAACAAGTGATTTTATACTACTATAATGACTTACACAATTTTCCTCCTAGGGGAAAAAAAAACAATTCCCACAACTTAGCATAATGCCACCAAAAACTTCACAAGCACTAAATATATATTTTTTTTTGCTGCCAACAAGAGACTCATTTTATTTTCTTATTGTGCATTTTGATATTTATTTTCAAATTTTTTTAATTTTATTATTATTATACTTTAAGTTTTAGGGTATATGTGCACAATGTGCAGGTTTGTTACATATGTATACATGTGCCATGTTGGTGTGCTGCACCCATTAACTCGTCATTTAGGATTAGGTATATCTCCTAATGCTATCCCTCCCCCCTCCCCCCACCCCACAACAGTCCCCGGTGTGTGATGTTCCCCTTCCTGTGTCCATGTGTTCTCATTGTTCAATTCCCACCTATGAGAGCATGCGGTGTTTGGTTTTTTGTCCTTGCGATAGTTTGCTGAGAATGATGGTTTCCAGCTTCATCCATGTCCCTACAAAGGACATGAACTCATCATTTTTTATGGCTGCATAGTATTCCATGGTGTATATGACAAGCACTAAATATTTTTAAACTCTGCCTCTGGCTCAAAGGAAAGCCGCACTAATTTGAAAAGAAATGTATTCTTGGCTTCCCCATTCAACCAATACACTTCACCCTACAAACTTATTGGCAAAGCCAATAAAAATGAGAGTTCTTTTAAGGGAAGTTCAGACTTGTCCTATCTTCCACAGTCCTGCCAGAGTGGCCAGAAGCAACTAGAAAAGCAAAAGCCATGAAAGGAATGCTGACAATCCTTCCAGAGCATGCTGTTCAGATTCCTGCTACACAGCAAGATATCTACAAGCGCCTGTCATCTGTTGAAAAGTAGCTGCACCACTGCAATATGAGAAAAGCTGCAGCATTAGCATTCCCACACACTTGGGGAAGGGGACGACAGGACTGTGAAAGGTAATTTACATTTATTTTCACTGTTCTTGAGCTGCTTTAGGAAATAGCACCTAGCAGTCGTAGCTAGCTATTTTGTTCAAAACACACCTTATCTTTTGACTCAAGTTAAAGAAGCAATCTTTCTGAAGATCAGCAAAATGCTGAGTACCATGTATCACCATTATTTTCAAGGAATTCACTTAGGCTTACTTACAAAGTGGGTTTTCCTAGTGGCTGTAAAAAAAATTATCACATATTTGCATTTATAAATGCACTAAGAGAAACATAATACAAAGCTACTTAAGATATATTTACTTGCTAGGAGTTCAAGTCCAAACTCTGCAATTTAGCAGCTATGAGATCCTAAGATAAAGCTACTACTCTGAACCTGTTTCCTCATTTGCAAAAGAACACGCAGGTCTCATGGGCCAAAAGAGCCTGAAATGACCACAAATGGAGAATCACAGAGAACTTCTAAGGTAACACCCCACTCAATATAAACCTGCACTTTTGTAACATGATTGTATTCTCTTAATAAATGCCCTAATATTAATGGAAGGCTAATCATGTTGTTTCATTAATTTTAGAAACTTCTGGATAATTAAAGACAAGATCCTCTCATCTTCAACTTTTTAAAAGAGTTTTTTTTAAACAGATAAAACAATTAAAAGGAGAGATTGGAGTATTCCAATAATCAGAAAAGTGTAAAGCTGGTCCGAAGATAGTGAATTATCACAACTGATTGTTCACAGTTATAGACTGAACTCTTTGCTCTACTTGTTCCCTTCTTCTCACTATTGCACTTGACTAGTCATTTTTTAAAAAGCACAAAAAATTACCACTTTTTTTTAAACGGCAGCTTTTTGGTGCCGAGAAATGAGAATTCCTTTTTCTGTATTAGAATTTAAAACAACTCAAATTAATTAAAACTTTTAACATAATGTTAGCTGATTATTTCAGATACTTGCTAAGCAGTAAGACAAATTATGAACAAATATATAAGAAGTGGGGTATGCGGAAAGGAAATGAGAGGAAATTCCATGGGTCAGCCAGGTAGAATAAGAATGAAGTTTTAAAGAAGACTCACCAGTGAGGAGAAAAATACATAGTTAAGGGAAGAAAGGGAAAGAAAAATTTATTTAGCACAAACTGTCTCTCTCTCATGCCTTCAGATACTATTTTCCAAAAGTCTCCTTAATAACTTTTCTTGCCTGAGGTCCCTCAGCACGTCTATACGGGTAGGGTGAAATTGGAACCAAATCTTCTAACTAAATCCCACTTTTAGAGAAGGCACATAAAGTTTCTACTTGTCCTTCAGCGAGGTCAAGGCATCACATCATGAATGAGAATTGAGTGCACAGCGCTAGAAGAGAAGTTCAGAGAAAGTGAAGGGGTTAAAATAGATGATCTGAAAGGTCCTACCCAGTTCTAAAGTTGTATGACTCACGACAGGAGGAAACAACAGCAGTCTCCACTACAAGGCCTCAGCTTTTACTAACTGCATACAATGGACAAAAATCTGCTCCACAGAAAATTTTAACATATGAAATAAGACAACCTCTTGCTGAGAATCCTTAAAAATTCCACATCATTGCATTAAAAGTTGATGGGCCAAACTAGCAACTCAGTATAGAAATTTTACTGTTAAAAAATTCAGGCTCTCTCTTCCTTTCTCCACCATCATTGTGTGTGCTCGACTTGGCTTCTCACCATGTCTTCTCACAAGAGTTTCCGGATTAAGTGTTTCCTGGCCAAGAAACAAAAGCAAAAAATTGTCCCACTCCCAGTGGATTTAGATGAAAACTGGTAATAAAATCAGGTACAACTCCAAAAGGAAACACTGGAGAAGAACCAGACTGGGTCTATAAAGAATTGCACATGAGATGGCACACATACTTATGCTATGTCAAGATCACAACCATGTTACCATATCAAGCTGAAAATGTCACCACTATCTGGACAGTTGGACACGTCTTATTGGGAATATATTTTTTCTCTCTGTATGTGCTATGAAGGTGCCAGTTGGCTGGGTTCAATAATAAATATGTGAGATCTTGCATTTCAAAAAACAAAAAAAAAAAAATCAGGTAGTTAAAATCTAAAGGCAATTAGACTTTACCAGGATTTCCCTGAGGGCCATTTCCAGAGGCAGCCAAAACAAGAGGGAGAAAAGTCTACTGTCAACCTTAGAACACTACTCAGAAGACCATCTTCTAGGTGGATTTAATTATTGTCACTATCAATTTGAATAAAAAGACATCATTTTCAGGTAAGACGCACATATCAAAGATCAGTGGCTTTATTTCCAACTCCACCCTACCTGATCCACAGAGAGATCTTACCTAGATAGAATCTTTTATTGAAATATTAGAAACAAAAAACCCCCAAGGCAGTAGAGTTAATAAGGTAAGGTAGAAAACAAGAAGATTTGCGGTCTTGCTTAAGACTAATAATACATTCAAACATGTTTCTACAAATTCCTATACCAAGGTAATCCTATGGATCACTTCAGTTTGAAAATATATACTGTAACTTAAATGCCTTAAACTTGAATGGTCACCATGTTCACAAAGCAATAAAGTACACAGACTAGTGAGCTATTAGGAAACTAAATGTTTAGTGAAAACATTTTCAATACTGAATGAAATGAGGCCCAGCTTATAAACTGCTCCTTCCTAAATAAGGTAGGCCCTTTATAGAAACAAGCCTTTCAGATAATCCAGCACCAAGACACAATAGAAATCCCTGGGACTCCAAGTCTAGCAGGTTTAGGTTAGAATCTAAACTCACCTGTTTACCTTGCTGTTGAGCTTGCTTACCTGTTTGGGTCTGCAGTTTCTTTATCTTTAAAATACAGATAAAACATCCAACCCACCCAACTCCACCTTATAGCATTTTTGTGAAAATAAACACAAAAGACTGGGCACACAATTACATTTCCTTATGCATCTTCCCTTTACTTCTATGGTAATGATTCTCAGTATGGTCCTTCAGCTGTCAGTCTGATCTGTAATATTTCAGAAATAGTCTAAAAATTTTTAATGTGATGCTCAACCTATGTTTTCCTTCTTTTACTAATCTTTATTACTTAAATTCATTCCATTTCTTTATTAGATGGAAAATGTATTAAAAACATTAGATGGTTACTTATGTATGAAACAAATAATTAACGGGACTCTAACAGGATGGATTTCCTGAATGGAATGTGAAAAATTACTTTCCCTCTCGAGATAATGTTGATCTTGGAAATGGATGTACCTTCTTCTATCTCCTGTGAGATTCACCTCATTCACAATGTTCACCATGTTCACAAAGCAATAAAGTACATAGAATATACAAATATAGTACAATACACAATATAGTACTGCAGTCAAGTCTAGACTGGCTCTACTTGTATGCATCTTTCTGTATCATCATTTATTGTACAAACCCAGTAACTCACAACAGGTATATTTGTAAGGACTTTTAGTTCCATGTTTTAGCTGCTACACATTTATTTAGGGAAACTAAGTACTGCAATGGAAAGTCTCAAATTGAATATCTAACCATTAAATCCAGCTACCTAAAAATTTCTACCACCTATAGCTATACCTGGAAGTCCAGCCCATTTACGTGTTTTTTCTATTAAAATTGGCTCTTCTGTGCCTTCTGCAAGTAAACAAATTCAAAGTCAAAACCTACCAATGAAGCTAAGCACAGTTGTTCACACCTGTGATCCCAGCACTTTGGGAGCCCAGGCAGGAGGATCACTTGAGGCCAGGAGTTCGAGACCAGCCTGGGCAACATCGCTAGACCCCATCTCTATGAAAAATTGTTAAAAAAAAACAAAAAACTTACCAATGAAGAGACAGTTTTGAGCAAATGGACAAATAACAAAATATTAGTATTTCATCTATGTTTTTTTTACTCCCAATCAGGTGCAATTTCTGTGTTTAACACACCCATATCCAATGCTGCTTTGTCTTTTTTTTTTTGAGATGGAGTCTTGTTCTGTCAGCCAGGCTGGAGTGCAGTGGTGTGATCTCGGCTCACTGCAACCTCCACCTCCCAGGTTCAAGCAATTCTCCTACCTCAACCACCCAAGTAGCTGGGATTACAGGCACCCACCACCACGTCCAGCTAATTTTTGTATTTTTAGTAGAGATGAGGTTTCACCATGTTGGCCAGGCTGGTCTCCAACTCCTGACCTCAAAAAATCCACCTGCCTCAGCCTCCCAAAGTGCTGGGATTACAGGCGTGAGCCACCACTCCCAGCTGTCATTATTTAATTAATTCTGCTTATCTCATTATCTTATCCCTTTCAGCTGGAAGATCATATGGTAGGAGTACTGAAAGAAATTCAAGCAGCAGATAGAAAGTTACGTTAAATAATCTTTTAATATTCATTAGATTGCATGTCTTTAAAAGTAGAAGAAAAAATAACTTCAAATAAATGTCCCTTTAAAAGGGGGAACTGGCTGAGTGCAGTGGCTCATGCCTGTAATCCCGGCACTGTGAGAGGCCAAGGTGGGCAGATTGCTTGAGCCCGTGAGTTTGAGACCAGCCTTGGCAACAAGGCAAAACCCCACCTTGAAAAAAAAAAATACAAAAATAAGCCAGTTGTAGTGGTGCACACCTGTGATTCTAGCTACTTGAGAGGCTGAGGTGGAAGGATCACTTGAGCCCAGGAGGTTGAGACTACAGTTAGCCATAATTGTGCCACTGCACTCCAGCCTGGGTGACAGAGTGAGACCCTGCCTCAAAAGTAAAAAACTAAAAAAGTAAAAAGGATAATCAACTTCTAAGAAACAGTCTAAACCAGGAGCTGGCAAAGGTTTCTGTAAAGGGCCAAGTAACAAGTATTTTCCACTTTGTGAACCATACAATCTCAGCAACAACTTCTCAGCTCTGCCACTGTACCAGAAAAGCAGCCATGGATAATAAATAAATGAATGGGTGTGGCTGTGTTCCAATAAAACTTTAAAAAAACAGGAAGACAGTTTGCAGGCCATAGTTTGCCAACCTCTGTTTTAAACAATGATTTCCAATATTCCACAAACATTCAGAAAAATGAAGTATAAATGAGAAAGACATCAATGGGAAAGCAGTACAGTCTAAATATTCGTTGTCTATGATTTCACTACTACTATTGTTACTGACACACTGTAAAATGGCCAACAAATGCTTGTTTGATACAATAATATCTTCATGAACAAAACAACACATTAATGCCAGGCTTCAGAAATACAGATATGCCAGAGGCTGAATGCAAAAGGATGACATGACCTATAGCCTTTTTCAAGATATATATTTTTAAAAATCTGTATTTCTAAAAGGAAAGCCCATTAAGATATGCAGGGATGAGGCTTGGGTTGTATTATTTTGCAGAAAAGACTACAAGTGAAGAAGAGCACATAACATAATCCTGTCACAAACTCAGAGAAACTCTTGCCCACTACTTTGTTCAAAAACTTGATATAATAATAATAATAAAAAAGCACAGAATTTAAAAGTATGGATGGGAAAGTAGTATGGAATGGAGTATTCTGGCTACCTATCACTACATAACAAAATCACTCTAAAACTTAGTGTTTTAAAACAACCACCATTTTATTTTCTTCCACAATTTTTATGAGTTAGGAATTTGTAAAGGGCTCAGCTAAGCAATTCTGGCTGAGCAGTTCTAGCTCCGGACTTTAGCCTCTTCGATTTTCCCCATGAGATAGTTTGGGCTTCCTTATAGCATGGGGACCTCAGAATAGTCAGATACTTACAAAGCTGCTAATGGCTTAAAGACCAGTATTCTTGTGAGCTAGGCAAAAGCTCTCTCACCTTTTCTGACCTAGCCTTGGAAGTCATACAGTGTAATTTTCTGCCACATTCTATTGGCTACAAGTGATTTACAAGACTGCCCAAATTCAAGGGACTTAAATCCCACCTCAGAATGAGAGAACAGTTAGGGTCTGTACAAGCTCACACATGTGCGATGGAAAATACTGTTGCAACCATCCTTAGAAAATACAGTCTGTCACAAACAGCATCAAGTAACTGCCTGTTACTCTTGAGACTGTCAACCACCAACCCATGTTGGACCTATTTCACAGGACTACGGTACAACGAAGAGTTGTTTCTTACTGTTTTTTTTAGCCACTCAAAACCCATTTTAAAAATATGGACTCATGGATCTCACACTTTGAAATATTCTGTCTACCCAATAACCTCATCTACTGAACGAGAATTTCACATTCCCATGTTCAATTAACTTTCCCATGTTCAATTAACTATGAACTCCTGAACCTGGTTTTAGCTGAACTAAGGAGCAAAGTTCTGCAGCATTACCATCTGGAGTTGACACACCTCTAGTCAAAAGCAAGACAACTTGTTTTACAGAAGTTAGATTATGAAGAAGCCTCGAGCTAAGTATATCCATTAAGATTTTCTGATAGATTCCCATCTGAAGCATTGAAAACCAATCCTCCAGTGTTTTTCCTACTATATTTTGGTAACTGCAATCATCACTTAATGTTTTGATTAAGACTGCTATGGTTTACATATGGTTTGTTTGGTCCCACCAAGTCTCATGTTGAAATCTGATTCCCAATGTTGGAGGTGGGGCCTGGTGGGAGGTGTTTGGGTCATGTGGGCAGATTCCTCATTAATGGCTTGGTGCCACTAAGCGTTCTCACTCATAGTGAGAACTGGCTCAGTTCTCAGCCACAAGAACTGGCTGTTGAAAAGAGACTGGCAGCTCTTCCTCTTTCTCTCTTGCTTCCTCTCTCACTGTGTGATGCCTGCTCCCCTTCACCTTACACCAGGAGTGGAAGCCTCCTGAGGCCCTCATCAGAAGCAGATACTGATGCCGTGCTTCTTGTACAGCCTGCAAAACTGTGAGCCACATAAACCTCTTTTCTTTACAAATTACCCAGCTTCAGGTATTCCTTTATATCAATACAAATGGACTAAGACAGACTCAACATCAAAGAAAACATCCTCTGAGCCAGGCACAGTGGCACACAACTGTGTGCCCAACTACTTGGGAGGCTGAAGCAGAAGAAGTGCATGAGGCGAAGAGTTTGAGTCCAGCCTATGCAACAGGGTGAGAACCTATCTCAAAAAAGAAAACCTCACCTGAAAGAAATCTATAAGCAACAAAAAAAGAGCCAAAATGCAAACCCAAAGTGTACAAATTATTTAGTGTAGTCAAGCTCCTAATAACAGTGGGTTCCTTTTTCCTTTTTCAAAAATTAAGGCTTATTGAGCATTTTCCACAAATAAAGATCAGCTGTAGCATCCTGGTTAACATTTCTTTTTTCAATAAAAGATGCTAGTGTCCAACCCTGTGGTAAGTACCCATTGAAGTAGATATAATGGCCACTTTGTTTGCCTACACAAGCACTGATTTACCAATATTTAACTGTCTATATCCTATTTTCCCCAATACTTCCCCCCAAGGCACTTCTCGGTAGTAAGGAATCTAAAGACGTTCATTAGTTCTTAGGCCACTATACAACTGTTTCATATAATGATGCTGTTCCATAAGCATGGCACTTTGACAAGAGTTAAAATGCTTCTAGGATCTTACTATCCTGGGAAATGTTACACACTGAGAAAAATAAGATTCAGAATTCCTCTGAGTGATGTAAAAATCAAACATAAAGACACCTTTAAAAAGTCAAATTCTACTCTATGAGAGAGGAAATGTCAGTTTTGTAGCACTAAAATTATCTGCTGATCAGAAAACAAATTTTTCAATAATATACATTTTCCTTTGTTTCTGTTTCTGTCCTTAAGGCCAGAACCAGTAGGGTAACTTCTCTACTATAAAGCCTACAGAAGGTGGGCTGTGTTCTTGTTAACACACAGCTTGATAACACTGAATAATAAACAGGAAGAAGCACCCAAAATAACAAAAAAGTAAATAGTTCTAACAATTAGTTAAGTTAGAGAAATTGGAGGGGGAAAAAACAGTCTGCTGCTTGCAAAAACATGTATTCAATTTCCTTCTAGGGGAAGAAAACAGTTTTTTTAAATAAAGTAATTCCCGTAAGTCATACATGACTCTTTTTTTAGGTAAACTATTGTGCTTGATCACTTTTTACCTTAATAATAATGTTTTCATATTAAGACATGAAATTTTAATCCTAACACTTTCAGACTCAGAGAAGTGAAACACATATTTCAATATACAAAGATATACTAATATTTTAACTGTACTACCAAAGACAGAGCTTTTCAAACTTTTATAACAGAATTGCAATATCTTTTTTGCTAAAAAAAATTTATAAAATTTGACTTCACAATATACCTGAAGATTTATATAAAATATTTCAAATTACTGAAGTAAAACCGATGTTATAGGAAAACATACCATATTTACCCTGAACACTACATATATACTACATACCGCTTCGCCCAAGATTAACAAAGGTAAATTATGTATGCTTCATATATATGCTGTATTTTCTATTTTTCTTGTGTCACTTTCTTATGGCTGCCTTCTGAATCTTGTTCTCAAGCCTGAACCTAAAAACAGGACTCAGTCCTCCAAGGCAGCATTTGTGGTAAATGGTGCTAGGAAACTATATGCTTTATCCCAACCAGATTAAAGATGTATATTAGCATATCAAAGATTACAAATGTCCTGAGGTAAAAAACAAAAAAAAGACCCACTAAATTCTATCTAAGCCCTGCTCTTCATAAATGTCCCAACACAGCTAGGGAAATAATGCTCATGAGAAGCTCAAGGATTACTAAACCAGCCTTCAAAAGTAATGATTTTCCAAGAAAGGGCCAAGCCTCCTGATGGACTATAAATGATTTAGAAAGCATGACCTTCGTGGCCATGCCTGTAACCCCAGCACTTTGGGAGGCCGAGGCGGGTGGATCACAAGGTCAGGAGATCGAGACCGTCCTGGCTAACACGGTGAAACCCCGTCTCTACTAAAAATACAAAAAATTAGCTGGGCATGGTGGCAGGCATCTGTAGTCCCAGCTACTCAGGAGGCTGAGGCAGGAGAATGGCATGAACCCAGGAGGCGGAGCTTGCAGTGAGCGGAGATCGCACCACTGCACTCCCTCCTGGGCGACACAGCGAGACTCAGTCTCAAAAAAAAAGAAAACATGACCTTCCTTTAATCCATAAAGCTACTTATGAATAAACTATTAAGCTAGTTACCAAGAGTTGCAAAAATGAAGACTTTACTAGAATGTACCAAAAACTTCAATTTGTATTCCACTAGTATATCCAGTTGCTGCAACTGGCAATGCTGCAAGCTCCTACCACATATGCATACTCAAAACGTAGAAGTCCGTAACTTTCAAGAGGGGCACTTGCCATCAGTGAAACTGTGTTGTCTTTAGTTGGTCTTCGTTTTCAATTGTCATTATTCTTGCCTTTTAATTAAATTACCATTAGGTTTGGCTCATCGTTATCAATTTAGTTTTTGGTTATTTTATTATAACTGTAGAGAATATATTGATACAATTCCATCACTAGGATTTGAGGCCTGCAGTTTTCTAATTAGTCTAGACTTTATGACAAGCATATTTTTTGTGATTCAATTAGGAACCATCCATATAGCTCTTCCCAAAAAATGCTTATACCTTGACAAGTGTTATTATTCCATTAGAAAGTAGAAATTATTGAGCTAAAGAATGACTCAGCCAAAAGGCTAGGACTAAAAAAGCTTGACAGGCACTGTTCTAAGGGTCCTCACTCTGGCTATGATGTCGCTAATGTACGGGCAAGTCTTAGCCCCAGCCAGCCTTTCCACATGAACCAAATGTGGCAAAAGAACTCAGAATCGGGATCAGTCATGTAAGCAGTAACTTCTTTGAACCTGGATGTCAATGATCCTTCCAGTGTCTAGTTTTGAGTGGGGAAAAAACAGCTTTTAGGAATGTATTTAAATGACTAAATCCCATAACAAACTCTCTTCTCAAAAATCTTTTCCTAGTTTATTTTTAAAACTTTGCCAAGTTCATAGACACAGCTTGCAACTAAATGCTGTTAGGCAAAGATCATCCTAGAAAGGTATAAAAAAGCATGAGGAAAATGTTTTAAGAACTGTGGATTCTTAATATCTGTTTCCAACTGTGGAATGGAATTAAGCTCCTAAAACACGCCTACCCTAATAAATCTTGTAACTATGGGTTATTATGTTAAAGATGGAAGGAGTATATGATGGCAAAGTAAAAACATTATGGTATAACATTTCAGGGAATTCTTAGCCAATTTACCAATAATCTAGTTACCATGCTAAAGTTAATATACTTCCTTCTCCAAATACTGAGATCCAGAATGAAAAGACAAACAAAATAAATAAGCACAATAGACTTACCAAAAATCAGGTAATGAGAAACAACGCTGTTGGGATTGCCATAACCAACAGACCTTAGGCAAGTCAACCTCTCTGATCACTCTTTAAATTTATTGAAGGAGAGGCCAGATCACTGATTGTTAAAATCTCTTCTGGCTTTCACAGTCTGTATTTTTACTACTATGTATTGGAATAAGTTGTTTCCTACTAGTAGATTAGGTACTTGAAAAATTATTAACTCCAACAGGTCACAAGGGTATCACTTTAAAGCAATTCACCTAATATTCACTGAACTTCGAACAGTCTGTGCACAGCTCTGTGGGGTCAAATGTCCCATTACCAGCTAATTCACCTGTTCCTATCTCCTGAGAATTCTGCTTATGCTCATAATCATTATCATAATTACATTTTAATTACAATCCACAAGTTTTTAAAACCACCTATTTCTAAGAAACTCATTTAGGGCCATTCCTCAAACTAAGTGAACTATGAGCACTTGTATCTCAGGGCTCCACTGAGAATCAATCCTTTGTCAGCCAAAAACAGTTTCTAAGCTCCTGCATTACTTCTGGTTGTTTCAACACAGATGTGAACCTCAAAATACTTTAGCAGATCCTTTCCTCCACAGATCTTAACTGCCTAAGGACACAGTAAGTCAAAGTTTTTACTTCTGGGGGAAAAAAAGGTATTTATGCATTTATTCATTCATATGTCATATATTCTACTTCCTGTTAATCCAGGATGGACAGGAGCCATAAATAAAGTACCACATGCTTATTCCAAAATCTTTAGTGAAATAATTCCTATTTATTAAACTGGCTACAGCTTGTTTTTCCCCAAGAATTCAATTAAGAATGTCTAATTTTTTAATTAGGCATTTGCAATAATAAGCTTTATCATTTTATCACTCTTAATAATTAAAAACACTTGTTTGTAAAAGGCAAGCAGAACACACAGAAAGATAATTGAGTTGAATTTTAGCAGTATGCTTTCTGCCTACACATTAAAGAATAAATTATTAAGACAGAATCCACAGACCCCCCAAGGATATTTGAACGTACATTTTTCTGATGAGATAGCACAACACTTTGAGGAGATGCTCAGAGAAGTTCATGACCTTTGACAAGCAATTTCTGCATTAGGGAATATACTTTAAGATTTTATTCTCAGAATACTTCAAAATAAGCTATAATGGTAACAATTCCCTAAATTCAAGGATTTCTCATGAATTATGCCAACATTTCTGGAAAAAATTTCATGTAAGACAAGAATGATCTAAACTAGATATTTCAAAATAATCTTAAAATTGTCAAATAGTTAACATTTAAGTTAAACACACACACACAACTGCACACCAAAGCTGATGGCACAAACCCACAAACATTCTAACAAGAATGGATCCATTAATACATGTGGTATTAAGATATTTAGAAGGCTTTTTAACAGAACGTGCCAAAAAATTAACCACGAACAGTGATATATTCACAAAGTAGTGTGTCCTAATTTCTGCTACAGCAACCGGCTTTGTTCAAGTTCTGATATAACATCTACAGTATGCCAATTACATGTTGTAGTAGTCTAAAAGATAAAGATAGAGAGATACAGATTTAGATATAACTTATTCTATAGCGCCAAAATTAGATTTCCTAACCGCACGCTTTATCCATGTGATTACCCTCACCTTATCCCTGAATGTTCTTTCTCTCTATCGCCACTTGTTTAAGTTCTACTTTCATTCTAAAATAATGTCAGTTCCCACTTAAGAGTCTCTACCACCAATTTTGGCACATGATCCAGTGTTGCTACATTCTGTTTCACATATGTACAGTCTCTTCAATTATATTATCCCTGCCCTACAGTAGCTTACTATATCTAATTTCTCGTGCCCAGAACAGTATAATGCTCAAGTCTCAAAATATATTTATATGAACAAATTTGCACCTCACTTGGATTAACATGTCTATTATTATACTTATCACACTGCATGGTAACAACTGGTTAAAAAAAAAAAAAAAGTCTAGGGATTTGCTTCAAAATAAAGAAGGAAGTGGATGGAGGTATGGATGAAGCAAGACTGACCACAAGTTAGTAACTCTTAAAGTTGGTGATGTGTGTATTATTGCTGTCAATTTTCCATAATACAAAGTTTAGAAGCTTGCCTCTCCTACTAGTAAGAGGGCTTCTTAAAGACAAGTTCAAGAGTGTTCTTCTTTGTACATCTATCCAATACAGAACAGACCAATTGAACTTTACTAAACACGTTTCATTCTTTAGGTAGAACTACTTTTCAATGAAACTTCAACATCTTTTTGACGGTACTTTATTTAAAAAATTTTTCATTAGCTCAAATAAAACATATATTCACTCATTCATTATTTTCTGGGTCCCTGCTTCCTAAGATATGCTGTCCTGGTAAATGTAGGATACCAAAAATAATTTATCCTCTCTACTAAATTAAGAAGGGAAAGAAGGAAGATTAAAAGAAAATATTGTAAAATGCAGTAATACAGTTTTTAAGAAAGGCATCTAGGGCATCTATGTTTTTAATTAGAAAGAAGGCATACAACCTATTCAAGGAAGACGGGCTTAAAATTTCTCCTCCCCCTCCATTTTACAGATGAGGAAACTAAAGCCCATAGAGGGGAAGTGACTTGCCTAGCAAGTTACACATCAAGTAGCTAACAAAACCAAAATTAAAGCTCAGATCTGCTGATTCACAGTTCAATTTGAATTTTCTTTTTTTCTTTTTTTTTTTTTTTTGAGACGGAGTCTTGCTCTGTTGTCCAGGCTGGAGTGCAGTGGCGCTATCTTGGCTCACTGCAACCTCTGCCTCCCGGGTTCAAGCAATTCTTTTGCCTCAGCCTCCCGAGTAGCTGGGACTACAGGTGGGCGCCACCACGCCCGGCTAATTTTTGTAGTTTTACTAGATGGGGTTTTCACCATATTGGCCAGGCTGGTATCGAACTCCTGACCTCATGATCCGCCCACCTCGGCCTCCCAAAGTGCTGGGATTACAGGCGTGAGCCACCGCACCCGGCCCAATTTGAATTTTCTACATCATAATGCTTTTCTGTACACTGTAATGTTAACTAATGAAAGAGAATGAGTTATTTTATTGGTAGTATATATTTCAATTATTTATTAAATCATATTTAAAAAAATAATAGGATAAGATGGGGAAGGCTGGGAAGAAAAAGTGCACAACAAATTGGTAAGATACTTATGTGTGAAAACTACAGGCATATGCCATGCTTCATCAATTTTGAGATACATTTAAGACATAGTAACCATTTCACAAACATTTTGAAGTAAATATAGACAATATACATCTTCAAAAAATTCTAAAATATGAAAACATACATCTCTAAAGCAAGAAAATATAAGGTATCCTATTAGACACTAAAAAATCACTGTCATTTATTTAGAGGCAGTGTCACAGAGCACAAACACTCAGAGCAAGAGTCTCATCTTCTAAGGTAACAAATACCTAAGGCTTGTGGCATTTTTTTTCAGTTGAAGGTATAAATCAGTCCTCCGTGCTATTAGTTTCACAAGCATGGAGTTTTGGAGTTAGACAAAGAAAGGTTTGAATCCCAGCTCTGTCACTTAGCTCTCCAACCTTGGAAAGTTACTAACTTCTCTGAGTCTCACTCTCCTCATCTGTAATATGGTATTCACATTTTAGAGAATTATATGAGAATCAAATGTGGTAATTTGTTGAAGGATTATGCTACAGTGCCTAGATGAAATAGGAATCACATTAATATCGTTTCCTCTCAGAATCCCTATGGGCTAAGTGAAATTAAACTAAAAGCTAGATGAATTTACGCAACTCTTTCCTCTCTGTTTAGGAGACTGTAATAAGTCTGTACTGATCCTAGGGCAAATCCTATTGGTTTGGGAATCATTCTTTGAATAAGAAAAGCTTATTTTCTTGACTTCTGTCTCCACTCTTCAAATTGGGAACCGAAAACAATGGTGAATTTATAAGTGTTTAAGTTGATCAGCTATATCTAAATCCAGCACTTCCATTTTGTCTTACTGAACTGAAACTCTAAGCCTGTTGCAAACCCATTAATGAGAGGAACTATAGAACCAATGTGTAGGAAGAAGGATATAAAGCCAAAAGAAGCAGTTAAAATGACACAATTCTATCAGTGGTTTGTTGGGTTTTTTTAAACCTTAAATTCATGTATTAAACTCTAAGAAAACAAGTGTTCAGGAAAACAAAGACTGTATCTCCACCATTCAGGGTGGGTTAGTAACTTGATCCTTCAGGTTAAGCAAATACCACCTTTCAGTACATACAGTTTCAGTTTCCATCAGTGACAATCCAGTCATTTCCAAGATAGGAACACACCTACCAAGGTGGCTCTTACCAAGTAGGGACTGAAATAAGACTATCTTCTCTCCTACCCCAAGTTCAGACTAGCCTACCCACATTTTCCTGAGTATTAGCTCATTTCAGTTGAATGCTTGTCCCCACTAATTATAAAAATAATGCTCACTTTTTTTTTTTTTTTTGAGACAGGGTCTCACTTTGTCACTTAGGCTGGAGTACAGCGGCATGATCAAGGTTCACTGCAGCCTCAACCTCCCAGGCTCCCATCTCAGCCCCCCAAGTAGCTGGGATTACAGGTGTGCACACCACCTTGCCCAACTAATTTTTTTTTTTTTTTTGGATAGAAAAGGGGTTTTGCCATGTTGCCCAGGCTGCTCTTGAACTCTTGAGCTCAGGCGGTCTGCCTGCTCATTTTTTTAAATTTGAAAAAACTAAAAAGTGCAAGCATTTTAAAGCATCCATGATCTTCCAGCCAAAGATTAAAACATTACAAGGGGTCATACCATCATCTTTCCTATGAATCTGACCATAACTGTGAAAATATTTAAATTTGTATAGAGTACCTGCCACTAAACACAATTAACTACCAGCCCAAACATTAATATCTTCATTCCAGCTTTCTTGTGACTAAATTCACATTACTTTTTTACTTACTTAACTCAATGGTTTCTTCTCAATCGTTCTGAGTCTCTCAGCTATATACTTTGTTGCTAACCACCACCTCTTTAAAACTCTATCCCAGGTTTCTCTAAACAGTGTATTCCTCAGTATCTACAGAAATCTCTCCAACTAATCTTTTTCTTTCTTCACTGGCTCTTCTTACATAAACTGACAATCTCTAGAAAATAGATGAGGTCTGACTTGAATTTTCTTGTCAATATTGAACACCCAGCACTTACTACAGTGCCTGGCATCAAGCAGATGCTCAATTAACATTTACTGACTGATTCTGCCAATCCTGACCTGTCCCCTCCTAGCTGTGTGACCTTGGGCAAGTTATATCTCTCTGAGTCTTATCTCCCTCATCTATAAAATACAGATAATCAGAAGATGAGATAATATTTGGAAGGTTCAAAACAGTGTCTGCCACAAAGTAGCACCCAATAAATTTTGCTATTATTATCAATATACTCTAGCACAGGACTCAAAAATGTTTCCAACTTATGATATATGGTTGACTGTTAAACCTACCTCTCAATAACCTTACTTTCACTTCATTCTCCTATAACTATCAAATATTTTATGCTCTTTCCTTTACTACCTATCTCCAATCCATTATCAACTGTTAATTTTCTCTCCTAACCAACATAAAAAATTATTTATCAGCTAAGCTGCAACATAGCCTTGGTTGATTTCCAAACCCCTAAATCTTCATTCGAATCTTCAATCATCCTTAAAAACCATTTTTAATTTGTCACTCTTGTCCACAGTTGCTTATACCAAGTACAAACTACTGGAATGTCATCCTCATGTCTTGTAATAACCCACATCCCAACTTCTAGTTCACATGATGGCTCAAAACTCACCTCTTTCAGGAAACCTTCCCTGATTCACTCCACGCCACTCAGATTACTTCTCTACTGCAAGTCGCCTCAGCACTTAGGTATTGTTATACTAAGGGCAAATGTGATCACAGTAAACAGCATCACTAAGAAATCGCTTTCACAAAATTGTTTCTAGATCATAAATAATGGTCCATTAGTTAAAATGCTTTGCTGATCTGGTTAACAAGCAAACATGTTACACAGCAAATGCTCTCTTTGGCTTCTGTCCTTGACTCTATAACTCTTCACAAACCTTTTGTCCTATCCTCAAACAGAAACTCTATCTCCCATTTAAATACACTGGAAATATGGTAGTGGGCCACCTTCTTTTCTACTACCTCTTCTCTGACCTCAGTCTCTGCCTCCAGCCTCTATCCACACCCCATAAATAAAAATTCCAAAAGCTTCAAATAGAATAGCAGTGATGCATACATACCATGTCTTTCCTGAGTGAAAAAAAAAAAAAAACCCTCAAGCTACTTAGCTACAAAATTCTTCACAAGGGTAATAAATTTCCCAACAAGCCTAATACATAATCAAACTCCAGAAAATTTATGTGGAATTTTTATGGATAAATTTATGGAATAATTTTGGCCGGCGCGGCAGCTAACGCCTGTAATCCCAGCACTTTGGGAGGCCGAGGCGGATGGATCTCTTGAAGTCAGGGGTTCGAGACCAGCCTGGCCAATATGGTGAAACCCCGCCTCTACTAAAAATACAAAAATTAGCCGGTGCGGTGGGGCATGTCTCTGTAGTCCCAACTACTCGAGAGGCTGAGGCAAGAGCTGATCACTTGAACCTGGGAGGTGGAGGTTGCAGCGAGCCAAGATCGCGTCACTGCACTCCAGCCTGGGCAACAAAGCGAGACACACACACACAAATTTATAAAATAAAAACAAAACAAAACAAAAATTATAAAATAATTTTATGGAAAATGTATGGAATAACAGGGCCTGGGTGGGGTGGCTCACCCCTGTAATCCCAAGCCTTTGAGAGGCCACGGTGGAAAGATCTCTTGGGCCGAGGAGTTTGAGGCTGGAACGAGCTATGATCTCGCCACTGCACTCCAGCCTGGGCGACAGCAAACCCTGTCTCTGTTTACTTTTTAAATTAATTTGAAAAAAATACATCAGGATTGTACTTATACGTTAATTCTCACTTGTATTACTGTAAGAGATCTTGCATCATTTTTATGCTATATTACACATGCCCAACATGACAGCTGAGAAACTCCCCTGGAGGGCAGATTTTCTGAGAGTATCTTCTGATGTTGTCTTTAAACCAACACTTTTTTTTTTAACATAAAGAATTAAGGGATTCCTGACTGCCATCTAGTCAAAAGCAAACAATATGTATGCCATTACTTCGGAGGGAGTGAGTTCTTGTGCTGCTGAGGCAAAACGAGATGAACTGTCACAGGGATGGCAGGAGGGGTGGAGTGTAGGAGGAGGATCAGCCCCAGTAGTGAGAATTAAAAACTCTTTTGAGTATTTGGCCCTCCACTAGCAGTAAATTAACCTTCAAACCTGACCAAGACACTACCTGAGACCCTCCACTCTCCGACACCGCAGAATCAGACAACTGTTCTTGCTCAACTACTCATAAAAGATTCACAGCCTTCACCTACCACACATAAATCTACCGCGTTTGCTGCTTGTATACTTTGTCCTAACAGACCAACTAATGCCTTCTAGTCCAATAGCCTCCCGTCCACACCTCACATAAAACCTTCTCAGCCACCTTCCGGTTTCAGTAGGTGCCTCTTACTCCAGATCCACGTGTCCCCAGTTCTCCAGAGACCTTCACCTTCAAAACCCAAGCCCGTCCCCCCTTCACTCCCAGCTGATCTCCACCCAGGCCCTATCAATCCTTACTTCTAATAGGCCAACCACACTCCCCGGCCCCGCGCCTTCTCCCTCAGCACCCTTTTCTGAGCATCACCTATTTCCCACCACTTTCTTCCTCCCCAGACCCGGAATCCTGCAATCACTAGGCCTCCCTTTGCCGCTACCCTCCCGCGAGCACGCGGAGCCCGCTGCTCGGCTAACCACCCCGCCCCACCTTCGCCACCTCTAGCGGCCTCCCACCCCAGGCGGCTCCCCGGGCTCCGCGGCTGCAAACCAGGCCCCACCGTACGTCCCCCACGCGGTCCCGGCCCTGTGAAGGGCGGCGGCGGGGCAAAGAGGGGCAGAGACCACCCGGGGTGAGGCGGGCGCCCTCACTTCTGGGCGTACCCGGGCGGGGGCGGGGGCGGGACGGCTGGTCGGCGCCCCCGCCTCGGCCAGGCCTGCAGCCCGAGCTCCCGCAACCACTTCCCGAGCCAGGCGAGGAGGAGCCCGCAGCCCGGCCGCTCCCGCTGGCGCACCCCCTTCTCACCTAGACGCAGAGGCTCAGGCCTCGCTCTCCCACTGGCCGTCCAGCAATAGCTGCGCCGCCGCCGCCGCCGCCGTCGCGCTCTCTTCACTCGCTTTTCCACCGCCCGCGACCGGCTGCTGAAGAGCGGACGGGCAGTGGCACGCCCATTGGCTGAGGCCCGCAGTCGCGTCAGCCGGCCCCGACCGCACCTCGCGACGTGACTGGCTGGAGCGGCGCCTCTTTTCGACATCCGCTTTTGATTGGCTCTCGCGCACACCCTTATCCGCAGGACCAGTCATCCTCCTCCCTGCTTTAGCCTCTCACCCCCAACCCGGTTTCCCTCCGGGCGGGAGTGGGGCGGGAGCGGACGCCCGCGGAACGCGAACGGCCAATGGGGGCGCGGAGAGAGGGCCGGGAGGTGGGCCCTGCGGCCGGGAGGCTCGCGGGGGAATGCTCAGCCAATGGGCCCGCGCCCCACATCTCGAGTCCTGGAGCGCCCCCGCCGGCTGCTGGCGTCCTGTCGGGTCGCGCCCAGGGCCACGCCCGGCTGTCCGTCGCGCGGGAGGGGCGCCAACTCCCAAGGTTGGGAGCACGCAGCGAGGCCCGCGCGGGAGACAGCGGGGCTGCCATTGTGGCGTGCTTAGCGCTATTATGGTGGGGCCCGGGGGCCCTCCGGCCATTGCTGGGCGTGAGGGATCCGTTCGGAGAACTACCAGCTTGGCGGGTGTGGCCCGGGTCGGTGAGAGCGAAGAGCTCTACGGACCCCTGGAGCCTCCACGGGTCTCGCCCAGTCCCAGGGGACTGTGGGCCCATTCATTCCACCTTCCACTTCCTCCAAAATAATTCCCTACAAAACTTACCGGTAGTGATAGGAGTTAGAATAACGTTTACTTCTGAGGGGTGGGGCACGAGGGAACCTATGGAAAGCTGGAAACATTGCGTCTTGATCCTGGTGGTCGTTCCGGGCTGTGTACACATGGAGGAATTCATCGAGCCGGACACTTAATAGTATTACCACATTCATACGGCTCATTTTTAAAAAATAATAAAAGGATCATGAGAATTCTGTAATAATATTACCACAATCTTTGGGCTCCGTGGGACTCCATTGTATAAACAGTCCGCATTAGGATTTAGCTGTCATTCAAAACATGCAAGCCATAGGAAGAAAAAAAAAGATTTGTGAGAAGCAAAAATGAGTGAACGCTCTTGGCACGGTGAATAGCATGCACAGGTTGGTATTTAGGGATGGATGGCTCAGAGTGATTTTTCTGTGGGGATTTAGAGCTTGTTTCAGTGCCTGGCCCTGTTAGTAGCTAAAAGCAGTCATAGTGCTGCATCCAGTTGGAAACTACAAAAGCTCACTGAACTGCCTACTTTGTGGCAGATGTTAAGTTCTGGCTCAGGAAACTAATTTGAATGCCATGGCTTCTGCCTCGATGAGCTCACAGTCTTGCAGCAAGTACTGTCATTTCTGGAGGAGGGCACAGAACACAAAGCTAACACACTTGCTTACCCTCAGGGATGTCGCATTCCGCTACTTTAGGCAAGACAGTGTATGCCTGGAACCCATCCAGTCCAATAGCCATAGTCATAAATAGCCAGGATCAGGTGAAACACTTCTTAGAAGTGGGTCAAAATATTCTCCCAAAACAAACGTAAGAACTATGGACCAAATTCTAATCTGTAAAAGAACACAAGCAACAAAACAAAGATTACAGTATTCATATTTATTAATTTAGTCATTAAGTTGTTTAAATCAGGTAAATGCCTTTATTTAAAGTGCTTGTCACTACACTAGGCATATAAACTTGGATATGACAGTATTCCACAGAACATAGGGTTTAATGGAGAGACAGACATAAACAATGCCAGTGTAATACAGGATGAGGGAATACCTAGAAAGAGGATGTAACCCAGCATGGGGGATTCAGGAGCATGTTAGAACATGTGTAGCTAAGTTAACCACTGCTAAGGTTTATCAGTATACTGATAGGGTAATATCACTATAGGAAATAGACACTATTTCCAGAAAATACTTCATAAACTTTTTGTTGTTTGTGCATATGTCTTAATTTTAAAAATTGATATAAGTACAAAAGCAAAGTAATGCTTAGTTCTGAGGAAAATATGATGTAATTATTAAGTAATCACTTAATAAATGATTCTCAAAAATAGCCGTACACTTGAGAGCACAAAGGGATCTCATTTGATTCAAGTCAATGTGTATGAAATGTGTGCCTCCGGCAGACCCCCACAAATGGACAGAGTGCTTTCTGGAGGAAGACTTTAAAAAACAATGGATCACTCTCCAAGATGGTACAATTTCATGGGTAAGGCATGTTGTATGACTCGAATCTTCCATAATATACTATCATTCTTAAATGAATTCAGAGAATTAATAAATCTACAAAAAGTGAGTAATAAAAGGCAGTGAAAGATTTTGCACCAGAGTTTAAACTAGAAAAATGTAATGACATCAATCATTCATTCATCTGCCTTTCCCATCTTTATTCAGCAAGATCCCTGAAAATTGGGCGCCATATATTGGTATCAACTGCATTATAATTTTATTCAAACATGAAACAACTCTACATCTTTTTGATCCATGCTATAGAAACAATATCTTTTAAATGAAGGTAAATTACACCAAGCCAAAAATGTACCATTATAGTTTCTAGCCTAAAGGGAGATACTATATATCATTGAGAAAATATATAGGAATAAAGACCAAAACGAATATGCTACCCTTAACGTGGTTGGCATATTGGCCATAACGTGGCTATTATGACTCTCAGAATTTCATAACATTTTTAGAAACAAAAAACAAGTTCAAGCATTTTTATGCAAATACTGCTCTGAGGAAACAGTTTTCTTCTGGCATGTGTCATTTTCTAACACTTTTTTTGTGGAAATGTCTTATTCAGTATAGTTCTGATGAAGTCTTCACTTTATCCTCACAGCAGCCCTATGCAAGTATTCATCTATTCATCTAAATTCTGTAGAAGACAAACTTGAGGCTCAGTGAGGCAAGTAACTTGTCTAAAGACACATAGCTGTTAGGTGGCAGAAGTAGGATTAAAATCTAGATAGATTTGATGGCAAGCCCCATTATCTTTCTACTTATGCTTCATTTGCCTCTTCCAAAACCAGACCAAGTCATTATGTCTTGTCATTATACATCTTTGTATCCCTCACAATAAGTAGTACAGAGTCTTTTTTTTGAGAAGGAGTCTCGTACTGTCGCCCAAGCTGGAGTGCAGTGGTGCAATCTCGGCTCCCTGCAAGCTCTGCCTCTCCGGTTCACGCCATTCTCCTGCCTCAGCCTCCCGAGTAGCTGGGACTACAGGTGCGCACCACCACACCCAGCTAATTTTTTTTTGTACTTTTAGTGAAGATGGGGTTTCACCATGTTGGCCAGGGTGGTCTCAATCTCTTGACCCTCTGATCTGCCCGCCTTGGCCTCCCAAAGTGCTGGGATTACAGGTGTGAGCCACCGTGCCCAGCCTTCAGCCTTTTTTTTTTTTTTTGAGACGGAGTCTTGTTCTGTCCCTCAGGCTGGAGTGCAGTGATGCAATCTCGGCTCACTGTAACCTCTGCCTTCCTGGGTTCAAGTGATTCTCCTGCCTCAGCCTCCCGAGTAGCTAGAATTAGAGGCACCTGCCACCATGCCTGGCTAATTTTTGTATTTTTAGTAGAGACAGGGTGTCACCATGTTGGCCAAGCTGGTCTCGAACTTCTGACCTCATGATCCACCCGCCTTGGCCTCCCAAAGTGCTGGGATTACAGGCGTGAGCCAGCACGCCTGGCCCAGCATCTTATATACACACCCATCATGGAATTCACCAAATTAATCCTTCTTTTCACCATGCTTTACTTTACAGATTGCATGACAATAGAAAGTATAAACTATTTAAAAGTAACTGTAGCACATTAAAAATATTTGTTTTGATAAAACTAATGAGAATACAACTTTCTTTGTAGTTGCTGTGGAAAACCCATCATAACTGTCTAGAATGCACCAGAGATGTTCACTCTCAGCATAGAAAGAGTTACAGGCAACTTTTCCCAAGTGAACTAAATTTTAATGAGAGCAGTATTCTCTGTAGTTCATTTTATGGTATCTGCCTTGCCCTGCACCCAATCATGACTTCCAGAATAGGTCTGCTTTAAAAATATTTTTAAAGCCTGTTAGTAAAAACAAAAACAAAAAAATCCTATTAAGGTTTTAACATTTCCACCAGTACATTGATTGCCTGTCTAGGCAAGTACACACAGGTTCCTGTGGCTTCATTTCCCCAGTATCTGTTCTGGGTGTTTCAGAGGTCTGTGAAATAAGTTTGGTTTTCATCTGGAGGGGAATGCTCTGACCCTCAGATATTCCACAAGTTTAATCTAAGTGGAACAAAAATGGAGCTGCTATGTCCCTCGATCTTCTAAATTATTCTTTGTGTCTTGACTATTGACTTTCTGGTTCTCGACTATCTCCTCTAGACGTTGTTGATTGATAAAAGTGCCCTGGTATTACCCAGCTCCCAGGTCTTGGAAAGAAGAGGCACAGTATTTGTAACATGTTTTAGATACCATCTGTTGTCAATTTCCCAAGCATCATTGTGAAAAGAAGGCATCTTGTTGGCCAATTTATTTCCACATCTCATTAGATGGTCATTGTTCTGTCTGTCTTTTGTGGGTAGCATTGCCATGATTTGGAGCTCATTTGGGAGCAATAGTAACTGTATAGAACTCTGGAAATTATTCTTCTTTTTCCTGTCTTCTTTTCTTTTTCTTTCTTTCTTAGGGATTTACTCCCTTTGCACATGAGTCAGAACAGAGCTGCCACAGATGCCCAGAAATGAGAATGACTAATTCGACATCTTTTATCTAAGGTCATAGCATGTCCAAGATGTAAGCCCCAGACTCTGACTTGCCCTGTTCTTTGGGTGGTGCTTCTTGAGAATAGTACCTAAAGTCCCTAAAGTCACTACCAGCACACCCTTGGGCTTCTAAGGTAAGGCCTCCTCCTGGATATATTTGCAAACAAAGGCCCTAAACTGGGAGAACTTCACACAGCCAACCACACCTATGTGTAAAAAAGCTTGTCAGTGTCTACAAAGGTATGACTCTAAGGAAATAAAACATTTGACTCATTTGCTAATCTCCAGTTATCCAAAGTAGAGAACAGTGCACAGATTACAGTTTCTCCATAAACAAAGCCATTCAATCATTCTGTTCTGGTATTTCTTAGAGCAGCCAGTTATTTATAGATATATAATTAAAATTACTTTCATCTGTTTCTTTTTTTTACTTTTTTTTTTTATGTGGCTACTAGAAAAGTTAAAATTATATGTGGCCGTTAGCCAGGAATGGTAGCGTATGCCTATAATCCTAGCTACTAGGGAGGCTGAGGCAGGAGGATCACTTGAGCCCAGGAGTTTGAGGTTAGTTACACTGAGCTATGATCACACCACTGCATTCCAACCTGGGGAACAGAGCAAGACTCTTTCTAAAAAACAATAAAAATAAATTATATGTGGCTTGTATTATCTTCCTGTTGGACAGCATTTGTCAAGATGGCAAAAAAGGCCAGGTGTGGTGGCTCACTCCTGTAATCCCAGCACTCTGGGAGACCAAGGCGGGTGGATCACTTGAGGTCAAGAGTTCAAGACCAGCCTGGCCAACATAGTGAAACCTTGTCTCTACTAAAAATACAAAAATTAGCCGGGTGTAGTGGCAGGCACCTGTAATCCCAGCTACTCTGGAGGCTAAGGCACAAGAATCACCTGAATCCGGGAGACGGAGGTTGCAGTGAGCCAAGATAGTGCTGGTGCACTCCAGCCTGGACAATAGAGCAAGATTCAGTCTCAAAAAAAAAAAGGCAAAAAAGATAAACACAATAAAATATAACTGCTATAGGAAAAGTCAATAGAAAGTATTGTGGGCACACAGAGGAACAACTGTGTAGGAGATTCTAGGAAGGCATCACAGAGGAGGTAATATATGACTTGAATCCCAATGAGTGAGTAAGGATATTGATAAGTATTTCCCAGGCAGAAGATGAGCATGTAGAATGTTACATAAACATGAAAGAGTGACTAGCAAGTTGAAATGTTAAAAATAGCTTGCTGTTTCTCAAGTTTGGCATAGAGGGCAGGGTGCTCGCTGAAAAGTAGTAAGAAATGAAGTTGGAAAAATAGATTAAAGCAAGATATGAAAAGTCATGAAAGCAACACACCATTGATATTTTTAATAAAAAGGATTGATGTTTCTTGAGCTTTAGAAAGATAACTCCAGTGGTCACATGGAAGTTGAACTAAAGAGGGGAAAAGACTTGGGGTGGGAGAATAGGAAACAAAGATAGGAAGTTTAAATGGCTATAATTTTGGGCAGTGGTAGTGAGAATGCAGAGGACAGGGCCACAAAAGGTATCTCAGAAGTAGAATTGACGAAAACTGGTAACTCATGTAGGAGAAGTAAAGGAAAGAGAGGAATTAAGAGAGATGCCCAGAAGTGTTCCTACTAGGTCACAGGCTAGGCTAGAGTGACAATTTCCTTCTGTTCATTCAACAAATATTACTGAAGGCCCATATGGGTGCCAGGTAGTAGGGTATTGGTGCTTAATGGGCTGCCAGTGACAATGTCATAACGTTGTGTGATTCAGTTTAAAACATTTACTAGACATCAGGCATGAGGCACAGTGCCTGTAATCCTAGCACTTTGGGAGGCTGAGGTGGGTGGATCACTTGAGGTCAGGAGTTCAAGACCAGCCTGGCCAATATGGTGAAACCCCATCTCTACTAAAAATACAAAAAAAAAAAAAAAAAATTAGCCGGGCCTGGTGGCACATGCCTATAATCCCAATTACTTGGGAAGCTGTGGTGGAAGAATGGCTTGAACCCAGGAGGTGGACATCACAGTGAGCTGAGATCGTGCCATTGCACTCCAGCCTGGGCAACAGAGAGAGACTCTGTCTAAAAAAAAAAAAAAAAGAAGAAGAAGATTTCTATTTTATGTACTGTTCCTTGTGTAAGAGCATGTACCTACCTTAAATCCTGTCCTTAGGTCAAAACAACCTTGACCATAAATCAGACCCTAGGTATATTCATGTAACATTTTTGGCTTTTCCTACAATTGCCCTACACATTCCCTCCCTATGGTGTATAAGCCCTGTGTCCAGGAGGTAATGTTATGGGGGGGTCCACCTTCTTGTCTTGCTGCTGCCCAAAACACAGACATAGCTTCCATTTGTAAGTCCCTATTAAATGGTTTTTTGTTTTGTTTTTGAGAAACTTAGTTTTTCAGCTTCTTTCTTCAGCCTCTCAGCTCCCTTGGACTTCTGGGGGTAGATTTGCATAGACCTGCCTACCACAGAAATGTGGCAAGGCAGGCAGGAGCTGAGAGAACAAGAAATGGGCAAAGGAAATAAAGCATCCATGGGGGAAATCCCAAGCTGGCCAGCCACTTCAATGTGGAGTGGTGTGGCTTACCTGTTAGACATTGGTGGGCCACAAAGCAAATCCAGAAACACCCTGAAAATGCTGATGGGTTTAGAGCAATCGTTAACTATGAGCCATCTGTCACACATCACACTGCTGTAAGGAAGGGTGCTGAGTAGCTGATGCAGTCAGATTGCTGCTTCTGTGGGCTGTCCATTTGACAATGGAAGCCCAGCTACCAGCAGAAGCAAAGTAAGATGGCTTGAGGAAACACTTTTAAAACGTGTTTTTTAAAGAGCTCTATGGTCAAAAGTACATATATACTGTTTTAAGACCTCTGTTTTCTCTGTAAAACTTCTCAGTTGACTGAATTCTGTTTTTCTATCTGTCTGTCCCTCCTTTCTCTTGACGCCCTTGATATCACATGAGGGACCTGAAAAAGGGAATTTCAAATAGCTTGGTGTGTTAGTCCATTCTAACACTGCTATAAAAAAAATACCTGGGACTGGGTAATTTATAAGAAAATAGGTTGAATTGGCTCAAGTTATGCAGGCTGTACAGGAAGCATATCAGCTTCTGCCTCTAGCGAGGCATCAGGCAATTTACAATCATGGCAGGAGACAAAGTGGGAGCCAGCACTTTGCATGGCTGGAGCATAAGTGGGGCAGGGAAGTGCCACACACTTTTAAACAACCAGATCTCATGAGAACTCTATCTTGAGAACAGCACTAGGGGGAAGGTGCTAAACCATTCATGAGAAACTACCCCCATGATCCAATCACCTCCCACCAGGCCCCACCTACAGCATTGGGGATTACAATTCAACATGAAATTGGGTGGGGACACAGATCCAAATTATATCATTCTGCTCCTCATCCCTCCCAAATTTCATGTCCTTCTCACATTGCAACATACAATCATGCCTTCCCAACAGTCCCCCCAAATCTTAACTCATTTCAGCATTAACTCAGATGTCCAAAGTGTCATCTGAGACAAGGCAAATTCCTTACGCCTATGATCCTGTAAAATAAAAAACAAGTTATTTACTTCTAAGATACAATGAGGGTATAGGCATTGGGTAAGTACTCCTGTTCCAAAAGGGAGACATCAGCCAAAAGAAAGGGGCTACAGCCACCATGCAAGACTGAAACACAGCAGGTCAGCCATTAAAACTTAAAGCTCCAAAATAATCTTTGACTTCATGTCTCACATCCAGGACACACTGGTGCAAGGGGTGGGCACCCAAGGCCTAGGGCAACTCTGCCCCCAAGGCTGCTCTCATGGGCTGATATTGAGTGCTTATGGCTTTCCAAGTGCATGTTGTAAGCTGTTGGTGGCTCTACCATTCTGGGGTCTGGAGTATAGTGGCCCTCCTCCCACAAATCCACTAGGCAGTGCTGCAGTGGGGACTCTGTATGGGGGCTCCAATCCCACATTTCCCTTCCATACTACCCTTATAGAAGTTCTCCATGAGGGCTCTGCCCCTGCAGCAGGCTTCTGCCTGGACATCCAGGCTTTTCCATACATTCTCTGAAATCTAGACAGAGGCTCTCAAACCCCAAATCTTGCATTCTGCACACCCATAGCCTTAACACCATGTGGAGGCCACCAAGGTTTATGGTTGCACACCCTCTGAAGCAGTGTCCCAAGCTGCACCTGGGCTCCTTTTAGCCACAGCTGGAGCTGGAGTGACTTGTATGCAGGGATCAGTGTCTTGAGGCTGCACAGTGCTGCAGGGCCCTGGGCATGGTTCACAAAACTATTGTTTTCCTAGGGCTCTGGGCCTGTGATGGGAAGGGCTGCCACGAGGGTCTCTGAAGTGCCTTCGAAGCATTTTCCCCATTTTCTTGGCTATCAGTACTTGCCTTCCTTTTAGTTATGCAAATTTCTGCAGCTGGTTTGAATTCCTCCCCAGAAAATGGGCTTTTCTTTTCTAACACATAGTCAGGCTGCAAGTTTTCCAAACTTTTATACTCTGCTTCCCTTTTAAATATAAGTTTGAGTTTTACATCATTTCTTTGCTCACACATATGAGCATAGGTTGTTAGAAGCAGCCAGGCCACATCTTGAACACTTGGCTGCTTAGAAATTTCTTCCATCAGATACCCTATAGTATCACTCTAAAGTTCTTTCACAGATCCATAGGGCCAGAGGCAATAGTGCAGCCATCTTCTTTGCCAAGAGGTAACAAAAGTGACCTATGCTCCAGTTCCCAATAAGTTCCTTATCTCCATCTGAGACCTCATCAGCCTGGACTTCACTGTCCATATCACAATCTGCGTTTTGGTCACAACTATTCAACAAGTCCCTAGGAAGCTCCAAACTTTTCCTCATCTTTCTATCTTCTTCTGAGCCCTCCAAACTCTTCCAACCTTTGCCTGTTACTTGGTTCCAAAACTACTTCCACATTTCCAGGTACTTCCACATTTCCAAAACTACTTCCACATTTCTTTGTAGCACTTCATCACCCCTCAGTACCAATTTTCTGTATTAGTTCATTCTCACACTGCTATAAAGTAATACTTGAGACTGGGTAATTTATAAGAAAAAAAGGTTGAATTGGTTCATGATTTTGCCAGCTGTACAGGAAGCCTATACAGTGGCTTCTGCTTCTAGGGAGGCCTCAGGAAACTTACAATCATGGCAGAAGGTGAAGGAGGAGCCGGCACTTCCCATGGCTGGAGTAGAAGGAGAGAGATGGAGTGAAGTGCCACACATTTTAAAATAATCAGATCTTGTGAGAACTCTATCATGAGAACAGCACTAGGTGGATGGTACTAAACCATTCATGAGAAACCACTCCCATGATCCAGTCACCTCCCACCAGGCCCCACCTCCAGCATTGGGAATTAAATTTCAACATGACATTTGGGCAGGGACACAGATCCAAACCATGTCACCTGAGATCCCTGGGAAAAACAGGGAAAGGTGACAAAGACTCCTTTTTTGGAAAGGAATCTCTGTTTTTCCTCATGGAACCCTAAAAGTTGTAAATGGATAGATTCCACTCAGGTTTAAAATTGCTCTCTTTTGTATTGTTTTGTCTGATCTCTTTGGGTATGGGGGGACACCAGAGGTTACTTTGTACTATGAGAGGACTTGACATCAGTGTGTATAATGGTTGGCAGTCATGGGCAAGAGCTACAGTGTTAGAGGTGACTGATGACAGTTGCTTACACTAAATAGTTATTTCCACAAGGAGCTACCTGTTTTTCTTTGGTTTATGTACCTAGAGGATACAGAAACTCTTGACACTGAGAGATAAAACTCCATGGGGGATGGCCTGATCACTGAATTGGCTGATTGGCATTGGGTTGCCCACCAGCCTCAGGGAAATGGTCTTGCAGGAGGTGCACTGTGGTAGCATTGCATTAACCAGTTCATGGTTTTTCTTTTTGAGGACCCAGGATTCAGTGTAAAATGGAATCCTTGATTTTGAGGGATCTAAGTCTTCTGCCTTTCAGTAAACATTAGGCCCTAAAAACTGCATGCTTTCTGTCCTCTGTTCATTGAAGGGTCATATTGTTTGGCTCTGTGTCCCCATCCAAATCTCATCTTGTAGCTCCCATAATTCCCATGTGTTGTGGGAGGGATCCAGTGAGAGATAATTGAATCAAGGGGGTGGGTCTTTCCTGTTCTGTTCTCGTGATAGTGAATAAGTCTCATAAGATCTGATGGTTTTAAAAACGGGTTTCCCTGCACAAACTCTCTCTTTGCCTCCCACCATCCTCCTTGCCTTCCCTTATGATTGTGATGCCACCTTGGCGACATGGAACTGTAAGTCCATTAAACTTTTTTCCCGTATAAATTATCCAGTCTCAGGTAGGTCTTTATTAGCAGCATGAAAACAGGTTAATACAAAGGGCTTCACCCTGAAGCTGGTAATCTAATTAAGAAGCTAAGTTAAAAAGAAGACACTTTCTATCAATCTTATCTTCAGATAATGATGTTAGGTCTAAGTTCTGCACCTTCGAAATTAAACTTTTCTTTTTCTTTTTTTTTTAATACTTTAAGTTCCAGGGTACGTGTGCATAATGTGCATGTTTGTTACATAGGTATACATGTGGCATGTTGGTTTGCTGCACCCATCAATTCGTCATTTACATTAGGTATTTCTCCTAATGCTATCCCTCCCCGAGCCCCCCCACTCCCCAACAGGTCCCAGTTTGTGATGTTCCCTTCCCTGTGTCCATGTGTTCTCATTGTTCAACTCCCACTTATGAGTGAGAATATGTGGTGTTTGGTTGTCTGTCCTTGTGATATTTTGCTGAGAATGATGGTTTCCAGCTTCATCCATGTCCCTGCAAAGGACATGAACTCATCCATTTTTATGGCTGCATAGTATTCCATGGTGTATGTGTGCCACATTTTCTTTATCCAGTCTATTATTGATGGACATTTGGGTTGGTTCCACATCTTTCCATTGTGAATAGTGCTGCAATAAACATGCATGTGCATGTGTCTTTATAGTAGCATGATTTCTAATCCTTTGGGTATATACCCAGTAATGGGATTGCTGGGTTGAAAGGTATTTCTAGTTCTAGATCCTTGAGGAATTGCCACACTGTATTCCACAATGGTTGAACCAATTTACACTCCCACCAACAGTGTAAAAGCATACCTATTTCTCCACATCCTCTTCAGCATCTGTTGTTTCCTGACTTTTTAATGATTGCCATTCTAACTGCCAATCTAACTGGTATCTCATTGTGGTTTTGATTTGCATTTCTCTGATAACCAGTGATCATGAGCATTTTGTCATATGTCTGTTGGCTGCATAAATGTCTTCCTTTGAGAAGTGTCTGTTCATATGCTTTGCCCACTTTGTGATGGGGCTGTTTTTCTCTTGTAAATTTGTTTAAGTTCTTTGTAGATGCTGGATATTAGCCCTTTGTCAGATGGATAAATTACAAAAATTTTCACCCATTTTGTAGGTTGCCTGTTCACTCTGATGATAGTTTCTTTTGCGGTGCAGAAGTTCTTTAGTTTAATTAGATCCCATTTGTTTATTTTTGGCTTTTGTTGCCATTGCTTTTGGTGTTTTAGTCATGAAGTCTTTGCCCATGCCTATGTCCTGAATGGTATTGCCTAGGTTTTCTTCCAGGGTTTTTATGGTTTTAGGTCTTACATTTAAGTCTTTAAACCATCTTGAGTTAATTTTTGTATAAGGTGTGAGGAAGTGATCTAGTTTCAGCTTTCTACATATGGCTAGCCAGTTTTCCCAGCACCATTTATTAAATAGGGAATTCTTTCCCCATTTCTTGTTTTTGTCAGGTTTGTCAAAGATTAGATAGTTGTAGGTGTGTGGTGTTACTTCTGAGGCCTCTGTTCTGTTCCATTGGTTTATATGGTTGTTTTGGCACCAGTACCATGCGTTTTGGTTACTGTAGACTTGTAGTATAGTTTGAAGTCAGGTACTGTAATGCCTCCAGCTTTGTTCTTTTTGCTTAGGATTGTCTTGGCTATGTGGGCTCTTTTTTGGTTCCATATGAACTTTAAAGTAGTTTTTTCCAATTCTGTGAAGAAAGTCAGTGGTAGCTTGATGGGGATAGCATTGAATCTATAAATTACCTTGGGCAGTATGGCCATTTTCATGATATTGATTCTTCCTATCATGAGCATGGAATGTTCTTCCATTTGTTTGTGTCCTCTTTTATTTCATTGAGTAGTGGTTTGTAGTTCTCCTTGAAGAGGTCCTTCACATCCCTTGTAAGTTGTATTCCTAGGTATTTTATTCTCTTTGTAGTAATTGTGAATGGGAGGTCAGTCATTATTTGGCTCTCTGTTTGTCTGTTCTTGGTGTATAGGAATACTTGTGATTTTTGCACATTGATTTTGTATACTGAGACTTTGCTGAAGTTGCTTATCAGTTTAAGGAGGTTTGGGGCTGAGATGATGGGGTTTGCTAAATATACAATCATGTCATCTGCAAACAGAGACAATCTGACTTCCTCTTTTCCTAATTGAATACCCTTTATTTCTTTCTCTTTCCTGATTGCCCTGGCCAGAACTTCCAACACTATATTGAATAGGAGTGGTGAAAGAGGGCATCCTTGTCTTGTGCCGGTTTTCAAAGGGAATGCTTCCAGTTTTTGCCCATTCAGTATGATATTGGCTGTGGGTTTGTCATAAATAGCTCTTACTATTTTGAGATACGTTCCAACAATACCTAGTTTATTGAGAGTTTTTAGCATAAAAGGCTGCTGAATTTTGTCAAAGGCCTTTTCTGCATCTATTGAGATAATCATGTGGTTTTTGTTGTTGGTTCTGTTTATGTTATGGATTACGTTTATTGATTTGCATATGTTGAACCAGCCTTGCATCCCAGGGATAAAGCCAACTTGATCGTGGTGGATAAGCTTTTTGATGTGCTGCTGGATTCAGTTTGCCAGTGTTTTATTGAGGATTTTTGCATTGATTTTCATCAGGGATATTGGCCTAAAATTCTCTTTTTTTGTTTTGTCTCTGCCAGGCTTTGGTATCAGGATGATGCTGCATAAAATGAGTTAGGGAGGATTCCCTCTTTTTCTATTGATTGGAATTGTTTCAGAAGGAAAGGTACCAGCTCCTCTTTGTACCTCTGGTAGAATTCGGCTGTGAATTCGTCTGGTCCTGGACTTTTTCTGGTTGGTAGGCTATTAATTATTGCCTCAATTTCAGAACCTGTTATTGGTCTATTCAGAGATTCAACTTCTTCTTGGTTTAGTCTTGGGAGGGTGCATATGTCCAGGAATTTATCCATTTCTTCTAGATTTTCTAGGTTATTTGCCTAGAGGTGTCTATAGTATTCTCTGATGGTAGTTTGTATTTCTGTGGGATCAGTGATGATATCCCCTTTATCATTTTTTATTGCATCAATTTGATTCTTCTCTCTTTTCTTTTTTATTAGTCTTGCTAGCAGTCTATTTTGGTGATCTTTTCAAAAAACCAGCTCCTGGATTCACTGATTTTTTGAAGGGATTTTGTGTCTCTATCTCCTTCAGTTCTGCTCTGATCTTAGTTATTTATTGTCTTCTGCTAGCTCTTGAATTTGCTTGCTCTTGCTTCTCTAGTTCTTTTAATTGTGATGTTAGGATGTTGATTTTAGACCACTCCTGCTTTCTCTTGTGGGCATTTAGTGCTATAAATTTACCTCTACACACTGCTTTAAATGTGTCCCAGAGATTCTGGTACATTGTGTCTTTGTTCTCATAGGTTTCAAAGAACATCTTTATCTCTGCCCTCATTTCATAAGTTATACAGTAGTCATTCAGGAGCAGGTTGTTCAGTTTCCATGTAGTTGTGTGGTTTCGAGTTAGTTTGTTAATCCTGAGTTCTAATTTGATTGCACTTTGGTCTGAGAGGCTGTTTGTTGAGATTTTTCTTCTTTTACATTTGCTGAGGAGTGTTTTACTGCCAATTATGTGGTCAATTTTAGAATAAGTGTGATGTGCTGAGAAGAATGTATATTCTCTTGATTTGGGGTAGAGAGTTCTGTAGATGTCTATTAGGTCTGCTTGGTCCAGAGCTGAGTTCAAGTCCTTGATATCCTTGTTAAGTTTCTGTCTTGTGGGTCTTTCTGTTTTGTTGATAATATTGACAGTGGGGTGTTAAATTCTCCCATTATTTTTGTGTGGGAGTCTAAGTCTCTTTGTAGTCTCTAAGAACTTGCTTTATGAATCTAGGTGCTCCTGTATTGGGTGCATATATATTTAGGATAGTTAGCTCTTCTTGTTGAATTGATCCCTTTACCATTATGTAATGGCCTTCTTTGTCTCTTTTGATCTTTGTTGGTTTAAATTCTGTTTAAAGACCAGGATTGTAACCCCTCCTCTTTTTTTGCTTTCCATTTGCTTGGTAGATCTTCCTCCATCCCTTTATTTTGAGCCTATGTGTGGCTCTGCAAGTGAGATGAGTCTCCTGAAAACCGCCCACCTATGGGTCTTGACTCTTTATCCAATTTGCCAGTCTGTGTCTTTTAATTGGGGCATTTAGCCCATTTACATTTAAGGTTAATATTGTTATGTGTGAATTTGATCCTGTCATCATTATGTTACCTGGGTATTTCGCCTGTTAATTGATGCAGTTTTTCCTAGCATCGATGGTCTTTACAATTTGGCATGTTTTTGCAGTGGCTGGTACCAGTTGTTCCTTTCCATGTTTCCTGCTTCCTTCAGGAGCTCTTGTAAGACAGGCCTAGTGGTGACAAAATCTCTGAGCATTTGCTTATCTGCAAAGTATTTTATTTCTCCTTCACTTATGAAGCTTAGTTTGGCTGGATATGAAATTCTGGGTTGAAAATTATTTTCTTTAAGAATGTTGAATATTTGTCCCCACTCTCTTCTGGCTTTTAGGGTTTCTGCTGAGAGATCCGCTGTTAGTCTGATGGGCTTCCCTTTGTGGATAACCCGACCTTTCTCTCTGGCTGCCCTTAACATTTTTTCCTTCATTTCAACCTTGGTGAATCTGACAATCATGTCTCTTGGGGTTGCTCTTCTGGAGGAGTATCTTTGTGGTGTTCTCTGTATTTCCTGAATTTGAATGTTGGTCTGCCTTGCTAGGTTGGGGAACTCCTGGATAGTATCCTGAAGAGTGTTTTCTAACTTGATTCCATTCTCCCTGTCACTTTCAAGTACACCAATCAAATGTAGATTTGGTCTTTTCACATAGTCCCATATTTCTTGGAGGCTTTGTTTGTTTCTTTTCACTCTTTTTTCTCTAATCTTGTCTTCTCGCTTTATTTCATTAATTTTATCTTCAATCACTGCTATCCTTTCTTCTGCTTGATCAAATTGGCTATTGAAGCTTGTGTATGCTTCATGAAGTTCTTGTACTGTGGTTTTCAGCTCCATCAGGTCATTTAAGCTCTTCTGTACACTGGTTATTCTAGATAGCCATTCATCTAACATTTTTTCAAGGTTTTTAGCTTCCTTGCAAATGGTTAGAACATGCTCCTTTAGCTCAGAGAAGTTTGTTATTACTGCCTTTCTGAAGCCTTCTTCTGTTATCTCGTCAAACTTATTCTCCATCCAGTTTTGTTCCCTTGCCGGCAGGGCATTCTGTTCCTTTGAAGGAGAAGAGGCATTCTGGTTTTTGGAATGTTCAGCCTTTCTGTTATGGGTTCTCCCCATCTTTCTTGTTTTATCTACCTTTGGTCTTTGATGTTGGTGACCTACGGATGGGGTTTTGGTGTGGATGTCCTTTTTGTTGATGTTGATGCTATTCCTTTCTGCTTGTTAGTTTTCCTTCTAACAGGCCCCTCAGCTGCAGGTCTGTTGAAGTTTGCTGGAGGTCCACTCCAGACCCTGTTTGCCTGGGTATCACCAGCAGAGGCTGCAGAACAGCAAATATTGCTGCCTGATCCTTCCTCTGGAAGCTTCATCCCAGAGGGGCAACTGCTTGTATGAGGTGTTTGTCAGTGCCTACTGGGAGGTGTCTCCCAGTCAGGCTACACGGGGGTCAGGGACCCACTTGAGGAGGCAGTCTGTCCGTTATCGGAGCTTGAAGGCTGTGCTGGGAGAACCACTGCTCTCTTCAGAGCTGTCAGGCAGGGACGTTTAAGTCTGCAGAAGCTGTCTGCTGCCTTTTGTTCACATATGCCCTTCCCCCAGAGGTGGAATCTAGAAAGGCAGTAGGCCTTGCTGAGCTGCGGTGGGCTCTGCCCAGTTCAAGTTTCCCTGCTGCTTTGTTTACACTGTGAGCATAGAACCACTTACTCAATCCTCAGCAATGGCAGACACCCCTCCCCCAGCCAGGCCCCACCATCCCAGGTTGATCTCAGACTGCGATGCTAGCAGCGAGCAAGCCTCCATGGGCGTAAGACTTGCCGAGCCAGGCATGGGAGGGAATCTCCTGGTCTGCCAGTTGCAAATACCATGGGAAAAACTGCAGTATTTGGGCAGAAATGTACCATTCCTTCAGGTACATTCACTCACGGCTTCCCTTGGCTAAGAAAGGGAAATCCCCTAACCCCTTGCACTTCCCATGTGAGGCGACTCCCTGCCCTGCTTCGGCTAACCCTCCATGGGCTGCACCCACTGTCCAACCAGTCCCAGTGAGATGAACCAGGTAACTCAGTTGGAAATGCAGAAAACACCCGTCTTGTGTGTCGATCTTGCTGGGAGCTATAAACTGGAGCTGTTCCTATTCAGCCATCTTGGAAGCAACCTGAAATGTAACTTTTCTACCTTGTTTTACCTAAAAGTCCTGTCTCTGGAAATGACTGATAGTCTCTAACAGGGGTAGAGAAACTATTTGAAAACTGGCAAATGAAGAATGTTATAAATCTATAAGATCAACTTCTGTCTATGTCTCTGTATGTCTTATATGTGTCATGTGTATTTGATATTTACTACCAAGTTACATGAAAGAACTCTAATTAATTGGCTTAAAGAAAAAGTAGCACTTATAGAAAAATAAAAACCAACTCAAATGCCTTTTAGTTCACATGACTTTAGTGGTCTTTGATAAATAAAACTTGTTTCAACATTTTCTTCAGTAATTTAAAATTTTAAAGTCATGTTATGTTAAATTAAGCAATCCTAGATTTTTCACTGGAAATTAGGGTTACTAGGAGTTTAAATAGTTGTTAGTATGTGTAATTAAAACTACTATATATAAAAGAAACAATTCTATATAGGGAGTATGTAAAGAAAGATGTGTTTTTGGTAAGGAAGTTTATAAAAAAGACATAAAGATGTGGTTTTTGCTAAAGAAGAAGTGATTTTTGTCTAGGTTAGATGTTAGTTAAAGGTTGTTTCAAAATGAAGGAAAAGACTGGATGTGGTGGCTCACACTTGTAATCTCAGCTTTTGGGGAGGTCAAGGCGGGAGGATTGCTTAAGGCCCGAGTTTGAGACTAGTATAGGTAACAAAGCAAGACCCCATCTCTAAAAAAAACAAATAAACAAATAAGCAAAATTAGTCAGGCATGGTGACACATGCCTGTAGTCCTTGCTACTCGGGAGCCTGAGATGGGAGCAGTGCTTGAGCCCAGGAGTTTCAGGTTACAGTGAGATATGATGGCTCCACTGCACTCCAGCCTGGGCTCAGGGCAAGACAGAAGGAGAAGGAGGAGGAGGAGGAGGAGGAGGAAGAGAAGGATGGTATAGATAAAATTAAACTGACAGAAAATAAAGGATAGGCCAGGTGTGGCAGCAAGTATCTGTAATCCCAAAACATTGGGAAGCCAAGGCAGAAGAGTCACTTGAAACCAGGAATCTGAGACCAGCCCTGTAGTCTCAGCTACTCAGGTGGCTGAGGCAGGAGGCTGAGGTGGGAGGATCACTTGATCCTAGTAGGTCAAGGCTACAGTGAGCTGTGGTCATGCCACTGCACTCCAGCTTGGGTGACAGAGTGAGACCCTGTCTTGAGTTAATGTATATATGAATATATATTATATAAATAATGAACACATTATTAATATATATGTTCATTTATGAATACATATACATTCAAATATATATTACACACATATACATATTACACATACATATATACACACGTATACATATACACACACGTGTATACATATACACACACATGTGTATACATATACACACACATGTGTATACATATATACACACGTGTATACATATATACACACGTGTGTATACATATATATACACATGTGTATACACATGTATGTGTGTATATGTGTGTGTGTGTGTTTATATAAAGAGAGAGAGAGAGAGAGAAAGGATAAAAGGGTGGAGATGAGGAACTTTTCATTCCCAGGTGGCCATGTGGTCACCATCCATGGTATAGAGCTGCAGCTGTGCTGCACTCAGTTACTGAAGGTAAAAGTTACCAGTGGAATTCAGAGATGGATTCAACTCCTGGGGGAATGTTCACTGGATGCATAAGGAAATGCAAACTAATAAGGAAAACACAAAATATTCAATCCCTTGGTTATTGTTATCTGTAATAACTAGAATGAAAGTAAAAGAGAGTGCTGGATCAGCCCTTGAGGCTGGACCAAGCTCAGATGTGGTCTGTCTGAGCTCAGGTCACTAGCCTCAAAACTACCCATGAGGGGCAAAATTATGCCAGGGCAACAGAAAGTACCTTTAAGACCTGTGGTCACCAAGAAGATAGTCAATGTGGGGGAAAGGAAAAACCAAGTTAATTATTGAAACCAGAGGACACAGTGTAAATAAAGTGCTCCATTTTGTAGACAGGTATCATCAGCTCCCTGAGTAGCCTTTAATAAAGTGGATTGTGAGAGTAACTAATTTAGGGGCAGTATCTTTGGTTTTAAATGCTGCAGACTGAGAGAGCATGTTTGGGCTGATGCAGGACCCAAAGCTCAGTATTGAACAATGTATAGCAGATGGCTATACATGATCCAGATACACAGTAGGTTATACCTGAAGGAACAGCCAGTCTGGTGGACTAGATAAAAGCCACTGTAAGATATGTTTACCCGGAGAAGGGGGCCTGCCCAACGCCCCCTATAAATGCCAAGTGAAGTACCCCAGCTGTATTAGTTTGTTCTTGCATTGCTATAAAGAGCTACTTGAGACTGGGTAATTTATAAAGAAAAGAGGTTTAATTGGCTTATGGTTCCACAGGCTGTACAGAAAGCACTGCTAAGGAGGCCTCAGGAAACATTAAATCACGGCAGAAGGTGCAGGGGAAGCAGGCACATCTTACATGGCCAGAGCAGGAGGAAGAGGGTGAAGAGAGAGGTGCTACACACTTTTAAACAACCAGATCTTCTGAGAACTCATTCACTATCACAAGAACAGCAAGGGGGAAGCCTGCCTGCATGACCCAATCACCTCACCAGGCCCCTCCTCCAACACTGGGGATTACAATTCTATATGAGATTTGGGTGGGGACACAAATTGAAACCATATCACCAGGTGAAGAAGCTGATATGTTTCATATGCAAACCATGTGGGACTGGCTTCGTGACCACAGGGCCATTCAAATGGCCATTCAAAATGTCCATTACCCAGGTCATGATAAATGCTGTGGCTTAGGAGACTCCTTCTACATGGGCATCCCATGTGATGCCATTACTTCTGCAAATCCAACAACGGTTTGGTTCCAGGAACCTTATCAAATGTGCTATCACGGCTTTCTGTCATGGGTCTTACAGATGGTAATAAAAACATTCAATTAACAAGAAAATGGTGAAGAGTAGAGGGAAGAGTCAAAAGAATTATCTCATGAAGGTGAGAATTTTTGAAAAGTAACTAAGCAATAAGGTGAATAAAGAAAACATTGGATTGGATGCAGTGGCCCACGCCTGTAATATCAGCACTTTGGGAGGCCAAGGCAGGAGGATCACTTGAGCCCAAGAGTTCAAGACCAGCTTGGCCAACATGGTGAAACCCCATCTCTACTAAAAATGTAAAAATTAGCCAGGCATGGTGGCATGTGCCTGTCCCAGCTACTTGGGAGGCTGAGGCACGAGAATTGCTTGAACCTGGGAGGCAGAGGTTGTAGTCAGCCAAGATCACACCACTGCACTCCAGTCTGAGCAACAGAGCAAGACTCTGTCTTAAAAAAAAAAAAAAAGAAAGAAAGAAAAAGAAAAAAGAAAAAAAAGGAAAGAAAACATTGATGGGGTGAAACTAAAAGAAAAAAAGTCACGGGACTCATTCCAACAGGGTGGAAATCTGTAGATGGTTATTAAGAAATGAAATGAGTAAAATAGAAATTGATGAGGTTAGAGCAAAGATTTTAATACAACACTATCAAAAGTTGAGTGAACCAAAGGGAGCCGCAAATGAGTTTTCTGTATCTACTCCAGGTTGAAAAAAAATATTGGAAGGCAAAGGTTACAATGAGAAAGCTGACCAATTGCCTGGGGCAACGTTGAGGTGAGTTACTTGGAGCAAATATGGGCCAAAAGGCTTCACCCTGTGCTGGGAACTCAAATCCTTTTTCACAAGAGAGGGTAAAATATCATGAAGGTGGAAATACGAAGTTTCTGGGACCAGAACAGAAAATGTAAAGGTTGACAGCATTATGAAAGTTGAAAAGTTTAAAAAAGCTTTATATAAAGTAGTTGTATATCTTTTACCTAAATGTTTTATGAAAATGAATCTTATGTTTAAATGGGGAATGTTTTCCCTACCTAGTACTTCAAAAGAGAAGCATGTAATTCTGCTCTTTGAGCAATATTAATCAGGCATGATAAATGGGAACTGGTAAGGTTGCCCAAGCCCACACAGTGTGGAGTAGAAGCTGGAGTGCTGGTAAGAACAAATTCTCCACTCGATGGCCCTTAGTGGAACATTTATTGGGACTCATGGGGTGATATCAGGGAACCACTTTCATGGGGATAGCAGTGCCCAAAAGAGTTCCATGATAAAGTTGAAATGGTTTATATAGTGTTTTGCTACCTAAAAGCATGCAGAGATACTCATGAGCAGGGAGCCTCTTTTTCCCCTAGGACTAACTCTGCAACTGTGTGAGCAGCTGCTGGATTCTAGGGAGACTGATAAACAGCTCTCACCTGACTGACAAAGAGCTGCTTGGTTTGTGGATGGCAGTTCTAAAGTGAAAAAACAACATCTTGTTGTTGTTTCCAAACAACATCTTGTTTGGAAGTCTGCTACTCTGATTGAAGAAGAGTCAAGAAAACCTTTTTCAGCCAGGCAAGGTGGCTTACGCTTGTAATCCCAGCACATTGGGAGGCCAAGGTGGGCAGATCACCTGAGGTCAGGAGTTTGAGACAAGCCTGGCCAACATGGTGAAACCTCATCTTTACTAAAAATACAAAAATTAGCCAAGCATGGTGGCAGGCGCCTGTAATCCCAACTACTCTGGAGGCTGAGGCAGGAGAATCACTTGAGGCAGAGGTTGCAGTGAGTGGAGATTACGCCATTACACTTCAGCCTGGGTGACAAGAGCAACACTCCATCTCAAAAACAAACAAACAAAAAAAAAAAAAAAAGAAAGAAAACCTTTTTCTTTTAAGCTATTTATAGCTTGAAATTATTTTATACCCAAATTATTTCCTGGCTGCAAGAAGTCTCTAAAGGAGAATAGGGTTTTAATTTTCTTCCTGTGGGGGCTTTCTAACAGAATAGGTTCTTTTTGTTACTGTTCTGACATACAAATTCTCTTTTGACGTAATCATTGTGTGCATCATATTTTTACTATTCCAATTATTAATGTTTTGTATCTCATTGTTTTACTTTTTCAAAGAAAACTGAAGCCATGGTATTTCAAAGACAAGAGATGATTCAACAGAGCCTGTTAATCTCCCTCATTTGGAATCCCACTGGGCCTGATCTGTTTTCCATTGCCCGTGCACTGCTGCTAAAGCTGTACCATATTAACCACTCTCTCTAAAAGCTCAGGGACCATCACAGAAGAGGGAGGTGCATGAGATTATAAAAGCCAGGTTAGCGAGGTGGAGTGTGGAGGCCAAAGCAACTCCATCTTAAATACTAATCTGCCATTTTGATTTTGGATTAACCGTAGTTCCACGAATAGCTCTAAGATTTCTATTTTATGGACTGTTCCTTGTGTAAGAACACATACTTACTTTAAATCCTGTTCTTAGGTCAGAACAACCTTGACCATACATCCTTATGCTATTCCTATAGCATTCTTGCCTTTCCCTATAGTTGTCCCACACATTCCTTCCCTGTGGTATATAAGCCCTGGGTCTGGGCAGTAATGGAGCCACCATCTTGCCTCACCACTACCTGAGATATGGACACGGTTTCTGTTCAAAAGTCCCTATTAAATGTTTCTTTCTGAGAAACTGAATATGTCAGCCTCTTTCTTCAGCTTCTCTGCTTCCTTGAATTCTTACAGATAGGTTTGCATCGGCCTGTCGGCCTGTCTACTGTGGAATGAGGAATCATCAAAATAAGTTATGTGCAATAAAATTTGAACAATAAAGAGGAAACAAATATTCAGTAACTTTGGTTTTCATTCTGGCTTACCTAAGAAGATATCCTGCATGCCTTATGCTTGACTCACTGACACATTCTAGTTGACAATACAGCATAACATTTGGTGATCTTTGAGTGGGAAAGAAAAGCTCTCAGTTACAGTAAGTACTAAAAATTATTGACAACCACGTTACAGTCACGTTGGCCAGAAGAACTTGAAGTTCAAAGCAAAGTCTTAGAAGCTATAAAAAATAAAGTGATAAACAGGCAGGACCTAATATTTGAAATACAAATGAAATGTGTATTTTTCTCTTTATCTCTAAAAAGAAAAGTGGCAATTCAGGTTACACGGGCCTTCGAACATATAATGATTAAAAGCACAAGGAAAGTACACAGAGATTAAAGAAAAATTCATTACACAAGAGGGAGTGAATCAAGTTTTTTTCTTTTAACACGGTAAAAACCTAGTTGAGACTGGATTCTAGGGCCTTTGATTATTCTGTATTTTCCACAATACAGCCAAAGCTTTTAATTAATAAAAATGTTGAGAGAGAGAGGGATGACAACTAGTGTTCTTATTATTTAAGAAAGTAAAAGAAATGCCAAAGTATCAGAAATAGGCTTGATTGTATGTAGCAGCTTTGGTGTTGCTGGGGCTATTCCTGAGAGAGCTGGCTACTAGGACAAATGGGCTAGAACAGCAACAAGGATAAAAGAGTGAAGGCGTAAGAGAGTGGGGAGGTGACTAGGGGTGTGTGTGTAGGGGAAGCCCATGATAGGGTTTGGATTTGTGTCCCCGTCCAAATCTCATGTCGAATTGTAATCCCCAATGTTGGAAGAGGGGCCTGGTGGGAGCTGATTGGATCATGAGGGCGGATGACCCCCTTGCTGTTCCCTTGATGGTGAGTTCTCATGAGATCTGGTTGTTTAAAAGTGTGTAGCACCTCCCCCTTTCCCCTCTTCCTCCTGCTCCAGCTATGAAAGACCTGCCTCCTTCCTTTTTGCCTTCTGCCATGATTGTAAGTTTCCTGAGCCCTCCACAGTCATGCTTCCTGTACAGCCTGTGAAACTGTGAGCCAATTAAACCTTTTTCCTTTTTAAATTATCCAGTCTCAGGTAGTTCTTTATAGCAATGTGAGATCAGACTAATGTAGCCCAACAGTTTGTAGGGCCTCATTTTGAGCCTTGGTGGTCCAGAAAGCAGACTTTAGATCCTAGGATGAGAGAGACTCAGTAATTAGATTTTCTGAGGTTGATGCAGTTGTCTTGAATGCTAGTTAATTGATTTACAATTTGAGGATATGTGATGGTTAATACTGAGTGTCAACTTGATTGGATTGAAGGATGCAAAGTATTGATCCTGAGTGTGTCTGTGAGGGTGTTGCCAAAGGAGATTAACATTTGAGTCAGTGGGCTGGGAAAGGCAGATCCACCCTTAATCTGGGTGGGCACAATCTAATCAGCTGCCAGTGAAGCTAGAATATAAAGCAGGCAGAAAAATGTGAAAAGAGAGACTGGCCTAGCCTCCCAGCCTACATCTTTGTCTTATTCTGGATGCTTCCTGCCCTTGAACATCAGACTCCAAGTTCTTCAGTTTTTGGACTCGGGCTGGCTCTCCTTACTCCTCAGCTTGCAGACTGCCCGTTGTGGGATCCTGTGATTATGTGAGTTAATACTTAATAAACTCCCCTTTATATGTATCTACCCTATTATTCTGTCCCTCTAGAGAACCCTGACTAATACAGCATTTATCTTCCTAGTGACAGGATGCTCATGTTTGATGCATTCCTTTTCTCAGGACCACAGTCCCATGTTTGCTGAATTCCAAAATTTGCTGGTTAAGCAAGGAATTCTAGCCAAAGGAGATAGCTAGACTTGAGGCATTTTTCAGACAACTCATGCAGAGGCCTGCGGAAATATTCCTGACCTACAAAATAATACTTTTCTTATACTAGTCACTGCCAGAATTTGCTTTTCTGAACTTGCTCAAACATTTTTATATTACTTTTGAAATAATTTTAGATTTACTAAAAAGTTGTAAAGATAGTCTATAAAGTTTCCATATACCTTTCACCCAGCTTCCCCTAATGTCCACATCTTATACAATCATGGTGCAGTTGTTAAAACTAAGAAATTAACATTGCTGCAATACAAGTAACTATGGACTTTATTCAGATTTTGTCAGTTGTTTCACTAATGTCCTTTTTCTGTTTGAGGATCCTATTCAAAATCCTACATTGCATTTAGTCGATATGTTTCCTTAATCTCTTCTAATCTTTGATGGTTTCTCAATCTCTCCTTGTTTTTCATGGCTTTGACAGTTTTGAGGAGTTCTCTGGGCAGATATTTTGTAGAATATCTTTCAGATTTGTTTTTTCTGATGTTTTTCTCATGATTATATTAGAGTTATGAGTTTTGGGGAAAATTACCACAAAGGTGAAGTGCCTTTTTCATAACATCACATCATATCAGGGAGTACATGCTATCAACATGAATTATCACTGATGATGTTAACCTTATCTACTTGTTTCGAGTAATATCTGCCAGTTTTTTTCACTGGAAAGTTACTATTTTTTTTTCTCCCATATTCTCTTCTTTAGAAGGAAGTCACTCAGTTCAATCCACACTTAAGGTGGGGGAAATTAAGCACTACCTCCTGGAGGAACAAATATCTACAAATACGTTTAAAATTCTTCTGTACAGAAAATTTTCTGCTTTTCCTGCACTTACCTATATATTTATCATTTATTTATATCAATACGGGCTCTTGTGTATATTTTTTATTCTTTGGTTTATAATAGAATACCATCATTATTTTGTTGTTCAAGTTGTTCCAGCTTTGGCCATTGAGAACTCTTTCAGGCTATCTCCTGTGTATTTTTACAGTAGAATTGCATTTAGAAACAATTCCCCAAAACTCATGAGGATTTTGGTTTATGAGGGGAGTCTTGGAACCAACCCACTGTGTATACCAAGGGACAACTACATGTACACACACACACAGTCTCCTATTGGTTCTGTTTAGAGATCTCTGGGAACTCTGGCTAATGCATACATCAAACTGTAACAAAAACACAGTGAATTCCCACAGAAATGTCTAGTTCCCATCTCACTATGAAAAATGGTGAAAACTCTTAGCGTTTATTTTAGTCCATTTGATCTGCTATAACAAAATATCTAAGAATGGGTAATTTATAAATAATAGAAACTTATTTCTCACATTTCTGGAGGCTGAGAAGTTCCAGATCAATCTGTCAGTAGATTTGGTGTCTGCTGAGGGCTCTCTGCCTCTAAGAGATGCCCTCTTAGAAGGTGCCTCGTTGCTGTGTTTTTGCAGAAGGGCAAAAAAAAAATAGTGGGGAACCTCACTGGTTCCCCCCTGCCCTTTCATAAGGCACTTATATAGGGAAGGGCATATGATCCAGTTCTGGCAAGATAAAAGAGAAAATCTGTTCAGGGGCTGGGGGAGGAAGGAAAAGAATTCTGAGGAAGATGTTCCTTTCTGAAAAAAACAAACAAACAAAAAAAAGAGCTAAAAAAAAAAGTCCTTTTAGTCTCTTCTTTTTTCTTGCTGCCGTGGAGGCTGATGGACTGAATTATTAGAGCTGTGGCTACTATCTTCTGATTCTGACGTCTGGCAGAGCAGAAAGATAAGAACAGCCCAGGTCCTTAATGACATACATAGATTGCTGAATCAACCTTGGAACTGACTACCTTTAGATATTAGGTATATGAGAGTGTCTTTATTGTTTAAACTGTTAGACAGAGATTCTGTTATTTGCAGCCCAAAGCATTGTAACAGATAGGATTAAAACATAATATGACTAGGGATCTATATTAAGAATTCTGCCACTCTCTGAAAAAATACCCAAATGGTACAAGTGTAGAGAGGTGTGAGGTATTTAAAAAGAAACAAAACTGGGTGTGGTGGTGAATGCCTATAGCTGTAGTTCTCGCTACTCAGGAGGCTGAGGTGGACAATCTCTTGAGCCCAGGAGTTAGAGGCCATCCTGGGCAAAGTATTAAAATTCTGTCTTTGAAAAAAAAGTATTAATCTGTAATGGGATTAGAGTAAACATAAAGAAAGAAAATAAAAAGAAACATACATAACTTAAAATACTGTGCATATTCAGTACTAAGGAACAGGAGAAAATGTAAATGAGTGCTTTATACTAGGAAAATTTAATAAGAATAGCAATTCAATAAAGCAAGAACTCAAATATCAGATAAAACAACAACAGAAGATGGAAAGGGGAATAGCAGATTTAAGAAAACAATTCAAGGATCAAAGTAACAACAACTCTCAGTTAATAAATTAACATGAAATGGAATGGACACAACTGAAATGAGATTTCTAACACAAAAGCAAGCCTGCTTACTCACTACAATGGTGAAGGAAAAGCAAATCAAGGTTAAATCAATTGGAGATAAGTTAGTCAATGTAAAAGACTAACATACAGCATGAGACTAATAACTGTCCCTGAAAGAGCAACATGCAGCAGAACAAAAAGGTGTTAAAAAAAAACCCCAAAATCTGAAAATTAAAGAGGCCATCTTGTTCCAGAAAAAAAAAAAAGTGATTGAGCTGAGATGACACATCAAATTAAGTTAAATTTTGAGGATTAAAGAATGTTCTTCAGGCATCCATACAGAAAAATAAGAGGGGAAAATCAGATTATCCTCTAATCCTCCTCAGCAATATTCAATGCCAGAAGATAACAGCAAAATCTGGAAGGTTAAAATGTGATATGAGAATATTTCATAGCCAAGTTGTTTGCATGTAAAAGAAGCCTATTTACATTCCTAAGCATCCAAGAACTCGGAAACTACAGTACCCAGAAGTTCTAGAACAAAACTACTTTCAATAAAATCCATATATCCATGTGATTTGAGTGTAGACAAAGTAAGAAAAAAGATTGGTGGTAAATAATGAATACATTTAAATATAGAATTAAACAGCTGTGATACAAAGCATGGTCGGAAATGGTATTTACCAAATACTTTTAATGATTATTGCTAGGTAGTAGGACTTTGACTTTTTTTATGTTCTCATTAATATGTCATTCTGTTGATTGAATGCTTATCCAAGAATATTCCATATTTCTATTTTCCTAGATATAATCATTATAAAAATACATTTATGATATAGCTTGAATAAATTATTGTATCTTGTTCATAACAGTATCTTTGTAATACTTTTGCATCCTTTTAACCCAGAAGAATAGACAAAGCAGAATCTATCATTTTCTTGGCCTTAAGTTGTGAAACTATAGATCTTCTCAGTCTCTTTGAAAAATAAAAGGAGGGAACACATTTTAACTCACTCTATGAGGCCAGTAATACTCTGATACCAAAACCAGACAAAGACGTCACAAATAAAGAAAAAAAACTACAGACCAATATTCCTTATGAAGATAGTCACAAAAATCCTCAGCAAAATATGAGAGCATAGTTTTATATATGCAAACCAAATTCAGCTGAATATATAAAGGAATATATTATGACCAAGTGAGATTTATCCCAAGAATGCAAGGTTGGTTTATATCAACCATATTGATAGAATAAAATTTGTAAAAAGCTATATGATCATCTCAATATTTCTGATAAAAACATTCAACAAACTAGGAATTGAAGGAAACTTCCTCAATCTTATACAGGGCACATATGAAAAACCACAGCTAATATCATACTTAATGATGAAAGACTTAAAGCTTTCCCCATAAGATCAGGAATAAGACAAGAATGTTTGCTTCTGCCACTCCACTTCTATTCCACATTGTACTGGACAGTATAGTCAGGGCAATTAGGCAAGAAACAGACATTTAAAAAGCATCTGTATTAGAAAAGAAGAAGTAAAACTACTTCTACTTGCAAATGCCATACTCTTGTACATAGAATATCCTAAGGAATCCATTAAAACCACTAAAATTAACAAATGAATTAATTTGCCAAGGTTTTGCAGGATACTACATCAATATACAAATACCAATGTATTCATATACAGCAGCAATAAACAGCCAGAAAATAAAACTAAGAAAATTCCATTTATAATGGCATCAAAAAAGTTGAACACTTAGAAAGAAATTTAACAAAACTTATTTAAAATTTTGAAGGAAATTAAAGATCTAAGTAAATGCAAAGACATCTTATGTTCATGGATTGGAAGACATATTATTAAGATGGTAGTACTCCCAAATTAATCCACAGATTCAGTGTAATCCTTATCAAAATCCCAGCTGCTTAGCTTTTGCAGAAATTGAACAAGCTAATCCTAAAATTCACATGGAATAGCAAGAAACTCAGAATAGCAAAAATAATCGTGAAAAAGATTCAAGGTCGAGGACACAAACTTTTTGATTTTAAAACTAGTTGCAAAGCCCAGTAATCAAGACAGCATGGTACTAGTATAAGGATAGAAATATGAGTTAATAGAATTGAATTGAGAGTCCAGAAATAAATGCTTACATTTGTAGTCATTTGATTTTAAACAAGGGTGCCAAACAATTAATTCATGGGAAAAAGAAAAATCTCTTCAACACATGATGCTGAGACAATGGAATATCTAGAAGTGAAAGGATGAATTTGGATCCCCTACCTCACACCACACACAAAAATAAACTAAAAATGGACAAAAGACCTAAATATAAGCACTAAAACTATAACACTTTCAGAAGAAAACAGGTGTGAGTTTTTGTTATCTTGGATCAGGCAATGGTTTCTTAGATATGCCACCAAAAGCACAAGTAACCAAAGAAAAAATAGATAGATTGAACTTCATTATAATTAGAAATGTTTGTACTTCAATGTCAGAAAAGTAAGATAACAAACCAGAGAATAGAAGTTCAAGTGTGGTGGCATGTGACTGTAGTCCTAGCTGCTTAGGAGGCTGAGGTGAGAAGATTGCTTCAGCCCAGGAGGTCAAGGCTGCAATGAGCCATGATTGCACCATTGCCCTCCAGGTTGGGCAACACAGAGAGACTCTGTCTCAAAAATGAAAAAAAAAATTAACAAACCACAGAATAGGAGAAAATATTTGCAAATCATTTATCAGATAAGACTAGTATTCAGAATATATAAAAGATACTTTCATCCTTTCAACTAAACCATGAAAAGACAATCCAATTAAAATATGGGTAAAGAATTTGAATAGACATTTCTACAAAGAAGTTACACACATGGCCAATAAGCATATGAGAAAAATGCTCAACATCATTAGCCATTAGGGAAATGCAAATCAAAACACAATGAGATACAATTTCACACCCCCTAGGATGGTTAACATTCAGACAAGCATCTGTAAAATCTAGACACACAAGTGTTGATGATGTGGAGTGGAACCCCCAATGTATTGCTTTCGAGAATGTAAAATGGCACAGCCACTATGGAAAACAGTTTGGCAGTTCCTCAAAATGTTCAACATAGAATTACCATAATTCCACTCCTAGGTATATACCCAAAATAATTGAAAACATGTCTACACAAAAACTTGTACATGATGTTCATAGCATCATTGTTTACAGTAGCCAAAAGTGGGAATAACCCAAATATCAATGAAAGGCTAAATATATTGTGGTATAATGATACAACAGAATATTATTTAGCCATTAAAAGAAATAAAGTGCTGACACACGCTATAATCTGGACGAGCCTTAAAAACATTATGCTAAGTAGAAGAAGACAGGCACAAAAAGCTGCATATTATGTGATTCAATTTATGTGAACTGTTCAGAATAAGAAAATACATGGAGACAGAAAGTAGATTAGTAGTTGCCAAGAGTAGGGTGAGGGGAGAATAGGGAGTAACTGATGGAAACATTCTGGAATTATACAGTGGTGATGTTTGCACAAGTTTATGAATATACTAACAACTACTGAAATGTATTCCTTAAAAGGGTAAATTTTATGGCATGTGAATTATATCTCAGTTAAAAAAAAGAATGAGGGAGTGTGAGAGTCCTGGTATTGCCCTTGTTTGGGCTGGTCTTCTGAGCCATACTAGCCTAAAGCATTAACTGGGAAAGGAAATAACTATAATATTATGACCCCTTCCTTTCCCACATGAAAAATGCCCCAAGAGAAAGCTGACAGAAAAGACAAGTTAAGAGAATCCAGCAGAACCAAATACTCCCAGAAGAAAGTTGGAGTCTTTTTTGAGAGGCCGTAATCATTGCTGTCGAAAATATACAAAGAAAAACAGAGCAGCACCCTTTTCCTCAGTGGTCTGACTCAGCTGTTTTGGTTGCAAGACATTGAGAATCATCAAGTAATGGTTATGGGATAGCTGGTGTAAGATACTCATAGGAACAAAGACAGAAATGTCAATCATGTGAGAAGGCCTATGGCAAATCAGTAAAGGACAATAAGCCATGTTGCTTGGCAGTGGACAGTTCTAGCTTTAGCTTTCCAATATTCATCTTTTTCTCTTTTTCCCCTTCTCAGCACCCCAATTTCCATTTTTTTCCATTGCCTTGTCCACTTTAATTAGTAAAACTATTGTTTGGGACTTGACTTGTTATTGTTTGGGACTTGACTTGTTATTGTTTGGGAGCAGGTCTGTGACCCAAGCTAGGGCAACTATGTAAGTTCTCCCTAGAATTTGAATCTCTGGCACAGGGATAAAGAAACTAAAGTTTCCCCTCGGTCTGCATAGCAGCACCCTGACCAAACCATTCCTGCCATGAGACGGCTATTGTCTCTAGAGCTGTCTTGGTTCTCACCAGTTCCTAAGCCTGATTCTCCTGGCTCTTGTCAATTTGGTTCTATTCCTAATTCCTTTACATAAATCCCCTTCTGCCTAAGTTAGAGCCATTTTCTGTGGTTTGCCACAAAAGGATTCACTCATGAATGGCAGGAACTCTGGTAGGGCTGGGTCCGGTGAGACTGGATGGTCATGCAGAATCCAAAGCAGCCCTCAGGTCCTCAGCAGGAGAAATTCAGAACCATTTCTCCAGTGTGACATGGTCAGCTACTCTTTGCCTAATTGCTGCTCTCCGAATCTGTGTCTCTATCACCAATCAATTTCTTCACCTTTTATCTTTTCTCTAGCTCACCGTTTCTGTACACTCAAACTTTCAGTTATTTTCTTCAACACACTCATGATGCCTTAGGGAAGGAAAACCTTTCTTCTACCCTCTTAGGTTCTGTGGCTGGACCTGAGAATTAAACTGGTATAAAATAGATTACCAGGAGAAAAATGTGCATATTTTATTTAATAAGAGCCTTCATAGGAAAAATGAAGACCTGAAGAAGCAATTAGGACTGAGAGCTTATATACTTGTTTAAAAATAAAGAACAATAAATTTGCAGAGAAGTGACAAGATAGAATAGGATTTCTACTATTAATAGGATATTTACCACTTCTAGGAGTGGCAAATTGTGAAGAAATTTCTAGAAAGTGACTAGAAAATATAGAGAAGCTAAAGGAAGATAAAGGTTATTTTGGTAGGTTTATTTGTATAGATCCATTGCAGCATTAACTTCCATTCTCTGGTGATAAAAATGTTATCTTCCTGGTCCATGGAGGGCATTGTTCTCATGGAAAAGTTTATGATCTGCTTGTAGGTAGAAAAAGGGAAGTCAGAGAGCCCTTCCTGCATCTGATGTTTCTCAAACATCTGCAGCTCAAAGTAATGAATTTGCCAAAAGAGCCTATTTTGGGTGGCATGTTCTAAATGCCATCACCCCTGAGAGCCTCTTCTTTGGATTTCTGAGCTTCTCCTGTCATCTCTAACTTACTGGAACTTTCAGTATTCTGAAATTCAGACTTTGCCAAGCTCGTTCCCCCAAAATCCAGAATACCACACCAGGCCACCGCTAGGGTAAAGCAAGCAAGGCACCAGGGCTCAACATTTCCAGAGTCACTCAGTCTGTGGTGCCCACCCTGTAACTGAACAGCCCTGAGAGAAAGCACCTCCTTGAAGGTCCCACCCTGGACACCTCACTTGCCTCATCCTGCTGGCCCTGGACTGCCTCAGCCCGGTGTTTGGGAAGCTATCCCTTATTCTATCCACATGCTAAGGGCCAGCCGAATTCTTGCTAGAGTACCCTTCCACAAATTTCTCCTCATGCTAAGGGCCAGCCGAATTCTTGTTAAAGTACCTTTCCACAAATTTCTCCTTCCTAAGGTGCATTCCTCAAATTCCAAGGCTCAATGGGAGAGAAATTACTTTTATATTTTCCTCCAGAGTCCTCACTTTAACGCTTGAAAATTTGTCTTATCCTACGATGACTGAAGGTAGGAGCCACAAATTCTCTTCATTTCCACCCTCAAGTCTGTCATTTCTTACCTTAAGCTCTCACCAGAAGGTTCCTCTGAAAATAATAAGTGGTGCATTTTCCAAAATGTGAATAATTTGATTTTTAATAATATCACATATAGGCTCCCAAATTAAGTTCATTTTGAACTATTATGATTTATCTCCAGTTCTAATATTCTGTTTTTAATTGTTTGGACAAATTCACATCCATTTCTTCAAAACAGTGATTTTGAGATATAGGCTATTCTAGTTTCAGATTAGGGGAAAATGTTTTTAACATCATTTTTCAGAAATATGGGTCTGCTAAAAGACCAGTTTATTTTTCTAAATTTTTTAAAATTTTCAACCTAAACCCACCCAATTTGGGTATTTTCATTATTTTCCCAAAGAAAAATTGCCAGATGTTTAACTTGTATCCATGTAACTAAAAAGCCATGTGAAAATGATACTTCCCAACACACAGAGAAGGTTCTTCTTGTAAAGCAAGCTGTTTTTCCATCCTGGATGGCAGAAAGTGCTTGCAACATATAAAATGAAACTTTTCCTTTATCTACCTTTTTTTTTTTTCAGGTTTAGTCTTTAGCATCCAAACTCCTACCTCAGTTAATGCAAAGCATTTCATGCCATCCTACTGTACAGACATAGACCAGGTGATGTGCTGGTTGTTCTGCAGTCAGAGCCCTATCTGGCTCCAATTAGGGTGAGGTGATCACATAATGTAAAACAAGGTTACTGGTCAGCATGAGCGTGGATAGGGCCGAGAACATGTCAAGTATTTCAATGGCTCTCTCTGGTATCTAATATTATGTCACAACCATAACATTGAGCTTAGTATTGCAGACACAGAGAAAAACACTGTATTCTAAGAGTTAGCATGGATCCCTATCCTTCAATAAACAGTGATGCAAGAAGCAAGCCAAATTCTTCCTTGGAGTTTCTGCTTCTACTGAGTATACTGTGTATTTACTGCAGAATATGCCGGAGAAAGGACCAGTGTCTGGAGATTAGAGCAGAGTAAGTGAAAGAAGGGAATTCACAAAATGGTAATGGGGCTTTACAGGCATCAAGTCGTTTGACAGGACTGAGGTGATTGGTTTTCTAGCACTAGGAATGTAGCTCTTCATTTGGTCCTTCGGGTTTTCTTTGTGCAGTCAGGAAGAAAAAAGCAAATGGGATGAATTGTTAAATGGACACCTCTGGTTTAGAACCACTTTCAACAGGACAATATTTTGCAGTTTGTTTTCTTTTACTTTGCTTTGTGTTTAAGTTTGAACAAATGACAAGTTAACAGACAAAAGCCAAAGGATGGAAAAGGTTTCACAATTCCTTTCCTTTTACCTCCCCTCTAACAAGATTTTTGCTTTTGTGGGTTGATTTGGTTTGATCTGTGTTTCTGCCCAAATCTCATGTTGAGTTGTAATCTCCGATGTTGGAGGTGGGTCTGGTGGGATGTGATTGGATCATGGGGGTGGATCCTTCATGAATGGTCCCCTTAGTGCTGTTCTCATGATAGAGTTCTCATGAGATGTGGTTGTTTAAAAGTGTGTAGCATCTCCCCACTCTTGCTCTTTCTCCTGCTCTGGCCATGTAAGACATGCCTGCTTCTCCTTCACCTTCTACCATGATTGTACATTCCTTGAGGCCTCCCCAGAAGCTATGCCACCATGCTTCCTGTACAGCCTGCAGAACCGTGAGACAATTAAACCTCTTTTCTTTATAAAGTATCCAGTCTCAGGTATTTCTTTATGGCAATGTGAAAACAGACTAACACATGGTTTTTCAAAAAATTTGTTTGTTTTGTTTTTAATCTTTGCTTAATCATAACTATATGTCTGAAGAGCCTTTCTCCATGACCTGAAATAATCCCTCCTTAGCCAACTCCAACTCTGCTTTTGAGAAAAATTTTTCACTTCTTAAAATGTTTTTGACTTTCTTCCTTAAGAGATAACACTTTCTTAGATGACTCCACTATGCCATTATTTTTTACATATTAAAAGTTTAAGTGGCATATTTAACTCAATTTCTACTGCACTATCACACATTTGGTTGAACATCTAAACACAAAGCTTTCTGTCCAGCTGTCTTCCACATTAACTCAAATAGGTTTAAGGCTGTTATCTAATTCCCTGAACTGGGAGGCTGTGAGGCTAGAGATGGAGTATCCTTTGCATGCTGTCAAAGATCCTAGAGCCAAATAGTGAATATTAAAGTTGTACCTGAAGTTGACCTAGGCTTTTCCATAGTCAAAAGTGCCAGAGGCAGGTATTAGGAAGGAATCTAGGTTCAGAACAAAAGAAGCAAGGAGAACCAGCAATGAGGAAGAGTAAGAAGGAGCAGTTTTCAAACTCATGTAGTCTTAAAGAGATTCTGATCCATAGGCCTGAGTTGAGGCAAGATATCTCCATCATTAAGACCAGAAGTGATTCTACTTTGAGAATCCCTGGGAAGGATGTCAGTGAAACCAGAGTATCTGTTGATGAGTTCACCATGAAGGAGAAGAATCAGGGGTTTGGATTTGACCTGCTCTACTCTCAGCCCAACTTGGTGTACATGGGTTTGATTCACATAAATGGGAAAAAGTTCAGCGAACAGGTTGAGTATCTTGCTTAAGACATCCAAAGAGTGTATTAGGGAGGTTGTGGAGTGATATAATATTGTGTCAACTAAATAGAAGATTCTCAGAGCCATGCCATTTAGTGCGTCCTATCTTAACAACAACAAAAAATGCTTCTTTAACTCACTTCTCCCTACAAATGCTGCTTTTTCCTCAGTCCCACTTTATTGCAACGTTTCTCAAAAGAGTCATCTATTCTATTTTATTTCCAATCCTTCAATTCCCTTAAAATCCACTCAGTCAGGCTTTTATTCCAACAACTTTGGCAAAGTTATCAATGTTCATGTTTCCAAATTCAATGGTTATTCCTCAGTTTCATTTTATTAATCTTTCAGCTGTGTTCGACACAGTTGACCACTTACTTTTCATTGAAATATTTCTTCACTTGGCTTCCATGACATTACATGCTTTTGATTTTTTCCTTCTACCTCATAGTCTGCTCCTTCAAAGGTTCCATTGTTGATTCGTCCTCAACATTTGCTGGAGTCCACCAGGGCTCAATGCCCAGCCTCCTTCTCTACATATCTTCCCTCCCTAGATCATCTCACTATAGATCTTATATAAATAAAAAGGTTTATAAGAGAACAGTATGAACAGTTATACACCAACAAATTAGATAACTTCAATGAAATGAATAAATTTCTAGATATACACAAGCTGCCAAAACTGATGGAAGAAGAAATAAAAAACCTGAATAGGATTATAACAAGTAAAGAGATCGAATCAGTTATTTTAAAACTTTCAAAAAAGAAAAGCCCAGGATCAGATGACTCACTAAGAATTTTATCAAACATTTAAAGAATTATCACCAGTTCTTCTCAAACTCTTCCAAAAAGTGGAAGAGAAAATGAGAACTTCCTAACTCATTCTATGATCTGCTATCACCCAATACCAAAGTCAGACAAAAAAAATCACAATAAGGCTGAGCAAGGTGGCTCATGTCTATTATCCCAGCATTTTCGGAGGCTGAGGCGGGTGGATCACCTGAGGTCAGGAGTTTGAGATCAGCCTGGACAACATGGCGAAACCCCATCTCTACCAAAAATACAAAAATTAGCCAGGCATGGTGGTGTGTGCCTGTAGTACCAGCTACTTGGGAGGCTGTGGCAGAAAACAATTATGTTTATATTATCATCAACAATAATAAAATAGGAATAAATTTAACTCAGGGCATGCAAAATTGGTACACTAAAGACTACAAACTGCTATTTGTAATACTGTCTTTAAAGAAGACCTTATGAATAAGTGGACCTTCCTCTAGTTATGTGGAAGACTTACTATTATTAAGATGGCAATATTCCCCAAATTTATCTACAGATTTAATGCAATCCCTATCAAAATTCCAACTTCCCATTTTGTGGAAATGGGCAAGCTGGTCCTAAAATTCATATAGAAGAGCAAGGGACCCACAATAGCCAAAACAATCTTGAAAAAAATTAAAAAGTTGGAGGATTCACAATTCCAGACTTCGAAACTTACTACCGTAAGACCCAACAATTCCACTTCTAAGTATACACACAAGAGAATTGCAAACAAATTGTTCAGACAAAAACTTGTATAGGAATATTCATAGCAGCAATATTCATAATAGCCAAGAGGTAGAAACAATTTAATGCTCATGACTGATGAATGAATTAAACAAAATGTGGTATATCCATATAATAAAATATTATTCAGCAATAAAAAGAAATGAAGTACTGATACATACTACAATATGGATGAGCCTTGAAAACATTACGCTAAGTGAAAGAAGCCAGACACAAAAAGCCACATATTGTTTGACTCCATTTGTATGACATGTCCAGTACAGGAAAAACCACAGAGACACAAGCTGGTTACTGGTTGTCAGAGGCTGAGGATGAAGGTTAGGGTGGAATGTGGAATGAAACCCTAATGGCTAGGGGCTTTCTCATTTGGGTGATGAAAATGTTCTGGAATTAGTGATGATGGTTGCACAACATTGTGAACATATTAAAATCACTGAATTGTATATTTTTTAAATGGTTCCAAAGGTAAATTTTTTAATGTAAATTTTACCTCAATTTTTAAAAATTGGCTTAGTGTGGTGGTGCATGCCTGTAATTCCAGCACTTTGGGAGGTCAAGGTGGGTGGATGGTTTGAGCCCAGGAGTTTGAGACCAGCCTGGGCAATATGGCAAAACCCTGTTACTACAAAAAATACAAAAATTAGCAAGGCATGGTGGCTCACCTGTAGTCCCAGCTTCTGGGGAGGCTGAGGCAGGAGGATTACTTGAGTCCAGGAGGTTGAGGCTGCAGTGAGCCAAGATCATGCCACTGCATTCCAGCCTGGGAGAGAGAGAAGGACCCTGTCTCAAAAAAAAAAAAAAAAATCAAAAGTCATAAATTGCTTCATCAACCTGTAAAACTTTTTTTCAGTTACAAGACAATAACAATGTGAAAAAGATCGCCTGTCTAGAAAAAGGGTAGGTGATATAAAGACAACTCAGTAGCCCAGAAAGATATGAAAAGAGACTGAATCTCACTAGAAAACAGGAAGATGCAAATTATCAATTAGATAGTAGTAGATTTGCAAAACTGAAAGAGTTTAAAAATATCAAGTGTAGCTAAGGGTGGGAAAAAGATGATCTCATACACTGCCAATAGTAAATTGCAGTCATTTTGGAAGGCAATTTGGCAGTAAACTAATAAAACTTTAAAACATATACACCCTGTGATTCAGCAATTCTACTTCTCCATATTTGCTCAAAAGAAATATCAACATAAGTGAACAAGGATGCACACGCAAAGATGTTCATTGTAGCATTGTTTGTGTATGCAAAAATAAGAAGTAGACTAAGGAGTGTGGGGAAATAAATTGTGGTAGAGCCACACCATAAAATACTATGTAATCTTAAAATAAACAATGTTAATATGGAAACATACCTAACATATAATAGTGAATGAGAAAAAGCATGTTTCAGAACATTCTTCATTTATATAAAATTTAAACTAACCTACAAAATTATTTATTCCCCATGGAAATGTATGGATGAATGTATATAAATGCAGAGAAAGAAGTCTAGGAGGTCAAAAATTTAAGTAATATCAGTAGTTACTTATGGTGAAAGGGGAAGGATCCAGATTATTGATGGTAATCGAAGACAATTTTAGCCTTATCTAAAATATATTTTACATGGAGGGATGATGATAATAAAACCAGAAAAATTAGATTCAAAAACCAAGATTTCAATGGTGAACATATGGCTGGGCCCAGTGGCTCATGCCCATAATCCCAACACGTCGGGAGGCTGAGGCAGGCAGATCACTTGAGGTCAGGAGATTGAGACCAGCCTGGCCAAAATGGTGAAACCCCATATCTACCAAAAAAAAAATACAAAAATTAGCTGGTTATGGTGGCATGCACCTGTGGTCCCAGCTACTCGGGAGGCTGAGGTGTCAGAATGACTTGAACCCAGAAGGCAGAGGTTGCAAGATGGCCAAATAGGAACAGCTCTGGTCTACAGCTCCCAACGTGAGCAACGCAGAAGACGGGTGATTTCTGCATTTCCATCTGAGGTACTGGGTTCATCTCACTAGGGAGTGCCATACAGTGGGTGCAGGACAGTGGGTGCAGCGCACCGGGCACAAGCCAAAGCAGGGCCAGGCATTGCCTCACTCGGGAAGCACAAGGGGTCAGGGAGTTCTCTTTCATAGTCAAAGAAAGGGGTGACAGACGGCAGCTGGAAAATCGGGTCACTCCCACCCTAATACTAAGCTTCTCCAACGGACTTAAAAAACGGCACACCAGGAGAGCACCTGGCTTGGAGGTTCCTACGCCCATGGAGTCCCACTGATTGCTAGCACAGCAATCTGAGATCAAACTGCAAGGCAGCAGCCAGGCTGGAGGAGGGGCACCTGCCATTGCCCGGGCTTGATTAGGTAAACAAAGCAGCCGGGAAGCTCGAACTGGGTGGAGCCCACCACAGCTCAAGGAGGCCTGCCTGCCTCTGTAGGCTCCACCTCTGGGGGTAGGGCACAGACAAACAAAAAGACAGCAGTAACCTCTGCAGACTTAAATGTCCTTGTCTGACAGCTTTGAAGAGAGTAGTGGTTCTCCCAGCATGCAGCTGGAGATCTGAGATTGGGCAGACTGCCTCCTCAAGTGGGTCCTTGACCCCCGAGCAGCCTAACTGGGAGGCACCCCCCAGTAGGGGCAGACTGACACCTCACATGGCCAGGTACTCCTCTGAGACAAAACTTCCAGAGGAACGATCAGGCAGCAGCATTTGCGGATCACCAATATCTGCTGTTCTACAGCCACCGCTGTTCTGCAGCCACCGCTGCTGATACCCAGGCAAACAGGATCTGGAGTGGACCTCTAGCAAACTCCAACAGACCTGCAGCTGAGGGTCCTGTCTGTTAGAAGGAAAACTAACAAACAGAAAGGACATCCACACCAAAAACCCATCTGTATGTCACCATCATCAAAGACCAAAAGCAGATAAAACCACAAAGATGGGGAAAAAACAGAGCAGAAAAACTGGAAACTCTAAAAAGCAGAGCGCCTCTCCTCCTCCAAAGGAATGCAGCTCCTCACCAGCAACAGAACAAAGCTGGACGGAGAATGACTTTGACAAGTTGAGAGAAGAAGGCTTCAGACGATCAAACAACTCTGAGCTACAGGAGGAAATTCAAACCAATGGCAAAGAAGTTAAAAAGTTTGAAAAAAAAATTAGACGAATGGGTAACTAGAATAACCAATGCAGAGAAGTCCTTAAAGGAGCTGATGGAGCTGAAAGCCAAGGCTCGAGAAATACATGAAGAAGTCCTTAAAGGAGCTGATGGAGCTGAAAGCCAAAGCTCGAGAACTACGTGAAGAATGCGGAAGTCTCAGGAGCCGATGCAATCAACTGGAAGAAAGGGTATCAGTGATGGAAGACGAAATGAATGAAATGAAGCGAGAAGGGAAGTTTAGAGAAAAAATAATAAAAAGAAATGAACAAAGCATCCAAGAAATATGGGACTATGTGAAAAGACCAAATCTACGTCTGATTGGTGTACCTGAAAGTGACGGGGAGAATGGAACCAAGTTGGAAAACACTCTGCAGGATATTATCCAGGAGAAATTCCCCAATCTAGCAAGGCAGGCCAACATTCAGATTCAGGAAATACAGAGAATGCCACAAAGATACTCCTCGAGAAGAGCAACTCCAAGACACATAATTGTCAGATTCACCAAAGTTGAAATGAAGGAAAAAATGTTAAGGGCAGCAAGAAAGAAAGGTCGGGTTACCCACAAAGGGAAGCCCATCAGACTAACAGCAGATCCCTCGGCAGAAACTCTACAAGCCAGAAGAGAGTGGGGGCCAATATTCAACATTCTTAAAGAAAAGAATTTTCAACCCAGAATTTCATATCCAGCCAAACTAAGCTTCATAAGTGAAGGAGAAATAAAATCCTTTACAGACAAGCAAATGCTGAGAGATTTTGTCACCACCAGGCCTGCCCTAAAAGAGCTCCTGAAGGAAGCACTAAACATGGAAAGGAAAAACCAGTACCAGCCACTGCAAAAACATGCCAAATTGTAAAGACCATCAAGGCGAGGAAGAAACTGCATCAACTAACGAGCAAAATAACCAGCTAACATCATAACGACAGGACCAAATTCACACATAAAAATATTAACTTTAAATGTAAATGGGCTAAATGCTCCAATTAAAAGGCACAGACTGGCAAATTGGATAAAGAGTCAAGACCCATCAGTGTGCTGTATTCAGGAGACCCATCTCACATGCAGAGACACATGTAGGCTCAAAATAAAGGGATGGAGGAAGATTTACCAAGCAAATGGAAAACAAAAAAAGGCAGGGGTTGCAATCCTAGTCTCTGATAAAACAGACTTTAAACCAACAAAGATCAAAAGAGACAAAGAAGGCCATCAGATAATGGTAAAGAGATCAATTCAACAAGAAGAGGTAACTATCCTAAATATATGTGCACCCAATACAGGAGCACCCAGATTCATAAAGCAAGTCCTTAGTGACCTACAAAGAGACTTAGACTCCCACACAATAATAATGGGAGACTTTAACACCCCACTGTCGACATCAGACAGATCAATGAGACAGAAAGTTAACAAGGATATCCAGGAATTGAACTCACCTCTGCACCAAGCAGACCTAATAGACATCTACAGAACTCTCCACTCCAAATCAACAGAATATACATTTTTTTCAGCACCACACCACACTTATTCCAAAATTGACCACATAGTTGGAAGTAAAGCACTCCTCAGCAAATGTAAAAGACAGAAATTATAACAAACTGTCTCTCAGACCACAGTGCAATCCAACTAGAACTCAGGATTAAGAAACTCACTCAAAACCGCTCAACTACATGGAAACTGAACAACCTGCTCCTGAATGACTACTGGGTACATAACGAAATGAAGGCAGACATAAAGATGTTCTTTGAAACCAATGAGAACAAAGACACAACATACCAGAATCTCTGGGACGCATTCAAAGCAGTGTGTAGAGGGAAATTTATAGCACTAAATGCCCACAAGAGAAAGCAGGAAAGATCCAAAATTGACACCCTAACATCACAATTAAAAGAACTAGAAAAGCAAGAGCAAACACATTCAAAAGCTAGCTGAAGGCAAGAAATAACTGAAATCAGAGCAGAACTGAAGGAAATAGAGACACAAAAAACCCTTCAAAAAATTAATGAATCCAGGAGCTAGTTTTTTGAAAAGATCAACAAAATTGATAGACCGCTAGCAAGACTAATAAAGAAGAAAAGAGAGAAGAAACAAATAGACGCAACAAAAAATGATAAAGGGTATATCACCACTGATCCCACAGAAATACAAACTACCATCAGAGAAAACTACAAACACCTCTACGCAAATTAACTAGAAAATCTAGAAGAAATGGATAAATTCCTCAACACATACACCCTCCCAAGACTAAACCAGGAAGAAGTTGAATCTCTGAATAGACCAATAACAGGATCTGAAATTGTGGCAATAATCAATAGCTTACCAACCAAAAAGAGTCCAGGACCAGATGGATTCACAGCCGAATTCTACCAGAGGTACAAGGAGGAGTTGGAACCATTCCTTCTGAAACTATTCCAATCAATAGAAAAAGAGGGAATCCTCCCTAACTCATTTTATGAGGCCAGCATCATCCTGATACCAAAGCCTGGCAGAGACACAACCAGAAAAGAGAATTTTAGACCAATATCCTTGATGAACATTGATGCAAAAATCCTCAATAAAATACTAGCAAACCTAATCCAGGAGCACATCAAAACACTTATCCACCATGATCAAGTGGGCTTCATCCCTGGGATGCAAGGCTAGTTTAACATATGCAAATCAATAAATGTAATCCATCATATAAACAGAATCAAAGACAAAAACCACATGATTATCTCAACAGATGCAGAAAAGGCCTTTGACAAAGAAAAAATTCAACAGTGCTTCATGCTAAAAACTCTCAATAAATTAGGTATTGATGGGACGTATCTCAAAATAATAACAGCTATCTATGACAAACCCACAGCCAATATCATACTGAATGGGCAAAAACTGGAAGCATTCCCTTTGAAAACTGGCACAAGACAGGGATGCCCTCTCTCACCACTCCTATTCAACATAGTGTTGGAAGTTCTGGCCAGGGCAATTAGGCAGGAGAAGGAAATAAAGGGTATTCAATTAGGAAAAGAGGAAGCCAAATTGTCCCTGTTTGCAGATGACATGATTGTATATCTAGAAAACCCCATTGTCTCAGCCCAAAATCTCCTTAAGCTGATAAGCAACTTCAGCAAAGTCTCAGGATACAAAATCAATGTGCAAAACTCACAGGCATTCTTATACACCAACAACAGACAAACAGAGAGCCAAATCATGAGTGAACGACCATTCACAATTGCTTCAACGAGAATAAAATACCTAGGAATCCAACTCACAAGGGATGTGAAGGACCTCTTCAAGGAGAACTACAATCCATTGCTCAATGATATAAAAGAGGATACAAACAAATGGAAGAACATTCCATGCTCATGGGTAGGAAGAATCAATATCGTGAAAATGGCCATACTGCTCAAGGTAATTTACAGATTCAATACCATCTCCATCAAGCTACCAATGACTTTCTTCACAGAATTGGAAAAAACTACTTTAGAGTTCATAAGGAACCAAAAAGGAGCACACATCACTAAGTCAGTCCTAAGCCAAAAGAACAAAGCTGGAGGCATCACACTACCTGACTTCAAACTATACTACAAGGCTACAGTAACCAAAACAGCATGGTACTGGTACCAAAACAGAGATATAGATCAACGGAACAGAACAGAGCTCTCAGAAATAATGCCGCATATCTAAAACCATCTGATCTTTGACAAACGTGAGAAAAACAAGCAATGGGGAAAGGATTCCCTATTTAATAAATGGTGCTGGGAAAACTGGCTAGCCATATGTAGAAAGCTTTAACTGGATCCCTTCCTTACACCTTATACAAAAATTAATTCAAGATGGATTAAAGACTTACATGTTAGACCTAAAACCATAAAAACCCTAGAAGAAAACCTAGGCAATACCATTCAGGACATAGGCATGGGCAAAGACTTCATGTCTAAAACACCAAAAGCAATGGCAACAAAAGCCAAAATTGACAAATGGGATCTAATTAAACTAAAGAGCTTCTGCACAGCCAAAGAAACTACCATCACAGTGAACAGGCAACTGACAAAATGGGAGAAAATTTTCGCAACCTACTCATCTGACAAAGGGCTAATATCCAGAATCTACAAAGAACTCAGACAAATTAACAAGAAAAAAACAAACAACCCCATCAAAAAGTGGGTGAAGGATATGAACAGACACTTCTCAAAGGAAGACATTTATGCAGCCAAAAAACACATGAAAAAATACTCATCATCACTGGCCATCAGAGAAATGCAAATCAAAACCACAATGAGATACCATCTCACACCAGTTAGAATGGCGATCATTAAAAAGTCAGGAAACAACAGGTGCTGGAGAGGATGTGGAGAAATAGGAACACTTTTACACTGTTGGTGGGACTGTAAACTAGTTCAACCATTGTGGAAGACAGTGTGGCGATTCCTCAGGGATCTAGAACTAGAAATACCATTTGACCCAGCCATCTCATTACTGGGTATATACCCAAAGGATTATAAATCATGCTGCTATAAAGACACATGCACACGTATGTTTATTACAGCACTATTCACAATAGCAAAGACTTGGAACCAACCCAAATGTCCAAAAATGATAGACTGGATTAAGAAAATGTGGCACATATATACCATGGAATACTATGCAACCATAAAAAATGATGAGTTCATGTCCTTTGTAGGGACATGGATGAAACTGGAAACCATCATTCTCAGCAAACTATTGCAAGGACAAAAAACCAAACACTGCATGTTCTCACTCATAGGTGGGAATTGAACAATGAGAACACTTGGACACAGGAAAGGGAACATCACACTCCGGGGACTGTTGTGGGGTGGGGGCAGGGGGAGGGATAGCATTAGGAGGTATACCTAATGCTAAATGATGAGTACATGGGTGCAGCACACCAACATGGCACATGTATACACATGTAACAAACCTGCACATTGTGCACATGTACCCTAAAACTTAAAGTTTAATAATAATAAAATAAAAAAAAGAGAAAAAAAAAGAAGGCAGAGGTTGCAGTGAGCTGAGGTCATGTCATTGTACTCCAGCCTGGGTGACAGTGAGACTGTCTCAAAAAAAAAAAAAAAAAAAAAAAGAAAGGATGAAAGAAAAAGAAAAAAAACACTTGAATTAATTATTTAGTTATACTGAAAATTCATTAGAAAAGTTTTTCCAAACATCTAAAACTTGAAAAATTATCAGGGAGGAATACTCTTGCAAAAATCCTTGAATTGGGCCCGGTGCAGTGGCTCATGCCTGTAATCCCAGCACCTTGGGAGGCCGAGGTGAGTGGATCACCTGAGGTCAGGAGTTTGAGACAGGCCTGGCTAACATGGTGAAACCCTGTCTCTACTAAAAATATAAAAATTAGCTGGGCATGTTAGCGGGTGCCTGTAATCCCAGCAACTAGGGAGGCTGAGACAGGACAATCACTTGAACCTGGGTAGCGGAGGCTGCAGTGAGCCGAGATCACAGCATTGCACACCAGCCTGGGCAACAAGAGCAAAACTCCATCTCAAAAAAAAAAAAAACCTTGAATTGGGTCATCAAGGTTTCTAATAATATAGACACAGATGCTATGTATGGAAGGGCTGTTGTTGCTGCATATAATTATTTAGTATAATAACCTATGGGTAGGGGGCGAGGAGAACAAATTAAAAAGCAAAAAGGGTAATTGCAAAAAAGAGAGGTGGCAGTGGTGTTTTAGAATGCTAATTATGACACAATGGGCAAAAGCACAGGATCTGGAGTCAATAACATAGGCTAAGTTTGACTCTGCCACTTTCTAGTTGTGTGACCTAGGCAAAACACTTAACTGATTTGTAAAATAAGAATAAGGATACTTGCCTTGCCTACCTCACTGGGTTGCTGAGAAAAGCATTATAAACTGAAAAGTACTAACAAGATCAAAACAATTCAAAAGAGAAAAGTGTGAAAGAGATCAACTCAATAACATAAAATCCTCAGGAGAAGAGCTGCCAAAAGACTTGGGACAGATTTGTCCCAGAGAAACTAATTTTAAACCTGTACAGCTTTATTCTTTATATTTTGCCTATTAGAGTAATCTGCCAAGGATTATGCCCATGTTTTGCAGATCATGGCAGAAAAACTGCTATGCAATCACCAGCTGAATCATTTCTATCAATACAGCCATTCCTATCTCACAGGTTCATTGACAGAACTGAAATATATCAGTCTCTCTCATATACCCAAAACGTGTTTTTGAGAATTATGTGTTCAAGTGATGCAGTAGCAGAGTGTAAATAAGATGGGGATTCTTGGGTGAGATTGCGTTGATTCAAAGGTGAGTTCCACACCTTAAAAAATATGTAGGTTTGGAAAAATTACTTAACTTCTCCTTGCCTCAGTAAAATGGCTTAAGAAAAGTGCCCAATATTTAGAACTGTTAGGCAGTGAAAGAAGGAAACAAATGTTTCTTAGAACAGCATCTAGCACATATTAAGCCCTCAATAAATGTTAGCTCTTTATTAATATATTAGTGTCTTTATTTTAATATATTAAAGCATATAATACATCAGTATATTTTCTTAAAGACATTACTATGTTATATATCTCATATAGAAACTAAATGTGAGAAATATATATATATATATATATATATAAAACATATGTATCTCGCTGCACTGTATGTTAATAAGCAAAAGACCATGAGATTGTTTTCTCCCTTTTTAAGGCCCCTTTCTTCTTCAAGGTTAAAGTATCATTACATTTAAAATTAACACCATTAAAGAAGGGTTTGCACTTTCTGATTCCAGAGGCAAGAGTGAGAAAAAGAAAAAAATTCCACTTACTTAAATCTAAGACATACATTTAATTATTTTAAAATTATGGGCAAGTTGAGCCAAGATGGCTAACTAGATGCAGCCAGGAAGTGTCTCCAGCTGACAGACCAGACCACGAAGAAGACTGGCACGATCTGAACAGATCTTCAGAAGGAAGGCTTTGAGAGTGGATGCAGACCCTAGGATGAAGGGGTAGGAAGCTGGGAACCCTGTATGGAGCTGCCGAGCACCAGGACTTGTTCCTGGCCCCTACTGGCTCCTGAAAAAGGTGTGAATTAAATAGGCAAAGAGTGGCCCACTCTTACCCCAAACCTCCAGAATCCTAACTGCAGGAGACCCCATGACCCCCCACAGACATTTGAGCTGGAAGGGAGAGCTGCTTGAAGAAGTGGCAGGGACAGGACTCCAGCCTGTGTGGGGCCTAGAGGGTTTGGTGTGGAAACAGCTGAAGTGAAGGATGGCCAGGGACACCCATTCCCCACGGTTCACCATGCTTATTTAGATGGCTTTGGCCTTTGTTGACTGTTAGACCTGGTCAGAACAGGGCTATCTTGTCCATGGGATGGGGCCAGTCTGATCTGAGCATTGTCCTGTCTACCAGTCTCTCCTGGGGTTCCTCCACAGCCATGCCTGCTTGCAGCTCAGCCTTGGAGGCCCAACCAGGGTACTTCCTTGTGGCTGCCACCACAGCTCCTTCAACAGCAAACCCTGTATAACATTGAAGAACTTCAGCAGATGGGTCCCTGCCAATGTGCACCCACCAGCAGCTTCCCCCTACCACTGTGCCTGCACGTACCTGGCCACAGCCTACCCCTATTGGTTTCCATGTGTGTTTATGTGTTATGTGTATGGACTTCACTGCCCTGCTGCTGCTGACACATGTGTGGACCTCATTGTGTTGCCACCCTGTTGCTACTGGTGCACATGGACCCTGCTGCACTGCCACCATTGGCACATGTGCATGCAGACCCTGCCATGCCACTGCCAAGCTGCTGCCAGCACATGAACATAGACCTCGTTGCCACTGTCCTGATGAAGCACTTTATCTGGCACCCACCATCAGAGTGTTGTTGCCAGCAGACTGGAAACATCTTGACCTCTCTAGCACAGCAGGTGCTTAACCTTGGGGGCCAGAGAACAAAGCTGTGGCCTGATCCCAGGCCCCTGTGGTTGGAACACATAGCCCAGGAGTGCTGAGATGAGGTTAGGCACCCTGAAATCATTCAGAAATGAAGCCAGTCAACTGAACCCAAATTACACCATAGGCAAACCCTCGAGAGCATCAAAGAATATTAAAGCAAAAACCCCTCCCCAAAGGACAGCAACTTCAAAGATTAAAAGAACATCAGCCCACACAGATGAGAAAAAGCAGTGCAAGAACTGGCAGCTCAAAAACCAAGAGTGTATTCCTACCTCCAAATCTCCAAATGATTGACCTAGCTCCCCAGCAAGGGTTTTTTTTTTTTTTTTTTTTTGAGACGGAGTCTTGCTCTGTCGCCCAGGCTGGAGTGCAATGGCATGATCTCAGCCCACTGCAACTTCCGGTTCCCAGGTTCAAGTGATTCTCCTGCCCCAGCCTCCTGAGTAGCTGGGATTACAGGTGGCGCCACCACACTTGGCTACTTTTTGTAGTTTTAGTAGAGATGGGGTTTCACCATGTTGGTCAGGCTGGTCTCGAACTCCTGACCTGGTAATCCACCTGCTTTGGGCTCCCAAAGTGCTGGGATTACAGGCGTGAGCCACTGCGCCTGGCCAGCAATGGTTCTTAATCAGGCCGAAATGTGTGAAATGACAGACTTAGAATTCAGAATCTGGATGGAAATGAAGATTATCAAGATTTAGGAGAAAATTGAAACTTTCCAATCCAAGGAATGTAAGGAATACAGTAAAATGATACAAGAGATGAAAGATGAAATAGCCATTTTAAGAAAGAACCAAACTGCCAAACTGATTTGATAGAGCTGGAAAACTCACTACAGGAATTTCATAATATAATTGAAAGTATTAATAGGAGAAAAGACCAAATTGAGGAAAGAATAGCAGAGCACAAAGACTAGTTCTTTGAATCAACTCAGTCAGACAAAAATAATTTAAAAAGAATGAAAAAGAATGGATGAAACCTCTGAGAGATATGGGATTAGATGAAAAGACCAAATTTACAACTCATTGGTGTCCCTGAAAGAGAGGGAGAGCAAGCAACTTGGAAAACATATTTGGAGATACTCTCCACAAAAATTTCTCCAACCTTGCTAGTGAGGTCATATTCAAATTCAGGAAATTCAGAGAACCCCAGTGGCATACTATACAAGATGACCATCCCCAAGAGACCTACTCACCAGATTCTCTAAAGTCAATGTGAAGGAGAGCATATTAAAGGCAACTAGAGAGAAGGGGCAGGTCACCTACAAAAGGAACCCCATCAGACTAACAGTGGACCTTTCAGCAGAAACTCTACAAGCCAGAAGAGATTGGGCGTGTACATTCAACATTCTTAAAGAAAAGAAATTCCAACTGAGAATTTCATATCTAGCCAAACAAAGTTCACAAGCAAAGGAGAAATAAAATCCATTTCAGACAAGCAAATGCTAAAGGAATTTATTACCACCAGACATGCCTTGTAAGAGGTTCTTAAGGAAGTGCTAAGTATAGAAATGAAAAACTGTTACCAGCCTCAACAAAAACACACTTAGGTACATAGACCATTGACACTATAAAGTACCTATACAATCAAGTCTACATAACAACCAGCTAACAACACAATGACAGGATGAATTTACAGATGTTGATATTAACCTTGAATGTAAATGGGCTAAACGCTCCACTTAAAAGTCCCAGAGTGGCAAGTTGGATAAAGAAGCAAGACCCAACTGTATGGTATCTTAAAGAGACCCATTTCACATGCAGTGACACCCATAGGCTGAAAGTGAAGGGATGGAGAAAGATCTACCAAGCAAAGGGAAAATAAAAAAAGGCCAAGAGTTAATATTCTAATTGCAGACAAAATAGAGTTTGTCCCATCCAAGTAGTAACAGGCCCAACCCTGCTTAGCTTCCAAGATCAGACAAGATAGGGAGTATTCAGGGTGGTATGTCTGTAGACTGGACAAAATAGGCTTTAAACCAACAAAGATCAAAAAGAACAAAGAAGGATACTACATAACAATAAAGGGTTCAATTCAACGAGAAGACTTAACTATCCTAAATATATATGCACTCAACACTAGAGCACCCCGATTCATAAAACAAGTTCTTAGAGACCTGAGAAGAGACTTAGATAAGCACACAATAAAAATGATAGACATTAACACCCCCACTGGCAGTATTAGACAGATCATTGAGGCAGAAAAAAAACAAAAATATTCAGGACCTAATTCAACACTTGATCAAATGGACCTAACAGATATCTATAGAACACTCCACCCAACAATAACAGAATATACACTCTTTTCATTTGCAAATGACAGACACTCTAAAATCCACCACATACTCAGCTGTAAAGCAATTCTCAACAAATTCAAAAAACCCCAAATCATAGCAACCACATTCTCAAATCAAGCACAATAAAAATAGAAATCAATACTAAGATCTTGCAAAACCATACAATTACATGGATATTAAACAACATGCTCCTGAATGACTTTTGGGTAAATAATGAAATTAAGGCAGAAATGAAGAAATTCCTTGAAAGTAATGAAAACAAAGATACAACATGCCAGAATCTCTGGGGCACAGCTAACACAGTGTTAAGAGGAAATTTTATAGCACTAAATACCCAAATCAAAAAGTTGGAAAGATATTAAATTAACAACCTAACATCACATCTAGAGGAACTAGAAAATCAAGAGCAAACTAACCTCAAAACTAGCATAAGAAAATAAATAACCAAAATCAGAGCTGAACTGAATGAAATTGAGACATGAAAAACCATACAAAAGACCAATGAAACAAAAATTTGGTTGTTTGAAAGAATAAATAAGATTGATAGATCCATAGCTAGACTAATAAAGAGAAAAAGATGATCTAAATAAACCCAATTGGAAATGAGAAAGGGGACATTACCACAAACCCTACAGAAACACATAAAACCTTCAGAGGCTATTTTAAACACCTCTATACACACAAACTAGAAAATCTAGAAAAGTGGACAAATTTCTGGAAGTATATAGTCTCCCAATATTGAATCAGGAAGAAACTGAAACCCTGAATAAACCAATAACAAGGTTCAAAATTGAATAAATAATGAAAAATCTACCAACCAGAAAAAGTCCTGACCAGACTGATTCACAGCCAAATTCTACCAGACATATAAAGAAGAGCTGGTACCAATCCTACTGAAACTATTCCAAAAAATTGAGGAGGAGAGACTCCTTAACTCATTCTATAACACCAGCATCACTGTGATATCAAAACCTGGCAGAGACACAATGAAAAAAGAAAACTTCAGGCTAATATCCCTGATGAACATAGATGTAAAAATGCTCAACAAAATACAAGCAAACTGATTTCAGCAGCGCATCAAAAAGCTAATCCACCATGATCAAGTAGGCTTTATCACTGGGATACGAAGTTGGTTTAGCATATGCAAATTAATAAATGTGATTCATTGTTTAAACAGAACAAAAAGCAAAAATTACATGATTATCCAATAGATGCAGAAAAGGCTTACAATAAAATTTAACATCCCTTCATGTTAAAACCCTTCAACAAACTAGGCATTGAAGGAACATATCACAAAATAATAAGAGCCATTTATGACAAACCCACAGCCAACATCATACTGAACAGGTGAAAGCTGGAAGCATTCCTCTTGAGAACTTGAGAAAGATAAGGATGTCCACTCTCACTTCTATTCAACATAATACTGGAAATCCTAGCCAGAGCAATCAGGCAAGAGAAAGAGATAAAAGGCATCCAAATAGGAAGAAAGGAAGTCAAACTATCTCTCTTCACAAACAATATGATCCCATACATAGAAAACTCCATAGTCTCTGCCCAAAGGCTCCTAGAACTGATAAACAACTTCGGCAAAATTTCAGAATACAAAATCAATTACAAATATTAATATAAAATTTCTATACACCAATAACTTCCAAGCTTAGAGCCAAATCAGGAATGCAATCCCATTCACAGTAGCCACACACAGAAAAATAAAATACCTCAGAATACAATTAACTAGGGAGGTGAAATATCTCTGCACAAAGAATTACAAAACACTGCAGAAAGAAATCACAGACTGCACAAACAAATGGAAAAACATTCCAGGCTCATGAATTAGAAGAATCAATATTGTTAAAATGGCATACCGCCAAAGGCAATGTACAAATTCAATGCTATTTCTATTAAACTGCCAGACATTTTTCATAGAATTAGGAAAAAACTATTCTAAAATTCATGTAGAACTAAAAAAAGAGCTTGAATAGCCGAAGCAATCCTGAGCAAAAAGAGCAAAGCTGGGAGCATAACACTACCTGACCAGACTTATACTACAAGGCTACAGTAACCAAAACAGGATGGTACTGGTACAAAAACACATAGAACAATGAAACAAATTAGAGAACCCAGAAATAAAGCTGCACACCTACAACCATCTGATCTCTGACAAAGTCAGTAAAAACAAGTAATAGAGAAAGGATTGTCTATTCAATAAATGGTCCTGGGATAGCTGACTAGGCATATGCAGAAGATTGAAACTGGCCTCCTTCCTTTCACCATATACAAAAATTAACTCAGGATTGATTAAAGACTTAAATGTAAAACCTAAAACTATAAAAGCTCAGGAAGAAAACCTTGAAAAGATCATTCTGGACATAAGACCTGGCAAAGATTTCATGATGAAGACTCCAAAACAATTGCAACAAAAACAAAGGTTGACAAATGGGACTTAGTTAAATAAAGAGCTTCTGCACAGCAAAAGAAACTATCAACAGAGTAAACAGACAACCTATAGAATCAGATAAAATATTTGCCAAATATGCATCTGACAAAGGTCTAATATCCAGAATCTATAAGGAACTTAAACAAATTAACAAGCAAAAAACAAGCAACCCTACTAAAAAATGGGCAAAGGACATGAACAGACACTTCTCAAAAGAAGACATATGCACATCCAGCAAGCCTATAAAACAAGCTTATAAAAAATGCTCTACATCACTAATCATAAGAGAAATGCAAATCAAAACCACAATGAGAGTCTATCTCACATTAGTCAGAATGGCTATTACTAAAAAGTCAAGGAAAAAAAGCAAAAAAAAAAAAAACAAAAAACAGATGTTGATGAGGGTACAGAGAAAAGGGAATTTTTATACACTGCTGCTGGGAATGTAAATTAGTTCAGCCATTGTGGAAAGTAGTTTGGATATTTCTCAAAGAACTAAAAATAGAACAACCACATGTCCCAGCAATCTCATTACTGGATATATACCCGAGGAAAATAAATTGTTCTACCAAAAAGACACCTTCACTCATATGTTTATTGCAATGCTATTCACAATAGCAAAACATGGAAACAACCTAGGTGCCCATCAATAGTGGATTGTATTTTTAAAATGTAGTATATATATATTATGGAATACTACACAGTCATAAAAAAGAATGAAATTATGTCCTTTTCAGGAACATAGATATAGCTGGAGGCCATTATCCTAAGCAAATTAATGCAGGAACAGAAAGTCAAACATTGCATGTTCTCACTTATAAGTGGGAGCTAAACACTGAGTACATATAGATGCAAAGAAGGAAACAATAGAAACCAGGGCCTGCTTGAGGTTGGAGGGTAGGAGGAGGGTGAAAATAAAAAAACTACCTCTCAGCTACTATGCTCATTAACTGGGTGATGAAATAATATGTATACCAAGCCCCTGTAATGTGCAATTTACCCATGTAACAAACCTGCACATATACTCCCTGAACCTAAAATAAAAGTTGGAAAGAAAAAAATTATGGGCTATAATGTCATCATTTGTTCAGTTCTCCATGTAAATGCCTTAATCACAGAGAATCAACCAAAGTACAAATTAAGTTCTCTCTGAAAATATAAAACCTAAAAATCATATAATTTATCATACAATTTACCAATGAAGACCATCCTCAAAAATTACTTGGCCCCTGTCTGTATTTCCTGCAAAGGGATCTGTTAAACGTGTTGAATAAGGATAGATACTATGAGACAGCCCAAATAGAACTTGTTATGGACTATATATTCCAGGCAACTTATCCTCATCCACTGAACATGTTTCCTGTTTGTCTTTGGCTGTGTTTGGTAAAAACCCTAAAACTGATACTGAGCTTCATGTCCTCACAGTGGGATGTGGAAGAGTCTCTTCCACTGCAATTATAGCTGTATTATTAGGACCTGAATTCCTATATACAGCGTGAAGGAAAAAACTGTATTGGTCTTGTTACAGTTTAAGTGTGTCCCCTACAAGGTTATGTGTTGGAAAGTTAATCCCTCTGCTCTCATGAATAATGAGAGTTCTCTCATGAATGGATTAATGGTACTATCACCAGAGTGGGTTCATCATCACAGGAATGGCTTTATAATAAAAGTGAGCTTCCTCTGGCTCTCTTGCTCTTGCCTTCTCACCATGTGATGCCTTCTGCCATGTTTTGAAGAAGCAAGAAGGTCCTTGTCAGATGTCAAGCAGATGCTCTTGGACTTCCCAACCTCCAGAACTGTGGGCCAAATATGTGTCTTTTCTTTATAAATTACTCAGGCTGTGGTATTGTGTTACAGCAAAATGAAATGGACGAAGACAGTCTTGACCGCTCCAATCTTCTCAGTGGCTGGCACGTAGTAGATGTTTACAAAATTTTGGTTAATGTGTAAATAAATAAAATAAAACATTCCTACTTACAGCCAGAGGTTCATTTCCTCTGGGACATTATAGACATATATGTATGTACGCATTTATTAGGTTCTTAATTACACCCACAAAGAGTACTGTCGTCTTTAGAAAAATGAAACACTGTAAGCAACAGTTCTTCTAAGACTGTTAGTCCTTAATGTGGTGATAAAATGACCCAATGCCAACTCCCACATATTTCCAATTTAGCAAACCAACTCAGAGGGGCTCATGTTTTCAGAAAGACAGGCCTTCAGGTTAGAAAAAAATTATATCCAACTGTAGGAGACCACCAATAGAAGATGACTTTCCCAATATACATATTTGGGTCCTTCAGTCCATGCAACACTAGCAGTTTGAAACAATTTATGATAATAATTTTTCAAGGTGGGGGTAAGAAGGGATGTAGAATGAATAATTATAATATAATTATTAAATGACATCTGATTTCCTCCCCAGACCTAGCCTCATAGGAACTCCTGATGCTTACATTCCTGGGCTTTCCATTGCATAGTCACCACAGAGCAGTTTATGTTTTCCAAGGTGTGGGTCATATCTTGTGCCTCTAGATAATGCACAAAATAGCTAACAAGACATTCATCATCTATGAGGGGAGAACACTATTTTGTCAATTATACTTTGGCTTCTCAGTGCTTCCATAACCCGTTTAATTAATTAGCTGGATCATGACTGACAAAGCACATTTATACTAAGCCTTCATGTGCTTTGGGAACCCAGGAAGAGTCAATCAGACTACGAGAAGAGCAGGAGCTGTAGTACAGCCAAGCTTCCCAGGAGCAGAAACTGGAGCCAAGGCAGTCCTTCAGACCTCAGCACAGGAGTTTATTGATCCTCACTTTAATACTCTGTCATCAGTAAAAGTCAGCTATTTTCTTCATATGCCCGTTTCTTTACTGATGACTTCCTCCTCTTCTACTCTCATTGTGCCCTTTGTGTGCCTCATGACTTTGGCTTATTTCTAGTTTTTTAATCTCTCTGTCTTTACTTTACACATGGCCTAGCATGGTTTTGACAGATTCTCTCTGTATCGAAAACTTTCTCCTTTAGCTCCCACTAATAATATGCTTCTGTTTCTTACTATTTGTTGATTCAAAGATGTGAGAGTGGAAATCTGATTATCCAAGCTCATATTTTCACAGCATCACAGCAAACAATGTCATAGGTTATAGTCAGTCTGTGGATTGGGATTGCCCATGACTAGGGTTCAGATTCAAAGAGAGAGAGAGAGAGAGAGAGAGGACACATCTGGTTAAAATTATAGGTTGTGGAATCAGACTGCAAAGGCTGAAATATTGTCCTGCCACTACCATGTGTCTATGGTATTCTCTCTGAACATCCATTTATTCACCTGTAAAATAGAGATAATAAATGTGCCCATACAATAAGCTTGTTGTGAGTTAGTATGTGTAAAGCATCTACCACAGTGCCTGGAACATGGTAAACACTCAATAAATGTTAGTTATTATAATATTACTACTAGTAGCAGTATTTTAGGACAACTCCTCAGATGGGATAGTTTCTCTTAGAATTAAAAAAAATTTAAACCCATAAATACTTAAGAATAAATCTAGCAAAAGATGCACAAGACTTCTACATAGAAAATCACATACGGCTGGGTGCAGTGGCTCACACCTATAATCCCAGCACTTTGGGAGGCCGAGGCAGGCAGATCACCTGAGGCCAAGAGTTCCAGACCAGCTTGGCCAACATGCTGAAACCTTGTCTATACTAAAAATACACACAAAAATTAGCTGGGCATAGTGGCACGTGCCTGTAGTCCAAGCTACTCAGGGAGGCTGAGGCAGGAGAATCGCGTGAACCCAGGAGGCAGAGGTTGCAGTGAGCCAAGATCGTGCCACTACACTCCAGCCTGGGCAACAAAGGGAGACTCTATCTCAGAAAAAAAAAAAAAGAAAATCACAAAACATTATTGAAAGAAGTTAAAGAGATACAATTACGCATGTTATAAAACTGAATATTATAAAAATATCAGTTCTTATCCAAATTTTTCCTAGATTTGGTGTCATTTTAATCAAGATGCCAGTAGGTACTTTTGTATATGTGGAAACTGACAAACTGACTTAAAAATTTATTTGGAAAAACAAAGAGCTAGGAGTAGCATCATACTTTTATAAAAGAACAAAGTTCTTACTCTATAAAGCAGAAAAACTTCTTATAAAGTTACAGTAATTTAGACAGTGTGGAATTGTCAAAAGAGAAGATGAATAGACCAAAGAACAGAATAGAAGATCCAGATAGACCCAAGGAATGTAGATACCTGATTTATGATGAAGATTTTACTGAAGATCAATAAGTGGTGCTAAGTTAATTAAATATCAATAAATAATATGTAGATATAGCTTGATCTCTACCATACATTAAGCACAAAATAAATTCCAAGTAAACTGTAGGTATAATGTGGAAACTAGTAATCTATAAGGCCTCTACAGTATTACAGAGAATATTATCATGATTTTAGAATATACAAAAATATTTGATAAATTGAATTAGGTTAAAACTAAGAAATATCGTTCATGAAAAGACACCATTAGGAGAAAAAGCTTTAGAGTGAAGAAGAGGTGAGAATGGCTCCTGGACCAACCACAGCCACTGCATCCTGCGGCCACTGCATCCCATGCCCAGCACCTACCACCCACCACAATCTCCGACACCATGCCCAAGAAGAAAGGCTAAAGGGGATGCTAAAGGAGTTAAAGCCAAGGTGAAGGACAAACCACAGAGAAGATCTGTGAGGTTGACTGCTAAACCTGCTCCTCCAAAGCCAGGGTCCAAGCCTAAAAAGGGCCCTGCAAAGAATGGAGAGAAGGTACTCAAAGGGAAAAAGGGAAAAGCTGATGCTGGCAAGGAGGGGAATAACCCTGCAGAAAATGGAGAGACCAAAACAGACCACGCACAGAAAGCTGAAGGCGCTGGAGATGCCAAGTGAAGTATGTGCATTTTTGATAACTGTGCACTCCTGGTGATGGTACAGTTTGAAATATTATTTTTATCATGTTTTACGAAAATGCAGAATTCTGTTTTAAGTTATGCTGTTAGCACACAGAACACTTGTTTTTGGGGGAAGGGACATACGTCACTAATAGAATGTCTCCAAAGTTGGATTGATGTGGAGAAAACACCTTTCCCTTCCAGTTTTGAGAGACTTCCTCTTGGCTCCCAGGAGGAGGGATTCCATGACTTTGAGACACATGGCCACCTTGGCACAAAACCTTTGTGGTATGAAAAAACAAATTCATTTTTTATGTCATTGTCTCCCTTTCCACCTTTCAACATAGAATTAACTCCCTTAAATCCAGACACCTGTTGGGACTGACCCCCAGTCATTGGTTACCAGTGTGTCAGGCAATCTGGACTTCCCAGTGATGCCACTGAGATGGTGCCCTTCAAAACAGCAGTGGTTCTGTTTCTAGATTGTGGATCTTCAGATAAATTCTGCCATTTTTTTTTCAGTTCCTGAGAGTCAGGGTCGGCTCGTGAAAAGTTGTTAAACAACATGCTAAATATGAAATGTCAACCCTCACTCTAAACTTCCCCTGTTCAGAGCATCAGATGAAGACTTTATTCGGTTTCATAGTGGCTTTCTAATTTTTGGTAGTCCATTGAAGAAGGGAGTTTGAAAGTTGCTGTATACTGTTAACAATTTCTGCCCATGTCCTGCCTGAAATACCATGATTGTTTTTGGAAAGTATCTTTAATAAAGCTGGATATGGTTTGGCTTGAGAAAAAAAGAGAGAGAAAAAGCTTTGAGAAGATATTACTATATGTGTCTTTCTATGCATAAATTACTAAATCTAATCAAAGCCTTGTGTCTAGAATCCATAAAGAATGCCTATAAATCAAGAAGAAAACAACTGAAAACCCAATTTAAGAAATGGGCAAGAGAGTTGATCAGGCATTTCACAAGAGGATATCAAGTGGCCAATAAACATTTGAAAAGGTGCACAGTTATTAGAGAAATACAAAGTAAAATCACACTGCAATACCACTTTACACTCACCAGAACAACTAAAACTAAAAAACAGTGAAAATGCCATTACTGGGAAATTGCAAAGCAACTGTATCTCTCAAAACACTGCTAGTGGAAATGCATAATGGTGCAACTAATTTCAGTTCTTTATATAGGAAATGAATGAATATGCATATCAGAAGACATGTAACAGAATGTTCGCAGAGCATTATTCATTATAGCTCAAACCAACTATGACTCAAAAGCTATTGTAGTAGAATGGATAAATGAATTTCAGTATTTCCAGATCAAAGTCATAATGAGATACCATTTCATATCCACTAGCATGGCTATAATCAAAAAGCAAATGTAAACAAGTGTTGGTGAGGATGTAAAGAAATTGGAACCCTCATGCATTACTAGAGAGAATGTAAAGTGGTGCAGCTGCTTTGGAAAACAGTTCGGCAATTTTTCAAAGGTTAAACATAGAGTTACCATATGGCCAGCTAGTACATGATGTTCATAAAAGTATTTTTCATAGTAGCCAAAAAGTGGAAAAAACTCAAATGTTCATCAGCTGATGCATGGGTAAACAAAATGTGATATATTTATACAACGGCATATTATTTATTCACTCATGGAAAATAGAATGGACTGTTGATACATGCTACAACACAGATGAACATTGAAAACATTACACTAAGTGAAAGAAGCCAGAGACAAAAGGGCACATACTGTGTGATTCCATTTATATGAAATGTCCAGAATAGGCAAGTAGGTAAGTGGCTGCCAGAGGCTTGTGGATGGGAACAGGAATGAGGAATGGCTGCTAATGGTTACAGGGTTTCTTTTTGGGGTGAGAAAAATGTTCTGAAATAGATAATAGTGATTCTTGAACACAACTTTGTGAAAATACTAAAAAGCCACTGAACTGTAGACTTTAAAACAGTAAATTTTTTATAGTATAAATATATATCAATAAAAATAAAATAAGAATTATATGGCCTAAAATGTCAATAGTATTGAAAACTAAGAAACCTTGTCTAGGCCAGGCTCAGTGGCTCATGCCTATAATCCTAGCATTTTGGGAGGTTAAGGTGGGCAGATCACTTGGCTCAGGAGTTCAAGACCAGACTGGGCAACATGGCAAAACCCTGTCTCTACAAAAAATATAAAAATTAGTTATGGGTACTGGCGTGTGACTGTAGTCCCAGCTGCTTGGGAGGCCAAGGTGGGAGAATCACTTGAGCCCAGGAGGTTGACGCTGCAGTGAGATTGCACCACTGCACTCTAGCCTGGGCGACACAGTGAGACTCTGTCTTAAAGAAAAAAAAAAAAAAGAAAGAAACTCTGATTCAAATACATGCTAAATGCATCACTTTGCTACAGATAGCTAAAAGGCAGGCTATAAAACAAGGCCTTTAGCTAGGCAGCCATGTACTCAGCTAAAAATTTTACTGTTATCTATAACAAGGGTTGCCATACTATGGCTAGAGACCAACTTCCACTAGCACCTATTTTTGTAAATGAAGTTATTGGAACAGAGCCTGCCCATTTGTTTATGTATTACATGGCCCTCAAAGCCAAACATAATCACTATCTGGGCCTTTACAGAAAAAGTTTGCTGAACTTGCTTTAGAAAAAAGAAAGAAGGGCTACTGGGGACAAGTAACAATCTCGGACACAATCTCCCACGACAGAAACAGCCTTAGTTCCACATGGTACATTTCCTGAGTGGTACAGCTCTTTCAATTCACACATAAAAACAATTTTTCACCTAACAACCCACAGCTTCAGTGTGGGAAGGTAGAAACAGTCTCCGTAAGGAATGCTCCCCTCTAGCCTCAATGTGAAAGCTGACCCTCTGATCCATACAACTTTGGTCCTCATGGGGAGTATATTTTTACAGGCATTGTCCCCCTATCCTTTATTTAGACCTCGGTCAGGCCTACTCTGGTCCATCAGCCATCTTTCAATATCTTTATGCCTCTGTTAAATTGCAGATACAACTAGACATATGTGGGAAGATGACGATCCTAATTCATCTGGCCACACACCTCTTGCAAATGGGCTGGAGGGTAATGCCACTCATGAACAGAATCTGAACTCTCCAAGATTACATTTCTATCAATACATCCTATTATATTTCTTAAAAATGCAAACTACCTTGTTGACTCCTTTTATTAAATTATTTACCCATAACTTAACAAATATTATGTTCCTGGCATTGGCTATAGAAGTGAACAAATTAAATCCCTTTACTCATTGCACTTATGTTCTAGGGTCAGGAAGGTGGGGGTAAGGGTGAAGAAAATAAATGAATAAACAAAAACACAGATAAAGCTGAGTGAGCGATTACAGAATGAAGAGGGGCAAGAGGTTATTTAGATAAGATGGACAGGGAAGGCCATTCTAAGTAGGTGATAAATGAAGACTGGGCTGAAGTGAGATAGCAGGTCATGTGACCCAACTGGAAGCATTTCTGGGAGAGGAAACCCAGCAGGCACAAATACTGTGAGATGGGAACAAGCTTGATGTATTGAAGACCAGCAGGAACGCTGTGGCTGGAGTAGAGTGAGAAGAGAAAGAGAGGGAGGAGGCAAGGCTGGAGAGGCAATCAGAGGGCAGATAATGTAGGGAGATGGGAAGTCATTTGAGCTCTAAGATAAAGGCAGTTATATGATCTGATTTATATTATGAAATACTTTGGCCACTATATAGAAGGTAAGGGTGAAAGCAGAAAGACTAGGTAGGTGGTTATTACAACAGTCAGATGTGGAATGAGGGTGGCTAGGGCTGAGATGACAGTGGGGGAGAAGGTGAGGAATGCCTGGATTTGGAATATATTCTGATGTTAGAGGCAGCAGAAATTGCACATAGATTAGATGTAGGACATGAGAGCATAAAAGAATCAAAAAAATACCAATGACATTCTTCACAGAAACAGAGAAAAAAACAATCCTACAATTTATATGGAACAACAAAAGACCCAGACTAGCCAAAGCTATCCTAAGCAAAAGAACAAAACTGGAGGAATCACATTACCTGACGTCAAGTTATACTACAGAGCTTTAGTAACAAAAACAGCATGATACTGGCATGAAAACAGACACACAGACCAATGGAACAGAACAGAGAATCCAGAAACAAATCCACACACCTACTCATTTTCCACAAAGGTGCCAAGAACATACATTGGGGAAAAGACTGTCTCTTCAACAAATGGTGCTGGGCAAACTGGATATCCATATGCAGAAGAATAAAATTAGACCCCGATCTTTTGCCATATACAAAAGTCACATCAAAATGAATTAAACACTTAAATCTAAAACCTCAAATTATGAAACTCTGGGGAAAATCTAATATCCAGGACATTGTTCTGGGCAAAGACTTCTTGAGCAACATCCCATAAGCATAGGCAACCAAAGCAAACAGACAAATAGGATCACATCAAGTCAAAAAGCTTCTGCACAGCAAAGGAGGCAATCAACAAAGGGAAGACACAAGTGACAGAATGGGAGAACATATTTGCAAACTACCCCTCTGACAAGGGATTAATAGCCAGAATATATAAGGAGCTCAAATAACTCTACAGGAATAATCTAATAATCTAATTGATCTAATAATCTGATCAAAAATGGGCAAAAGATTTGAATAGACATTTCTCAAAAGAAGACATACAGATGACAAACAGGCATATGAAAAGGTGCATAACATCACTGATCATCAGAGAAGTGCAAATCAAAACTACAATGAGATATCATCTTACTACAGTTAAAACAGCTTTTATCCAAAAGACAGGCAATAAGAAATGCTGGCAAGGATATGGAGAAAAGGGAGCCCTCATACACTGTTGGTGGGAATGTTAATTAGTACAACCACTATGGAGAATAGTTCAGAGTTTCCTCAGAAAAACTAAAAATTGAGCTACCACATGATCCAGTAATCCCACTACTGGGTATATACCCAAAGGAAAGGAAATCAGTATATCGAAGAGATATCTGCACTCCTGTGTTTGTTGCAGCACTGTTTATAATAGCTAAGATTTGGAAGCAACCTAAGTGTCCCTCGACAGATGAACGGATGAAGAAAATATGGCACATATATACAATGGAGTACTATTCAGCCATAAAAGAGTGAGATCCTGTCATTTGCAACAATACGGATAGAACTGGAGATCATTATGTTAAGTGGAATAAGCCAGGCAAAAAAAGACAAACGGCATGTTCTCACTTATTTGTGTAATAGAAAATCAAATCAATTGAACTCATGGAGATAGAAAGTAAAAGGATGGTTACCAGAGGCTGGGAAGGGTGGTGGAGAGTTGAGGGGAAGGTGGGAATGGTTAATGGGTACAAAAAAACAAAATAAATATGACCTACTATTTGATAGCACAATAGGGTGACTATAGTCAATAATAACTGAATTGTATATTTTTAAATAAAGAATACAATTGGATTATTTATAACTTAAAAGATAAGTGCTTGAGGGGATGGATACTGCATTCTCCATGACATGCTTGTTTCACATTGCATGCCTGTATCAAAACCTCTCATGTACCCCATAAATATATACATCTACTATGTACCCACAAATATTTTAAAAAAAAATTAAAAAGAAAGGATCAAGGATAACTTCAAGTCTGGGGTCTGCACAACTGAATAAATGACGGTGGCATTATCTGAGATGAGGAAGGCTGGAGGAGAAGCAGATTTGGGAGATGGAGGAAAGAGAGTCTTGCTCTGGATATGCTACATTTGAAATGCCTGTTAGACATGCAAGTGGAGAAATTAAAAAATAAGTTAGATATATTAAGTCAAGCTTTAAGCTCAGGGGAGACCTGCAAGCTCACTAAAGTCATGGGACATTCAGAAAAGAGAGGGGAGCAGAGTTCTGAGCAGAGGAGAAGAAATGGATGCACAAGTGAGGATTTGTCCATAGATAAGAGAATGGCAATTCCATTCATTGTAATCCAAGGGACAATGGAGTAAATGAATGTAAATGCTAGAGGCTTGGTAGATTTGTGATGGGCAGTTACATGATGATCAGTTGAGAGTAAGAAAAGGGAATGGGATGTTGAGGATTTGAAGATGGAGAAGGGTGAACATGATTTTCAGAGAACATAGGGTAACAGCATAAATATACAGGGCATAACAATGCTGGCAGGTCTGTGTATATTATGTACAATGATGGGCTTGGTGAAAGCAATTTGGAAGTTAAAAAGATTAAAAGTAATGAGGACAATCAATAATAATTTTCTTTGACTCAATCTTATTCTGGGAATTGGCCCAAGGCAGTAATTGAAAATAAAATAGTAATGCTTGTCAAATGTGGATATTAAGTTTTATTAGTGTCATAAAAAAGTTTTCTCTATATGTTGGGTAATCTAAATGATTGTTTATGTAGTAGCCACTGGGCATCACTAAGAGATCCCTATGCCTCAAGCATGAGAGAGGGAGGGAACTTGGCTTCCTATTCCCTACGAGGCTCTTGGCAAGTCCTGTGGCCCATCCCTGGCCTGGCTCCTGTGGATCTCTCTGGCCTCATCTAGCACCAGGGCTCTCTGGCACTTTATGCCCTAGAGATACTGGATGGCTTGTAGTTGGCTTACACATGGTATTTGGTTCACTTCTAGGGCAGCTCAAAGAACTGTGCTCTTATGTGTTCATTACAGGTACTACATTCTTATCAAAAGATAAATCCAAGGGACAGAGTAAGATTGCCTAGAAGACAATAGTCTTCTAGGTAATTGTATCTAGATGTTCTTTTCTTTATTCATCCCAAGTCAACCAATTGGAATAGGAACAATGATTCTTTTTGGCCTTAGATATGTCTGTTCCTCATTCTGATGACTAATTTAAAGCAGAATTTCAAACAAAAAGGGCAATTCTTGCAAGAGACCTGCAATGGTGAAGAGAATGCTAGCGATTTGCATCTTGAGCACATAACACACCTCAGCTTCCTCAAGAGACAGTATAGACAGTTGTGAAATCACAGACTGGCTGACAACAGGCTAAATGGGTTTGCATCCTAGTTCTGCCATTCATTCATAGGGCCTGGAACAACTTCATTAACCTCTCTGTATCTTCATGTCCTCCTTGTCAGAATGAGGACATAGTAGTACATGCCTCAGAGAGTTGTTCTGAAAATTAAAGGAGTTTATCTATCCAAGGTATTTAGAATGGTTCCTAGCTGTCTCAGTTATACTTATAGGATGTTAAGTTATGGAAGTGATTGAGTAAACACAAACAAAAGATAATCTCACTGAAGGAGGATTTTATTTACTTGCTAGAGGAGGGGGCATGCCCTACCATGCAAGGCCACATGGGGAAGCATCAGTGTCAGTGAAGAGGCAGAAAGGAGCAAAGGGAAAGCCTGGCCCAGAGCCTTTCTTGGGTTTTCAATGGGAAAACAAGGCAAGGCAGAGGATACAAGTTAGAATGGGTTACTTTGAATAATGCTTGTGGGCTGTAGGTTATAGGATGATCTCTGGTTGTCTAGTACCTGGCTCTGGGTGATTTGGGGTGGGAAATATTGGCTTGGTGTATCAATTAGATGAAGGAGGAGGTTGGGGATATGGACTTGGGATTGGTGGTCTGAAAATGAGACATATGTGTGCAGGCCAGTTGTTTATTATCTCTAAAAGTTAGCTGACCCTGGGAGGGGCAGTCTCTTTCTGCCAAGCTAGCCTCCCCACAAGAAGCCAAAACATCATAAAATAGAAAATCTGTGATGAATACACTAGCCCACAGAAAGTGCTATATAAGTGATAGCTACTCATATGCAGGGGATACTGAGTCCTGTTAGACGTCAAAGACAAGGAAAGTTCAGACAGGACTGACTCAGTGTAAAGAATTAAGTTGCTCTTGTTTTACAGGTGCCAGAAAGTTTAGAAAAACTCCTGCCAAAGTTTGTATGTTGGCTTTCGTCCCCTCTGTTTCTGGAAAACTCCATGTCAACTCCAGTTTCTGAAACAATCTTATTAACTCTGTGGTCTTAAGAATTATAACTTTTTGTGCCTGTCCACCTGCTGGTTCACATGGAAACCAACCTAGGGATGTGCTTGACCACATTCTTGCTTTGACCATGGCACCAAAGCTTTACATTAATTAGCACTTTTAAATGTGATAATCCTAAACTAGTACCACTAAGCCAGACTAACCAAATAAATAAAAGTACACAAATGTGTGTGAGCCAAACATGGTAGTATCATAGGCTATCAGGGGGACATGTTGGGGACTTGTAGAAATATAATCATGAGGTAACAGTTGCATCAGTTCTTCCTGTTATCATCTGAAAATGACCCTCAACATTGATCAACAGCTTATTTTATCTGACCCAGTTTTCAGGGCCCAACTTGCCTTCTAGGTTGGTGCATGTCTATTAGATTAGAGCTCTTACCATGCTACCCTTGACCTCACGTACAAGAAGCTTCATAAACAAGTGAAGAAGTGGTAGAAGTGAAATGAAGATGAAAAAATTGGTTTGCGAATTCTGTCAAAAAATATCTGTGGGACTTTATTTATTTGTTTACTTATTTATTTAGAGACAAAGTCTTCCTCTGTCGCCCAGGCTGGAGTGCAATGGCGCGCTGTCAGCTCACTGCAACTTCCGCCTCCTGGGCTCAGGTGATCTTCCTGCCTCAGCTTCCTGAGTAGCTGGGACTATAGGTGTGTGCCACCATGCCTGACTACTTTTTGTATTTTTAATAGAGATGGGGTTTCACCATGTTGGCCAGGCTGGTCTCGAACTCCTGACCTCAAATGATCCACCTGCCTTGATCTCCCAAAGTGCTGGCATTATAGGCATGAGTCACTGCACCTGGCCAGGACTTTATGGCAACTGACTGAATACAGGGCATAAGCAGGGGGCAGATGCTGAAATCTAATGACCTTGGGAAATGGGTGTTACCACTAAGAAATGAAGTTAAAAGAAAATTGGTTTGGAGTGTCAAGAGAGTCCATACTGGACATACTGTATTTGAGGTGAAGTGATGTCCAGATAGATTTGTCCTGTAGGAAGGAGGAGGTGTGAGCCTGGGTGAGAAGATGAGGTCAGGGTAGGAATGGTTGTGAAACCTGTGAGCAAGGACTAGGGTAGCCTAGGGCATGTGCCTGGAGTGTGGTGGAGGGAGAGAAGAGAGTACTGGAGAAAACAGAGACCAGGTGGTCAGAAGTAGAAGATCCAGGTGGCATGATCCCAGAGAAGCCATGGAGGAAGAGTTCACAAAGTAGAGAGCAGGCAATTGTGTCTAATGAAGTGTAGCGGTTACATGGGTCAAAGGAAAACTGATCATTGGATGTGGCAACACAGGAGTCCTTGGCAAGAACTGTCTGCATAGTGAGGTAAGGAAGCCACCTCCAACAATTAAAGAAACACTTTATCTGGGTCAGAAAGAAGTGACCAGCGTAGAAAACTTAAGTTTCACAATGAAGAGATGGGCGGACATACTACAGGGGCTCAGTTTATCATTTCTACTTTAAAAGTGTTATATTTGATGGACTCACGGGTATTCTCTTTTTCTTTTTGGAAAAAAAGAATTATGAACGTATGTGAGAGTTTTCCAACTGAAAATTGAACTTTAAGATTAATGCCAAAGTGGCCAAGCACTGTGGCTCATGCCTGTAATTCCAGCACTTTGGGAGGCCAAGGAGTTCGAGATCAGCCTGGGCAGCATGGGAAAACCCTGTCTCTACCACAAAAAATTAGCCTGTCATGGTGGTGCACACATGTAGTCCCAGCTACTCAGGAGGCTGAGGTGGGAGGATCACTTGAGCCTAGGAGACAGAGGTTGCAGTGACCTGAGGCTGTGCTACTGCAGGCCAGCCTCAGCAACAAAGCAAGACTCTGTCTCAAAAAGAGGGAAGAATAAAATGAAGAGGAAGAAGAAGAAGAAGAGGAGGAGGAGGAAGAGGAGAAGAAGGAAAAGAAAGATTATATTATTATTATTCAGCACTGTATTATTAACAAAAAGAAGGAAAATCTCTCTGCCCTGTGGTAATATCCATCCTCCACAACAAAATTATTACATGGTACATCTGAAAAGAATAACAACAAATCTTATGTTGTGCTACTCTTCTGGGTATATTATTATGCATCATAAACGTAATATTTTTAAAATAATGTAGATTTTCATAAACAAACAGAAGTGTCCGTTAGGCTTTCAAATGCCACCCTCTAAGAGCAACTTCATAGAATTTCATAGTGTAGATTAACAATGATAATAAATATAATTATAACTCACAAGATTCATGTTCAAATGTTATGGTCATATGTGAGACATGTTCCAATTGACTTCTTTGCAGAAATTGACAAGCTAATTCAAAAATTTGTATGGAAATTCAAGGGACTCAGAATAGCCAATCAAAAACAATCTCTAAGTAGAGGAATACATTTGGAGGGCTCAAGCTTCCTAACATCGAAACTTTTGACAAAGATACAATAAACAAGACAGTGTGGTCTGGATGTATAGATAAATGAAGTAGAACTATGAGTCCAGAAATAAACTCTCACATTTTATGATCAGTATATTTTAATAAGAGCCTCAAGACAATTCACTGGGAAAAGAATAATCTTTTCAACAAATGGTGCTGGGACAAATGAATATCCCAATGCAAAAGAATGCAGGTGGACCTCTACCTCATATCATACACAAAAATTTACTAGAAATGAATCAAAGACCTAAATGTATAAGTGCATAAAATGCTTACAAGAAAAAATAGGTTGTAGAACTTCATGACCTTAGATTAGGCAAAAGTTTTTTACATATGAAACTAAGAACACAACCAACTACAGAAAATATTTTAAAATTTCTCTTCCTCTGAATTAAAAATGTTTGTGATTCAAAGGACACCACTGAGAGATTAAAAAAATGACCCCCAAAATGGGATAAAATGTGAAAATCATAAGTTTACTAAGAGACTAGAATCCAGAATATATAAAGGACCCTTTCAACTCAATCACAAAAAGACAATTCAATGGAAATAGGGGCAAAAAATTTGAATAGACATTTCTTCTTCAGAACAGGAAAGATTTCAATAAAATTCTAGACAATGAAAAGTGAATGAGAATGTATTACTGGATGAGAATCCTGGAACAAGCTCCAAGGGGCTGCCATATAACTAGGAGGCAGAGGATATGCCTGGCAACCTCTGAAGGCTCTGGAGTCTGAGAGGGCAGACAGGACTGAGAGCAGGAGTGAGAAACTTGACTGAGAAGAGAATTCAGTTAAGGTTAAAATGCATGTGCAAAGGCAGCAGGAAATGTCATACCTACCCTCCTCTGGAAAACCCTGCAGTGGAAGATGGGAGATAGGAAGATTCTTCTCTAAAAAGTTAAACATTTTCCATTAACTTTCCTGATGTGGGTTTTTTAAGCATGTGCTTTTTTTGTCCCAAGCCACATGCCCTCAGCCCAGCGTGGATTTTAGTAGCAATTCTGGTGGGTACTTCCCATGCACAAATTCTCCCACCTCTCAGTCTCCCTGTGCTTTGTTCAGCCTTAAACCTTCTCCTGAGGCAAGGGGACATCAGTCATTCCCCCATAGGGTAGCCAGGAAATATTCCTGACAGCAAACCCCAGTGGGAGATGGGAATCCATGAAAAAAATGCCTCAGACTCTCATCCTTCAGAGGGACAATGCTAAGGCTCATTTTGTATGGTTCTTTAGAGGTTCCCAGGAGAGACTGAACCTCACTCTCCCATGTAGTGACTAGCTGAAAAACACATCTCTTCTCAGCAATTTCCATTTATCTGCTTATCCTCTTTATTTCCAGAATCCTGCTTCCTGGGATGAGCTCCTGCACCCAAGTCTGTTTCAGACTCTCCTTTGTGGGAAATGTAAATGTTTGTTTAAAAGTGTATAGATCTCTCTGTCTCTCTCTCTCTCTCTGTCCCTCTCTCTCCTTCCCCCACCCCCATGTGTGTATACACACACAAACACACATAAATATATACATCTGTCTTAGTATAAGAGACAACTTTCACTACTCAGTAAACCAAATTAACTTTCACACATGTGATTGTGATATGATGTATAGACTTTGGGGACCCTGGTATTAGAGCGGGGTAAGGAAGCTGACTCTGTCTTCAAGCACTGACATGACATGAAGATTCACCCAGGTTCCTTCCAGGGAACTGGCTCCTCCAGGCCTTCCCATTACCACAGCAGGTATCAGTAATGCAGCATTTCTTTTTCTTTTTTGTGTCAAGTTAAATTTTATGCCAAGGGCAGTGATAAGCCTGATATCAGTCATTTTTCAGGACTCCCTTTCTTTTTTCTTTTTTTTTTTTTTTGGAGATGGAGTCTTGCTCTGTCGCCCAGGCTGGAGTGCAGTGGCGCAATCTCGGCTCACTGCAACCTCTGCCTCCAGGGTTCAAGCAATTCTCCTGCCTCAGCCTCCCAAGTAGCTGGGACTACAGGCACACACTGCCACACCTGGCTAATTTTTTGTATTTAGTAGAGACGGGGTTTCACCGTGCTCTCCAGGCTGGTCTCAAACTCCTGAGCTCAGGCAATCCACCCACCTTGGCCTCCCAAAGTGCTAGGATTACAAGCATAAGCCACCACGCCCGGCCTCTCCCTTCTCTTTCTTTGGGCCTTACCAGGATTCTGGAGCTTCTTCGGGTTCTGGATGAATAAGGGAGAGTTCTCTGGCATTCAGTCTGTTGAGATCATTGCTGAAGATATGTTCAAGGCCCAATATCATTTAGTCCAGGAGTTTTGCCACAGGACAACAGCTCATGAGACCTCATTACACAGAAGGCAGATGGCTCAGTTGTGCCTACTCAACTCCAAGGACCTTTGCCCTAAATCCCCAAACCCTGGCACTAGGGGTGCTGCCCTGTCTCAAGGCAGGTACCTTTATCTTCTCAGTGCACTGCATTTGAGTGGTTCTGATTTCTATCACTTAAAGAAACCCACTTCCCTACTTCCTCGCTGGCCGGCTCCCACTTTTTCCTAATCTGACTTTGCAGGGATCTAGCTTTTCCCTCCTCCAACATGAGACAAACACCCTGGCTCTGTTTTCCCACTATTTTATCTCTTTCATAACGGACTTACTAGGTTGTTAAGATGCTCTAGATAAAACAATGAGGACCCTACTTAACATCCTAAAGCGTATACTCTGGGGATAACATTCTCCCGTCTTTAGAAAATTAAAAACCAGTATTCCGAACTAAGCAGCATGCTGCTTCTAAGTGGCAGAATGCAAATAATACTGTGGAGTATTTATGTCAACATCTGGTTCTGCTTAATTTTAAATAACTCAAGACATGTTACACTTGTCTTGGCTAAAATGGCTTTCTTAGTGTTTCCTGGTTAATCCAGAGGCTAATTAGGTCTGCATCAGAGAAAAATAGCATGAAGACATAATGTGCAAATTACATGAGCATATTTGCAAATGGTGCTCCTAGATACTTGAGAATTGAGAGACTCCTGGTGAAATAATACAAGGAAAATTCTCTCATCCATATGACATTAAGTTGTTTTGGCAAGAGAAAATGGCTCATGCTGAGTAGAGCAGATGCTAAGGAAAGCCATGTGAGCCTGGCCCATGCCCTCAGCCCACGTAGGAAGTCTAGTACAGGGAAAGGCTAAGCACAGCACAACATGCGCATATGGATAATGCTGGGCTGGCCTCTCCAGTCAAGCCTTGGCAGCAAATGTTAGGGTACAACTACAGTTTTGCCACAGGACCATACTCCATGACATAGTCCCTCTTAACAGAGAGAGAGCTGGGATGTAAATGTCTTTGGAGTAAGCCTTAGGAGCTTCATTTCTTGAGAAGAGATGGTATCTTCCTTCTTTCCTCTCCTCTGCTACTAGCAGGTAAGAGGAAAGTGAGGATTAAACATGTCATTGGGATGCATCAACTTGGTATAGCAGAAGACCCAGGGAGGTTAGGAGAGGGCAGAAGAGGAATGAGAGAACTGCAGTATCTGGGGGTGGCAGTGCTGGTGCTCACATGGGAGAGTGTGACTGACACTGGGAGATACACAATTGTATCAGCTCTGGCATCACAGCACCAAAAAATGGGGTGGTTTACTCAGGTGTTCAACCACAGTGTAGGTATGTAGAATTACACCCAGGCATAGCTGACAATGCAGATGTGAAGCTTTCAAGATGGGAACTATCCAGTGAAAGTCAGGTGAAGTCAAATGGAAGGTGCTGAGCATTGATGTGGCCCTGTGTTGATTGGTCACTTTGGAGAAAGTAGAGAGAGTGATCTTCTTATCTTGTCCTCTGGGGCACACTCCTGAAAGTAACATGATGAAAGACCATATTCTCAAAGGCAGAACTTTCAGGAATAACCCTTCTACGTCTTTGACCTCATCCTGCAGAATGAATTCCTTATCTACTCTTAATGTTATTGTTTTGTTTGTTTGAAGACAGGGTCTTGCTCGGTGCCCCAGGCTGGAGAGCACTGGCGCAATCTTGGTTCACTGTAACCTCAATCTCCCAGGGTCAAGGGATTCTCATGCCTCAGCCTCCCGAGTAGCTGGGATTACAGGCACCTGCCACCACACCCGGCTAATTTTTGTATTTTCTGTAGAGTCAAGGTTTTGCCATGTTCCCCAGGCTGGTCTTGAACTCCTGGCCTCAGGTGATCCACCCACCTCAGCCTCCCAAAGTGCTAGGATTTCAAACGTGAGCCACCGTGACCACCCAATGTTATTGTAATTAATTATTTTATTTTCTTTTCCTTAAGTTCCAGATTCATTATCAAAAAAAGAAGAAAATTATAGAAACACCTGTAATAGCTCCTTGAAGTCAACCACTCTTCGTTATATAGGCCACAAGGCATTTTTGTATACAGATACAGACATGTTTTTCTGGGTAGGGTGGTCAAGAAACATGGGCTGAAACAGTGTATACTTTTGTGACTTGCTTTTCTGAACAACTAGTGAAAAAAAAGTTTTATTGTGGTTATTACAAAGACTTTGCAGTTATTTGAAATATGTCAGTGACCCTCCTGGCCTGGATTCCTCAAAGATGCCAAAGAATTGAGTTGGCCTGCAGCTTTGTAAGATGGACTGTGAGACTAATTTAGGAGGAAAGGAGGCCTCTCCTCTCTCTTCCCTGGAGTCCCCCAACCCCTAGATTTCAAAAGCTGAGTAATGAAGCTCAGAGCATTACTCCAAAGTGACTGTGCCTCCCTCAAAGTCCCAGACCATAAGGCCAAAAGAATGATGGATAATGGAGGAACCAACAGAAAAGCCAATTCTCCCTTTGGTTTTACCTAGGTTTTATGGGGAAAACCTTCCTACCTTACTGAGCATTGCTCTATTTTAGGCTATTTTGCTTTTTGTCATGTAACACTCTGATTCTATTGTTCCCTGCTATGTCTCATTTTAATTTTTGGCACAGTCCAGGACTACTGTCTTTGAGATTCCATTTGAAGGATAATGGGAAGACTTCAAGGAATACAACCAAGAAAATCTACCTCACACTTCAGGATTCCCAGGGCAGGCCCTGGATGTAGTTTGGCAGGAAGCCATAAGGTAGGATGGGTAAAAGCATGGCCTCTGGGGCCAAGACTGCCTGAGCCTCCATCCTGGCTTTTCTGCTTACTAGTGTATGACTCAGTTTGGGCAAGAAACTTTACTTCTCTGCATCTCAGTTTCTCATTTGAAAAACAAGAGTGCTTTTATATTAGAACTTACATCACTAGGTTGTTTGTGAAATTTCAATGAATTTTTAGACATAAAGTACTGAGAGGTGAACACTCAGTTATAACTATGAGCTATTAATATGACCTCGGGAGCCCTCAGTCTCCTATTTCCCCTTGTTCACTGAGGATCTCTCCCTCAAACATTTAATCTCCTCTTCCTCTCCTCCTCTGTCCCATTCTCACCTCTCCTTGGAAAGAGATCATGCATGTTTGTGCCCCAATATAAAAGCTGAAGGGCATTTGAGATCTCATAGGCCTTAACCTGAAATGTTGAGTCTGGAGTTGCAGGTGCTGCTGACATTTGGAACATGCCTCCTGCAAGATCATTCTCAAAGCTGGCTGTCCCTGGACAGGAGGAACAGGATCCTTCATGGTTATAATGGTCATGCAATCTGATGGCTCTACAGTATTAAAATAATAAATTCCCTAAAAGATATTCCCTGAGGATCAGAGTCCACTGCAGCCCAGTCACGTGAAGGCAGAATCTTATTTCACAACCCTGTGTACTTCTCTGCATCAGGGACCAGAGGTGGGGTCAGAAACTTCTCTCCTCATTGTTCCTTAATGCTGGATTTTCACCATTCCTCTTTTAATGCTTGTGAAAGCCTCTGCTTTGACACAGTTGGTGCCATTTGGCACATTACCTTCTATTCTTCCTGTGTCTGTCATCTATTGACATTCTGGGTGCCAACTCTCATTCATCAAAGACTCAGTCACTCAGCTGGTCAATCTTTCTCTCTACTCTTAATCTGCCCGTTCATATTGGTAGCTTTAGTATCTAGACAGGACTAATTATCCAAAACCTTGGCTTTTAGTTTTTTGATTATTTTATTTTCAGTGGCCTTCTCCTCCCTTCTCACCTTATGCTCCCAAAGTTACACCCTAGATCCTGCCTTCACCTAGAACAATTCTGCCTATAAAATCACTAAATCAGACAGCCCATTCTTCACCATCATGTCCCATAATTTCTCCTTATTTTCTTTTCTGCCCTCCATATACTTGTTTTTCAGACTAATGTCTGGTCTAGTTACACACATAGTTTCTTAGAACCCTCTTGCCTCCTCTTGTCCTCATTTACTTTTAATCTAATTTCGTTTTTTTAAAATTTTGTTATTTTTAATTTTTGTGGGTACACATAGGTATATATATTTATAGGGTACGTGAGATATTTTGATACAGGCATGTAATGCACAATAATCACATAAGGGCGAATGGGGTATCCATCCCCTCAAGCATTTATTCTTTGTGTTACAAACAATTCAATTATAGTCTTTTATCTATTTTTAAATCTACAATTAAGTTATTATTAACTATAGTCACCCTGTTGTGCTATCAAATACTATGTCTTATTCTGTCTTTTTTTGTACCCATTAACCATCCCCACTTTTCTCCCACCCTCTCCCCCAACTACCCTTCCCAACCTCTGGTAAACATCCTTCTACTCTCTATCTCCGTGAATTCAATTGTTTTACTTTTTGGCTCCCACAAATAAGTGAGACTATGCGAAGTTTCTCTTTCTGTGCCTGGCTTATTTCACTTAATATAATGACCTCTAGTTGCATCCAAGTTGCAAATGACAGAATCTCATTCTTTTGTATGGGTGAATAGTACTCCATTGTGTGTATGTACCAACCACATTTTCTTTATCAGTTCACCAGTTGAGGGACACTTAGCTTGCTTCCAAATCCTGGCTATTGTGAATAGTGCTTCAATAAACATGGGAGTGCAAATATCTCTTTGATATGCTGATTTCCTTTCTGTTGAGCATGTACCTAGTAGTGGGATTGCTGGATCATATGCTACCTCAATTTTTAGTTTTTTGAGGAACTGCCATACTGTTGTCTTTAATGCCTGTACTAATGTGCATTCCCACCTACAATGTACAATGGTTCCATTTTCTCCACATCCTCATTAGCATTTGTTATTGCCTAACTTTTGGGGACAAAAAGCCATTTTAACTGGAGTGAGATGATATCTCTTTGGAGTTTTGATTTCCAGTTTTCTGATTATTCATGATGTTGAGCACTTTTTCATATCCTTGTTTGCCATTTGTATATCTTTTGAGAAATGTCTATTCAGATCTCTTGCTCATTTTTAAATTGGATTATTACATTTTTTCAGTAGAGTTGTTTGAGCTCCTTATATATTCTGGTTATTAATCCCTTGTCAGATAGGCAGTTTGCAAATATTTTCTCCCATTCTGTGGGTTGTCTCTTCAGTTCATTGACTGCTCTGCAGAAGCTTTTTAACTTGATGTGATCTCATTTGTCCATTTTTGCTTTGGTCTCCTGTGCTTGTGGGGTATTTCTCAAGAAGTCTTTGCCCACTCCAATGTCCTGTAGAGTTTCTCCAATTATTTTTTTGGTAGTAGTTTCATATTTGAGGTCTTAGATTTCAGTCTTTAATCAATTTTGATTTGACTTTTGTATATGGAAAAAGATAGGGGTCTAGTTTTGTTCTTCTGCATATGGATATCCAGTTTTCCCAGCACCATTTATTGAAGAGACGGTCTTTTCCCCAATGTATGTTCTTGGCACCTCTGTTGAAAATGAGTAGGTGTATGGATTTGTTTCTGGATTCTCTGTTCTGTTCCATTGGTCCATGTGTCTGTTTTTATGCTAGTACCATGCTGTTTTGGTTACTACATCTCTGTAGTATAATTTGAAGTCAGGTAATGTGATTCCTTCAGTTTTGTTCTTTCTGCCTAGGATAGCTTTGGCAATTCTGGGTATTTTGTGGTTTTATATAAATCTTAGGATTGTTTTTTTCTATTTCTGTGAAGAATGTCATTGATATTTTGATAGGGATTGCACTGAATCTGTAGACTGCTTTGAGTAGTATGGACACACAAAGTATTGATTCTTCCAATCTATAAACATGAAATATCTTTCCATTTTTTGTATCTTATTCAATTTCTTGAATCAATGTTTTATAGTTTCCATTGTAGAGATATTTCACTTCTTTGGTTAAGTTAGTTCCTAGGTATTTCATTTTATTTATATCTATTGTAAATGGGATTACTTTCTTGATTTCTTTTTCAGCTTGTTCACTGTTGGAATATAGAAATGCTACTGAGTTTTGCATGTTGATTTTGTATCTTGCAACTTTACTAAATTTGTTTATAAGTTATAATAGTTTTTTGGTGGAGTCTAGGTTTTCTTATTATAAGATCATATCATCTGCAAACAAGTATAATTTGACTTCTTCCTTTCCAATTTGGATGCTCTTTATTTCTTTATTTTGTCTGATTGCTCCAGCTAGGACTTTCAGGACTATGTTGAATAACAGTGCTGAAAGTGGGCATCCTTGTCGTGTTCCATATATTAGAGGAGAGGCTTTCAGTTTTTCCCCATTCAGTATGATACTACCTGTGGATCTGTCATATATGCCTTTCATTATGTTATGTTTCTTCTCTACCTGGTTTTTAAGGGTTTTTATCATGAAGGGATGTTGAATTTTTTTTTTTTGAAACTGAGTCTTGCTCTGTTGCCCAGGCTGGAGTGCAGTGGGGTGATTTCGGCTCACCGCAAGCTCCACCTCCCGAGTTCATGCCATTCTCCTGCCTCAGCCTCCTGAGTAGCTGGGACTACAGGTGCCCACCACCATGCCCAGCTAATTTTTTGTATTTTTAGTAGAGACGGGGTTTCTTTCACTGTGTTAGACAGGATGGTCTTGATCTCCTAACCTTGTGATCCACCTGCCTCAGCCTCCCAAAGTGCTGGGATTACAGGCGCGAGCCACCGTGCCCAGCCTGGATATTGAATTTTATCAAATGTTTTTCCAGCATCAATTGAAATAATCATATATGGTCAGGTGTGGTGGCTCATGCCTATAATCCGAGCACTTTGGGAGGCCATGGCAGGCGGCTCACTTCAGGTCAGGAGTTTGAGACCAGCCTGGCCAACATGGTGAAACCTGTCTTTACTAAAAATACAAGAAATTAGTAGGGTGTGGTGGCACACGCCTTAATCCCAGCTACTTGGGAGGCTGAGGCATGAGAATCGTTTGAACTTGGTGGGGTGGAGGTTGCAGTGAGCCGAGATTGCACCAGTGCACTCCAGCCTGGGTGACTGAGTGAGACTCCATCTCAAAACAAACAAACAAAAAGAAATAATCATATAGTTTTTGCCCTTCACTCTGTTGATATGCTGTCACATTGATTGATCTGCATATGTTGAACCATCCTTGCATCCCGAGGATAAATCCCACTTGATCATGATGAATGATCTTTCTTAATGTATGGTTGAATTTGGTTTGCTGGTTTGGACGTATTCTCTCTTCCTGTATTTTTCAGAATAGTTTGAGTAGGATTGTTATTAGTTCTTCTTTCAATGTTTGGTAGAGTTCAGCAGTGATGATAGCAGGTCCTGGGTTTGTCTTTGCTGGGTGACTTCTTTATTAGAGTTCCATTCTCATTACCTGTTACTGGTCTGATGAGATTTTAGCTTTCTTCATGGTGCAATCTTGGTAAGTTGTATAGGTCTAAGAATTTATCCATTTCTTGTAGACTTTCCAATTTATTGGCATATAGTTGCTCATAATAGCTACTAACAATCCTTTGAATTTCTGCACTATCCATTGTAATGTCTCCTTTCTCATCTCTGATTTTATTTATTTTGGTCTTTTTTTTTCATAGTCTGGACAAAGGCTTGTTAATTTTATCTTTTCAAAAAACCAATTTTTTATTTCATTGATCTTTTGAATTATTTTCTTCATTTCAATTTCACTTATTTTTGCTATGATCTTCATTATTTCTTTTCTTCTTCTAATTTCGGGTTTGATTTGCTCTTGCTTTTCTAGTTCTTTAAGATGCATCATTAGGTTACCTATTTGAAGTTTTTCTACTTTTAAAAAATGTAGGTACTTATAGCTATAAACTTCCCTCTTAGTACTGCTTTCACTGTATCTCATAGGTATTGGTATGTTGTGTTTCCATTATCAATTGTTTCAATAAATTTTTCAATTTCTCTTTTAATTTCTTTATTGACTCACTTGTCATTCAGGAGCATATTGTTTAATTTTCATATGCTTGTATGTTTTCCAAAATTCCTCTTGTTATTGATTCCTAGTTTTATTCCATTGTGGTCAGAAAAGATGCCTGATATTATTTCAAATTTTTTCAGTGTTTTAAGACTTGTTTGTGACCTAACATATTGTCTATCTTTAAGAATGATCTATGTGCTAAGAAAAGAATGTGTATTCATTGTTGATTTTCTGCCTAGAAGATCTGTCCAATTCTGAAAGTGAGGTGTGAAAGTCTCTAGCTATTACTGTACTGGGGTCTGTCTCTCTCTTTAGCTCGAATTATATTTGCATTCCAGTGTTGAGTGCATATATAAATTTACATTTGTTACATCCTCTTGCTGAATTGACCCCTTTATCATTACACAATCACTTTCTTTGTCTCTTCTTATAGATTTGTCTTGAAATCTATTTTTTTCTGATATGAATGTAGCTGTTTCTGTTCTTTTTTGGTTTCCAATGGCATGGAATATCTTTTTTCCATCAGTCTATGTGTGTCTTATAGGTGAAGTGTGTTTCTTGCAAGCAATATATTATTCAGTCTCTAAAAAAATTCTGTTCAGCCACTCTATGTCTTTTTTAAATATTTTAAGTTTAATTTTTATCATTCAAGTGTAACATTCCAAGTATAAATGATAAAATAGGTGTTATATTCTTTTGATAGTAGTAAAGTTATTGCAGCTTTTGTTAATGGAAAGAGAACTTTCAGAAGTAAATTTGTTATCTGAGGCTTAAGTATAGTCATGGACTTTTACCGTTTTTTATAACTTAAGAATGATTTAACATATACAAGTAGGATACACATAAATATTCAAAAACAATGCCAAGTATTTCAAATTCATTTGTTTCAAGAATAGTCTATTTAAAAAGATACTCTACTATGCTTGAATTTCTGATTTAAACATAAAATAAATTTCTCTGTGCCAATTTCTACAGGCTTTTAAAAATTATTTTAAGTTCTGGGGTACATGTGCAGAATGTGCAGGTGTTTTACATAGGTAAACATGTGCCATGGTGGTTTGCTGCACCTATCAACCCATCATCTAGGGATTAAGCCCTGCATGCATTAGTTATTTAACCTGAGGCTCTCTTTCCCCACACCCTCCCAACAAGCCCTTATGTGTGTTGTTCTCCTCCCTGTGTCCATGTGATCTCATTGTTCAGCTCCCACTTGTGAAGGAGAACATGTGGTGGTTGGTTTTCTGTTCCTGTGTTAGTATGCTGAGAATGATGGCTTCCAGCTTCATCCGTGTCCCTGCAAAGGACATGACCTAATTCCTTTTTGTTACTGCATAGTATTCCATGGTGTATATGTGCCAGATTTTCTTTATCCAGTATGATTGATGGGCATTTGGGTTGATTCCATGTCTATTATACAGTAATAAACATAGGTGTGCATGTATCTTTATAATAGAATAATTTATATTCCTTGCGTTATATACCTGGTAATGGGTCAAATGGTATTTCTCGTTCTAGATCCTTGAGGAATCGCCACATTGTCTTCCACAATGGTTGAACTAATTTAGATTCCCACCAACAGTGTAAAAGTGTTCCTATTTCTCCACAGCCTTGCCAGCATCTGTTGTTTCTTGACTTTTTAATAATCGCCATTCTGACTGGTGTGATATGGTATCTCATTGTGGTTTTGATTTGCATCATGACCAGTGATGTTGAGCTTTTTTTCATATGTTTGTTGGCCACATACATATCTTCTTTTGAAAACTATCTGTTCATGTCCTTTGCCCACTTTTTGTTGGGATTGTTTTTTTTTCTTTTACATTTGTTTAATTTCCTCATAAATTCTGGATATCAGAACTTTGTCACATGGGTAGATTGCAAAAATTTTCTCCCATTCTGTAGGTTGCCTGTTCACTCTGATGATAGTTTCTTTTGCTGTGCAGAAGCTCTTTAGTTTAGTTAGATCTCATTGGTCAATTTTGGCTTTTGTTGCAATTGCTTTTGGTGATTTCATCATAAAATCTTTGCCCATGCCTATGTCCTGAATGATATTACCTAGATTTTCTTCTAGGGTTTTTATGGTTGTTGGTTTTATATTTAAGTCTTTAATCTATGTTGAGTTAATTTTTGTATAAGGTGTAACAAATGGTCCAGTTTCAGTTTTCTGCATATGGCTAACCAGTTTTCCCAGCATCATTTATTAAATAGGGAATCCTTTCCTCATTGCTTGTTTTTGTTGGGTTTGTTGAAGATCAGATGGTTGTAGATGTGTGGTCTTATTTCTGAGATCTCTATTCTGTTCCATTGGTTTATGTGTTTGTTTTGGCACCAGTACCATGCTGTTTTGGTTACTGTAGCCTTGTAGTATAGTTTGAAGTCAGGTAGCATGATGCCTCTAGCTTTGTTCTTTTTGCTTAGAATTGTCTTGGCTATATGGGCTCTTTTTTGATTCCATATAAAATTTAAAGTAGTTTTTTTCTAATACTGTGAAGAATGTCAATGGTAGTTTGATGGGAATAGCACTGAATCTATAAATTACTTTGGGCAGTATGGCCATTTTCATGATATTGATTCTTCCTATCCATGAGGATGGAATGCTTTTCCATCTGTTTGTGTCCTCTCTCATTTCCTTGAGCAGTGGTTTGTAGTTCTCCTTGAAGACATCCTTCACATCCCTTGTTAGCTGTATTCCTAGGTATTTTATTCTCTTTGTAGCAATTGTGAATGAGAGCTCATTCATGATTTGGCTCTCTGCTTGTGTATTGTTGGTGTATAGGAATGCTGTGATTTTTGTACATTGATTGTGTATCCTGAGACTTTGCTGAAGATAAGGAGCTTTTGGACTGAGACGATGGGGTTTTCTAGATATTGGATCATGTCGCCTGCAAGCAGAGACAATTTGACCTTCTCTCTTCCTATTTGAATACCCTTTATTTCTTTCTCTTGCTTGACTTCCTTGGCCAGAACTTCCAATACTATGTTGAATAGGAGTGGTGAAAGAGGGCACCCTTGTCTTGTGCTGGTCTTCAAAGGGAATGCTTCCAGCTTTTGCCCATTCAATATGATATTGGTTATGAGTTTGTCATAAATAGCTCTTATTATTTTGAGATATGTTTCCTCAATACCTAGTTTACTGAGAGTTTTAGCATGAAGGGGTGATGAATTTTATCAAAGGCCTTTTCTGCATCTATTGAGATAATCATGTGGTTTTTGTCATTTATGTGATGAATTATGTTTATTAATTTGCATATGTTAACCCAGCCTTGCATCCCAGGGATAATGCTGACTTGATGGCGGTGGATAAGCTTTTTGGTGTGCTGCTGGATTCAGTTTGCCAGTACTTTATTGAGCATTTTTGCACTGATATTCATCAGGGATATTGGCCTTAAGTTTTTGTTGTTTTTGTTGTGTCTCTGTCAGGTTTTGGTATCAGGATGATGCTGGCCTCATAAAATGAGTTAGGGATAAGTCCCTCCTTTTCAATCATTTGGAATAGTTTCAGAAGAAATGATACCAGCTCCTCTTTGTACCTCTGGTAGAATTTGGCTGTGAATCCCTCTGGTCCTGGGCTTTGTTTTGGTTGGTAGGCTATTTATCAATGCCTTAATTTCAGAACCTGTTATTGGTCCATTCACAGATTCAACTTCTTCCTTGTTTAGTCTTGGGAGATCCTATGTGTCCAGGAATTTATCCATTTCTTCTAGATTTTCTACTTTATTTGCATAGAGTTGTTAACAGTATTCTCCAATGGTTGGTTGTATTTCTGTGGGACCAGTGGTGATATGCCATTTATCATTTTTTATTATGTCTATTTGATTCTTCTGTCTTTTCTTCTTTGTGTATCTAGCAGTCTATATATTTTATTAATTTTTTCAAAAAACCAGCTCCTGGATTCATTGATTTTTTTGAAGGATTTTTCATGTCTCTATCTCCTTCAGTTCTGTTGTGATCTTAGTTATGTCTTGTCTTCTGCTAGCTTTTGGATTTGTTTGCTCTTGCTTCTTTAGTTCTTTTAGTTGTGATGTTAAGGTGTTGATTTGAGATCTTTCTAGCATTCTGCTACGGGCATTTAGTGTTATAAATTTCCCTCTTAACACTGCTTTAGCTGCATCCTAGAGATTTTGGTATGTTGTCTCTTTGTTCTCATTGGTTTCACAAAACTCCTGATTTCTGCCTTAATTTCATTATTTACCCAGGAGTCATTCAGGAGCAGATTGTTCAATTTTCATGTAGTTGTGTGGTTTTGAGTGTTTCTTAATCTTGAGTTCCAATTTGATTGCACTGTTGTCTGAAAGACTGTTATGATTTCAGTTCTTTTGCATTTGCTGAGGAGTGTTTTACTTCCAATTATGGGATCGATTCTAGAGTAAGTGCCACATGGCACTGAGAAGAATGTATATCCTGTTGATTTTGGGTGGAGAGTTCTGCAGCTATCTGTCAGGTCCACTTGATCCAGACCTGAGTTTAGGTCCCGAATATCCTTGTTAATTTTCTGTCTCAATGACCTGTCTAATATTGACAGTGGTGTGTTGAAGCCTCCCACTCTTATTGTGTGGGAGTCTAAGTCTCTTTGTAGGTCTCTAAGAATTTGTTTTATGAATCTGGGTGCTCCTGTATTGGGTGCAAGTATATTTAGAATAGTTAACTCTTCTTGTTGAATTGTTCCCTTTACCATTATGTAATGCCTTTCTTTGTCTTTTTTGATCTTTGTTGGTTCAAAGTGTGTTTTGTCAGAAACTAGTACTGCAACCCCTACTTCTTTCAGCTTTCCATTTGCATGGTAAATTTTCCTCCATCCCTTTATTTTGAGCCTATATGTGTCTTTGCACGAGATTGGTCTCTTGAATACAGTACACCAATGGGTTTTGACTCTTTACCCAGTTTGCCCATCTGTGTCTTTTAATTGGGGCATTTAACCCATGTACATCTAAGGTTAATGTTGTTATATGTGAATTCGATCCTGTCACCATTATGCTAGCTGGCTATTTTGCACACTAGTTGATGCAGTTTTTCATAGCATCATTGGTCTTTGTTTTTCAGTGTGTTTTTGCAGAGGCTAGTATTGTTTTTTCCTCTCCATATTTAATACTTCCTTCAGGAGCTCTTGCAAGGCAGGCCTGGTGGTGACTTATTCACTCAGGATGTGCTTGTCTAATAAGGATTTTATTTCTCCTTCACTTACGAAGCTTAGTTTGGCTGGATATGAAATTCTGGGTTGAAAATTCTTTTCTTTAAGAATGTTGAATATTGACACCCACTCTCTTCTGACTTGTAGGGTTTCTGCTGAGAGGTCCACTGTTAGTCTGATGGGTTTCCCTTTGTAGGTGACCCGGCCTTTCTCTCTGGCTGCCCTTAACATTTTTTCCTTCGTTTTGACCTTAGGAAATCTGATGATAATGTGTCTTGGGATTGATCTTCTCGTGGAGTATCTTACTGGGGTTCTCTGTATTTCCTGAACTTGAATGTTGGCCTGCCTTTCTAGGTTTGGCAAGTTCTCCTGGATGATATCCTGAAGTGCATTTTCCGACTTGGTTCCATTCTCCCTGTCTCTTTCAGGTACTCCAGTCAGTCCTAGGTTCGATCTTTTTACATAGTTCCATAGTTCTCAGAGGTTTTGTTTGTACCTTTTCATCATTTTTCCTCTAATCTTGTCTACCTGCCTTATTTCAGCAAGATAGTCTTCAAGCTCTGATATTCTTCATTCCACTTGCTTGATTTGGCTATTTTTTTTTTTTTTTTTTTTTTTTGAGACGGAGTCTCGCTCTATCGCCCAGGCCGGACTGCGGACTGCAGTGGCGCAATCTCGGCTCACTGCAAGCTCCACTTCCCGGGTTCACGCCATTCTCCTGCCTCAGCCTCCCGAGTAGCTGGGACTACAGGCGCCCGCCACCGCGCCCGGCTAATTTTTTTGTATTTTTAGTAGAGAAGGGGTTTCACCTTGTTAGCCAGGATGGTCTCGATCTCCTGACCTCATGATCCACCCGCCTCGGCCTCCCAAAGTGCTGGGATTACAGGCGTGAGCCACTGTGCCCGGCCTTGATTTGGCTATTGATACTTGTGTTTGCATCATGAAGTTCTTGTGCTGTGTTTTTCAGCTCCATCAGGTCATTTATGTTCCTCTCTAAAGTGGTTACTCTAGTTAGCAACTCCTGTAACCTTTTATCATGGTTTTTACCCTCTTTGCATTAGGTTAGAACATGCTCCTTTACCTGAGCAAAGTTTGTTATTACCCACCTTCTGAAGCCTACTTCTGTCATTTTGTCCATCTCATCCTCTGTCCAGTTCTGTGCCCTTGCTGGAGTGGAGCTGTGATCATTTGGAGAAGGGGCACTCTGGCCTTTTAAGTTTTCAGTATTTTTTCATTGATTCTTTCTCATCTTCATGAGTTTGTCTAGTGTCAGTCTTTGAGGCTGCTGACCTTTGGATGAGGTTTTTGTGGGGAATTTTTTGTTAATGCTGTTGTTGCTTTCTATTTGTTTGTTTGTAATAGTCAGCTCTGTCTTCTGTAGGGCTGCTGTGGTTTTCTGGGGGTTCACTTCAGGCCCTATTCATCTGGGTCCCTCCCGCACCTGGAGATGTCAACTGAGGAGGCTAGAGAACAGCAAAGATAATGCCTGCTCCTTCCTCTGGGATCTTTGACCTAAAGAGGCACTGACCTGATACCACCAGAAATGCTCCTGTATAGGGTGTCTGGAGACCCCTGTTGGGGGTCTCACCCAGTTGGGAGGCACAGGAACCAGGACTCATTTAATGATGCACTTTGGCTGTCCCTTGGTGGAGGCGGTGTGCTGCGCTAGGGGGAAACCCACTCATCTGGGCTGCCTGGATTCCTCAGAGGTAACAGGGAGAAAGGTTAAGTTTGCTGGTCTGCAGAGAAGATGGCCACCCTTCCCCCTAAGGGCTCAGGCCCAGGGAGATCAATCAGAGCTCTGCCCCTGAGCCCCTGGCTGGAGTTGCTGAAGTTCCTGCAGGGAGTCCCCATCCAGTGAGGAGGGATGGGTCAGGATACAACCTAAAGAGGTAGTCTGGCCATGGTCTGCCACAGCTGGTGTGCTGCACTGTGGGAAATACCTCTTGGGACCAAGTGGTCCAGTCTCCCAGGCTCCAGCAGGAGGAAAGTGTGGCCTGGAGCTATAGTGATGGCTGCCACACTTCCTTCCTGGGAGTTCAGTGTCTTAGGCAGCTAGTGGCTGCAGTGATGGCTGCAGTCCCTCCCCCAGAGAGCTCAGTTTTCTTAGGCAGCCAGCAGCTACAGGGATGGCTGCCACCCCTCCTTCAGGGAGCTCAGGTGGCTTAGACAACAGGCAGCCTCAGTGATGATGGCCACCCCTTCCCCGGGGAACTCAGTAGTCTTAAGCAGATTCCAGCTGAGTGGCTGTTGAGACTCTGCATGGCTCTGTAGTTGGGACCCAAAGCCCGTTGTGAGCTCATGAGTGAGATCTTCTGAACTGTGGGTTGCACAGATCCGTGGAAAAAGCACAGTTTCCCAGGCTGGGTAGCATGCTCACTCACCGCCTCCGTTGGCTGGGGGTGTGGTCTTTCCTTGCCCCATGTGGCTCTCAGGTGGGCTGATGCACCACCCTGCTTTTCCTTGCTCTCCATGGGTCACACCAACTGCCTACTCAGTCCTGATGATAGAACCTGGATACCTTGGTTGCCAGTGCAGGATTAGCACACTGTTTTGGTTCTTCTTGGGGGAGCTTCTTACTGCCATTGCTTCTAGTCAGCCATCTTGAGACTCCACTCTACGTTTTTTGGTTGGAGGCTGTTTACATTCCATGTTATTATTGGTAAGTAAAGATCTACTTCTGCCACTTTGTTACTTGTTTTCTGGTTGTTTTGTGGTCTTGTATTTCTTCTTTCCTTCCTTCCTGTCTTCCTTTTAGTGAAGGTGATTTTCTCTGGTAATATGTTTTAATGTCTTGCTTTCTATTTTTTGTGTAGCCATTATATGTATTTTGATTTGAGGTTTCCATGAGGCTTAGAAATATTATCTTATAACCCATTATTTTAAACTGATGGCAACTTAACACTGATTGCATAAACAAACAAACACAAAGCAAACTAATAAAAAACTTATACATTTACTTCATCCCCCACTATTTAAATTTTTCTTGTGTCTATTTATATCTTATTGTACTATCTATGTCTTGAAAAGTTTTTGCAGTCGTTATTTTTGATTGGTTCATTTTTTAGTCTTTGACTTAAGATAAGAGAAGTTTGCATATCACAATTATAGTATAATATTATGTGTTTTTCTATGTACTTACTATTGCCAGTGAGTTTTGTACCTTCAGATGCTTTCTTATTGCTCATTAACATCTTTCCCTTTCAGATTGAAAAATTCTTTTTAGCATTTCTTGCAGGACAGGTCTGATGTTGATGAAATCCCTCAGCTTTTGTTTGTCTGGGAAAGTCTTTGTTTCTCCATGTTTGAGGGATATTTTCACCAGATATACAATTCCAGGATAAAGAATTTTGCCTTCAGCACTTTCAGTAATTCATGCCACTCTCCCCTAGCCTATAAAGTTTACAGTGAAAAGTCTGCTGCCAGATGTGTTGGAGCTTCATGGTATGTTGTTTCTTTTCTTTTGTTGCTTTTGGGATCCTTTCTTTATCTTTGACCTTTAGGAGTTTGATTATTAAATGCCTAGAGGCAGTCTTCTTTGGGTTAAATCTGCTTGGTGTTTATAAACTTCTTGTTCTTGGAAATTAATGTCTCTCAAGGTTTGGGAAGTTCTCTGTTATTATCCCTTTGAATAAACTTATCTCTTTCTCTAACTCCTTTTTAGGGCCAATAACTCTTAGATTTTTGCTTTCGAGATTATTTTCTAGATCCTATAGGTGTGCTTCATTTTTTTTTCTTTTTTCCATTTTTCTCTTCTGAGTATCTATTTTCAAATAGCCTGTCTTCCAGTTCACTAATTCTTTCTTCTGCTTCATCAATTCTGCTATTAAAAACTCGGATGTATTCTTCAGTATGTCAATTGCATGTTTCAGCTCCACAATTTCTGCTTGGTTCTTCTTAATTATTTCAATCTCTTTGTTACATTTATCTGACGGAATTCTGAATTCCTTCTCTGTGATATCTTGAATTTCTTTGAGTTTCCTCAAAACAGCTACTTTGAATTATTATATCTGTTTGAAAGGTCATACATCTCTGTTTCTCCAGGATTGGTCCCTGGTGCCTTAATTAGTTCATTTGATGAGATCATGTTTTCCTGGATGGTCTTGATACTTCTAGATCTTCTTCTGTGTCTGGGCATTAAAGAGTTAAATATTTATGTAGTCTTCTCATTCTGGGCTTCTTTGTACTCATCCTTCTTTAGAAAGTTTTCCAGATATTCCAAAGGAGTTGAGTGTTGAGATCTAAGCTGTATCTGCTTTAGGGGGACACCCTAAGCCAAGTAATACTGTGGTTCTTGCAGACTCATAGAGGTACCACCTCGATGGTCTTGGACAAGATATGGAAGAAATCTCTGAACTAGCAGGCAAAGATTGTTGTTCTCTTCCCTTACTTTCTCCCAAATGAAAGAAGTCGCTCTCTCTGTTCTGAGTCACCTGGATCTGGGAGTGGAGTTGACACAAGGACCCTAGTGTCCACCACCATTAGGACTGTGCTGGGTCATACCTGAAGCCAGCACAGCACTGGGTCTCACCTAAGGCCTGCTGTAATCACTTCCTGGCTATAGCCTAGGTTCACTTGAGACCCTGGGGCTCTATAATCAGCAGTTGGTAAAGCTGGCCATGCCTGTGTTCTTCCTTTTAGAGTGGTGAGTTCCTCTAGGTCCTGGGCAGCTCCAGAGGTACTGTCCAGGAGCCAGGTACTAGAATCAAAAACCTTAGAAGTCTACCTGGTGTTATATTGTACCAGTGTAGCTGAGCTGGCACTCAAACCACAAGATGCAGTTCTTCCCACTCTTCTCTCCCCTTTGCAAAGGCAGAGATGCCTCACCTCATGGCCACCGCCACCACGGCCCCATGGATAGTACTGCCAGACTACCACCAATGTTCCCTTAAAGCCCAGCTACTCTTCAGTCAGCTTGTGGTGAATGCTGTCAGGCCTGGGAATCACCTTCAGGGCAGTGGGCTCTCCTCCATCCCAGTACAGGTCCAGAAATGCCATCCAAGAGCCAAGACCTGGAATTGGGGACCCCGAGAGTTTGCTTGGTGCTCTGCCTCGCTGTGGCTGAGCTGGTACCTAAAATGCAATACAAAGTCCCCTTTGCTTTTCCACCTGCTTTTCTCAAGCAGAAGGAGTCTCACCATAACCATCATGGCTGAAAATATGGTAGGTTTCACCTGAAGCTAGCACATCTCAGAGCCTCACTGAAGGCTCATGGTGTACTACCTGGGCATCACGGCTAGTTATTCAGGGCCCAAGGGCTCTTTAGTCAGCAGGTGATGAATCTTTTAGGACTAGGTCCCTCCCTTTAAGGCAGCAGGTTTCCTCCTGGCCCAGAGTGTGTCTAGAAATGTCATCTGAGAGCGAGGGCCTGGAACATGGATCTCATAACTCTGCCCAGCACCCTATCCTACTGTGGTTCTGTTGGTATCCAAGTTGCAAGACAAAGTCCTCTTTACTCTTCCCTCTCCTTAAATGAAGCATAAGGTAGGTGTCAATTTTGCTGTTGTGAGCTGCACTCCCTGGAGCTGGTGGAGGGGTGGGACAAGCACTCCCTCAGCCACCCTAGCTTGTGTCTCACTAGATCACGAGCTCTCCAAGTCCACTGGCTCCAAGCCTAGTACAGCACTAAGACTTGCTTAGGAGTTGCAGAGCTTGTGGGCTAGACTGCCTTTCAAGTTTACTTAGAACCCCACAACACTTTAGCCTGTGATGGTGAGGCTTGAGGAGAAACTCAAGTTCTGACCACTAGAATAGGCAATTCCCTTCTGGATAGGGCTAGTCTAAATGCTCCCTCTGTGGGCATTGGCTGAGTTCTGCCACTGTTTGCAGTACTGATTTCCCGCAATCCCTGCACTCTCCCTCACCCAAGTGCACAGATTCTCTCTCTGTGACACGTGGTCACTGCCAGGAGATGGGGCAGGGGTGGTGTCAGCAATTCAATATTGTCTTTTCTACCCTATTCAGTTCCTCTTTCAGTGATATGAAGTTATAAACAGATACTGTGATTGCTCACCTGATTTTGGTTCTTATGCTTTTTTGTGTACATAGTTGTTAAATTTGGTGTTCTTGCCTGGGGGTGATGATCAGTGGAGGCTTCTATTCAGATGTCTTGCTCTACTCACTCTCAATCCAATTTTGAACCAATAATTTCTGTCATTCTCTTGAAAGCAATCTATATTCCTTTTCCTTGTTGTCCTTTTGGCTCATTTTTTGGGAAATGCCTGCAATCTGGATATGTGACTTTCTGGATTAAAAACTTGAATCCTATCTGCATTTGCCATGCTTGCAATGGGCTTCTTCTGAGCATAACTAGAGAAAAATCACATAACCAGACCTATTGCTATTATTATAAATGTATTATCACCGGGCTCAACTGAGCCTCCAGTACTTTCCAACACTCTTACCAGGAAGTCTTTCAAGTTGGATGGTTCTTTTCTTTATAGTGACTGAATCAAGCTTTACTCTTCACCTTCAACTTCCCCTCTTCCCACCTCGGCTCCTTATCAAGTCTCAGCACATGAAACTGACTCTTACTTTACTGTGAAAGTAGAAGATAATAAAGTTGTGTTCCTGCTACTTCCTGTCATAAAAATCATCATACCCACTTGTATAAGGATGTAGTAGATTAAAGATTTCCATTAAGAAGGGAAAATATAACACTGCTAGAAGAATATATCAAAAATTCCTTTATATCTTTAGAGTATGAAAGGTCTTTCCAATCAGAATTCAATATGCAGAAGCCATATAAAAGAAATAGTGATACAGTAAACTAAAGTAAAATAAAAATAACTTCTACATGGCAAAAACATAAAATAACAAAACAAAAAACCAACATGAGTAAAATCAATAAGCAAAATAACTAGAATAAAAATATTTGTAACTTATATCACAAGCAAATAACCCAATACCACTAATAGATAAAGGGCCTCTGGAAACTGAAAACAGAATAGCCAGAAACCCAAAAGGAAAATAGACAAAGACAGTAAAACTCTGTGCAACGAGGTTCACTACAAAAGAAACGCATTAACTTTAAACAGATAAAAACATTTTCAACCTTTGTTATGATAATATAAAGGAAAAATAAAAGTATTTTAAAATACCAATGTCACTCATCAGATGACAAAAAATTTGTAGGTGTGATAGCATTCTCTGTTGCTGAAGCTAAGAGAAATAAGCACCACCACACTCCTCCTGGGAGAACAAAATTATGCAAACCCTACAGATAGTAATTTGGCAATGCCCATCAAAATTTAAAATGAATTATCTTTTGATAAAAGTCCACACTTCTGGACTTGCAGCCTGAAAATTCACCACATGAGAGAAGCTCGACAGCTGAGCCTGCCTCTGTATATTGCTCTTGGCCAGAGGGAGCTGCCAGGGAATGTATGAATTGAGCATGTATGAATTTTCATCTGTACAAGATTATTCAATGCTGCATTGTTTATAGTAGCTAGTTGTTAGAGACAACCTAAGTATTGTTCTCTCAGGACTAATCTTGACAGATATACAAAATTTACTGTTAAGGGGAAAACAGCAAAGCTATTATGCTGCCTTTGTGTAAGAAAGAGGGGAGGAATATGTATTTATACTAGTATTTGCTCATAGCTGCCTAAAGAAGTAGTGAGAGGATTCCGTAAAACTAGTAAATAGTGGTTACATACAGTGGATACATGAGGGATATGGAGGATGAGGAACTGGATGGACATATGTGAGTGTTAAGACTTCTCAGTGTATAATCTTTTAGACCTTTGAACCAAATGAATGTATTAATATTACTTATTCAAAAATAATTAAATTAAAATTTCAGGCATTTTGCTATCTAGTCCAGGAAGCAGTTCCAGATATTCATGTAGTTCTCTCTACCCCTTCACATTCAACATTTTTCCATTGTTTCACTTACTAATACCTTACCTCCTCATGAGCACATTACAATGTGGCTTCTGCCCCAATATGTAACCAAATTTCTGTCACGTCAGGTCCCCAGTGACTTCCTTATTTCTAAATGTGATGAATATTGATTGTTCAGTCTTTCTCTTGCCTAATATCTCTGCAGCATTTGACAATTTGCTTCCTTTCTCATGCATCCTCTTCTGGTGACTTCCATGTTTCCACACAATTCTAGCTTCTCTCCCATCTCCCTGGATTCCCTTATCTTTTCTTTTTCTCTTCCCCATTACCTTCTCATCGTCTCCCTCCTTTACCGAAACATTAACTATTGAATTTCTCCAACACTCTGCTGTAAAACTCTCCTTGCCCACACCTAAGACATTTCACACAGAGCTACAGATTCCATTGATAACAGCGATCTTCACATTTACATTTTCAAACACCTTCAGGACTGAGGCATTCATCCCCTGGCAGCTCCCTCTGGCCAAGAGCAATGTATAGAGGCAGGCTCAGCTGTTCAGCTTCTCTGAGCCAAAACTTCTGGCAGTTGTGGAAGGGAAATCTGGAGAGAGTACCACAACCTCCACATGTGTATGTGTTGTGAATATTTTCTCCCACTATGTGATTAGCCTTTTCATTTTGTTTTCAAAATCTTGATGAATGGATATTAAAAATTTTTTTTGTTGTTAGAAATCAGCTTTTTAATATTACACTTAAAGTCATATTGTTTTTTAATTAAATTACTCTTATTTTTCTTCATATTGTACTTAGAATCTGTAGTATCATTTTTATTATTTTTTAAATTATACTTTCAGTTCTAGGGTACATGTGCACAACGTGCAGTTTTGTTACATAGGTATATATGTGCCATGTTGGTTTGCCGCACCCATTAACTCGTCATTTAAATTAGGTATTCCTCCTAATGCTATCCCTCCTCCTGCCCCCCACCCCCCAACAGGCCCCAGTGTGTGATGTTCCTCGCCCTTTGTCCAAGCATTCTCATTGTTCAATTCCCACCTATGAGTGAGAACATGCAGTGTTTGGTTTTCTGTTCTTGTGATACTTTGCTGAGAATGATGGTTTCCAGCTCCATCCATGTCCATGCAAAGGACATGAAGTCATCCTTTTTTATGGCTGCATAGTATTCCACAGTGTATATGTGCCACATTTGCTTAATCCAGTCTATCATTGATGGACATATGGGTTGGTTCCAAGTCTTTGCTATTGTGAATAATGCCACAATAAACATATGTGTACATGTGTCTTTATAGTAGCATGATTTATAATCCTTTGGGTATATACCCAGTGATGGGATTGCTGGGTCAAATGGTAATTCCAGTTCTAGATCATTGAGGAATCACCACACTGTCTTCCACAATGGTTGAACTAATTTACACTCCCACCAACAGTGTAAAAGCATTCCTATTTCTCCACATCGTCTACAGGATCTGTTGTTTCCTGACTTTTGAATGATCAGCATTCTAACTGGCGTAAAATGGTATCTCACTGTGGTTTTAATTTGCATTTCTCTGATGACCAGTGATGATGAGCATTTTTTCATGTGTCTGTTGGCTGCATAAATGTCTTCTTTTGAGAAGTGTCTGTTCACATCCTTTGCCCACTTTTTGATGGGGTTGTTTGTTTTTTTCTTGTAAATTTAAGTTCTTTGCAGATTCTGGATATTAGCCCTTTGTAAAATGGGTAGATTGCAAAAATTTTTTCCCATTCTGTATGTTGCCTGTTCACTCTGATGGTAGTTTCTTTTGCCATGCAGAAGTTCTTTAGTTTAATCAGATCTCATTTGTCTATTTTGGCTTTCGTTGCCATTGCTTTTGATGTTTTAGTCATGAAGTCCTTGCCCATGCCTATGTCCTGAATGGTATTGCCTAGGTTTTCTTCCAGGGTTTTTTGTGGTTTTAGGCCTAATATTTAAGTCTTTAATCCTCTTGAATTAATTTTTGTATAAGGTGTAAGGAAGGGATCCAGTTTTGGCTTTCTATATATGGCTAGCCAGTTTTCCCAGAGCCATTTATTAAATAGGGAATCCTTTCCCCATTTCTTGTTTTTGTCAGGTTTGTCAAAGATCAGATGGTTGTAGATGTGTGGTGTTATTTCTGAGGCCTCTGTTCTGTTCCATTGGTCTGTGTATCTGTTTTGGTACCAGTACCATGCTGTTTTGGTTACTGTAGCCTTGTAGTATAGTTTGAAGTCAGGTAGTGTGATGCCCCCAGCTTTGTTCTTTTTACTTAGGATTGTGTTGGCTATGTGGGCTCTTTTTTTGGTTCCAAATGAACTTTAAAGTAGTTTTTTCCAATTCTGTGAAGAAAGTCATTGGTAGCTTGATGGGGATGGCATTGAATCTATAAATTACCTTGGGCAGTATGGCCATTTTCACAATATTGATTCTTCTTATCCATGAGCATGGAATGTTCTTCCATTTGTTTGTGTCCTCTTTTATTTCGTTGAGCAGTGATTTGTAGTTCTTTAAGAGGTCCTTCACATCACTTGTAAGTTGGATTTCTAGGTATTTTATTCTCTTTGTAGCAATTGTGAATGGGAATTCACTCATGATTTGGCTCTCTGTTTGTCTGTTTTGGTGTAAAGGAATGCTTATGATTTTTGCACATTGATTTTGCATCCTGAGACTTTGCTGAAGTTGCTTATCAGCTTAAGGAGATTTTGGGCCAAGAAAATGGGGTTTTCTAAATATAAAATCATGTCATCTGCAAACAGGGACAATTTGACTTCCTCTTTTCCTAATTGAATACCCTTTATTTCTTCCTCTTGTCTGATTGCCCTGGCCAGAACTTCCAATACTATGTTGAATGGGAGTGGTGGGAGAAGGCATCCTTGTCCTGTGCTGGTTTTGAAAGGGAATGCTTCCAGGTTTCACCCATTCAGTATGATATTGGCTGTGGGTCTGTCATAAATAGCTCTTACTATTTTGAGATACTTTCCATCAATACCTAGTATATTGAGAGTTTTTAGCATGAAGGGCTGTTGAATTTTATCGAAGGCCTTTTCTGCATCTATTGAGATAATCATGTGGTTTTTGTTGTTGGTTCTGTTTATGTCATGGATTACGTTTATTGATTTGTGTATGTTGAACCAGGTTTGCATCTCAGGGATGAAGCTGACTTGATCATGGTGGATAAGCTTTTTGATGTGCTGCTGGATTCAGTTTGCCAGTATTTTATTGAAGATTTTTACATCGATGTTCATCAGGGGTATTGGTCTAAAATTCTCTTTTTTTGTTGTGTCTCTGCCAGGCTTTGGTATCAGGATGATGCTGGCTTCAAAAAATGAGTTAGGGAGGATTCCCTCTTTTCCTATTGATTGGATAGTTTCAGAAGGAATGGTACCAGCTCCTCTTTGTACCTCTGGTAGAATTTGGCTGCGAATCCATCTCTTCCTGGATTTTTTTGGTTGGTAGGGTATTAATTATTGCCTCAATTTCAGAGCCTGTTATTGGTGTATTCAGAGATTCAACTTCTTCCTAGTTTAGTCTTGGGAAGGTGTATGTGTCCAGGAATTTATCCATTTCTTCTAGATTTTCTAGTTTATTTGCGTAGAGGTGTTTATAGTACTGTCTGATGGTAGTTTGTATTTCTGTGGGATAGGTGGTGATATCCCCTTTATTGTTTTTTATTGCATCTATTTGATTCTTCTCTCTTTTCTTCTTTATTTGTCTTGCTAGCGGTCTATCAATTTTGTTGATATTTTCAAAAAACCAGCTCCTGGATTCATTGATTTTTTGAAGGGTTTTTCGTGTCTCTATCCCCTTCAGTTCTGTTCTGATCATAGTTATTTCTTGCCTTCTGCTAGCTTTTGAATTTGTTCGCTCTTGCTTCTCTAGTTCTTTTAATTGTGATGTTAAGGTGTCGATTTTATATCTTTCCTGTTTTCTCTTGTGGGCATTTAGTACTATAAATTTCCCTCTACACACTGCTTTAAATGTGTCCCAGAGATTCGGGTACATTGTGTCTTTGTCAGGAGCAGGTTGTACAGTTTCCATGTAGTTGTGCAGGTTTTGAGTGAGTTTCTTAATACTGAGTTCTAATTTGATTGCACTGTGGTCTGAGAGACAGTTTGTTGTGATTTCTGTTCTTACATTTGCTGAGGAGTGTTTTACTTCAATTATGTGGTCAATTTTAGAATAAGTGAGATGTGGTGCTGAGAATAATGTATATTCTGTTGATTTGGGGTGGAGAGTTTTGCAGATGTCTATTAGGTCCGCTTGGTGCAGAGCTGAGTTCAAGTCCTGGATATCCTTGTTAACCTTCTGCCTCATTGATCTGTCTAATATTGAGAGTGGGTTGTTAAAGTCACCCATTATCATTGTGTGGGAGTCTAAGTCTCTTTGTAGATCTCTAAGGACTTGCTTTATGAATCTGGGTGCTCCCGTATTGGGTGCATATATATTTAGGATAGTTAGCTCTTCCTATTGAATTGATCCCTTTACCATTATGTAATGGCCTTCTTTGTCTCGTTTGATCTTTGTTAGTTTAAAGTCTGTTTTACCAAAAGCTAGGATTGCAACCCCTGCTTTTTTTTTTCTTCTTTCCATTTGCTTGGTAGATCTTCCTCCATCCCTTTATTTTGAGCCTATGTGTGTCTCTGCACGTGAGATGGGTTTCCTGAATACAGCACACTGATGGGTCTTGACTCTTTATCCAATTTGCCAGTCTGTGTCTTTTAATTGGGGCATTTAGCCCATTTACACTTAAGGTTAATATTGTTATGTGTAAAGTTGATCCTGTCATTATGATGTTAGCTGGTTATTTTGCCTGTTAATTGATGCAGTTTCTTCCTAACATTGACGGTCTTTACAATTTGGCTTGTTTTTGCAGTGGCTGGTACTGGTTTTTCCTTTCCATGTTTAGTGCTCCCTTCAGGAGCTCTGGTAAGGTAGGCCTCATGGTGACAAATCTCTCAGCATTTGCTTTTCTGTAAAAGATTTTATTTCTCCTTCACTTATGAAGCTTATTTTGGCTGGATATGAAGTTCTGGGTTGAAAATACTTCTATTTAAGAATGTCAAATATTGGACCCCACTCTCTTCTGGCTTGTAGGGTTTCTGCTGAGAGATCCAGTGTTAGGTCTGATGGGCTTCCCTTTGTGGGTATCCTGACCTTTCTCTGCCTGCCCTTAATATTTTTTCCTTTATTTCAACCTTGGTGAGTCTGACAATTATGTGTCTTTGAGTTGCTCTTCTCAAGGAGTATCTTAGTGGTGTTCTCTGTTTTTCCTGAATTTGAATGTTGGCCTGCCTTGCTAGGTTGGGGAAGTTCTCCTGAATAATATCCTGAAGAGTGTTTTCCAACTTGGTTCCATTCTCCCCATCTCTTTCAGGTACACCAATCAAATGTAGAATTGGTCTTTTCACATAGTCCCATATTTTTTGGAGGCTTTGTTTGTTTCTTTTCACTCTTTTTTCTCTAATCTTGTCTTCTCACTTTATTTCATTAATTTCATCTTCAATCACTGATGCCCTTTCTTCCAATTGATAGAATCTGCTATTGAAGCTTGTGCATGCGTCACAAAGTTCTCATGCCATGGTTTTCAGCTCCATCAGATCATTTAAGATCTTCTCTACACTGCTTATTCTAGTTAGCCATTCGTCTAACCTTTTTTCAAGGTTTTTAGCTTCCTTGCAATGGGTTAGAACATGCTCCTTTAGCTCAGAGGAGTTTGTTATTACTGACCTTCTGAAGCCTACTTCTGTCAACTCATCAAAGTCATTCTCCATCCAGCTATGTTCTGTTGCTGGTGAGGAGGTGTGATCCTTTGAAGGAGAAGAGGCACTCTGGTTTTTAGAATTTTCAGCTTTTCTGCTCTGGTTTCTCCCCATCTTTGTGGTTTTATTTACCTTTGGTCTTTGATGTTGGTGACCCATAGATGGGGTTTTGGTGTGGATGTCCTTTTTGTTGATGTTGATGTTATTTCTTTCTGTTTTTAGTTTTCCTTCTAACAGTCAGGTCCCTCAGCTGCAGTTCTGTTGGAGTTTGCTGGAGTTCCACTCCAGACCGTTTGCCTGGGTAAAACCAGCAGAGGCTGCAGAACAGCAGATATTGCTGCCCAATCCTTCCTCTGGAAGCTTCATCCCAGAGGGGCACCCGCCTGTATGAGGCATCTGCCAGCCACTACTGGGAGGCATCTCCCAGTCAGGCTACACGAGGGTCAGGAACCCACTTGACGAGGCAGTCTATCCATTCTCGGAGCTCAAACACCATGCTGGGAGAACAACTGCTCTCTTCAGAGCTGTCAGACAGGGACATTTAAGTCTGCAGAAGTTTCTGCTGCCTTTTGTTCAGCTATGCCCTACCCACAGAGGTGGAGTCTAGAGAGGCAGTAGGCCTTGCTGAGCTGCGGTGGGCTCTGCCCAGTTCGAGCTTCACAGCAGCTTTGTTTACCTACTGAAGCCTCAGCAATGGTGGACACCCCTCCCCCGCCAGGCTGCAGCCTCACAGGTTGATCTCAGGCTGCTGTGCTAGCAGTGAGCAAGGCTCCATAGGCGTGGGACTTGCTGAGCCAGGCATGGGAGAGAATCTCCTGGTCTGCCAGTTGCTAAGACCATGGGAAAAGTGCAGTATTTGGGTTGGCGTATCCTGTTTTTCCAGGTATACCTTATCACAGTTTCCCTTGGCCAGGAAATGGAAATCCCCTGACCTCTTGCACTTCCCGGGTGAGGCAATGCCCTACCCTGCTTCGGCTCACCCTCTCTGGGCTGCACCCACTGTCCAACCAGTCCCAATGAGATGAACCAGGTACCTCAGTTGGAAATACAGAAATCACCCATCTTCTGCATCGATCACGCTGGGAGCTGCAGACCAGAGCTCTTCCTATTTGGACATCTTGGTATGGACCAATGTATTTTTAACTTTTATCAAGTCTAATTAATCCATTTTCTTTTATGTTTAACATTTTGATTTTTTGTGAAGTTTTTAAAACATATTATGGTAAAAAACATAACATTTACCATCTTAACCATTTTTCAGAATAAAGTTCTGTGGTGTTAAGTATACTCATACTATTGTGAATCAGATTTCAAAAACTTTTTTGTCTTGCAAATCTGCAACCATATACTCCTTAAACAACAACCTACCTCTTCCCCGTCTGTCCAGCCCCTGGTAACCACCATTCTACTTTCTGTCTCAATGAATTTGAATAATGCAGATAGCTCATGTAAGTAGAATCATACCGTGTTTATGTTCTTGTGACTGGCTTGTCTCACTTAAAATAATATCCTTCAGGTTCATCCATGTTACAGCATGTGACAGGATTTCCATCCTCTTTAAGGCTAAATAATATTGCATTGTATGTATACGCCACATTGTATTTATGCATTCATCTGTTGAGAGACATTTGGTTTGCTTCCACCGCTTGTCTATTTTGAATTGTGCTGCTTATGACCATGGGTGTACAAATATCTTTTCAAGACCCTTGGATCATATGGTAGTTCTATTTTTAATTTTTTGAGGAACCGCCACACTGTTTTCCACAGCAGTTGTACCATTTTACAATCCCACCAATCGGGCACAGACTTCTGATTTCACCACATCCTTGCCAACACTTTTTATCTTTGTTTTTTGTTTTTTTTCTTTTCCTGATAGTAGCCATCCTAATGGATGTGAGTTTGTTTAATGCCATTATGTTAATATAACTCAGATTGGATTGTGTACATCCAAGTTTTCTGTGCATAACAGTTTTTCTGGAAGCAGAAAGAGACCTAGTGGAGAATTAGTGACATAGAGGAGGTGGCATAAGTATACTAGGGCTTTAATGGAATATATTCTTGAGAAATTATTACACCAAGGAGGAGACTATACTAATGTATTAATTTAGCTATAACATGGAATTAGGTTTTGTTAGAATTTTCAATTACTTTCATCAATATTTTTCTACAACAGTTGGCATTGCTAGCCTATGAAACACAGTATGTTAGTGTACAATGAGCAGAAGGTTTGGAGCTTGAAGGTACAGAAGTCAACTTCTCTGGCTCAGAAGTGCTTACTGTCTGTGCCTAACTACACTGTTAAGTACATCTGGCCATCTAAGCCCATTACCATCTGTTAGTGATCCACCTCTTAGTGTTACTCACTCAGTCACTGGACTGTGCCAGCCCCTTGTTCACCTCACCTTCCTGCTCATCTACATTTGCTTTAAAATATGACCGACTATATAATCATACCTGTTTTCTTAATCATTTCTAAAACTAGCCTTGCTAGCTGGTGCTTCTCAACAAAGCTGCAACTTGCTTTGTGCCAGAATGTTATTTGTAGATCTGTTATTTAGCAGTGTCTGCTTAGTGATCATTTTTAGGTTTGCCCCAAGCAAAATAAATTTGAATAGCAAAGAACATTTCTTCATGCATTTGATCATGATTGAGAATGGGCTACAGTAGCACTTAAATACTTGGTAGACTTTTATCAGTGATGGTAATGTGGCAAGATCCTGAAATATACCCTTTGGCACAACCAGAATGTAACCCCCTCAAAATGTAACATTAATGTATTGAGCATATACTTTATATATTCATCTTTGGATTCTTACTAGTTTACTTCTCCTTACCTCAAGTAAAAAATCTTTATACAATAAACATAGTAGGTAAAACAGGCTAAGCATGGTGGCTCATGCCTGTAATCCCAGCACTTTGGGAGGCTGAGACAGGAGGATCACTTGAACCCAGGGATTTGAGACCAGTCTGGGCAACATAGTGAGACCCTATCTCTACAAAAAATTAAAAAATTAGCTGGGCATGCTGGTGCACACCTGTAGTTCCAGCTATTCAGGAGGCTGAGATGGGAAGATCACTTGAGCCCAGGAGGATGAGGCTGCAGTGAGCTGTGATTGCACCACCACACTCCAGCCTGGGTGATAGAGTAAGGCTCTGTCTCTAAAAGGAAAAAAAAAATGAAAACAGACTATCTAGGTTTGTACCCTGGCTCTGCCACTTCTCAGCTGTGTGACTCAGGCAAATTACTTGATCTGTTTCTGTCTCAGTTTCTTTATTGGTAAATGAGGATAGCAACAGTATGTACCTTATAGAGGTCCTGTGAAGGATCAGGTGTAAAATGTTTGTGGATAGCAAGTGATTAATAAGTGCTAGCTGTTTATTACTCTTCTAATTATAAAAATTACATATCTTCATTGTTCTAAAAATTCAACAATATAACAAATTTAAAAAAATAAAATAAATCCCCCAAATTATTCCATGACTGTTAGCATTTTAGTGAAAAATCCTTCCGGTCATATTTCTTCGTACATGTGTGATGTGCAGAATCTGAAATTTATAGCACAGGAGGAAAAATTACAGTAAGCTCCACTGGTGCCTCCAAGAGGGATGAGTTTCATATCCTTCTTTGATATTCACTTATTTAGTGTGGCAGTCAACTGGTCTTTCAGACAACAGTGCCTATGACCATCAAAACAGAGTGGGCAGTGGTCTGGCTTCTTCACTGAAGTTAGGGTTAGGAAGATTTAGAATCTATGGGCAGTAGATATCAACCTCTGCACTATTTCGGTTTTTATGAGGGAAATCTTGTGATCTAGTGAGTGTTGTGTATGTGAACAATGGAAGAATCCGCCCCTAAAGAGCTATAATTTGGGAAGTCAAGGGCTACTTTGGAAAGTAGTGGTACATTTGAACCCTCAAGTTCTCCTAGCAATGACAAAGTGTGCTCACTTAGACAACTCATTTAAGAGTTCTGTCATTTGGAGCGAGACTCCATCTCAAAAAAAAGAAAAAAAGAATTCTGTTATATAAGGAATAATCTAACTTTGTACATTCCAGCAAACTAAACCCAAAGCTAGTAGAAGGAAGAAAATAATAAAGATTAGGCTGGGTGAGGTGGTTTACACCTGTAATCTCAGCACTTTGAGAGGCCCAGTTGGGAGGATCACTTGAGCTCAAGGAGTTCAAGACCAGCCTGGGCAACACAGCAAGACCTTGTCTCTACTAAAAAGAAAAAATAAGCTGGACATGGTGGCATGCACCTGTAGTCCCATCTACTTGGGAGGCTGAGATGGAAGGATCCCTTGAGCCCAAGAGATCAAGGTTGCAGTGAACTATTGTCATGCCACTGTAGTCCAGCCTTGAGACAGAGGGAGACCTGTCTCAAGAAAAAAAAAAAAGAAAGAAACTAAAAGTTGGTTTCATGAAAAGAGATGTGAAACAAAATTGACATGAAAGAACGTCATTAAGGAAAACTATTTTCTGCTGAGCTGAGTAGAATAGAACTAGCGTTATAATTTGAACAGTAAAGGAAATTTGAATTTATGTTATACCCAGCCAAATGAAGAGGACATACTTATTACTGATCTTGTGACTCATTGTACATAAATGGGATCATGCTGCTTTATATATGCTGCTTTATAACTTGCTTTTTCCCTCTCAATAGTATGTTGTAGAGATCTTTCCATGAAGTAAATGTATAAATGTATGTCTGTATCATCATTTTAAAAATTTGTTCTGTGCTGGGCACGGTGGCTCACGCCTGTAATCTTAGCACTTTGAGAGGCCAAGGTGGGTGGATCACGAGGTCAGGAGATTGAGACCTTCCTGGCCAACATGGTGAAACCCTGTCTCTACTAAAAATACAAAAATTAGCTGGGCATGGTGGTGCGTGCCTGTAGTCCCAGCTACTCAGGAGGCTGAGGCAGGAGAATCGCTTGAACCTAGGAGGCGGAGGTTGCAGTGAGCCGAGATTGTGCCACTGCACTCCAGCCTGGGGACAGAGCGAGACTCCATCTCAAAAAAAAAATAAAAAAATAAAAATAAAAAAATCTGTTTTGCAGCATTCCATTATGTGTATAGTATAAACTGCCCCACAGATCAGCATATAAATAGAGTGATGGTCTGTGTTTTTGTTTTTTGTTTTTTTTTCCCCCAAGTAAATAGCTATCCGCATCCTCTAGATTAACAGAAGGTTCAAGATCTCTTGGTAGAGCTTCCTACTCTTCTGGAACTGGCTGAAAGTCTAGGGCCTTACATAGTCTAAAAGGTATGTCATTTGACTTCTATTTCCCAGCACAGTGGTGTTGCTTCTCCTCCCTTTGTCCTCCCCAGTTCTTCCGCTGATATCTTGTGCATATGGTCTGACCCAAGATCTGTTCTGCCTTAGTTCCCAAACTTTATAAGATTAAAGAATTATGAAATAATATCAAATATACATATCTGAAAGGATTTAGTAACATTTATCTTCCCAATCCAGGAATCCTAATATAGTTTAATGAGTCTCTGGGTTGCTCTCAAATCTCCAAAGACAATACATTCCAGTGATCCATTTTGATGCCCCTGAGCTGTGGTGTTCCCTCCTCTCAGCCTGAACTCCAGCTACACTGCCTTACTCTTGCCAATGCCCTCTTCCTGGAGACTTCGTATCTGTTCCCTGTCTGGTGACTGTAGCTTGACTGATGGGGCCCTCAAAAGTCTACTTGGATTATGGCTGAGCTCGTCCTTCAGATATAATGCCTTGTGTGCTTGGTTTCTCCACCTGTCAGTCCAAGGAGTCCTAAGTGATGACTGAGATATGTCCCTGGCAGAGAATACTAAGCAAGATAGTTTGATCAGGAAAAAGAATAGATCTTCAGGTCCAAAACTGAGCAGGAATGTTCCAGATTCTTGTTTTTCTCTTTTTTTCTTTCTTCCCCAACTTCCAGTTTGCTGTGTCAATTCAGCTCATTCTGACTCTAGACAGTTTCTTTTTAAGGTTTGCCTACCTTTGCCTCACAGAGAAAAGGTGCTCAAGAATGACATGGACAATTAGGGATATGAGGACCCTTAGGGCTGTGAGGATTGTTAGACATCATCCAACCCAATCCCCTTATTAGAAATATGAGAAATACCAGGCTCCCAAGTGTCTAATGATTGTACAGCTACTTAGTGTAGCTAAGTGGTAGAGTAAGGGCTTAAACTCAGATCTGGACTTATATGCTCTTTATGGTTACTTGATGAATTGAGTTAGCAAGAATTGCCAAAGAAGTTCTTATTTAAGCAACAATAAATGCTATCTATAAGTCAGGAGCTGGGCCAAATGCATTTATATTACCTGATTTCATCTTCGTACTACTCTATGAGAGGCTTGAAGAGTTTTAGTAATTTGCCAAAGGCTACAATGGATTATAAGTGGTGATGCTAGGATTTGAAATTACATCACTGGATGCCAAATCCAGGATTCCTAGAGGAAAAACTACTGTTGCTCAGTCTACCTATGCTTAATCTCACAGGTATGCTCAAATACTCATTGTAAAAACTGAATGAACAGTTCCCTCTCTTCAACCACACTCAGCGAAAAGAAACATTATTTGTTCATGAAAGTCAGGGATTTCCCTCCTGCTAGGGAACTGGAGCTTCTAGTCCTTGGCTACTGAAAGTGTGGTCCTTGCACTAGAAGCATTGGCATCTACTTTGAGCCTATTGGAAATGTAGACTATCAGACCTTACCCCAGACCTCTAAAAATACAATCTGAGTATGGATACAGCATTATCATTTTCTAGGTAGCTACCAGACGTCTCGATTCCATCTATTAAAAATTATATTTTCATAGATGGGAGATTTTAAACATTTTCAAAACAAAAAGCTTACTTTTACTACATTTATTTGAGACAAAAGAAGATATCTCTTATCTATTTATTTATTTACAGATGGTGTTTCACTATGTGAATAGCGCCACAATAAACATACGTGTGCATGTGTCTTTATAGTAGCATGATTTATAATCCTTTGGGTATATACCCAGTAATGGGATGGCTGGGTCAAATGGTAATTCTAGTTCTAGATCCTTGAGGAATCACCACACTGTCTTCCACAATGGTTGAACTAATTTACACTCCCACCAACAGTGTAAAAGCATTCCTATTTCTCCACATCCGCTCCAGCATCTGCAAAACTTTAGGTTTACCCTAACATTTGCTGCTGAGGCTTGACTGGAGAGGCCAGCCTAGCATTATCCATATGCCCATGTTGTGCTGTGGTTAGCCTTTCCTTGTCCTAGGCTTCCTATGTGAGCTGAGGGCATGGGCCAGGCTCACATGGCTTTCCTTAGCATATACTCTACTCAACATGAGCCATTTTCTCTTGCCAAAACAACTTAACGTCATATGGATGAGAGAATTTTCCTTGGATTATTTCACCAGGAGTGTTGGGAACAGGCCCCCAAATCTGGCCATAGACAGGCCCCCAAACTTGCCATAAACAAAATCTCTGCAGCACTGTGACATGCTCATGATGGCTATGATGCCCACGCTGAAGGTTGTTGGTTTACTGGAATGAGGGCAAGGAACACCTGGCCCACCCAGGGTGGAAAACCGCTTAAGGTGTTCCTGAACCACAAACAATAGCATGAGTGATCTGTGCCTTAAGGACATGTTCCTGCTGTAGATAACTAGCCAGAGCCCATATTTTGCTTCCTGTTTATGTTAATCGATAATCTATAAAAACAATGCTTATCACTGGCTTGCTGTCAATAAATAGGTGGGAAGAACTCTGCTGGTGGCTCTCAGCTCTGAAGGGTGTCAGCCCCCTGATTCCCACTCTGCACTCTATATTTCTCTCTGTGTGTGTGTCTTTAATTCCTCTAGCGCCGCTGGGTTAGGGTCTCCACGACTGAGCTGGTCCCAGCCCAGGAGTCTCTCAATTCTCAAGTATCTAGGAGCACCATTTGCAAATATGCTCACATAATTTGCACATTATGTCTTCATGCCATTTTTCTCTGATCCAGAAGCCAAGACAAGTGTAAGATAATGAGTGACTGAGAATTAAACAGAACCAGATGTGGACCTAAATACTCCACAGTATTATTTGCATTCTGCCACTTAGAAGTGGCATGCTGCTTAGTTTGGGATACTGGCTATTAATTTTCTAAAGACTGGAGAATGTTATCCCCAGAATATACTCTTCTAGGATGTTAAGTTAGGGTCTTCATTGCTTTATCTAGAGCATCTTAACAAACTAGTAAGTCCATTTTGAAAGAGATAAAGTAGTGGAAAAAGGGAGCCAGGGTGTTTGTCTCATGTTGGAGGAGGGAAAAGCCATATCCCTGTAAAGGTGGATTAGGAAAAAGTGGGAGCCGGCCAGTGGGGAAGTAGGGAAGTGGGTTTCTTTAAGTGGTAGAAATCAGAACCACTCAAATGCAGTGCACTGAGAATATAAAGGTACTCACCTTGAGACAGGGCAGCACCCTCAGTGCCAGGGTTTGGGGATTTAAGGCAAAGGTCCTTGGAGCTGAGTGGCCACAACTGAGCCATCTGCCTTCTGTGTAATGAGGTCTCATGAGCTATTGTCCTGTGGCAAAACTCCTGGACTAAATGATGTTCAGCCTTGAGCATATCTTTAGCAATGATCTCAACAGACTGAATGCCAGATAACTCTCCCTTATTCATCCGGAACATGAAGAAGCTCCAGAATGCTGGTGAGGCCCAAAGCAAGAGAAGGGAGTCCTGAAGAATGACTGATATCAGGCTTATCACTACCATTGGTCTCATATTTAACTTGACACACACAAACAAACAAAAAAAACAAAAAGAATGCTGCATTACTGACACCTGCTGTGGTAATGGGAAGGCCTGGAGGGGCCAGGGGCCAGTTCCCTGGAAGGAACCTGGGTGAATCTTCATATCAGTGCTTGAAGACAGAGTCAACTTCCTTACCCTGCTCTACCACCAGGGTCCCCAAAGTCTGTACATCATATCACAATCACATGTGTGAAAGTTAATTTGGTTTACTGAGTAGTGAAAGTTGTCTCTTGTACTTTCTAGGACAGATTTGTGTGTGTGTGTGTAGCTCATAGACATACACAGTCACACACATAGAGTTGGGGGAGGGAGAGAGAGATCTATATGCTTTTCCACAAAAGAGAGTCTGAAACGAAGACTTGTGTGCAGAAGTGAATCCCACAAGTCCAGAAATAAAGAGGATGAGCAGATAAAGGGAAATTGCTGAGAAGGGATGTGTTTTTCAGCTGGTCACTACATGGGAGAGTGAGGTTCAGTCTCTCCTGGGAGCCTCTAAAGAACCATACAAAATGAGCCTTAGCATTGTCCCTCTGAAGGATGAGAGTCTGGGACATTTCTTTATGGATATGTATCTCCCTCTGAGGTTTGCCTCCAGCAATGATTCTTGGCTCTCCTAAACGGGAATGACTGATGTCCCCTTGCCTCAGGAGAAGCTTTAAGGCTGAACAAAGCACAGGGAGACTGAGAGGTGGGAGAATTTGTGCATGGAAAGTACCCATCAGAGCTGCTACTAAAATCCATGCTGGGCTGAGGGCATGTGGCCTGGGCATAAAAGGCACATACTTCAGAAACCATCAGAAAAGTTAATGGAAGATATTTAACTTTTTAGAGAAGAATCTTCCTATAACCCATCTTCCACCACAGGGTATTCCAGATGAGGGTAGGTATGACATTTCCTGCTGCCTTTGCACATGCATTTTAACCTTAACTGAATTCTCTGCTCAGCCAAGCTTCTCACTCCTGCTCTCAGTCCTGTCTGCCCTCTCAGACTCCGGAGCCTTTAGAGGTTGCTAGGCAGATCCTCTCCCTCCTAGTTACATGGCAGCCCCTTGGAGCTTATTCCAGGATTCTCATCCAGTGATACATTCTTGTTCACTTTTCATCATCTAGAATTTTATTGAAATCTTTCCTGTTCTGAAGAAGAAATGTCTATTCAAATTTTTTGCCCATATTTTCACTCAGTGGTCTTTTTTATTATTGAGTTGAGAGTGTCCTTTATAAGACGGCCGAATAGGAACAGCTCCGGTCTACAGCTCCCAGCGTGAGCGACGCAGAAGACAGGTGATTTCTGCATTTCCATTTGAGGTACTGGGTTCATCTCACTAGGGAATGCCAGACAGAGGGTGCAGGTCAGTGGGTGCACGCACCATGCGTTAGCCGAAGCAGGGTGAGGCATTGCCTCACTAGGGAAGCGCAAGGGATCAGGGACTTCCCTTTCCTAGTCAAAGAAAGGGGTGACAGACGGCACCTGGAAAATCAGGTCACTCCCACCCAAATACTGCGCTTTTCCGATGGGCTTAAAAAACGGCGCACCAGGAGATTATACCCTGCACCTGGCTCAGAGGGTCCTACACCCACCGAGTCTCGCTGATTGCTAGCACAGCAGTCTGAGATCAAACTGCAAGGCGGCAGCCAGGCTGGGGGAGGGGCGCCCGTTATTGCCCAGGCTTGATTAAGTAAACAAAGCAGCCAGGAAGCTCGAACTGGGTGGAGCCCACCACAGCTCAAGGAGGCCTGCCTGCCTCTGTAGGCTCCACCTCTGGGGGCAGGGCACAGACAAACAAAAAGACAGCAGGAACCTCTGCAGACTTAAATGTCCCTGTCTGACAGCTTTGAAGAGAGCAGTGGTTCTCCCAGCACGCAGCTGGAGATCTGAGAATGGGCAGACTGCCTCCTCAAGTGGGTCCCTGACCCCTGACCCCCGAGCAGCTTAACTGGGAGGCACCCCCCAGCAGGGGCAAACTGACACCTCACAAGGCCTGGTACTCCAACAGACCTGCAGCTGAGGGTCCTGTCTGTTAGAAGGAAAACTAACAAACAGAAAGGACATCCACACCAACAACCCATCTGTACATCACCATCATCAAAGACCAAAAGTAGATAAAACCACAAAGATGGGGAAAAAACAGAGCAGAAAAACTGGAAACTCTAAAAAGCAGAGCGCCTCTCCTCCTCCAAAGGAACGCAGTTCCTCACCAGCAATGGAACAAAGCTTGATGGAGAATGACTTTGACGAGCTGAGAGAAGAAGGCTTCAGACGATCAAATTACTCCGAGCTAGGGGAGGACATTCAAACCAAAGGCAAAAAAGTTGAAAACTTTGAAAAAAATTTAGAAGAATGTATAACTACAATAACCAATACAGAGAAGTGCTTAAAGGAGCTGATGGAGCTGAAAACCAAGGCTCGAGAACTACATGAAGAATGCAGAAGCCTCAGGAACGGATGCGATCAACTGGAAGAAAGGGTATCAATGATGGAAGATGAAATGAATGAAATGAAGCGAGAAGAGAAGTTTAGAGAAAAAAGTATAAAAAGAAACGAGCAAAGCCTCCAAGAAATATGGGACTATGTGAAAAGACCAAATCTAAGTCTGACTGGTGTACCTGAAAGTGATGGGGAGAATGGAACCAAGTTGGAAAACACTCTGCAGGATATTATCCAGGAGAACTTCCCAGTCTAGCAAGGCAGGCCAACATTCAGATTCAGGAAATACAGAGAACGCCATAAAGATACTCCTCGAGAAGAGCAACTCCAAGACACATAATTGTCAGATTCACCAAAGTTGAAATGAAGGAAAAAATGTTAAGGGCAGCCAGAGAGAAAGGTCGGGTTACCCTCAAAGGGAAGCCCATCAGACTAACAGCGGATCTCTCGGCAGAAACTCTACAAGCCAGAAGAGAGTGGGGGCCAATATTCAACATTCTTAAAGAAAAGAATTTTCAACCCAGAATTTCATATCCAGCCAAACTAAGCTTCATAAGTGAAGGAGAAATAAAATACTTTACAAACAAGCAAATGCTGAGAGATTTTGTCACCACCAGGCCTGCCCTAAAACAGCTCCTGAAGGAAGCGCTAAACATGGAAAGGAACAACCGGTACCAGCCACTGCAAAATCATGCCAAAATGTAAAGACCATTGAGACTAGTAAGAAACTGCATCAACTAACGAGCAAAATAACCAGCTAACATCATAATGACAGGATCAAATTCACACATAACAATATTAACTTTAAATGTAAATGGACTAAATCCTCCAATTAAAAGACACAGACTGGCAAATTGGATAAAGAGTCAAGACCCATCAGTGTGCTGTATCCAGGAAACCCATCTCACGTGCAGAGACACACATGGGCTCAAAACAAAAGGATGGAGGAAGATCTACCAAGCAAATGGAAAACAAAAAAAGGCAGGGGTTTCAATCCTAGTCTCTGATAAAACAGACTTTAAACCAACAAAGATCAAAAGAGACAAAGAAGGCCATTACATAATGGTAAAGGGATCATTCCAATAGGAAGAGCTAACTATCCTAAATATATATGCACCCAATACAGGAGCACCCAGATTCATAAAGCAAGTCCTGAGTGACATACAAAAAGACTTAGACTCCCACACATTAATAATGGGAGACTTTAACACCCCACTGTCAACATTAGACAGATCAATGAGACAGAAAGTCAACAAGGATACCCAGGAATTGAACTCAGCTCTGCACCAAGCGGACCTAATAGACATCTACAGAACTCTCCACCCCAAATCAACAGAATATACATTTTTTTCAGCACCACACCACACCTATTCCAAAATTGACCACATACTTGGAAGTAAAGCACTCCTTAGCAAATGTAAAAGACAGAAATTATAACAAACTGTCTCTCAGACCACAGTGCAATCCAACTAGAACTCAGGATTAAGAATCTCACTCAAAACCGCTCAACTACATGGAAACTGAACAACGTGCTCCTGAATGATTACTGGGTACATAACGAAATGAAGGCAGACATAAAGATGTTCTTTGAAACCAATGAGAACAAAGACACCACATACCAGAGTCTCTGGGATGCATTCAAAGCAGTGTGTAGAGGGAAATTTAGAGCACTAAATGCCCACAAGAGAAAGCAGGAAAGATCCAAAATTGACACCCTAACATCACAATTAAACGAACTAGAAAAGCAAGAGCAAACACATTCAAAAGCTAGCAGAAGGCAAGAAATAACTAAAATCAGAGCAGAACTGAAGGAAATAGAGACACAAAAAACCCTTCAAAAAATTAATGAATCCAGGAGCTGGTTTTTTGAAAGGATCAACAAAATTGATAGACCGCTAGGAAGACTAATAAAGAAAAAAAGAGAGAAGAATCAAATAGAAATAATAAAAAATGATAAAGGGGATATCACCACTGATCCCACAGAAATACAAACTACCATCAGAGAATACTACAAACAACTCTATGCAAATAAACTAGAAAATCTAGAAGAAATGGATAAATTCCTGGACACATACACTCTCCCAAGACTAAACCAGGAAGAAGTTGAATCTCTGAATAGACCAATAACAGGATCTGAAATTGTGGCAATAATCAATAGCTTATCAACCAAAAAGAGTCCAGCACCAGATGGATTCACAGCTGAATTCTACCAGAGGTACAAGGAGGAACTGGTACCATTCCTTCTGAAACTATTCCAATCAATAGAAAAAGAGGGAATCCTCCCTAACTCATTTTATGAGGCCAGCATCATCCTGATACCAAAGCTGGGCAGAGACACAACAAAAAAAGAGAATTTTAGACCAATATCCTTGATGAACATTGATGTAAAAATCCTCAATAAAATACTGGCAAACCGAATCCAGCAGCACATCAAAAAGCTTATCGACCATGATCAAGTGGGCTTCATCCCTGGGATGCAAGGCTGGTTCAATATACGCAAATCAATAAATGTAATCCAGCATATAAACAGAACCAAAGACAAAAACCACAGATTATCTCAATAGATGCAGAAAAGGCCTTTGACAAAATTCAACCACCCTTCATGCTAAAAACTCTCAATAAATTAGGTATTGATGGGACGTATCTCAAAATAATAAGAGCTATCTATGACAAACCCACAGCCAATATCATACTGAATGGGCAAAAACTGGAAGCATTCCCTTTGGAAACTGGCACAAGACAGGGATGCCCTCTCTCACCACAACTATTCAACATAGTGTTGGACGTTCTGGCCAGGGCAATTAGGCAGGAGAAGGAAATAAAGGGTATTCAATTAGGAAAAGAGGAAGTCAAATTGTCCCTGTTTGCAGACGACATGATTGTATATCTAGAAAACCCCATTGTCTCAGCCCAAAATCTCCTTAAGCTGATAAGCAACTCCAGCAAAGTCTCAGGATACAAAATCAATGTGCAAAACTCACAAGCATTCTTATACACCAATAACAGACAAACACAGAGCCAAATCATGAGTGAACTTCCAATTCACAATTGCTTCAAAGAGAATAAAATACCAAGGAATCCAACTTACAAGGGATGTGAAGGACCTCTTCAAGGAGAACTATAAACCACTGCTCGAGGAAATAAAAGAGGATACAAACAAATGGAAGAACATTCCATGCTCATGGGTAGGAAGAATCAATATCGTGAAAATGGCCATACTGCCCAAGGTAATTTACAGATTCAATGCCATCCCCATCAAGCTACCAATGACTTTCTTCACAGAATTGGAAAAAACTTCTTTAAAGTTCATATGGAACCAAAAAAGAGCCCACATCGCCAAGTCAATCCTAAGCCAAACGAACAAAGCTGGAGGCATCACGCTACCTGACTTCAAACTATACTGCAAGACTACAGTAACCAAAACAGCATGGTACTGGTACCAAAACAGAGATATAGATCAATGGAACAGAACAGAGCCCTCAGAAATAACGCCGCATATCTACAACTATCTGATCTTTGACAAACCTGAGAAAAACAAGCAATGGGGAAAGGATTCCCTATTTAATAAATGGTGCTGGGAAAACTGGCTAGCCATATGTAGAAAGCTGAAACTGGATCCCTTCCTTACACCTTATACAAAAATTAATTCAAGATGGATTAAAGACTTCAACGTTAGACCTAAAACCATAAAAACCCTAGAAGAAAACTTAGGCATTACCATTCAGGACATAGGCATGGGCAAGGACTTCATGTCTAAAACACCAAAAGCATTGGCAACAAAAGCCAAAATTGACAAATGGTATCTAATTAAACTAAAGAGCTTCTGCACAGCAAAAGAAACCACCATCGGAGTGAACAGGCAACCTACAAAATGGGAGAAAATTTTCGCAACCTACTCATCTGACAAAGGGCTAATATCCAGTATCTACAATGAACTCAAACAAATTTACAAGAAAAAAACCAACAACCGCATCAAAAAGTGGGCGAAGGACATGAACAGACACTTCTCAAAAGAAGACATTTATGCAGCCAAAAAACACATGAAAAAATGCTCACCATCACTGGCCATCAGAGAAGTGCAAATCAGAACCACAATGAGATACCATCTTACACCAGTTAGAATGGCAATCATTAAAAAGTCAGGAAACAACAGGTGCTGGAGAGGATGTGGAGAAATAGGAACACTTTTACACTGTTGGTGGGACTGTAAACTAGCTCAACCATTGTGGAAGTCAGTGTGGTGATTCCTCAGGGATCTAGAACTAGAAATACCATTTGACCCAGCCATCCCATTACTGGGTATATACCCAAAGGACTATAAATCATGCTGCTATAAAGACACATGCACACGTATGTTTATTGTGGCATTATTCACAATAGCAAAGATTGGAACCAACCCAAATGTCCAACAATGATAGACTGGATTAAGAAAATGTGGCACATATACACCATGGAATACTATGCAGCCATAAAAAATGATGAGTTCACGTACTTTATAGGGACATGGATGAAACTGGAAATCATCATTCTCAGTAAACTATCGCAAGAACAAAAAACCAAACACCGCATATTCTCACTCATAGATGGGAACTGAACATTGAGAACACATGGACACAAGAAGGGGAACATCACACTCTGGGGACTGTTGTGGGGTGGGGGGAGGGGGGAGGGATAGCATTGGGAGATATACCTAATGCTAGAGGACGAGTTAGTGGGTGCAGTGCACCAGCATGGCACATGTATACATATGTAACTAACCTGCACATTGTGCACAGGTACCCTAAAACTTAAAGTATAATAAAAAAAGAAAAAGAAAAAGAAAAAAAAAGAACGTGTCCTTTATATAGTCTGGATTCTAGTCTCTTAGCCAACTTATGTTTTTCAAATGCTTTATCCCACTTTGAGGGTTGTTTTTTTACCCTCTCAGAGGTGTCTTCTGAATCATAAACATTCTTAATTCAGAGGAAGTGAAATTTTAAAATATTTTCTGTAGTTGGTTGTGTTCTTAGTTTCACATGTAAAAAAACTTTTTGCTTAATTGATATGCTTTTCCTGTGTCCCCACCTAAATCTCGAATTGTAGCCCCCATAATTCTCACATGTCATGGAGAGATCTATTGGGAGGTAATTGAATTATGAGGATGGGTCTTTCTCATAGCAGCGAATAAGTCTCATGAGATCTGATGGTTTTATAAAAGGGAGTTCCCCTGCACATGCTCTCTCTCCTTGCCTCCCACCATGAAAGACGTGACTTTACTCCTCCTTTGCCTTCCATCATGATTGTGAGGCCTCCCCAACCATGTGGAACTGTGATTCAATTAAACCTATTTTCTGTATAAATGACACAGTCTTGGGTATGTCTTTATTAGCTGCCTGAGAACAGACTAATACACTAATCTAGGTTCATGAAGATCTACAACCTATTTTTTCTTGTAAGCATTTTATACATTTAGGTCTTTGGTTCACTTCTAGTTAATTTTTGTATATGATATGGGGAAGAGGTTCACATTCATTTTTTCCCATATGGATATCCATTTGTCCCAGCGCCATTTGTTGAAAAGACTATTCTTTTCCAAATGAATTGTCTTGGGGTTCTTGTTGAAATATACTGACCATAAAATGTGAGGGTTTATTTCTGGACTCACAGTTCCACTTCATTAATCTGTACATCAAGACCACACTGTCTTGATTACTGTAGCTTTGTCTAAAGTTTTGACACTGAAAAGCTTGAGCCCTCCAAATGTATTCTTCTATTTAGAGATTGTTTTTGATTGGCTATTCTGGGTCCCTTGAGTTTCCATATGAATTTTTGAATTAGCTTGTCAATTTCTGCAAAGAAGTCAATTGGAATGAATCTCACATATGACCATTACATAATACTTGAACATGAATCTTGTGAGTTATATTTATTATCATAGTTAATCTGCGCTATGAAATTCTATGAAGTTGCTCTTAGAGGTTGGCATTTGAAAGCCATAACAGAAATTTCTATTTGTTTATAAAAATCTACGTCATTTAAAAAACATTATCTTTATGATGCATAATAATATACACAGAAGTGTAACACAACATGAGATATTTTGTTATTCTTTTCGGATGTACCATGTAATACTTTGTTGTGGAGGTTGGATGTTAGCCATAGGGCAGACAGATTTTTCTTTTTTGGTTAACAACACAGTGCTGAACAGTAATAATAGGATTAATCTTTCTTCTTCTTTTCCTTCTCCTTCTCCTTATTCTCCTTTCTTCTTTTAGAGACAGGGTGTCTCACTTTGTTGCTCAGGCTGGACTGCAGTGGTGCAATCTCAATTCACTGCAACCTCCATCTCCTGGGCTCAAGTGATCCTCCCACTTTAGCCTCCCAAGTAGCTGGGACTACAGGTGTGCCTCACCATGCCAGGCCAGTTTTTTTGTATTTTTTGTAGAGACAGGGTTTTCCCATGCTGCCCAGGCTGGTCTCAAACTCCTTGGCCTCTCAAAGTGCTGGGATTATGGGCATAAGCCACAGTGCCTGGCCACTTTGACATTAATCTTAAAGTTCAATTGGAGAGCTCTCACATTAGTTCAGAAATTTTTTTCCAAAAAGAAAAACAGAATACCCGTGAGTCCATCAAATATAACACTTTTAAAGTAGAAATGATAAACTGAGCCCCTGTGGTACATCTGCCCATCTCTTCATTGTGAAACTTAAGTTATCTACACTGGTCACTTCTTTCTGACCCAGATAAAGTGTTTCTTTAATTGTTGGAGGTGGCTTCCTTATCTCACTATGCAGACAGTTCTTGCCAAGGACTCCTGTGTCACCAATCAGTTTTCCTTTGACTCATGTAACCTCTGCACTTCATTAGACACAATTGCCTGCTCCCTACTTCGTGAACTCTCCTCCACGGCTTCTCTGGGATCATGCCACCTGGATCTTCTACTTCTGACCTCCTGGTCTCTGTTTTCTCCACTGCTGTCTTCTCTCCCTCCACCACATTCCAGGCACATGCCCTAGGCTACCCTAGTCCTTGCTCACAGGTTTCACAACCATTCCTACCCTGACATCTTCTCACCCAGGCTCACACCTCCTCTTTCCTACAGGACAGATCTATTTGGATGTCACTTCACCTCAAATACAGTATGTCCAGTATGGCCTCTCTTGACACTCCAAACCAATTTCCTTTTAATTGCATTTCTTAGTGGTAACACCCATTTCCCAAGGTCATTAGATTTCAGCATCTGACCCCTGCTTAGCCCTGTATTCAACTGCCATGAAGTCCTGCAGATACTTTTTGATAGAATTCTCAAACCAACTTATTCATCTTCATTTCACTTCTACCCCTTCTAGCCCTCCTTCACTTGTTTTTAAAGCTTCTTGTGCATGAGGCCAAGGGCAGCGTGGTAAAAGCTCTAATCTGATAGACATGCATCAACCTGGAAGGCAAGTTATGCCCTAAAAGCTGGGTCAGATAAAATGAGCTGTTGATCAATGTTGAGAGCAATTGTCAGATGATATCAGGAAGAACTAATACAATTACTACCTCCTATTGTATTTCTGCAAGTTCCCCCATGTCTCCCTGATACCCTAATGCTATTAGTACGTTTGGCTCACACGCACCTCTGTACTTGTATTTATTTGGTTAGTCTGGCTTGGTGGTGCTAGTTTAGGATGATCACATTGAAAAGTTGTTGATTAATGTCATAACGGCTTTAGTTCCGTGGTGAAAGCAAGAATGCGGTCAAGCACACCCCTAGGTTGGTTGCCACATGAACCAACAGGTGGACAGGCACAAAAAGGTATAATTCTTAACACCACGTACACTGAGTCAACAGGACAGTTTCAGAAACTGGAGTTAAAATGGAGCTTTCCAGAACCAGAGGGGACAAAAACCAATACACAAATTCTGGGCAGGAGTTTTTCTAAGCTTGCTAATACCTGTAAAAACAAGAGCAACTCACTTCTTTACACTGAACCCCATCTGAACTCTCCTTGTCTTTCACATCTAACAGGGCTCAGTATCTCTTGCATGTAAGTAGCTATCACTTATACAGCACTTTACATGGGCTAGTGTATTCATCACAGACTTTCTATTTTATGATATTTTGATGTGTTGGGGAGCCCAACTACCCAGGGAAAGACTGCCCCACAGAGGGATAACTAATTTTTAGAGATAATAAACAACTGGCATGCACACATGCATCTCACACGCAAATGAATCAATCCCAGGTCCATACCCCCAACCTCCTCTTTTATCTACCTCACACACCAACCCAATATTTACCCTTTCCTAAATCACCCAGGTCCAGCTAGATAACTAAAGACCACCCTGTAACCCAGAGCCCACCAGAATTATTCTAACTAGCCAATCCTAACCTGTTTCCTATGCCCTGCCTTGCCTTTTTCGTGGGAAATACAGGAAGGGTCTGGGCCGGGCCTCCTCTTTCTCCTTTCTGCCTCCTGACTGACACTGATGCTTTCCAAGGTGGCCCTGCATGGCATGGCATACTCCCTCCTCTAGGAAAATGTAAGTAATTAAAATCTGTCTTTAATGGCATTATCCTCTCCTTGTGGTCATCAATCACTTCCATAAGTTAAAATGCTATGAGTACAACTGAGACAGCTAAGAATCATTGGATAACTTTGCATGGACAAACTCATTTAATTTTTATAACAACTACATGAGGTATATACTACTATTTTCTCTATCTAACAAGGAGGACATAAAGGTACAGAGAGGCTAAGAAAGTTGTTCAAGGCCCTGTGAGTGAATGGCAGAGCTAGGATGCAAACCCAGTCAGCCTTGTGTCAGCCAGTCTGTGGTTTCACAACTGACTGTACTGCCTCTTGGGGAAGCTGGGGTGTGTTATGTGTTATAAACCTAACCTGGACATCCTTTTTACCACTACAGGCCTCTTGCAAGAATTGCCTGTCTTGTGTGAAATCCTGTCTTAAATTAGTTATCAGAATGAGGAACAAACATATCTGGGCCCTAAAAAGCATCACTGTCTCGATCCCAGTTGGTTGACTTGGGATGAATACAGAAAAGAATATCCAGGTAAAAGTGTCTAGAATTCAGATGCTACAGGGATGACAATTCTTACTTTGTTCCTTGGATTTATCTTTTGGTAAGAATGTAGCACCAGTACTAAACACATAAGAGCACAGTTCTTTTCTTTTTTAGATGGCAGATAGGAGGCGGTGTTAGTGTGTCTCTCCTACTTGGAAGGACAGAATAGTGGGCAGGGATTAACACTGTGAATTTTTTTTTTCCAAGAACCACTGCAAGAACTTACCAGGAAAACCAAAAGAAACCACAGATCCTTTGAAAGAAGTGTAAGGCTGCAGCCTATCCCATGAAGCAGGCAAAAAAACTATAAGTTTCCAGAGAGTGCAGGGGGAGAGCCTACGTCCAAACATACATCCCCACCAGGGAATCTGAAAATCCAGATCATGGGAGAAAGCCTTAACCCTTCCCAGAGCTGGAACGGATTTAGGGAGCAGCATGAAATATAAAAGTGGAAGCAGCAGTGGGAAGTGCCTTGTAGGCATTCCCAGTCTCCAGCACAAGTCGAGGGAAACCATTCCTGACTATATTTCACAGAGGCCTTCTGGGATGTCAGCCAATGAACTCAGGGCAGGGTCACAGGGTGAAAGAAGCTACCAACTGAATTTTGTGATATAATTTCAAGTTGGGACAAACTCCCTTGAACAGAATCCAGGGGTAAGCAGGAAGTGTGCTGCAGACAAGAGTACAGAAGCTGGGCACCCAGCCTTGCAGGCAGATGTGGAGGGGACGTGGACTAAGAGCCATGTTTGCTATCTCTGTGGGGAAGCTTATGGCCTGGGGCACATCTGAGTTTTGTGTGCAGGCTGCCTGGATCTAAACCCAGTGCTGTTAGTGGGGCATTGCAGGAGTGAGATTGGCCTTGCCAACTGCATGGGAGCTGGGTGAGGCCTTCCACTGCCAGCTATTCCCTACTCCCCTTGTAAACTCTTCCACACAGCAGAGGCAGTTATACTCCCCTCTGGAACATTATCCCAGAGGCCTGAGAATCACCCTTTGTCCCCCACAGTGGCTGTGGCTGGCCCTGCTCAAGGAGAGTCTGAGCTCAGACCCTCCTAAACCTGAGCCTACCTGATGGTATTCCTCTACTTGCCCTAGGAGCCTAACAAAAAGACAAACTTTTGGGAGTTTTATGGCCCCACCCATCACCTGAGAAATCAGCATACTTCCTCTTTACAACTTAGGGCAAGCTCAAATCCCATTGCTACTACCACAGCTGGCGCTCTCTTGCAAGTGCCACCTCGTGACTGAAGGCCAACCAACTCAGGCCATTACAGCACATCTTGGCAGATTAATACTGCTCCCAGGAAGGAGAAAATAGCTGCTAACACCACTGCCTGCAACATCCTGGCTAACCAGAGGTCCTGAGTCTGTCCACATGACAAGTTCACTACTAGCATAACCAGCATTTGAGAAAGCCAGCACGCTAAATCTATCCACAACCAAGTAGTCTCACAGAGTCTGCATCACTCCCCTGTAACCTCCATCAGAGCAGGTGCTGGTATCCATTTCTGGGACACTTGAAGACAGGTCACATCACTGGATCCTTGGCAGACATTCTCCAGCACCAGCCCAGAAACTGGTAGCCTTACTGGGTGGCTAGACCCAGAAGAGCAATAAAAATCACTGCAGTCAGGCTCTCAGGAAGCCCCGTTCCCAGGGGAAGGGGGAGAGCACCACATCAAGGGATAACCTCATGGAATAAAAGATTCTGAACAGCAGGCCTTGAGTCCCAGATATTTCCACAACTGCAGTGCTGGGCACAGTAGGGAAAGTCTGCACCTCTACCCCAATAGGCAGGTAACCTCTGTGATCATGAAGGGCTTTGGAGAAGGGATCATTGTTCCCTCAGGCACACCACTGCAGACACAGCTGGGGCTTTTTGCCTCAGGAAGGCAGCATGGATGCACCTATAGACAGCCTTCCTGAAACAATGCAGGGTAATTACAGCCCACAGGAGGAGTACTCCCCAGATTCAGGCCTGCATGAGACACAGAGTCAGAATTCCTCCCTAGTTGGAACATTAAATTCCTATAGATGAAAAAAAGATGCCTGTCTGAACTGAATAGCCAGAACACTGGGACAGGAGTGAAGCTAAGCTGTGAGGTGTATACCTTTCCTTCTTGCCTGGCAGGGGAGCTGAGGTAGCTCCCCCTCTTCAACCTGATAAAACCTCAGCACATATAATTGAGAGCTCCCTCAGCCACCTTCATCAAGGCTGGGACCTCTGCCCACCACTGAGTATTACATCTACCCATCTGCCTTAGCTACAACCAGTGCCCACTAAGGGATACCTCCCCTATTGGCCTGAAGCCTGAATCATCAACTCCATAAGTAAAATACTGAGTAAAAATCAAATAAATAAAATGTACGCCATGAGAGAATGGGATAAGCTTCAAGAGATCCCTGCCATTCTCAACCAATAGGAGACAGTAAACTTGCCCACACAATGAGTATATAACTACTACAACCAGCATCTAAGAAAGCCAGTGCAAAAAGACTCTATAACTAAGGAACTCATACAGAGTCTTCACCCCTAAAAGCACCAATAATCAAATTAGGCAAAAATAAAGTATAAACATTAAAGTCTGATCCTCAGGAGGGGAAAAATGAAATTAAAAAACCACAGTCCAATCAAAAATAAATTCATGAACAATTTCAAGAAATAGTCTGCTCAAATAAGAAGGAACCAGAAAAGTAATTCTGGTAATATGACAAAACAGGGCTCTATAAACACCCCCAAAAGATCACACTAACTCCCCAGCAGTAGATCCAAACCAAAAAGAAGTCTCTGAAATGCCACATAAAGAATTCGGAGGGTTGATTATTAAGTTACTCAAGGTAGCTTAATATTTCCCAGATACCAGAGAAAGGTGAATACCAACTTAAATATTTTTTTAAAAAATCCAGGATATGAATGTAAAAATCTTCCAGGGAAAAAGAAACCATAAAGAAAAAACACTCAGAACTTCTGGAAATGAAAGACACACTTAGAGAAATAGAAAATGCAGTGAAAGTTTCAACAATAGACTAGAACAAGCAGAAAAAAGAATTTCAGAGTTAAAAGATATGGCTTTTGAATTAACCCAATCAGGCAAAGACAAAATTTTTTTTTAAATGAACAAACTCGCCAAGAAATATGTTGTATTAGTCGATTTTCACACTGCTGATAAAGACATACCTGAGACTGGATAATTTATGAAGAAAAACACGTTTAATGGACTCACAGTTCCATATAGCTGGGGAGGTTTCACAATCATGGTGGAAGGTGAAGGGCAAGTCTTACATGGAGGCAGGCAAGAGAGAAAATGAAAACCAAGTGAAAGGGGTTTCCCCCTATCAAACCATCTGATTTTGTGAGACTTATTCCCTACAATGAGAACAGTATGGGGGAAACTGCCACCACGATTCAATTATCTCCCACCAGGTCCCTCCCACAACATGTGGGAATTATGGGAGCTACAATTCAAGATGAGATTTGAGAGGGGACAATGCCAAACCATATAATTCCACACCTGGTCCCTCCCAAATCTCATGTCCTCACATTTCAAAACCAATGATGCCTTCCCAACAGTCCCCCAAATCTTAACTCATTCCAGCATTAACTCAAAAGTCCACAGTCAAAAGTCTTATCTGAGACAAGGCAAGTCCCTTCTGCCTATGAGCCTGTAAAATAAAAAACCAGTTAGTTACTTCCTAGATACAATGGGGGTATAGACATTAGATAAATACACCCATTCCAAATGGGAGAAATTGGCCAAAATGAAGGGAAAAAAGGCCCCATGGAAGTCTGAAATCCAGCAGGGCAGTCAAATCTTAAAGCTCCAAAATTATCTCCTTTGAATCCATATCTCACATCCAGGTCACGCTGATGCAAGAGGTGGGTTCCCATGGTCATGGACAGCTCCACCCCTGTGGTTTTGTAGGGTATAGCCTCCCTCCCGGCTGCTGTCACAGGCTGGCATTGAGTGTCTGCAGCTTTTCCAGGCACACAGTGCAAGTTGTTGGTGGATCTACCATTCTGGAATCTGGAGGACAGTGGCCCTCTTCTCACAGCTCCACTAGGCAGTGCCTCAGTGGGGACTCTGGGTGGGGTCTTCAACCCCACATTTTCCTTCTACACTTTCCTGGCAGAGGTTCTCCATGAGGTCCCCACCCCTGCAACAAATTTCTATCTGGACAACCAGGCATTCCCATACATCCTCTGAAATCTAGGTGGAGGTTTCCAAACCTCAATTCTTGACTTCTGTGCCACTGCAGGCTCAATACCATGTGTAAGCTGCCAAGGCTTGGGGCTTACACTCTCTGAAGCCACAGCCCAAGCTGTACCTTGGCCCCTGTTAGCCATGGCTAGAGCAGCTGGGACACATGGCACCAAGTCCCTAGGCTGCACACAGCAGAGGGGCCCTGGGCCTGGACCATGAAAACATTTTTTCCTCCTAGGCCTCCAGGCCTGTGATGGGAGAGGCTGCCACAAAGTTCTCTTACAAGCCCTGGAGACATTTTCCCCATTGTCTTGGTGATTAACATTTGGATCCTCATTACGTATGCAAATTTCTGCAGCTGGCTTAAATTTCTCCTCGGAAAATGGGTTTTTCTTTTCTGTTGCATCATCAGGCTGCAAATTTTCCAGACTTTTATGCTCTTTTTCCCTTTTAAAACTTAATGATTTTAACAGCACCCAAGTCATCTCTTGAACACTTTGCTGCTTAGTGATTTCTTACACCAGATACTCTAAATCATCTCCCTCAAGTTCAAAGTTCCATGAGTCTCTAGGGCAGGGGCAAAATGCCACCAATCTCTTTGCTAAAACATAGCAAGAGTTACCTTTACTCCAGATCCCAACAAGTTCTTCATCTCCATCTGAGAACACCTCAACCTGGATTTCATTGTGTATAACATTATTAGCATTTTGGTCAAAGCCGTTCAACAAGCCTCTAGGAAGTTCCAAATTTTCTCACATTTCCCTGTCTTTTTCTGAACCTCCAAACTGTTCCAACCTCTGCCTGTTACTCAGTTCCAAAGTCACTCCTACATTTTTGGGTATCTTTACAACAGCTCCCCTCTCTACTGATACCAATTTACTGTATTACTCCATTTTCATGCTGCGGATACAGATATACCTGAGACTGGGTAATTTATAAAGAAAAACACATTTAATGGACTCACAGTTCCATGTGACTAGGGAGGCCTCACAATCACGGTGGAAGGCAAAAGGCACGTCTTACATGGTAGCAGGCAAGAGAGAAAATGTGAACCAAGTGAAAGGGGTTTCCCCTTATAAAATCATCAGATCTCATGAGACTTTTTCACTACACAAGAACAGTATGGGGAAAACCACTGCCATGATTCAATTATCTCCCACTGGGTCCCTCCCACAATACATGGAAATTATGGAAGCTACAATTAAAGATGAGTTTTGGGCAGGGACACAGCCAAAACATATCATATGGGATTAAGTAAAATGGCCAAACCCAGAAAGAATTGGTGTTCCTGAGGGAGAAAAGAAGTCTAAACGTTTGGAAAATTTATTTGAGGTAATAATTGAGGAAAACTTCCCTGGCCTTGCTAGAGATCTAGACATTCAAAGACAAACAGTTCAAAGAACTCCCGGGAAATTCATCACACAAAAGATCATCACCAAAGCCCACAGTCATCAGGCTATCTAAAATCAAGATGAAGGAAAAAAAATGAGCTGTGAGGCAAAAGCATCAGGTAACCTATAAAGGAAAACCCATCAGATTAACAGCAAATTTCTCAGATGAAACTTCACAAGCCAGAAGGGCTTAGGGTCCTATCTTTAGCCTCCTTAAACAAAATAATTGTCATGGCTGGGCATGGTGGTTCATGCCTACAATCCCAGCATTTTGGGAGGCCAAGATGGGAGGATTACCTGAGCTTAGGAGTTTGAGACTGGCCTGGCCAACATGGCAAAACCTCATCTCTACTAAAAATACAAAAATTAGCCAGGCATGGTGGCTAATTTGCTGTTAATCTGATGGGTTTTCCTTTATAGGTTACCTGATGCTTTTGCCTCACAGCTCATTTTTTTTCCTTCATCTTGATTTTAGATAGCCTGATGACTGTGGGCTTTGGTGATGATCTTTTGTGTGATGAATTTCCCGGGAGTTCTTTGAACTGTTTGTCTTTGAATGTCTAGATCTCTAGCAAGGCCAGGGAAGTTTTCCTCAATTATTACCTCAAATAAATTTTCCAAACGTTTAGACTTCTTTTCTCCCTCAGGAACACCAATTCTTTCTGGGTTTGGCCATTTTACTTAATCCCATATGATATGTTTTGGCTGTGTCCCTGCCCAAAACTCATCTTTAATTGTAGCTTCCATAATTTCCATCTACTTGGGAGGCTGAGGCAGGGAGAATCGCTTGAACCCAGGAGGCAGAGGTTGCAGTGAGCCAAGATCATGCCACTGTGCTCCAGCCTGAGTGACAAGAGTGAGATCCTGTCTAAAAAAAAAGCAACCCTGCTCGCTTTTGATTTCCATTTGAGTGGAATATCTTTTTCTACCTCTTGACCTTAAGTTTTTGTGAGTCCGTATGTGTCAGGTGAGTCTGTTAAAGGCAACGGATATTTGGTTGGTGAATTCTTATCTATTGTGCCATTCTGTATTTCTTAAGTGGAGAATTTAGGCCATTTACATTCAATGTTATATTGAGGTGTGAGGTACTGTTCTATTCATCTTGTTAGTTGTTGTCTAGATACTTTATTTTTCATTGTGTTGCTGTTTTATACATCCTGTGAGATTTATGCCTTAAGGAGATTCTATTTTGGTGTATAACAAGGTTTGGTTTCAAGATTTAGAAACGCTTTTAGCATTTCTTGTAGTGTTGGTTTGGTAGTGGCAAGTTGTTTCAGCATTTGTTTTTCTGAAAAAGGCTTTATCTCTTCTTCATTTATGAAGGTTCATTTTGCTGGATACAAAATTCTTGGCTGACAATTATTATTATTATTTATTTATTCATTTATTTTTTGAGATGGAGCCCCCCAAGTAGCTGGGGCTACAGGCACATGCCACCACGCCCAGCTAATTTTTGTATTTTTTGGTGGAGATGGGGTTTCACCATGTTGGCCAGGCTGGTCTCAAACTCCTGACTTCAAGCGATCTTCCCACCTTGGCCTCCCAAAATGCTGAGATTACAGGTGTGAGCCACTACACCCAGCCCAGGAGTAGGTATTCTTATATCAGACAAAACAGACTTTAAAGCAACAACAGTTACAAAAAAAAAAAAAGACAAAGAACAATTATATAATGATAAAAGGATTAGTCCAACAGGAATATATTGCAATCCCAAATTTATAGGCAACTAATACTGGAGTTCCCAAATTTATAAAATAGTTACTACTAGACCTAAGAAATGAGATAGACAGCAACGCAATAATAGTGGGGGACTTCAATACTCCACTGACGGCACTAAACAGATCATCAAAACAGAAAGTCAACAAAGAAACAATGAAACTATACCCTAGAACAAATGGATTTCACAGCTATTTACAGGACATTCTTCCCAACAACTGCAGACTATACATTCTTCTCATCAGCACATGTTACATTCTCCAAAATAGACCATATGATAAGCCACAAAACAAGTCTCAATAAATTTAAGAAAACTGAAATCATATCAAGTGTCTTCTCAGACCACAGTGGAATAAAACTAGAAATCAACTCCAAAAGAAACTTTTAAAACTATACAAATATATGGAAATTAAATAATCTTCTCTTGAATGGTTTTTGGGTTAACAATGAAATCAAGATGGAAACTTAAAATTCTTTGAAATGAATGATAATAGTGACACAACTTATCAAAACCTCTGGGATACAGCAAAAGTGATGCTAAGAGGAAAGTTCATAACATTAAATGTCTACATCAAAAAGTCTGAAAGAGCAGAAATAGACAACCTAATGTCACACCTCAAGGAACTAGAGAAACAAGAACAAACAAAACCCAAACTCAGGAGAAGAAGTAACAAAGATCAAAGCAGAATTAAATGAAAGTGAAAAAAAACAAAAAAGATAAATGAAACAAAAAGCTGGTTCTTTGAAAAGATAAACAAAATGGATAGACCAGTAGCAAGATTAACCAAGAAGAGAGAAGATCCAAATAAGCTCAATTAGAAAGGAAACTGGAGATATTACAACCACTACCACAGAAATATAAGAGATCATTCAAGGCTACTATGAACACCTTTATGCAAACAAACTAGAAAATATAGAGGAGATGGATAAATTCCTGAAAATATACAACCCTCCTAGATTAAATTAGGAAGACATAGAAATGCTGAACAGACCAATAACAAGCAGCAAGCAATAAACAATTTTCCAACAAAAAAGTCCAGGACAAGATGGATTCACAGCTGAATTCTATCAAACATTCAAAGAAAAATTGGTACCAATCTTACTGAAACTTTTCCAAAAGATAGAGAATGATGGAATCTTTGCTAAATCATTGTATGAGGCCAGTATCACCCTAATACCAAAACCAGAAAGGAGATAAAAAAAAAAAAGAAAAAAAGAAAAAGAAAACTACAGACCAATATCCCTGATGAACACAGGTGCAAAAATCCTCAACAAAATACTAGCTAACCGAATCCAATAGCATATCAAAAAGATAATACGTCATGATAAAGTTGATTTCATACCAGGGAATCAGGGATGGTTTAACATATGCAAGTCAATAAATGCGATACATTACATAAACAGAATTAAAAACAAAAATCATATGATCATCTCAAGAGATGCAGAGAAAGCATTTGATAAAATCCACCATCGCTTTATGATAAAAACCCTCAACAAAATAGGCGTAGAAAGGACATACCTTAAAGTAACAAAAGCCATATTTGACAAACCCACAGCCAACATCATACTGATGGAGAAACGTTGAAACCATTCCCCCTGAGAACTGGAACAAGACAAGGATGCCCACTCTCACCACTTCTATTCAACACAGTACTGGAAGTCCTGGCCAAAGCAATCAGACAAAAGAAAGAAAGAAGGGGCATCAAAATTGGAAAAGAGGAAGTCAAACTTGCTGTTTACCGATGATGTGATTGTATACCTAGAAAACCCTAAAGACTCATCCAAAAAGCTCCTAGATCTGATAAACAAATACAGTAAAGTCTCAGGATACAAAATCAATGTATACAAATCAGTAGCACTGCTATATGCCAAAAGCAACCAAGCTGAGAATGAAATCAATAGCTCAATCCCTTTTACAACAGCTACAAAAAATAAAATAAAATACTTAGGAATATACTTAATGAATGAGGTAAAAGATCTCTACAAGGAAAACTACAAAACACTGCTAAAAGAAATCATAGATGACGCAAACAAATGAAAGCACATCCATGCTTATGGATCAGAAGAATCAATATTGCAAAAATGACCATACTGCCAAAAGCGACCTACAAATTCAATGCAACTCCCATCAAAATACCATGGCCATTCTTCACTGAACTAGAAAAACAATCCTAAAATTCATATGGAAACAAAAAAGATCCTGCATAGCCAAAGCAAGACTAAGCAAAAAGAACAAATCTAGAGGCATCACATTACTTGACTTCAACCTGTACTACAAGGCTATAATTTCCAAAACAGCATGGTACTGTTATAAAAATAAGCACATAGACCAATAGAACAGAATAGAGAACTCAGAAGTAAAGCCAAATACTGATAGCCAACTGTTCTCCAATAAAGCATACAAAAACGTAAATTAGGGAAAGGGCACCCTATTCAAAAAATTGTGCTGGGAAAACTGACAAGCCACAAGTAGAAGAATGTAACTGGATCCTCATCTCTCATCTTACACAAAAATCAACTCAAGATGGATCGAAGACTTAAATCTAAGACCTGAAACCATAAAAATTATAGAAGATAACATTGGAAAAGCTCTTCTAAACATTGGCTTAGGCAAAGACTTCATGACTAAGACCCCAAAAGTAAATGCAACAAAAACAAAAATAAATAGATGGGACCTAATTAAACTAAAAACCTTCTACACAGCAAAAGAAATAATCAGCAGAGTAAACAGAAAACCCACAGTGTGAGAGAAAATATTCACAAACTATGCATCTGACAAAGGACTAATATCCAGAATCTACAAGGAACTCAAACAAATCAGCAAGAAAAGAATAAATAATCCCATCAAAAAGTGGGCAAAGGACATGAACAGAAAATTCTCAAAAGCAGATATGCGAACAGCCAACAAACCTATGAAAAAATGCTCGACATCACTAATTATCAGGAAAATGCAAATTAAAACCACAATGAGATACCACCTTACTCCTGCAAGAATGACCATAATTAAAAAGTCAAGAAATTATAATGTTGGCATGTATGTGATGAAAAGGGAACATTTTTACACTGCTGGTGGAAATGTAAACCAGTATCATCACTATGGAAAACAGTATGGAGATTCCTTAAAGAACTAAAAGTAAAACTATGATTCAACTCAGCAATCCCACTACTGAGTATCTATCCAAAGGAAAAGAAGTCATATGAAGAAGACACATACACACACGTTTATAGCAGCACAATTCGTAATTGCAAAAATATGGAACCAACCTAAGTGTCCATAAACTAACAAGTGGATAAAGAAAATCTGGTATATATATACCATGGAATACTGCTCAGCTGTAAAAATGAATAAAATAATGTCTAGCTGGAGGCCATTATTCTAAGTGAAGTAACTCAGAAATGGAAAACCAAATATTGTATGTTCTCACTTATAAGTGGCAGTTAAGCTATGAGGATACAAAGGCATAGGAGTGATAAAATGGAGTTTGGGGACTCAGGAAGGAGGGTGGGAAGGGGGTGAGGGATAAAAGACAACATACTGTGTACAGTGTACACTGCTTGGGTGATGGGTGCAACAAAATCTCAGAAATCACCACTAAAAAACATCCATGTAACCAAAAACAACCTGTATCCCAAAAACTATTGAAATAAAACTTTTTAAAAGTACACAGTTCTTTGAACTTCCCTAGAAATGAACAAAATATCTTGTATAAGACAACTTATAAGCCATCTTATGTTTCTAGGGCATAAAGTGCAAGATAGCACTAGTGCTAGGTGATGTCAAAGAGCTCCACAGGAGCCAGGGAAGGGCCATAGGACTTGCCAAGAGCCATGTAGGTGATAAGAAGCCAAGTTGCCTCCCTCCCTCATGCTTGAGGAATAAGATCCTCTCAGTGATTGTCCAGTGGCTGCTACATAAACAATCATTTAGATTATGCAACATATAGAGCAAAATTTTTATTAGTGACACTAATAAAACCTTAAATAGACACTCGACAAACAATATTTTCTTTTCAAGTATTGACTGGGGCCAATTCCCAAATATAAGAATGAGTCAAGAAAATTATTATTGTTCTCATTACTATCACGTGAACACCAGTATAGGGGTAACAACACCCATGACTAAATTACCTCCTACCAGGTTCCTCCCACAACACATTGGAATTATGGGAACCATATTAGTCTATTTTCATGCTGCTGATAAATACATACCCGAGACAAAGCAAAGAGGTTTAATGGAGAACTCACAGTTCCACGTGGCTGGGGAAGCCTCACAATCATGGTGGAAGGTAAGGAGGAGCAAATCACATCTTATGTGGATGGTGGCAGGCAAAGAGACAGAGCTTATGCAGGGGAATTCCTCTTTTTAAAACCATCAGATCTCATGAGACTTATTCACTATTATAAGAAGAGCGTGGGTAAGACCCATCCCCATGACTCAATTACTTCCCACTGGGTCCCTCCCACAGCACATCAGAATTCAAGATGAGATTTGGGTGGGGACACAGCCAAACCATATCATTCTGCCCCTGACCCCTTCCAAATTTCATGTCCTCACATTTCAAAACACAATCACACCCTTCCAACAGTCCTCCAAAGTCTTAACTGATTCCAGCATTAACACAAAAGTCCAAGTCCAAAGTCTCATCTAAGACAGGCAAGTCCCTTCCACCTATAAGCCTGCAAAATCAAAAGCAAGTTAGTTTCTTCCTAGATACAATAGGGGTACAGGCATTGGGCAAATACACCTGTTCCAAATGGGAGAAAGTGGCCAAAACAAAGGGGTTAGAGGCCCCATGAAAGTCTGAAATCCAATAAGCAGTAAATAAACCTTAAAGTTCCAAAACAATCTCCTTTGACTTCACCTCTCACATCCAGGTCATGCTGATGCAAGAGGTGGATTCCCATGGCCTTAGGCAGCTCTGCCCCATGGCTTGGTAGGGTACAGCCCCCCTCTCAGCTGCCTTCATGGGCTAGCTTTGAGTATCTGATTTTTCCAGTCACACAATGCAAGCTGTAGATGGATCTACCATTTTGGGGCCTGAAGGACAGTGGTCTTCTTCTCACAGCTCCACTAGGCAGTGCTCCAGTGGGGACTCTGTGGGGGCTTTGACCCCACATTTCTGTTCCATACTTCCCTAGCAGAGGTTCTCCATGAGGGCTCCATGCCTGCAGCAAACTTCTGTCTGGACATCCAGGCATTTCCATACATCCTGTGAAATCTAGGTGGACGTTCCAAAACCTCAATTCTTGACTTCTGTGCACTCACAGGCTGAACACCATATGTAAGCTGCCAAGGCTTGGGGCTTGCACCCTCTGAAACAATGGACTAAGCTGTATGTTGGCCTCTTTTAGCCACAGCTGGTACACAGGGCAGCAAGTCGCAAAACTGCAAAAAACAGCAAGGCTCTGGGCCTGGCCTGTGAAACCATTTTTGTCCTCCTAGGCCTCTGGGCCTGTGATGGGAGGGGCAGCCATGAAGACCTCTGAAATATCCTAGAGACATTTTCCCCATTGTCTTGGTGATTAACATTTGGCTCCTTGTTACTTCTGTAAATTTCTGCAACTGGCTAGAATTTATCCTCAGAAAATGGGTTTTTCTTTTCTATTGCATTGTCAGGCTGCGCATTTTCTAAACTTTTATGCTCTGCTTCCCTTTTAAACATTAAGTTCCAATTCCAAACCATATCTTTGTGAATATGTAAAACTGAATGCCTTTTTATTTTTTATTTTTATTTTTTACTTTTTTGAGACAGAGTCTTGCTCTGTCACCCAGGCTGGAGTGGAGTGATGCAATCTCAGCTCATTGCAAGCTCCACCTCCTGGGTTCATGCCATTCTCCCACCTCAGCCTCCTGAGTAGCTGGGACTACAGGCACTTGCCACCACTCCTGGCTAATTTTTTTTTTGTATTTTTAGTAGAGATGGGGTTTCACCATGTTAGCCAGGATGGTCTCGATCTCCTGAGCTCATGATCTACCCACCTCAGCCTCCCAAAGTGCTGGGATTACAGGCATGAGCCACTGCACCCGGCCAACTGAATGCTTTTAAGAGCACACTGTCACATCTTGAATGCTTTGCTGTTTAGAAATTTCTTCTGCCAGATACCCTAAATTATCTCTCTTGAGTTCAACAATCCACAGATCTCTTGGGCAGACGTAAAATGCCACCAGTCTCCTTGCTAATGTATAGCAAAGTCACCTTTATTCCAGTTCTCAAAAAGTTCCTCATCTCCATCTGATACCACCTCAGCCTGGACTTTATTATCCATATCACTATCAGCATGTTGGTCAAAGCCATTCAACAAGTCTCTAGGAAGTTCTAAACTTTCCCACATTTCACTGTCTTCTTCTAAGCCCTCCAAACTGTTCCACCTCTGCCCATTACCCAGTTCCAAAGTCTCTTCCACATTTTCTTGTTTGTTTACAGCAGCACTCCACTACCCAGTACGAATTTACTGTATTAGTCCATTTTCATGCTGCTATAAAGAACTGCCCGAGACTGGGTAATTTATAAAGGAAAGAGACTTAATTGACTAACAGTTCCACAGGGCTGGGGAGGCCTCAGGAAACTTACAATCATGGTGGAGGGAGAAGCAAACATGTCCTTCTTTACATGGCAGCAGGAAGGAGAAGTGCTAAGCAAAGGGGGAAAAGTCCCTTATAAAACCATCAGATTTCATGAGAACTCACTCACTGTCGTGAAAAGAGCAGTATGGGGGTAACAGGCCCCGTGATTCAATTACTTCCCACCAGGTCCCTTCCATGACATGTGAGGATTATGGGAACTACAATACAAGAAGAGATTTGGGTGGGGACACAGCCAAACGATATCACTGCTTTTGGGAAATATTTCCCAATTCTCCCTATCACAGTTAGGGCTTTCCTCAACTGTATTTTCTGTGTATTATAATTACTGTACACATCTACACCCAACATTGAGGTTCTAAAACTTGTTTCCCTGGAACCTGGCCAAGGCTGTGGTACAAAATAGAAGCTATTCAATTTTAAAGTGCTTTCTAAAAAGTTATTTCGAGTCAATCTCTGCATCTCTAAGCTTCACTTTCCTAATTTGTAAAATTTAAATTGTAATACCTACTCCATAAAACCATTAGTAAATTGAACCTAATAATTTAAACAAATGCCCTTTGTAAACCATACTGTAACATATAACTTTTAATTCTAAAGTCACCTGTAGAATTAAAGTGTGATGAACTTTTAATTATAAAGTTCATCACACAAGTGTAAGGAGCATTTGAATCAGCAAGATGTCAAAATACCCTTTATTCCAGGTTTCATCCCTTCTACCAACCACCCTACCACCAGGTTCTCTTTGCTCCACTCGATGGGGGCATTACTCAAGTCAATAACAAGAAGTTACACCAGGGGGCTCCCCTGTATTTTCCATATGAAGTCTGCAAAGTGGCCTTCACAGGAAACCCAAATACTTCTGAGTTCCAAAGTATTTGCTCTCTTGGAACAAGACAACATAAAAGAATTCACAAACCTAGAAACAACATCATTCGTTTTTATCAAACCACTGTCTGAGACTTTCTTACTTCTTCTTAGCCTGTTAAACTAGTAGAAGGAATTACCAATCCTCTACTACTAAAGAGATATAAATACTAAAAGACAAACTGTCACTCGACTGAGGAATTCAATATATTATTTATTCACAGGTTTGATCCCAGGTTGAGCTCAATAGAGGACAAACACAAGAAGACAAACATTTAATTATCATCTTCCCAAAAAGATCTTGCAAATAGGAGATGGGGGGTGGGGAGGGTAAATAAATGAAAGTATATCTGATGTTTTCCTTTTTAAGATAATCAGCTACAAACTGTAATACAAGGGACCGTAGATAAAGAGTCAAGGACTGGTTCTAATGCTGGATGAACTTCTAACTTCTGCTAATTGAGTGATCACCTACCTTTAGACCTCAATTTTTTCACTTTTAAATGAGTTTTTTTGGGGAGAGAAGGGGTCTTCACATCAGCTTTAATGACATATTATTTACATATGATTGTATGTTTAAATAGTTCTTAAGTGTAATTTTTTTTTTTTTTTTTTTTTTGAGACAGAGTCTTGCTCTGTCGACCAGGCTGGAGTGCAGTGGTGCAATCTCAGCTCACTGCAAGCTCCACCTCCCAGGTTCACGCCATTTTCCTGCCTCAGCCTCCTATCTTAAGTGTAATTTAATGAGTTCTGAAAACGTATGTAGTGCTATTATCTATTCACCAGTTGAACATTTGGGTTGTTTCTAGGCTTTTAAAAATTATTATTACTGGTGGAGAGGCAAGATGGCCAAATAGGAACAGCTCCAATCTGCAGCTCCCAGTGAGACCAATGCAGAAGGTGGGTGACTTCTGCATTTCCAACTGAGGTACCCAGTTCATCTCACTGGGACTAGACAGTGGGTGCAGCCCACGGAGGGACAGCCAAAGCAGGGTGGGGAGTCAACTCACCCAGGAAGTGTAAGGGTTGGGGAACTCCCTCATCTTACCAAGGGAAGAGCTGAGGGACTGTGCCATGAGGGACAGTGCTATCTGGCCCAGATACTATGCTTTTCCCACAATTTTTGCAACCCGCAGACCAGGAGATTCCCTCGGGTGCCTACATCCCCAGGGCCCTGGGTTTCAAGCAAAAAACTGGGCGACTGAACAGACACCAAGCTAGCTGCAGAAGTTTTTTCTTTCCCATATCCCAGTGGCACCTGGAACCCCAGTGAGACAGAACTGTTCACCCCGCTGGAAAGGGGGCTGAAGCCAGGGAGCCAAGTGGTCTTGCTCAGTGGGTCCCACCCCATGGAGCACATCAAGCTAAGATCAACTGGCTTGAAATGCTCGCTGCCAGCACAGCAGTCTGAAGTCAACCTCGGACACTAGGTCAGCCTGGTCAGGGGAGAGGCATTCGCCATTACTGAGGCTTGAGTAGGCGGTTTATCCCTCACAGTGTAAACAAAGCTGCCAGAAGTTCACACTTGGTGGAGCCCACCACAGCGCGGCAAAGTCACTGTAGCCAGACTGACTCTCTAGATTTCTCCTCTCTGGGAAGGGCATCTCTGAAAGAAAGGCAGCAGCCCCAGTCAGGAGCTTATAGATAAAATTCCTATCTCCCTGGGACAGAACACCTGGGGGAAGGGGTGGCTGTGGGCACAGCTTCAGCAGACTTAAGCATTACTGGCCGCCAGCTGTGAAGAGAGCAGCGGATCTCCCAGCACAGCACTCAAGCTCTGCTAAGGGACAGACTGCCTCCTCAAGTGAGTCCCTGACCCCCATGCTTCCTGACTGGGAGACCCCTCCCAGCAGGGGTCGACAGATACCTCATACAAGCGAACTCTGGCTGGTATCTGGCGGGTGCCCCTCTGGGGTGAAGCTTCCAGAGGAAGGAGCAGGCAGCAATCTTTGCTGTTCTGCAGCCTCCACTGGTGATACCCAGGCAAATAGGGTCTGGAGTGGACCTCCAGCAAACACCAGCAGACCTGCAGCAGAGGGGCCTGTCTGTTAGAAAGAAAACTATCAAACAGAAAGCAATAACATCAAAGTCAACATCAAGTAAAAGGATGCCCATGCAAAAACCCCATCAAAGGTCCTCAGCATCAAAGATAAAAGGTAGATAAATCCACAAAGATGAGGAAATACCAGTGCAAAAAATGCTGAAAATTCCAAAAACCAGAATGCCTCTTCTCCTCCAAAGGAACACAACTCCTTGCCAGCAAGGGAACAAAACTGGATGGAGAATGAGTTTGACGAATTGACAGAAGTAGGCTTCAGAAGGTGGGTAATAACAAACTCCTTCGAGCTAAAGGAGCATGTTCTAACACAATGCAAGGAAGCTAAGAATGTTGGTAAAAGGTTACAGGAACTGCTAACTAGAATAACCATTTTAGAGAAGAACATAAATGACCTGATGGAGCTGAAAACACAGCATGAGAACTTCATGAAGCATACACAAGTATCAATAGCCAAATTGATCAAGCAGAAGAAAGGATATGAGATTGAAGATCAATTTAATGAAATGAAGCATGAAGACAAGATAGAGAAAAAAGAATGAAAAGGAATGAACAAAGCCTCCAAGAAATGTGGGACTATGTGAAAAGACCAAAACTACAAATGACTGGTGTACCTCAAAGTGATGGGGAGAATGGAACCAAGCTGTAAAACACTCTTCAGGATATTATCCAGGAGAACTTCCCCAACCTAGCAAGACAGGCCAACATTCAAATTAAGGAAATACAGAGAACACCACTAAGATACTCCTTGAGAAGAGCAACCCCAAGACACATAATCATCAGATTCACCAAGGATGAAAAGAAGGAAAAAATGTTAAGGGCAGCCAGAGAGAAAGGTCAGGTTACCCTCAAAGGGAAGCCCAGTAGACTAACAGCAGATATCTCTGCAAAAACCCTACAAGCCAGAAGAGAGTGGGGGCCAATATTCAACATTCTTAAAGAAAAGAATTTTCAACCCAGAATTTCATATGCAGCCAAACTAAGCTTCATAAGCGAAGGAGAAATAAAATCCTTTACAGACAAGCAAATATTGAGGGATTTTTGTCACCAACAGGCCTGCCTTACAAGAGCTCCTGAGGAAGCACTAAATACAGAAAGGAAAAACTGGTACCAGCCACTGCAAAAACATACCAAAATATAAAGACAAATGACACTATGAAGAAGCTGCATCAACTAATGTGCAAAATAACCAGCTAGCATTATGATGACAGGATCAAATTAACACATAACAATATTAAGCTTAAATGTAAATGCCCCAATTAAAAGACACAGACTGGCAAATTGGATAAAGAGTCAAGACCCATTGGTGTGCTGTATTCAGGAGACTCATCTCATATGAGCTACACATAGGCTCACAATAAAGGGATGGAGGAATATTTACAAAGCAAATGAAAACCCAAAAAAAGCAGGAGTTGCAATCCTAGTCTCTAATAAAACACACTTTAAACCAACAAAGATAAAAAAAGACGAAGAAGGGCATTACATAATGGTAAAGAGATCAATGCAACAAGAAGAGCTAACTATCCTAAATATATATGCACCCAATACAGGAGCAACCAGAATCATAAAGCAAGTTCTTAGAGACCTACAAAGAGACTTAGACTCCCACACAATAATAGTGGGAGACTTTAACACCCCACTGTCAATATTAGACAGATCAATGAGACAGAAAATTAACAAGAATATTCAGGACTTGAACTCAGCTCTGGGCCAAGCAGACCTTATAGACATCTACTGAATACTCCCCCCAAAATCAACAGAATATGCATTCTTTTCAGCATCACATAGCACTTATTTTAAAACAGACCACATAATTGGAAGTAAAACACTCCTCAGCAAATGTAAAAGAACAGAAATCATAACAAACAGTCTCTTAGACCACAGTGCAATCAAGTTAGAGCTCAGAATTAAGAAACTCACTCAAAACCGCACAACTACATAGAAACCAAACAACCTGCTCCTGAATGACTACTGGGTAAATGATGAAATTAAGGCAGAAATAAATATCTTCTTTGAAACTAACGAGAACAAAGACACAACGTACCAGAATTTCTGAGACACAGCTAAAGCATTGTTTAGAGGGAAATTTATAGCACTAAATGCCCACAGGAGAAAATGGGAGAAATCTAACATCAACACCCTAACATCACAATTAAAAGAACTAGAGAAGCAAGAGAAAACAAATTCAAAAGCTAACAGAAGACAAGAAATATCTAAGATCAGAGCAGAACTGAAGGAGATAGAGACATGAACAACCCTTCAAAAAATCAATGAATCCAGGAGCTGATTTTTTGAAAAGATTAACAAAATAGACTTCTGGCCAGACTAACAAAGAAGAAAAGAGAGAAGACTCAAATAGACACAAAAAAATAATAAAAGGGATATCACCACTCATCCCACACAAATACAAACTACCATCAGAGAATACTATAAATATCTCTACACAAATAAACTAGAAAATCTAGAATAAATGGATAAATTCCTGGACACATACAACCTCCCAAGACTAAACCAGGAAAAAGTCAAATCCCTGAATAGACCAATAACAAGTTCTGAAATTGAGGCAGTAATTAATAGCCTATCAACTACAAAAAGCCCAGTTCCAGGTGGATTCGCAGCCAAATTCTACCAGAGATACAAAGAGGAAATGGTACCATTCCTTCTGAAACTATTCCAAACAATAGAAAAAGAAGGACTCCTCCCTAACTCATTTTATGAGGCCAGCATCATCCTGATACCAAAACCTGGCAGAGATACAAGAAGAAAAGAATATTTCAGGCCAATATCCCTGATGAACATTGTTGTGAAAATCCTCAATAAAATACTGGCAAACTGAATCCAGCAGCACATCAAAAAGCTTATCCACTACAATCAAGTCGGCTTCATCCCTGCGATGCAAGGCTGGTTCAACAAACGCAAATCAATAAACGTAATCCATCACATAAACAGAACCACTGACAAAAACCACATTATTATCTCAATAGATGCAGTAAAGGTCTTTGATAAAATTCAACAACACTTCATGCTAAAAACACTCAATAAAGTAGGCAATGACGGAACATATATCAAAATAATAATATTTATGACAAACCCACAGCCAATATCATACTGAATGGGCAAAAGCTGGAAGCATTCCCTTTGAAAACTGGCAGAAGACAAGAATGCCCTCTCTCACCACTCCCATTCAACATAGTGTTGGAAGTTCTGGCCAGGGCAATCAGGCAAGAGAAAGAAATAAAGGGTATTCAAACAGCAAAAGAGGAAGTCAAATTGTCTCTGTTTGCAAAATGACATGATTGTATATTTAGAAAACCCCATTGTCTCAGCCCAAAAATTCCTTAAGCTGATAAGTAACTTCAGCAAAGTCTCAGGATACAAAATCAATGTGCAAAAATCACAAGCATTCCTATGCACTAATAGTAGACAAACAGAGAGCCAAATCATTAGTGAACTCCCATTCACAATTGCTACAAACAGAATAAAATACTTAGGTATACAACTTACAAAAGATGTGAAGTACCTCTTCAAGGAGAACTACAAACTACTGCGCAAGGAAATAAGAGAGGACACAAACAAATGGAAAAACATTTCATGCTCATGGATAGGAAGAATCAATATTGTGAAAATGGCCATACTACTGAAAATAATTTATAGATTCAATGCTATTCCCATCAAGCTACCATTGACTTTCTTCACAGAATTAGGAAAAACTACTTTAAATTTCATATGGAACCAAAAAAGAGCCCATATAACCAAGACAATCCTAAGCAAAAACTACTAAGCTGGAGGTATCATGCTACCTGACTTCAAACTATACTATAAGGCTACAGTAAGCAAAACAGCATCGTACTAGTACCAAAACAGATATATAGACCAATGGAACAAAACAGAGGCCTCAGAAATTGCACCACACATCTACAACCATCTGATCTTTGACAAACCTGACAAAAAGAAGAAATGGGAAAAGAATTACATATTTAATAAATAGTATTGGGAGAACTGGCTAGCCATATGCAGAAAACTGAAACTAGACCCTTTCCTTACATCTTATCCAAAAATTAACCCAAGATGGATTAATGATGTAAACGTAAGACCTAAAACCATAAAAACCCTAGAAGAAAACCTAGGCAATACCATTCAGGACACAGGAATGGGCAAAGACTTCATGACTAAGACACCAAAAGCAATTGCAACAAAAGCCAAAATTGACAAATGGGATCTAATTCAACCAAAGGGCTTCTGCACAGCAAAAGAAACTATCATCAGATGAACAGGCAACTTACAGAATGGGAGAAAATTTTTGCAATCTATCCATCTGACAAAGAGCTAATATCCAGAATCTACAAGGAACAAATTTGCAAGAGAAAAACAAATAACCCCATCAAAAAGTGCACAAAGGATATAAACAGACACTTCTCAAAAGAGGACATTTATGCGGCCAACAAACATATGAGAAAAAGCTCATCATCACTGGTCATTAGAGAAATGCAAATCAAATCCACAGTGAGATACCATCTCACACCAGTTAGAATGCCGATCGTTAAAGTCACGAAACAACAGATGCTAGAGAGGATGTGGAGAAATAGGAACGCTTTTACACTGTTGGTGGGACTGTAAATTAGTTCAACCATTGTGGAAGACAATGGTTGACGTGGAAGTTCAACCATTGTGGAAGACAATGGTTGACGTGGAAGTTCAACCATTGTGGAAGACAGTGTGGCGATTCCTCAAGGATCTAGAACCAGAAATACCATTTGACCCAGCAATCCCATTACTGGGTATATACGCAAATGAATATAAATCATTCTACTATAAAGATACACACACGTATGTTTATTGCAGCACTATTCACAATAGCAAAGACTTGGAACCAACCCAAATGCCCATCAATGATAGACTGGATTAAAAAAATGTGGCACACATACACCGTGAAATACTATGCAGCCATAAAAAAGGATGAGTTCATGTCCTTTGGAGGGACATGGATGAAGCTGGAAACCATCATTCTCAGCAAACTAACACAGGAACAGAAAACCAAGCACTGCATGTTCTCATTCATAAGTAGGAGTTGACCAATGAGAACACATGAACACAGGGAGGGGAACATCACACACCGGGGCCTGCCAGGGAGGTGGCAGACAAGGAGACGGACCACATTAGAAGTACCTAATGTAGATAACGGGTTGATCTATACATGTAGTCTTATGGCAGTATCACACTCTCTTGATTATTATAGCTTTGCCACAAGTTTTGAAATCACAAAGAATGAGTCCTCTAACTTTGTTCTTCTTCAGAGTTGCTTTGAATGGGCAATGTTCTTTAAATTTATTCGACTCTAACTTCTATGACGTAGGCATTTAAGGAGATTTATCATGTATCTGAAACTGACATATATATCATATATATGCATATATATGACATATGCATATATATGTCATATACATACATATATAATTGATATATATATCAGTTAATCATCACAAAAAAACCTGATATATATATCAGTTAATCATCACAAAAAAGTTAGTATTAGAATGTTATTAGTTCATAGTTTTAGTATCTCTTATGTTCCAGGCATTGCGGGTACAGAAGCTAGGAATGCTAAGATGCAACATGATACATGTTTTTTCTTGTTGTTTTTTGTGGGTTTTTTGAGACAGGGTCTCACTCTCTCACCCAGACTTGAGTGCAGTGGCCTGATCTCAGCTCACTGCAGTCTCTACTTCCTGGACTCAGGTGATCCTCCCATCTCAGCCTCCCAAGTAGCTGGGACTACAGGCACACACCACCACACCCAGCTAATTTTTTATTTGTTGTAGAAAGGGGGTCTCCCTATGTTGCCCACGCTGGTCTTGAATTCCTTAACTCAAGCAATCCACCTGCCTTGGCCTCCCAGACTGCTGGGATTACAGGTGTGAGCCACCGTGCCTGGCCCTCATGATCCCTGTTCTCACACATGAGGGAATTGAGGCTCAGAAAGTTTAGAGGTTCTTCCAAGCAGCCCAGGTGAATTAGAATGCAGTTCTTTTAACTCTAAATCCTGTAGTGTTTCCACTACAACAAGACTGATAGGTGGTTCCTTTTCTGTAATCCCCTACCTTCTGCTACACTTTCTATCTGACCTGGGCTAGGTGAGTAGTCACCTTAATGGCATGAGGGCAAGGATAAATACTGGATCTCACAGTATTCTCCATTAGATGGTAGATCAATTATTTATTCATTTAAAGAATATTTCTTAAGGGCCTACTGCATGCCAAGAATTAATGATATACTCAACACCAGACAATGCCACTCTCTGCCTTTGTGAAGTTCACTTTATTTCATTAGAGATGTAGTATAAGGAATTTCCTAAATAATAAAATAATTATAGAAAATAATTGCAGATTGCTATAAAGAAAAGCAAAATGTACCATAATTCAGAAGACCAGAAACAACTACTTGAGACAAGAGTTTCACAGAAAGCCTCTTTGAAGAGTTAAAATTGTGTCAAGTCATGAAGAATAAGGGAGAATTTGCCCCATCAAGAGCATTCGAAACAGAGAATGTACAATGGCAAAATCCCTGAGGCAAGAAAGAGCTAAATGTACCCTAGCAACTGATAGAAAGCTAATGTGACCAGAGTATACTAAGGACAGGTAAGCAGGCAATGTGTCACAGGGTTACTCAATAGCTGATTTACCCAAAGTCCAGTAGAAAGCCATTAAATGATTTTAAACTAAAGGCTGTTGTAATCTGATCTACATTTTTAAAAACTGACTCTGGCCGATGTGCGTAGAATGGGTTTGGCATATAGGGCAAATAAAAGTAGAATCAGGAAGTCTAGTTAGGAGGTTACTCCAGCTGCCAAAATGAAAGAAGGGTGTCTTTGACGACAATGGCACTAGTGGAAATAAATGGAGAAAGCCAGGCATAGTGGCACATACCTGTAGTCTCAGTTACCGGGAGGCTGAAGTGGGAGGATCACTTGAACACAGGAGTTTGAGACCAGCCTTGGCAACACAGTGAGACCCTATCTCCATTTTAAAAAGAGAAAGAAAAAAGAAAGAAAAATAAATAAATAGGTGTGAACAGACTATATACTTTGGAAGTGAATTAACTGGTTTACATTCAAGTTTCCAGCTTTAATAACTCACTGGATAGTAGCACCATTTGCTGAAATGATGAAGAGTCAGAGAAAACGAGAATATATAGGCAAAAAAAAAATCAAGCATTCTATTTAGACATTTTAAGTTTGACATGCCTAGAAAATACCCAAATGGCAATATCAATACGCATTTAGGATAAAGGTCAGGGTCTTTCAGCAAGAGAAGCAGCTGAAAAAGAGGGCTTACTGTCAAGGAAAACTTGGTTCCTTGAGTGTGAGGCAAGTGTCTGATGAAGAAGGCCATTATTTTGAAGAGCACAGAGATACAAGAACCAACAACTAATGTTGCTGTTTCAGCTCATCTTAGCAAATATTTTTTGAGTGGCCATAGGGACCACCATGAGACTACTCCCGAGGTAGTAGAAGGAGGCATGAACTTGAAGAGAGAAGACATGGTTCAAAGCCTGGTTACTTTGGCAAAGTTTAAACTTCTTTTATCTTTGTTGAATAGTTGTGAAAACTGAATAGAATAATTCACATGAAAGCATCTGGCCATATAAATATAGGTTAATATTATACATTTTGGGAGTAGGCATTATTATGAGAAATCAATATGAATAATACTGGATAAATATTGCTTTCTACAAATAACTAATGACTTTGGTGATGGCTTAACATAACCCGAATAGATTTAGTTTCCCTTAGACAGGCCAGCTCTTGCATTACCCAGGTGAAGCAGATCAGGACAAAGTGATATAAAGGAGACTGATGGGACGCTGGGTGCCGTGGCACATGCCTGTAATCCCAGTACTTTGGGAGGCCGAGACAGGTGGATCACTTAAGGTCAGGAGTTTGAGACTAGCCTGGCCAATATGGTGAAACCCCGTCTCTACTAAAAATACAAAAATTAGCTAGGTGTGGTGGCATGCACCTGTAATTCCAGCTACTTTGGAGGCTGAGGCACGAGACTCACTTGAACACGGGAGGCAGAGGTTGCAGTGAGCTGAGATCACATACCACTGCACTCTACCCTGAATGACAGAGTAAGATTCCATCTCAAAAAAAAAAAAAAGAGAGAGAGACTGATGTGTGTACACTGAGCTCCCATGTGTTGTAGAACACATGCAACACCCTTCAGAATCAGTAAGCCTCAGCAGATCTTTACCCTGATTTTCTGTGACCATGACTAACAGTCACAGCTTGATTACAATGGCTGCTATCTCTTTGCCATTGCATCTCAAATACGTCAGTGTTACCTGTACATCTTGTACCTTCTTTAAGAGCCCACCTGTCAGCATCAGTTCATGACCTTGGTAAGACATGGAAGTGATGGTTTACTTTCTGTCCTATACAATCACATAGACTTGCTGATTCAACAAAATAGTTTTTTTTTTCCTTTTCTTTTTTTTTTAACCTCTTCACTCTACCGATGTAGAACAACTCAATTTTTTCTCAAACACTGTGTACTTTAACATTGCCAAACCTTTGTTCTTACAAAGATTCCTTTGGCCTAGAATGCCCCCACTACTCATCCTCCTGCTGGTCTGCTATTTATACTTATGAATAAGTATGGGCTCAAATAAATGTAAATTATGATTTCTCCTTAAAACACTAGATGGAATTCATTACATCCTCATCTATATTTTCATTTCACTCTATTTATAATTCAATATACTTATTCAGCAAACATATATAGAATGCCTGCTGAATGTCAGAACTCTTCAAGATGCAAATGGCAGAAACCCAATCCAAATAGATTAAACAAACCAGCTCACCATGTTTTCGATCTCACCAATTTTTCCACTTTCTTTATAAATTAATATACTTATTCAACAAATATTTATAGAATTCTGCTTAATGCCGGGACTCTAAGATGCAAATAACAGAAACTAAAATTCAAGTAGCTTAAACAAACTCACTCACCTAACTAAAAAACGCAAGGAAAAACATGATGAAATTTCAGGCTGATTGGGTTAAGTTCCCTAGAAATAGAGCCTGAGACAGGGATTCTTATGACAATGATTTATTAAAGGAACACTTTCAGGAAAAGGTGCATGACGGAAACAGGATAGGACAGGGAAAGAAACCTAAGCAACGATGCTGTCTCAGCTGGAGACTACTTTCAGCCTTTTCCCATGGGGAGATCTGGAGCATAAACTATACACATAGTTTATCCTACCTTGAGGCAAAGGGGTCTGCCTTTTGCACCTGCTTCCCATCAGTCAAGAGCTGAGTGCTATGGGATGGGGGAGTATTGTGCTAATCTGCTTGGTGAAGGAGCTCTGGGTGAGGCACCAATAGCATCCACGTGGCAGGCATGATGGCTGCCAGTAGCACATTCATATGAATCTTGGGTAACCCCAAAAGAAAGACCTTTTCCCCTAAAGCTCTGACTGTACTGTTCCAGGGAGAACTCTGATGTGAGCAACTGTTTTGCAAGACAGATGGAGTCAGAGCCAATCAAATCATGTCGAGTGGGTGCTTCACTGGAAAGAGGGTTGGTTTAGCAAAGAAGTGGGAGGAAGGATGGGTAGACAAAGGCAAATGTCCTCTCTACCTACCACATACCAGGCACTGCTAGAGGCAAGGGATACAATGAGGAACAAAAAATACACATCTCTGCTTTCACGGAATACACGTCTTGTTTAATGCAAGACAGACCAATAAGAAATTATAATAAAGTCAGATATATGCTTTAATAGAGAAAGTATAGATTGCTATGAATGAATCATATAGGAGTCATCTTACTCTTCTCAAGGGCCATATTTTTCCAGCTTTATATCTTTAGTGCTCAGGTAGTACCATAAGTATTGTAAGTGCTCAATGAATGAGCACATTCAGCTTGATGTGTGGATTCAAGAGTCTAAGGAGGCAGTAACCCTCTCTAGGAATAGCCTTTTCAGTCAGTTTATGAGCCATGAAAGAAAATCACTTACTAATTTATGGCCATATCATGCCTTTAAGTAGAATTATTATTATATCTGTCTCTTAATGACTTTTTGGCTACTCCCAAATTCGGAAACCATTATCCCAGGGTTGACTTGCTGACTTTGAGAATATTTAATTTCTCTTATTTAATTCAACATATTGGTCATCAACCTTGTTCTCATAGAAGGCCAAGTGTTTCAAACTATAAAAATGAATAGACCTTAGTGCCAGCAAGCAAGATATTTAAGACTACTGCCTAGTAGGGATAAATGTTATGATGTATAATGGTTAAGGAAAGCAACTACATTTTCTAGTTAGCTTCTAGGGGAATTGCAGATTTTAAAATATGCACTTGATCATATTCTGTAAGTGTCATTGAATCTAAGGCCAAGAGGACACACATTCACAGAAAGAAGCCTTTACATCAGTGCCCTGAAGACAGGAGCAGCAAACAGCCCTTGATTTTTATCTTTTTCTTACCCTTCACATCTAGTTCCACCTACAGATCAACTCTCCATACCACCATCCTAGGCCAAGTCACCTTCATTTCTCACATGAACTGACCCTCATCTCTCACCTGAGAGAACCTCCTAACTGGTCTCCTGGACTCTCTCCATTGTGCCCTTCCTATCTATGCTCCACATAGTAGGCAGACTAATTTTTTGAAATTGTAAATTTAATCATATCTGCCAACCCTCATCTCTGCCCTATTTAAAATCCTGTCTGGCTCCCCTATTGCACTCAATGTAGAATCTAAACCCTTTATAGTGTCCTACATGAGTTAACCCAGCTTCTCCTCTCTTCTCTCATCTTTAAACACCTTCTTTCAGTTTTATGCACACTGGAGGAGGAGGGCCTCCACACTCGTGCCTCCCCCAGTTCAACATATCTGTCTCCATCTCAATTTTCAATCTTGGTTTAAAAGGCATGACCACAGAGAGGCCCTCCATGACATCTTATTTAAAGAAGATATCATCCCCTCCACATATATCTTTATTCTCTATCTTAGCATCAAGTTCATTTCATCCATTTTGCTCATCACAATTTGCATTTGAGTGTTCATTTGTTGCCTATATTCTCCACTAGGCTGCTGTCCCAGGAGGGCAAGTAGCATATTTGTTTCTCTTTTTCCAGTAGTGTACCAATCACCTGGTTCAGTGCCTTGCATATAATTGATATTCAATAAGATTTCAGTTAATTCAATTCAATTCATCCAGTCATTCATTTACTCAAGAATATTTTAATCCCCAAGAGTTTTTTTTAAACTTTCATGAATAGAAGTCAAATATGTGTACTTTTCTAGCTTAAAGCAGTTTTTTAAAATAAAATATGAAGATTTGTTTTGTCTTCGAGGAAGATCTTACTTGATTTTGAGAAAACCACTTGAAGATTTTTATTACAAATAAACATCTATATCTATATCAATGTATGTCCAATACCCATCCATTGTTCTTGGAGAAAATGGAAACAATCTGAAAGCAGATGTTTTGCATGAAGTACCTCAGTTTTCTGTCTGATTATGTAAATTTGATGTATGTTTTGGGAGTACTTATCTGCAGAATTTTTGCTTATTTAGGGAAAATTTTTCTTTTCTTTAATTGAATTTAAACAGCTTTATTTTTTGTTCTTATGAATATATGAGAGTGTGTCTTTACTCCAAGAGATCTGAAAATCTGAAAAATGTACCAAAATATAAGGTCCTAAACTTTACCTGGAACTAAACTGTTGATGTCTACAGATGATCTGAATAAATAACTCAACTGTGCTGATGTTGAAATATTGATCTGATGAGATTGTACTTTCATGGGCCATTCTTTATGAGAATCCCTCTGTGGACAATAGAAGGAGTTTCTCCTGAATGAAGTGGATATTTGTACTCTTGCTCATCCTGTCAGCCTGGAAAGATGCTGATCCTGGAACAGAAAATAAGGACTAGAGCAATAGCCATGCAAACTGCTTCATCAGAGGTGCAATTTTAAATTCAAGACAGGTGAAGTGCTCAAGATGTTTTCTTTTGCAAGCGATAAGGTGGCACCACTCAGAAAGTGGTGAAGTAGTGGCTAGGCAGGTGGCATCCTTCTAGGACCTTGACGGTATGGATCTGAGGCTGGGTCTAAAGATGCTGAGTAATAACATTTAGCAACAAGTGTACATTATTTTCTCTATTCTCCTTTCTGTCCATCACCAATTAAAGAAAGAGTTTGTCGGCTGGGCGCGGTGGCTCACGCCTGTAATCCCAGCACCTTGGGAGGCTGAGGAGGGTGGATCACAAGGTCAGGAGATAGAGACCATCCTGGCTAACACAGTGAAACCCTGTCTCTACTAAAAATACAAAAAAAAAAAAAAAAAAAAATTAGCCAGGCATGGCGGCGTGCGCCTGTAGTCCCAGCTGCTGGAGAGGCTGAGGCAGGAGAATGGCGTGAACCTGGGAGGCGGAGCTTGCAGTGAGCCGAGATCGCACCACTGCACTCCAGCCTGGGCGACAGAGCGAGACTCCATCTCAAACAAAAAACAACAGAAAAAAAAAAAGAAAAAGAAAGAGTGTGTTTCCTTCACTCACTGCCCCATGATAGAGGGGTAGTAGCAGCACGTCTTCAAGGGCAGATGATAATCCTTGTATTAGGCAGGGTTCTCCAGAGAAACAGAACCAATAGAATGTTTTGCATTCAGATTGATATAGGCTTGGGCTGTATGCAGGTAAAAACTGTCAAAAGGTTTTAAGTAAGTTTTTCAGCATTTTAAAATTATATCACAGATTATTTTTAAGTGAAATATTAAAATTTTTCAACACATGTAAGAGAGAGTAGTATATGCAGCTCAATATAAATAGCATCCAGATAATTATCAATATTCTGCCACACTTGCATCAGTCCATCCTGCCCATCCCACCTCACTCCCTTTTTCTGGGGAAATAACAACTCTAAACCTCCTGTCAGTTTTCCCCTCTATACTTCATTATCCATCTCCAAAAACTATGGACATTTTCTTACATAACAATGATGTCATTATAACAAAATATATTCAGGGTTCAATTTCCATCACTTTCCCTTCTACCCCTTTTCTCTCTTTTCTTAGTAGTAATCTTTATCTTTATTTTATTTTACTGTAAGTTCTGGGATACATGTGCAGAATGTGCAGGTTTGTTATATAGGTATATATGTGCCATGGTGGTTTGTTGCACCTAGTGACTCCTCCTCTAAGTTCCCTCTCCTCACCTCCCACTCCAGCAGGCCCTGGTGTGTGTTGCTCCGCTCCCTGTGTCCATGTGTTCTCATTGTTCAGCTCCCACTTATGAGTGACAACATGCAGTGTTGGTTTTCTGTTCCTGTGTTAGCTTGCTAAGGATGATAGCTTTCAGCTTCATCCATGTCCCTGCAAAGGACATGATCTCATTCCTTTTTATGGCTGTGTGGTATTCCATGGTGCATATGTACCACATTTTCTTTATTCAGTCTATCATTGATGGGCATTTGTGTTGGTTCCATGAGTTTGCTATTGTAAGTAGTGTTGCAATAAACATACATGTGCATGTGTCTTTATAGTAGAATGATTTATATTCCTTTGGTATATTTCCTATGGTATATACCCAGTAATGGGCTTGCTGGATCAAATGGTATTTCTGGTTCTAGATCCTTGAGGAATCGCCATACTGTCTTCCACAATGGTTGAACTAATTTACATTCCCACCAGCAATGTAAAAGTGTTCCTATTTCTCCACAACCTCACCAGCAACTATTGTTTCTTGACTTTTTAATAATTGCCATATTGACTGGCATGAAATGGTACTGCATTGTGGTTTTGATTTTCATTTCTCTAACGATCAGTGATATTGAGTTTTTTTTTCATATGTTTGTTGGCCGTGTAAATGTTTTCTTTTGAGAGGTGTCTTTTCATATCCTTTGCCCACTTTTTGATAGGGTTGTTTGTTTTTTTCCTGTAAATTTGTTTAAGTTCCTTGTAAATTCTGGATATTAGACCTTTGTCAAGTGGTTAGATTGCAAAAATGTTATCCCATTCTGTAGGTTGCCTGTTCATCTGATAATAGTTTCTTTTGCTGGGCAGAAGCCCTTTAGTTTAATTAGATCCCATTTGTCAACTTTGGCTTTTGCTGCAATTACTTTTGGTGTTTTCATCATGAAGTCTTTGCCCATGCCTATGTCCTGAATGGTATTGCCTAGGTTTTCTTGTAGGGTTTTTATGGTTTTGGGTTTTACATTTAAGTCTTTAATCCATCTTAAGTTAATTTTCGTATAAGGTGTAAGGAAGGGGTCCAGTTTCAGTTTTCTGTAGGTAACCTTTGTTTTTTTAATGCCTGCTTTATCCTTATGTTTTTTAGAAAATATAATTAAATATGCATGTACGTTCTTATTTCTTTTACTTTCTCAGACAAAGTTAGAATATATTGTTCTACATCTTTTTTTTTTTTTCACTTAGCACTATATTCTGGATCTCTCTCCAGATCCATGTATAGGGAATCTTCCTTGTTCCATAGTATGTCATGGTTTACTCAGCCAGCCTCCCATTCATGTACATTTTGGGTGTTTTCAATCTTGTGCTATTAATAGTATGAATAATAATGCATAGTAGTACATACATATAATAATATACAGAAGTGGGTTTGTGGTTTTTGCCAGTGTAGCTTTTGGAGAATGTATTAGTTTGTTTTCATGGTGCTGAAAAAGACATACCTGAGACTGGGCAATTTACAAAGAAGAGAAGTTTAATGGACTCATAGTTCTATGTGGCAGGGAAGGCCTCACAATCATAGTGGAAGGCGAAAGGCACATCTCACATGGTGGCAGACAAGAGAAGAGAAACTTGGGCAGGGAAACTCCCCTTTATAAAAACCATGAGATCTTGTGAGACTTACTAACTATCACAAGAACAGCATGGGAAAGACCCACCCCCATGATTCAATTACCTCCCACTGGGTCTCTCCCACAACACGGGAGAATTGTGGGAGCTACAATTCAAGATGAGATGTGGGTGGGTACACAGGCAAATCATATCAGATAGTCTTAGAAGTGGGATGGGTGGGTCAAAAGGTAAATTCAAATGTAATTTTGCATTATTCCCTTCCATAGCAAGTGTACCAGCAATTCCCACCAGCCAAGTATAAAAGACCTTGTCCTTTCAGAGTCTTGCCAATAGACTGTGTTGTCAACCTCTTAGATTTTTGCCAGTAGGTGAGAAGTAGTATCTCAGTGTAATTTTAGTTTAAATTTATCTTACTATGAGTGAGGTTGAGCATCTTTTCATATGCTTAAGAGCCATTTAATTTTCATCTTCTGTGAATTGCTGGTTCATATATGTATTAATCTTTTCTCAGGTTGCTATAAAGACATATCCAAGACTGGGTAACTTATAAAGGAAAGAGATTTAATTGACTCATAGTTCCACAGGGTTTGGAGGCCCCAGGAAAATTACAATCATGGTGAAATGAGAAGCAAACACATTCTTCTTCACACATGGCGGCAGGAAGGAGAATTGCTGAGCAAAGGGAGGAAAGCCCCTTATAAAACCATCAGATCTCATGAGAACTCACTCACTACCATGAGAACAGCATAAGGGTAACTGCCCCCATGATTCAATTACCTCCCACTGGTTCCCTCCCATGACATGTGCAGATTATGGAAACTACAATTCAAGATGATATTTCGGTGGGGACACAGCCAAATCATATCAAAATACCTTACCCATTGCTATCTCTGTAACTGACACTGTACTAGGGATTTTCATATATGTTGTCTTAATTTGATTATAACTGCAACTCTAAAAGATAGGCATTATTATCCTAACTTGGTATTTCTTGAGTTAATATCAAATTGTGAGGAGAAGAGTCAGAACTCAAACAAATGTCTCTAGACATTTCACTTATAATATCTCTAAATATTAAGAAACATAAATGACCGTATTAGTAGTGCTACAAATTATACTTTCCAAAGACAGACACATCTGTATCTTTATCCATCTCACTTACCCTTGAATGATATTCTCCCCACAAGAGATGGGCTCTATGTTTCCTCCACTTAAACTTGGGCAGGGACTTGTCCAACCAATGGATCAGAGTGGAAATGATACTATGTGGTTCTCAAAGCTAGGACATAAAAAGGACACAGTTTCCACTGTCTCATGCCATACACAAAAATTAACTCAACATGGGTCAAAGGCCTAACTGTAAGAGCCAAAACTATAAAACTCTTAGAAGAAAATATAAAAGTAAATTTTTATAGGTTAGGCAGTGATTTCTTAGATAAGACATCAAAAACACAAGCAATTTTTAAAAAATGAACAAACTGAATTACATTAAAATTTAAAACTCGTGTTGCACACAAAACCATCAAGAAAGTAAAGTAACAACCCACACAATGGAAGACACTTTTTGCAAATTATGCCTCTATAAGGGACCTGTATCCAGAATATATTAAGAATTCTTTTAATTCAAAAATAATGCTGGGCATGGTGGTTCACCTGTAATCCCAGCACTTTGGGGGGCCAAGTCATGGATCACCTGAGGTCTGGAGTTTGAGACCAGCCTGGCCAAAATGGTGAAACCCCATCTCTACTAAAAATACAAAAATTAGCTGGGTGTGGTGGTGATGCCTGTAATCCAAGCTACTCGGGAGGCTGAGGCAAGAGAATCACTTGAACCCAGGAGGCAGAGGTTGCAGTGAGCCAAGATGGTGCCACTGCACTGCAGCCTGGGTGACAGAGTAAGACTCCATCTAAAATAAATAAATAAACAAACAAACAAACAAACAATTCAAGTTTTTAAAATAGGCAAAGGATTCAAACAGGAATTTCTCTAAAGAAGATAAACAAGTGACCAATAAGGATATGAAAAGAGGCTCAAGGTCATTAGTCATCAGAGACATGCAAATTGAAACCATGAGGCACCATTTCATACCCACTAGAATGGTGGTAATCAGAAAGGTAGACAATAATAAGTGTTGGTGAAGAGGTGGAAAAATTAGACCCTCATACATTGTTGGTGGGAGTGTAAATGTTGCAGCTGCTTTAGAAAACAGTTTGACAGCTCCTTAAAATGCTTAACATATAGTCACCTTATGATCCAGCAATTCTACTCCACTAGGTATATACCAAAGAGATTTGAAAACATATTTCCACTCAAGAACTTGTACATGAATGTTCATACCAGCATATTCATAATAGCCAAAAAGTAGAAATAATTCAAATTTTCATCAACTGATGAATGGATAAATAAAATGTTGTATAGCCATACAATGGAATATTATTTGGCATTAAAAGGAAATTATATATCAATACCTCCTATAACATGGATAAACATTGGAAATATGCTAAGTGAAAGAAGCCAGTTACAAAAGACCAAATATTGTATAATTCCATTTAAAATATCCAAAGTAGGCAAATCCATAGAGACAAAAAGTAGATTAGTGATTGCCTAGGGCTTAAGGAAGAGGGTGGAGAAAGTATGGGGTGTGACAACTAATAGGTATGGAGACTTTTTTTAGGGGACAATTAAAGTGTTCTAAAATTAGATTGTGGTAGTGGTTGCACAACTCCATGAATATACTGAGAAACATTTCATTGTATACTTTAAATTGATGAATTATAAATTACCTATCAATAAAGTTGTTTTTAAAAAAGAAAGGGTATGGTTTTTACTTGGCAATTCTTTTTCAGGTTGCTTGTCTTTGGACACCACTCACCTCATCATATTATGAAGAAGCCCATGCCTCATGGAGGAGAGACCCATGTAGTGAGGAACTGAGACCCTTCATCAATAGCTGGCATCCACTTGCCAGGTTTGTGAGTGAATCACTTTGGAAGTGGATCCTCCGGCCCCAGTCAAGACTTCAGATGACTATAGCCCAGCCAACATTTTGACTGCAACTACACAAGAGGCCTAAGACAAAAATGACCTTTTAAGCCACTTCTGAATTCCTGACCAGAGAAACCATAAAAATTAATAAATAATTATTACTTGTTTTAAGCCATCAAGTTTTGGGGTAACTTACAATGCAGCATTAGATAACTAAAACATACAGTATAACATCATATTAGATAGAGTCCCTCCTGTCTCAGTTTGCACCAAGGTGCTAAGTACAGGCATCAAAATTTGTGCAAAATAAATCTTCACGGACAGAATTTGCAAAGGAAATGAGAAAATCCATTTCATGACTCTTGAACCTTCTTACCCACTTCTATACTATAAAGAAGTATAGAAGAAGAGATATTGTGAGAATGATATCTTTGAAGAAAATTGTACTCATATCTCAAATCTTTTGAGGAGGTTTATTCAGTGCTGCTCAATTAATATATTACTTCTACACTTAATAGTGCAAAACTGAGCATATATGTATGTATACAGCAGGAGGTTAATGTGAAAGAGATCTGAAGTACTTTTCATTGGTCCTAAAAGTAATGGCTTGGAGTTTGGTGAGAACAGAGGGCAATTGGTAGATGAATGGAATTTGCCACAGAAGACCCAAGAGAAATCTGCATAGTACCTGGTTCAGAGAAACATGATATTGTTCATTGCTGCTTATATCCCATAGCTCCTAAACACTTAAATAGTCAATCCCTCTTCTGCATTTCAGATAATGTAAGGGCTGATTGAAGGGAATTCTTTAAGTCTGTATAGAGATGGCCACAGCACTCAAAACCACTATCATATAGCTTAGTGCCTTCCTGAAAAGTCAATCTCCAAGCCTCCATTAGTTCCCTGTTTTGAGTTTCACTGGTGAGTCAGCCTGCTAGTGCCATAGCTTAGAAGTGAATGTGAGAGGTACTGGGGTGATGGAAAGAGCCCTGGATTGGATTCCATCCTTGGCTGCCACTTTCAGAGCTTTGGTAAGAGATGAGTATAAAGTGTCTTGGGAATATCCCAGTGGTCAATACTTTGGCAGGCATCACAGAAAATGTTACATTTAGGCCAGATCTTGGAAATGAGCAGGTATTTGCCAAGTGGCCAAGGGAGAAACCCAAGTCTCAGAACAGATACTTGGCTCTGTCTTACTGTTGTTGTTTACATGTGGTTATTCTGTTTTCTCGACACTGGCGAAAAGATGATCTTTTCCCCATAGAATGGTCTTGCATCACTGTCAAAAATCATTTGACCACATATGAAAGGGTTTATTTCTGGGGTCTCTATTCTATTCCATTGATCTGTATGTCTTTCTTTATGCCAGTACCACACTGTGCTAATATTTACTATGGCTCCGAAGTAAGTTGTGAATTCCAACTTCATTCTTCTTTTTCTTTTTTTTTTATTATTACTATTATTATTATTATTATTATTTTTTAATTATACTTTAAGTTTTAGGGTACATGTGCACATTGTGCAGGTTAGTTTCATATGTATACATGTGCCAAGCTGGTGCACTGCACCCACTAACTCGTCCTCTAGCATTAGGTATATCTCCCAATGCTATCCCTCCCCCCTCCCCCCTCCCCACCACAGTCCCCAGAGTGTGATATTCCCCTTCCTGTGTCCATGTGATCTCATTGTTCAATTCCCACCTATGAGTGAGAATATGCGGTGTTTGGTTTTTTGTTCTTGTGATAGTTTACTGAGAATGATGGTTTCCAATTTCATCCATGTCCCTACAAAGGACATGAACTCATCATTTTTTATGGCTGCATAGTATTCCATGGTGTATATGTGCCACATTTTCTTATCTTTTTCAAGATTATTTTGGTAATAAAGAATCTACCACCCAAAAAAAAAATGCCTGGACTAGATGGATTCATAGTTGAATCCTATCAGACATACAGAGAACTGATACCAATCCTACTGAAACTATTCCAAAAAAATCAAGGAGGAAGAACTCTTCCCTAACTCATTCCACTAAGCCAACATCATCCTGATACCAAAATCTGGCAAAGAAAACAAAACAAAAAAGAAAACTGTAGGCCAATATTCCCAATGAACATAGATGTGAAAATACTCAACAAAATACTAACAAACTGAATCCAGCAGCACATCAAAAAGTTAATTTACCACGATCAAGTGGGCTTTATTCCTGGGATGCAAGATAGGTTCAACATACACAAATCAATAAATGTGATTCACACATGAACAGAATTAAAAACAAAACTACATGATCATCTCAATAGACACAGAAAAAGCTTTCAATAAAATCCAACATTCTTTCATTATAAAAACCCTCAATAAACTAGGCATTGAAGGAATGTACATCAAAATAATAAGAGCCATTTATGAAAAACTCACAGCCAGTATCATACTGAATGGGCAAAACCTGGAAGCATTCCCCCTAAGAACTGGAATAAGACAAGGATGCCCACTCTCACCATTCCTATTCAACATAGAACTGTAAGTCCTAGCAAGAGCAATCAGACAAGGAAAAATCATAAAAGGCAACCAAATAGGAAAAGCAGAGGTCAAATTATCTCTCTTTACTGACAATATAATTATATACCTAGAAAACCCTAAAGACTTCACCAAAAGACACCTAGACCTGTTAAAAACTTCAGTAAAGTTTCAGGGTACAAAATCAATGTACGAAAATTAACAGCATGGCTATACACCAATAAATCTCAAGCTGAGAGCCAAATCAAGAATACAATTTCATTTACAATAGCCACAAAAAGGATAAAATACCTAGGAATATATCTAACCAAGAAGGTGAAAGATCTCTACAAGAAGAACTACAAAACGCTGCTGAAGGAAATCACAGATGACACAAACAAATGGAAAAACATTCCATGCTCATGGATTCCAAGAATCAATGTCATTAAAATGCCCATACTATCCAAAGCAATCTACAGATTTGATGCTGTTCCTATTAAATTACCAACAGAATTTTTCACATAATTAGAAAAAAAAGTATTCTAAAATTCACATGAAAATAAAAAAGAGCCTGAATAGCCAAAGCAATCCTAAGTAAAAAGAATAAAGCCAGCAGCATCATATTATCTGACTTAAAACTATACTACAAGGCTACAGTAAACAAAACAGAAAGGTACTAGTGTAAAAACAGACACATAGACCAATGGAACAGAATAAAGAATCCTGAAATAAAGCTACACACTTACAACCAACTGATCTTCAATGAAGTCAACAAAAATAAACAATGGCAAAAAAAATCCCTATCAATAAATGGTGCTGGGAAAACTGGCTAACCATATGCAGAGGATTGAAATTAATCCCTACCTCTTACAAAAATTAACTCAGGATGGATTAAAGACTTAAATGTAGGACCTCAAACTATAAAAATCCTAGAAGAAAACCTAGGAAATACTCTTCTGGACATCAGCATAGGCAATGAATTTATGACTAAGTCCTCAAAAGCAAATGCAACAAAAACAAAAATTGACAATGGAGGCCTAATTAAACTAAAGAGCTTCAGCACAGCAAAAGAAACTATCAACAGATTAAACAGACTACTTATACAGTGGAAGAAAGTTTTTGCAAACTATGCATCTGACAAAAGTTTAATATCCAGCATCTATAAAGAACTTAAACAAATCAACAAGAAAAAAAACATTAAAAAGTGGACAAAGAACATGAACAGACACTTCTCAAAAGACATACAACAAACATGAAAAATGCTCAACACCACTAATCATCAGAGAAATGCGAAACAAAACCATAATGAGATACCAACTCACACCAATCAGAATAGCTATTACCAAAATTAAAAAAATAACGGATGTTGGTGAGGCTGTGGAGAAAAGGGAATGCTTATACACTGTTTGTGGGAATGTAAATTAGTTCAGCCACTGTGAAAAGCAATTTGGAGATTTCTCAAAGAACTAAAAACAGAACAACCACATGACCCAGCAATCCCATTACTGGATATATACCCAAAGGAAAAATAAACTGTTCTACCAAAAAGACACTTTCACTCATATATTTACTGCAGCACTACTCGCAATAGCAAAGAAATGAAAACAACCTAGGTGCCCATCAATGGTGGATTGTATTTTGAAAATGTGGTATATATACATCATAAAATACTACATAGACATAAAAAAGAATGAAATAATTTCCTTTGCAGCAACATGGATGTAGCTGCAGGCCATTATCCTAAGCGAATGAATGCAGAAACCAGAAAACCAAATATCACCTATTCTCACTTATAAGTGGAAGCTAAACATTGGGTACATACAGACATAAGGATGGGGACAATAGATAGTGGGGACTTCAAAAGCTGGGAGAGAGGGAGGCAAGGGCTGAAAAACTAATTGTTGAGTACTGTGTTAATCATATGGGTGATGGGATCAATAGAAGCCCAAACCTCAGCATCACACAATATACCCCTGTAATAAACTTGCACATGTAGCTCCAAACCTAAAATAAAATAAAATAAAATAAAATAAAATAAAATAAAATAAGGAAAAACTTGTATTGGACATTCAGGGTCCCAGAGATTTTACATAAATTTTAGGATAAATTTTTCTATTTCTGCAAAAAAAATCATTGGGATTTTGATAGATGTTGCATTTAATCTGTAGATTGCTTTGGGTAGTATTGACTTCCTAATATTAGTATTAAGTCTTCAAATTCATGCACACAGAATACCTTTCCATATATTGATGTATTTAATTTCTTTCAGTCATGTTTTGTAGTTGTCACTGTAAATTCATTGCTTGTAGTGATCACTGTAAGTTCAATAGCATTTATTTCTTTTAATGCTTTTGTTAATGGGATTGTTTTCTTAATTTCCTTTTCAGATTATTCATTATTGATGTAAAGAAGTGCAACTGTTTGTGTTGATTTTGCATGCTGCAAACTTGTTGAATTTGTTTATTAGTCTTATTTTTTGTGTGTGGAACCTTCAGGGTTTTTTAACTATAAGATCATGTCATCTGAGAAGTGAGATAACCTCATTTTTTTTCAGCTTGGATGCCTTTTATTTCTTTTTCTTGACTAATTAATCTGGTTAGGATTGCCAGTACTATGTTGAATAGAAATCGTGAAGAGTGGGTATCCTTGTTTTGTTGCCGATATTAGAGAAAAAAATGTGTCTTAAAAAATGATGTTAGCTGTAGGTTTTTCATATATGGTCTTTATTTTATGTTGATATAGTTTTATTCTAATTCTAGTTTGTTGAGTGTTTTTATCATGAAAGGGCATCGAATTTTGTGAAATGTTTTCTCTGCATCAATTGAGATGATCATGTAACTTTTTTCCCCTCATTCTGCTAATGTTGGGTATTACATTAATTGATTTTTGTCTGTTGAACTGTCCTTGCATTCCAGCATTAAATCCCACTTGGTGATTGATATGGTTTGAATGTGTGTCCACACCCAAATCTCATGTTGAACTGTAATCCCCAGTGTTGGAGGTGGGGCCTGGTGGCAGATGACTAGATCATGGGGGCAGAGTTTTCATGAATGGTTTATCATCATCTTCCCTTGGTGTTGTCCTTGTGATAGTGAGTGAGTCCTCAAGACAGCTGGTTGTTTTAAAGTGTGTAGCGTTCCCACCCCTCTCCCAAACTCTCTCTTGTTCCTGGCTCCTGCCTTGTTTCTCCTTTGCCTTCCACCATGACTGGAAGATTCCTGAGGCCTCCCAAAAAGCAGAAGCTGCTGTGCCTCCTATACAGCCTGCAGAACTGCGAGCCAATTAAATCTCTTTTTTTATATAAATTACCCAGTCTCAGGTATTTCTTTTTTTTATCTTTTTATTTTTTTTTAATTTTTTTTTATTATAGTTTAAGTTTTAGGGTACATGTGCACATTGTGCAGGTTAGTTACATATGTATACTTGTGCCATGCTGGTGCACTGCACCCACTAACTCGTCATCTAGCATTAGGTATATCTCCCAATGCTATCCCTCCCCCCTCCCCCCACCCCACAACAGTCCCCAGAGTGTGATATTCCCCTTCCTGTGTCCATGTGATATCATTGTTCAATTCCCACCTATGAGTGAGAATATGCGGTGTTTGGGTTTTTGTTCTTGCGATAGTTTACTGAGAATGATGTTTTCCAATTTCATCCATGTCCCTACAAAGGACATGAACTCATCATTTTTTATGGCTGCATAGTATTCCATGGTGTATATGTGCCACATTTTCTTAATCCAGTCTATCATTGTTGGACATTTGGGTTGGTTCCAAGTCTTTGCTATTGTGAATAATGCCACAATAAACATATGTGTGCATGTGTCTTTATAGCAGCATGATTTATACTCCTTTGGGTATAAACCCAGTAATGGGATGGCTGGGTCAAATGGTATTTCCAGTTCTAGATCCCTGAGGAATCGCCACACTGACTTCCACAATGGCTGAACTAGTTTACAGTCCCACCAACAGTGTAAAAGTGTTCCTATTTCTCCACATCCTCCCCAGCACCTGTTGTTTCCTGACTTTTTAATGATTGCCATTCTAACTGGTGTGAGATGGTATCTCATTGTGGTTTTGATTTGCATTTCTCTGATGGCCAGTGATGATGAGCATTTTTTTCATGTGTTTTTTGGCTGCATAAATGTCTTCTTTTGAGAAGTGTCTGTTCATATCCTTCGCCCACTTTTTGATGGGGTTGTTTGTTTTTTTCTTGTAAATTTGTTTGAGTTCATTGTAGATTCTGGATATTAGCCCTTTGTCAGATGAGTAGGTTGCGAAAATTTTCTCCCATTTTGTCAGTTGCCTGTTCACTCTGATGGTAGTTTCTTTTGCTGTGCAGAAGCTCTTTAGTTTAATTAGATTCCATTTGTCAATTTTGGCTTTTGTTGCCATTGCTTTTGGTGTTTTAGACATGAAGTCCTTGCCCATGCCTATGTCCTGAATGGTAATGCCTAGGTTTTCTTCTAGGGTTTTTATGGTTTTAGGTCTAACGTTTAAGTCTTTAATCCATCTTGAATTGATTTTTGTATAAGGTGTAAGGAAGGGATCCAGTTTCAGCTTTCTACATATGGCTAGCCAGTTTTCCCAGCACCATTTATTAAATAGGGAATCCTTTCCCCATTGCTTGTTTTTCTCAGGTTTGTCAAAGATCAGCTAGTTGTAGATATGCGGCGTTATTTCTGAGGGCTCTGTTCTGTTCCATTGATCTATATCTGTGTTTTGGTACCAGTACCGTGCTGTTTTGGTTACTGTAGCCTTGTAGTATAGTTTGAAGTCAGGTAGTGTGATGCCTCCAGCTTTGTTCTTTTGGCTTAGGATTGACTTGGCGATGTGGGCTCTTTTTTGGTTCCATATGAACTTTAAAGTAGTTTTTTCCAATTCTGTGAAGAAAGGCATAGGTAGCTTGATGGGGATGGCATTGAATCTGTAAATTACCTTGGGCAGTATGGCCATTTTCACGATATTGATTCTTCCTACCCATGAGCATGGAATGTTCTTCCATTTGTTTGTATCCTCTTTTATTTCCTCAAGCAGTGGTTTGTAGTTCTCCTTGAAGAGGTCCTTCACATCCCTTGTAAGTTGGATTCCTAGGTATTTTATTCTCTTTGAAGCAATTGTGAATGGGAGTTCACTCATGATTTGGCTCTCTGTTTGTCTGTTGCTGTTGTATAAGAATGCTTGTGATTTTTGTACATTGATTTTGTATCCTGAGACTTTGCTGAAGTTGCTTATCAGCTTAAGGAGATTTTGGGCTGAGACAATGGGGTTTTCTAGATATACAATAATGTCGTCTGCAAACAGGGACAATTTGACTTCCTCTTTTCCTAATTGAATACCCTTTATTTCCTTCTCTGGCCTAATTGCCCTGGCCAGAACTTCCAACACTATGTTGAATAGGAGTGGTGAGAGAGGGCATCCCTGTCTTGTGCCAGTTTTCAAAGGGAATGCTTCCAGTTTTTGCCCATTCAGTATGATATTGGCTGTGGGTGTGTCATAGATAGCTCTTATTATTTTGAAATACGTCCCATCAATACCTAATTTATTGAGAGTTTTTAGCATGAAGGGTTGTTGAATTTTGTCAAAGGCTTTTTCTGCATCTATTGAGATAATCATGTGGTTTTTGTCTTTGGCTCTGTTTATATGCTGGATTACATTTATTGATTTGCGTATCTTGAACCAGCCTTGCATCCCAGGGATGAAGCCCACTTGATCATGGTCGATAAGCTTTTTGATGTGCTGCTGGATTCGGTTTGCCAGTATTTTATTGAGGATTTTTACATCAATGTTCATCAAGGATATTGGTCTAAAATTCTCTTTTTTGGTTGTGTCTCTGCCTGGCTTTGGAATCAGAATGATGCTGGCCTCATAAAATGAGTTAGGGAGGATTCCCTCTTTTTCTATTGATTGGAATAGTTTCAGAAGGAATGGTACCAGTTCCTCCTTGTACCTCTGGTAGAATTCAGCTGTGAATCCATCTGGTCCTGGACTCTTTTTGGTTGGTAAGCTATTGATTATTGCCACAATTTCAGCTCCTGTTATTGGTCTATTCAGAGATTCAACTTCTTCCTGGTTTAGTCTTGGGAGAGTGTATGTGTTGAGGAATTTATCCATTTCTTCTAGATTTTCTAGTTTATTTGCGTAGAGGTGTTTGTAGTATTCTCTGATGGTAGTTTGTATTTCTGTGGGATCAGTGGTGATATCCCCTTTATCATTTTTTATTGCGTCTATTAGATTCTTCTCTCTTTTTTTCTTTATTAGTCTTGCTAGCGGTCTATCAATTTTGTTGATCCTTTCAAAAAACCAGCTCCTGGATTCATTAATTTTTTGAAGGGTTTTTTGTGTCTCTATTTCCTCCAGTTCTGCTCTGAACTTAGTTATTTCTTGCCTTCTGCTAGATTTAGAAGTGCAAAAATGAACTAATACAGTAATGGAGTATAATTGAACTCATTTTTTAAATTAAACCAAATATAGAACTTCTTATTCTGCTGCTAACTAGCACTTGGGAAGCTTGAGAAGATACAAAAAATTTTACAGATGAGAGAAACTATATTTTCTCAAATCTAAGTTATCATATAAGTAAACATACTTTAATATACTGTTCCAGTGTGTGTCTATGGGGGTACATGTCTGGACAGTATTCCATAATTATCAAAAGCATGGGTTCTGGAGTCACACTGCCTCTGTTCAAACCAGGTCCCTGCCACTTACTAGTTGGATAACCCTAGACATGTCTTTAACTTATTTATGCTTCAGTTTCTTCAGTTGTAAAATGGGTTAAAATAGATCTACCTCAGGGTTGCTGTAAAGATTAAAGAGATAATATTTATAAAGCACTTAGAACAGTTTCTAGCATATAGCAACTGCTCTGTGAGTATGACTAGTACTATATAATTGCACTTTGGTTAATGAAACATATGGGTCTTTTGCTGAATCCAAACTTAGTATCAGATTGTCAACTAAACTATTTAGTGGCAAGGAAAGCATTTACGGTTGAAAACTATAGATAGAGACCTTTATACTAGATAAAAGATTGTCAGCTTTATCATTCATATGTGTCATCTTACTTACATCTGAAAAGAAATTGAGATGCCCATCCTTCAATACTCTCTCAGGCATAAAGAAGTAATCTTCTAATCTGCAGAGATTGCACATAGGTGTAGGGATCTGACCTTGCAACTTCTTACCACCGACAGCCAAAAGCTTGTGAGAGCACATCATTATAGCCCCACCATAAGCTTGTGCCACATCTGTTCCACCTCCCCACTCTAATGGATCTGGCGTTATTATAAATCATACTTGTCTGTCTCCACCACTAGAACATACATTCCTCCAGGTCACAGTCTATGCCTAACCTTCTCTATAATCCCATACCTCTCAAAACAGGGCCTTGACCTCAGCAAGTATGCCCTGGATTGAATTCTCTGTTTCCTTTCTATTGACCTTTATTCTTTGCAGTATGATATTAAAGAAAAAGATGTAAGTCCAGATGCATAGATTTAAATTTGGCCTTGCCCCTTACTAGTTGACTAAACTTGAACCAAAAACTTCAGAAGTCCAAGTTTAAGCCTCTCATTTATAAGACAGAAATAATATTTACCTCAAAGATACCTGGTGAGAACCAGGTAAGACAAAGTATAATATAAAGTGTTGTGGAAATTGCCAGTAGATGATCAAAACAATCTTACTTGACTCTTAATTTTGCTGTATCAAATGCTCTACTTCTCAATTAAATTCCTAAACTTTTTCTTTTTGCTGAGAGCTTCACTTATTTATTTCTTTTTGTCTGCTATATCTCCATGACTTTTCTTAAATGAACAGACTTTATTTTCCAGAAGGATATTAGATTTGCAGAGTATTTTAGCAGATAGTACAGAGAGTTCCCATATGCCCACCCCATAGCCTCCCTACTGATAGTTTCCCCTATTATTAACATCTGATGCCCAGGTGTGGTGGCTCACGCCTGTAATCCCAGCACTTTGGGAGGCTGAGATGGGCGGATTACATGAGGTCAGGAGTTCAAGACCAGCCTGGCCGACATGGTGAAACCCCATCTCTACTGAAAATACAAAAATTAGCCAGGCGTGGTGATGCATGCCTGTAATCCCAGCTACCCAGGAGGCTGAGGCAGGAGAACTGCTTGAACCTAGGAGGCAGAGATTGCAGTGAGCTGAGATTGTGCCACTGCACTCCAGCCTGGGTGACAGAGCAAGACTCCATCTCAAAAAAATAAAAAATAAAAAACAAAAAAAAACCCATCTTACAGTAGTAGTATGGTACCTTTGTTATAATAAACCAATGAATATTTTTATTATAACATTGATATAAACTTTATTAATTTATTGGTAATTTGTTAATATTATTTAACTTTATTGATTTTATTAAGTATTGCTAACATTGATATGTTTTTATTAACTAAAGACCATAGTTTGTTCAGATTTCCTTAGTTTTTTCCTATTGTCTTTTTATGTTCGAGGATCCCATCCAAAGTGCTATTTTACACTTAGTTGTCTCATTGCCTTAGGCTCCTCTTGACTGTGACAGTTTCTCAGGCTGTCCTTGGTTTTGGCAGCTTGACAGTTTTAAGGATATTGTAGAATGCCCCTCAATTAGAATTTGCCTTGTTTTTCTCATGATTAGACCAGGGATATAAGTCTAACAGGGACTTATATTTCTCATGATTATCCTGGTCTAATCATGAGAAAAATATGGCAGATTCTAATTTGCCTTGGGGAGGAAAATTGCAGAGGTAAAGTGCCATTTTCATCACATAATATCAAGGATATATTCTATCAACACTATTTATCATTGTTGATGTTGACTTGATCATCTGGCTGAAGTAGGGTTTGTCAAGTATCTCCACTATAAAGTTACTCTTTGTTTCCCCTTTCCATATTGCACTCTCTGGAAGATAAACTACAACTGCAAAAAATCTTGAAACAAATTCTGCAAAATAGGAACTGTTAAGAAGAGCCAAATCATCAGGAAAAAATAATGTAAAAGAGAAGCATGTAATTTAGATACTTATAATTTATTTCAGATAAACAACAAATATTTCTAGTATAAGTAGGTCCCATGCAATATTTTTTTATCTCAGTGTACATATGCTTAGGAAATAAATAATTCAAATTTAACTGGGTGTCTTGTGCTTTCATTTGCTAAATCCAGCAACCCTTGTAATGCCAGGATTTGAACTCAGGTCTTCTGATTCCAAATCTAGTGCTCTTTCTACTATGACCTTCCCTTCAGTTGATTACATAAAATAACCAACTGCATGAGTGTGTTTGAATTAAATTTTACAGCTACTTTTACATACTTCATTGTTGCCCTAAACATTAGGAAACTGTCCCTGGAGAGAAAATAGAGAATCTCATCTTCATGCCTCTCTTTGCATCCATTAGGGCATTCTTCTGAACAATGTATTGAGTTAGGCCATGCTGAAGATTCTTTCCATTGTTGAAAGATAAAGTCAATAGCATTCTAGCATTAACTTTTAGAACAGCTCTGAAATGTTATTTGAAATGTCATGCAATCAGCAACAGAGACACAGAAAGCTACAAAGTTGAATTACATCATCTTAACAGGATTCACATAGACTGTTATTATTATTGAGATTCTAATCAGTACCATTGATACTGTTGACAAAGTACTTGGATATACATTATTCTACATGATCCTCACAAAGTCTAGGGGGATAGTTTATACCTATTTTTCTGTGGAAATTGAAGTTCTGCTATGTAAAATGACTTATCTTGGGTTGTGCAGCTGATAAGTATCACAGCTACAAACTACCCACATTGTCTGCTTCCAGATCCTGAGTGTTTCCACTGCACAGTGCTGCCAAGTGGATGTAAGAACAACACAGCTTCTGGGGCTGCTTGTTGGTTTGTTAACTTGAATAAGAGTCCACTCTCTAATCACGCTTAGTACATATTGCTACCAGAAGAACAAAGATATACTTAGCTTTAGTTTAAGTTTTACAACAACTCCTTGTGCAATTAGCAAACACAGCATGGATTTTATGAACATCATAACTGCCTACTGCCTCAGAATTCTTTGCACTTCAGGGAGCTGGACTCACAAATCTGGGAGGCAGAGACCAGATTGGGCCAAGTTGCTCAGCACTCTCTATGCTTATTACTAGGAACTCCTAGAGTGAGATGGACTCACCTGAGGGAAGAGATAAGGGACACTTTCAGATTTAGATTCAACCAGCATTTTTTGAATGTCAATTATATGCAAAGCATTTTCACATATGATAGCTCGTATCTGAAAGCTCATCAAATGAGGGAAGGCAGTATTCTATTTTGAGATGTGGAATTTTAAACTATGAAAAGTTAAGATGTCATAAATTTTTTAAAAAATCACATAAAAACAAAACTCACAAAGATTATGAGCAGGGAAATCTTGCCTGGTTGACTGTAAGTGCTCAGTGAAACTTTACCATATTAGATGAAAACCATAATGTAAATTGCAGTGTTGGCATTCCTGAACTGGAGTCTGAGAACCCAGATCATTTGACTTAGAGCTTCACTAATGGGAAAACAATACCCCATGCCCCACTATTTTCCCACACTATTTCAAAAACATAAAGGGAAGAATCAAGTACATAGCCTATTTGCTCCAGCTGAACACTGGATAAGGGATGTACAAGACATTTTATTTTCTTGTTTTGCTGTTGTATCATAAATTGCATCATCATGATATTCTATCAAAGATAAAGAAAGAGTAGAGCAGAAAGCTATCTATGTAATCCAGAGTAAGATCCACATTAACTGAGGAGACCATATTATCTAAACTTCAAAAAATTTTTTATACTATTCTTTTTTCTGGCAGGAACTAATAGAGTATGAACCCTGAATTGAAACACTTGGTCTAACCAGTATAACTACATTTATGGGACAATAAAAGAGAATATTTAGAATCAAAAGTGTTGGGCCAGGTGCATTGACTCACACCTGTAATCCAAGCACTTTAGGAGGCCAAGGCAAGAGGATCACGTGAGGCCAGGAGTTCAAGACTAGCCCAGGCAACATGGGGAGACCCTGTACCTACAAAAAAAATTAGCTGGATGTGATAGCACAAGCATAGCTACTAGGAGGCTTAGGAGTAGCTAGGAGGCTTACTAGTAGCTAGGAGGCTAGCTACTAGGACTTAAGAGGCTAAGGTGGGAGGATTGCTTAAGTCCAGAAGTTTGAGGTTACAGTTAGCTCATGTTCATGACCCTGCAGTCTAGCTTGGGTGACAAGTTAACAATAATAATAATAATAATAATATTAGTGGTCTGGTTACTTCACTGGAAAGGGCCACAGAAAATTTGAGACTTTACTTCTCAATTAAATTGCTATGGCTTTCTTATGATTCAAAAAGTGATGACTCAATTGTGTCTACTTCTTTCCCTCTCTTTTTTTAAGAAACAGAGAACTTTGCACAGGCAACTAAAACCTTTTCAATTAAATAAAGATCTAAAGGTTTCCATAAGTCCATAAGTGACTCTCTAGGTTTGCTCTGTGACAAGACAGAGACATTCCTTACTGTATTTAGAAAGACAGTCTCATCCCAGGCATCCAGTAACTCGCTATTTCCTTCAGTCCCTGCCTCTAGAGATGCCTCTTTCTGATCGTGGAAACATTGCATATCATCTTAACACTCCCCCAATCCATATAAACATGTAGAAAGCTGAAAACTCATGCAGGGTTAGATGTTCACTGACAGAACACACAAAAAACAACAAGTAATATTGTATTTGTGAATGTGGCTACACATTTTAACTTCGAGGAGCTACTCAGATATAATGGATCCCAGAGTTTATAACATGAATATATAGAGATCAGTGGCCTTCTAAATGCTGCCTATTAGAGAACCACAATCACAGCGTCCATCAATAAAAATTCTAGAGAAAGAAAAATAAGGAACAGAATACTATCATAAATACTTGGAATATTAATCATTTATTATGTGCTAAGTCACTTTAAGCATTTTGTTCATTGCCTCTAACTATAAACAAGTTTAGGGCTGGTGAAAGGAAGCAGAGAGGAAAGTTTTTTCTGACAGATCAAAAGGAGCTTGGTTGGCTGAGTACAGTGGCTCACGCCTGTAATCTCAGCACTTTGGGAGGCCGAGGCGAGTGGATCACTTGACCCCAGGAGGCAGAGACCAGCCTGGGCAATGTGGTGAAACTCCGTCTCTTCCAAAAATACAAAAATTAGCTTGGCATGGTGGCATGCTCCTGTGGACCCAGCTACTCAGGCTGCTGAGGTAGGAGGATCCCTTGAGCCTTGGAGGCAGAGGTTGCAGTGAGCTGAGATCACACCACTGCACTCCAGCCTGGGTGACAGATTGAGACCTTGTCTCAAAAAAATTAATAATAATAATAATAAGGAGCTCAGTAACTCATTGCACAGAGGGGCTTGGAGCAAAAGAATGACTCAACCATTAAGATAGACACTATTCAGAATAAGTTCTAGAGATCTGCTATACAATATAGTGTTTATACCTAATAATACTGCATTGTGAACTTCAAAATTTAAGAAGGTAGGTCTCATGTTGTGTTCTTCTAAACGACAAGGAAACTTTGAGAAGTGCTGGCTATGTCTATTACCTTAATTGTGGTGATGGTATCACAGGGATAACATGTATGTCCAAACTCATCACATTGTACACATTAAATATGAACAGTTCTTTGTATATCAATTGAACCTCAGTAAATTTGTTTTTTTTTTTTAAAAAAAGGGAGTAGAAATTATCCAATCTGTTCACAAAACATGGAATTAGAGAGATGTAGCTGGATTTTTCAGCCCTGGAAGCTTGTTGATGTCAAATTCCCAAAGCTGTACTAATTCCTATTGAGCAAACAGAAGGAAAAAGTATCCGTCTTAACTTAAACCTTCCATAAGGGAACAGGGCACAACACATGGTATTTTGTCCTTCCCAAATGTGAGGAATACATTAGATTGTTTGACCCTAGCTTCAGTACTTTAGAATGCTAAGAAAAGCTGACGTTTTCAAAGCAAAAAGCTGTGCTCAGCTCTTCTCTGTCACGGTGTCATCAGTCTCTTGTGCCCACATATCCCCTAACCCTGTCCTCCTAAGTGATTTCCTTCTATCTAATACCTGCAGGTCCAGAACGTGATGGTTCAGATAAACTATATATCAAGTCTTGGCAGCTATATTACTGCTTTGTGGGAAGGTCAAGTAGTCCTTTGAAAAATTTGAAGGACACAACAATATTACTCATGCACACATTTAGAGTTTAGAGAGGACTGCAAGACAAAACTCCTTGGCATTCACACAATAATCTTCCAAAATTGTACCCAAATCTTACTTCTTTGGAGTCATCATCCATTTCCCCATTTTCCCTCTCCATCCACAAGCATATACTCAATATTCAGTCTTTTTTTTTTTTTTTTTTTGAGACAGGGTCTCACTCTGTCGCCCAGGCTGGAGTACAGTGGCATGATCAGAGTTCACTGCAGCCTCCATCTTCCAGGTTTGGGTGATCCTCCCATCTCAGCCTCCTGAGTATCTGAGACTACAGGTGTGCACCACCACATCCTGCTGATTTTTTTTTTAACTTTTAGGAGAGATGAGGTCTTGCTATGTTGCCCAGGCTGGTCTCAAACTCCTAAACTCAAGCAATCCCCTTGCCTTGGCCTCCCAAAGTGCTGAGATTACAAGTGTGAGCCACTGCGTCTATTCAGTCTTCATTGCCTGCATGCCTGTGCGCATGCAGTTCCCTCTGTCCTTTCTTACCTTCTCTGATGGAAAACACAATCACCTGTCAGGACAGTTCAGCTTTTCAGTAAAACAGCTTCCAACAACTTTAGGGAAATTGTCACTTCCTCTTCTGTGCTTTTATAAGTCTTTGTTCATACCCCTATTATAATACCTATCACATTATATTATAATTATGTGTTAAATTTCAAGGCATTGATTATGTCTCAATTATCCAGTGATTAATACAGCCCCTGGCAGATAGTATTCAACGCATTTTTTTGAGTGAACAAATGAGTGACCACTGTCTGAACTATTTGCTTTATTTTTCTGTAAAACTAGTTTAATAATGTGGTTGCCTTGGTATGACAATTTATTCTATAAATAAGTGTAAGAGAAAGAAGAACAAGAAAGTGATAATTGCATCACTCCTAGAAGGCTGTCAATTACATTAAACTTACCCAAAGCGGGAAAAATCTCCAAATCAGAATATTAAGCATGGCTTTATAATAACAATGCAAAAAATGTGTTTATAAAACCATTTGTGTATGCAGAAGATTGAAACTGGACCTGTTCCTTACACTATATACAAAAATTAACTCAAGATGGATTAAAGATCCGAAACTATAAAAACCCTGGAAGACAACATTGGCAATACTGTTATAGACATAGGAATGAGCAAAGATTTCATGAAGAAGATGCCAAAAGCAATGGCAATGAAAGCAAAAATTAACAAATGAGATATAATTAAACTAAAGAGCTTCTGCACAGCAAAAGAAACTATCAACAGAGTAAAGAGACAACCTACAGAATGGGAGAAAATTTTTGCAAACTATGCATCTGACAAAGGCCTAATATCCAACATCTATAAATTAAACAAATTTACAAGAAACAAACAACCCCATTAAAAAGTGGGTAAAGGACATGAACAGACATTTTTCAAAATAAGACATACATGTGGCCAACAAGCGTATGGAAAAAAGCTCAACATCACTGATCATCAGAGAAATGCAAATCAAAACCATAACGAGCCACCATCTCACACCAGTCAGAATGGCTGTTATCAAAAAGCCAAAAAATAACAGGTATGGGTGAGGTTGTGGAGAAAAAGGAACATTTATACACTGTTAGTGGGAGTGTAAATTAGTTCAACAATTGTGGAAAACAGTGTGGCGATCCCTCAAAGACTAAAAGCAAAACTACAATTTGATCCAGCAATCCCATTACTGGGTATATACTCAAAGGAATATAAATCATTCTATAATAAAGACATATGCATGCGTATGTTCATTATAGCACTATTCACAATAGCAAAGACATGCAATCAACCTAAATGCCCAACAGTGGTAGACTGGATAAAGAATACGTGGTGCCTACATACCATGGAATACTAGGCAGCCATAAAAAAGAACAAGATGGAGCTAGAGGCCACTATCCTTAGCAAACTAACATAGGAACAGAAAACCAAATATCTCATGGTCTCACTTATAATTGGGAGCTAAAAGATGAGAACACATGGACACAAAGAAGGGAACCACACACACTGGGGCTTACTGAAGGATGGAGAGTGGAAGGAGGCGGAGGATCAGGAAAAATAACTAATGGGCACTAGGCTTAATACCTGGGTCATGATATAATTAGTACAATAAACCTCCACGACATGAGTTTACCTATATAACAGGCCTGTACATGTACCCCTGAACTTAAAAGTTAAAAAATAAAAATCCATTAGTGGCTGGGTGTGGTGGCTCATGCCTGTAATCCCAGCACTTTGGGAGCGAGAGGTGGGAGGACTGCTTGAGCCAAGGACAGCCTGGGCAATTTAGCTACACTCTGCCTCCACAAAAATTTAAAAATTAGCTGGTTGTGGTGCTGTGTGCCTATAGCCCCCACTACTCAGAAGGCTGAGGTGGAAGGACTGCTTGAGCCCCGAAAGTTGAGGCTGCCATGTCCATACCACTGCACCACTCCAGTCTGAGTGACAGAGTGAGATCCTATCTCAAAGAAAAAAGAAAAACCATCTGTATTTCCAATTCTTCTTCTCAACAGAGTATAGCAGAAAAATGACACACAAACATCACATGTAGAGTTTGCATCAGAAGAGGTCTTTAAAAAGATCAAGACAACAGATTTTTACAGTTAAAAGAGACCTCTTGGTTATCTAGTTCAACTTTCTTCTATGTATGAATCTCTATAGTATGCCTGATAAATGCTCATCTACCTTCTACTTGAATATTCTCAGTGATGGAGAAATCACTATTTGAGAAGGTACTTGATTCCTTATTTTGACAATTATAATGTCCAAGTTAAACCCAATGAACCCAGCCCTTCCTTCTTAAACCACAGAGAATACTCCTTCTTCCTTATGGTAACCCTATAAATAATTAAACACAGCTATAAAGTCATCCCGTCTTTTTTTCCTCAGACTTTTCTAGTTTCATTCAACTACTTCTCATGTTATAGTTTTCAACATTTTCACCAAACTGATTGATATCCTCAGTGTATGTTCCCATTTGTTTCTACTGCTTCTAAAATGGAGCCTGGAGCAACACTCTAAGTGAGGTTAACCCAGAGTGGAGAATCTCCTAGGACAGGACTAGTATATATCTCTCATTATAAACTCCATACGGTTACTATTCAAATTTGTACTGGCTCTTACCTAAGGTAGAGTCAAACCTTGACAATGGCTAGTAGGAAAAAGGATGACATGAAGCCAGGATGGGACCAGAGCTGAGAGAACTGATCCCACTCTGGCACCGGATCTTTGGTGGGAAGGCAAAGCTGTCTAAAGGAGTCCTAGATATATCAAAGACATTCAGGGTGTTTTGACAGGTGGACCAGGAAAATATTGCTGGAGGAATATTTGAAGTCAGACATGTGGCAGCATCATGCCTCCAATAGGTTTTGGAGCAGGCTCTCATCATCCCTTAGGGAACATGAGAATAAAGACCTAACCCCTAGGGGAAAATGTTGCAAAGAGCTTTTGCTGTGTTTTCAGATGACTTTGCAAATTAAAGTCAAGAAGACTGGAGTTCAAAGAAGGGCTGTATTTCTAGGCAGAAACTGAGGTAGTAAGAATCTGGTGTCATAAAGACCTTTGTTGAATTCCATCTTTTCTGCTTTCCAAGCCTAAGTTTCCTCATGTAAAAATGGGGATAAGCACTTAACTTTAGTACTTTAAGTACTAACTTTAAAGGACTGCTGTGAAGATCTAGTGGGATAATATATGTAGTTAGGCATGCAGTTAGTGCTTATCAAATGTTATTATTATAGATTAAGATGCACAAATAAAATATAAGTTAAATAAATTTTAAAATAATTTCACTTTTGAAGCTTTTAAAGTAATTATGTACTAAGAGCATTTTCTCAAATTATTCTTAACACTTCCTTTAAGAAAAGGGCTATATCTGTTTTTTGAAAGATGACCAGAAGTGACATGGATTGGTTGAAAATGGCTTGTAAAGTAAGCCTAACATTTATGATTTATTACCATAAAAACTGTACCAACAGTACGGTTATAACAAATACACTTATTTTTGGGTTTTATTTTCAAGTAAGATAATGACTTTATCATAAACCTTTGAAATCAGTCTTTTTACAGTATAAATTCAGATTCATTAATCCACATAGAATTTTTCTCGATGGTATAATTCTGTATTTGTTAAAAGTCTTTGCATAAGCCCCTTGTCAAGCCAAATGCTGTTTTCCTTTTAGTATCCAATTATCTGAAACTTAAGAAGAGTGTGCACCGCCCAATGGGTGTGTGTATGTGCTGCTTTGAACCTATAGTTGAGATCCAGAGAATTGGGAGTGACATCATCTGTAACAATAAAAGAGCCTCTCTTGGTAAGCAGAAGACCTATATATAAAAGTCACCATTTAAGGGGTCTGCAGTCCAATTCATCAGTTGTCTTTAGTTTACTCAGCATCAGCTACTAACATACCTGAACGAAGATCTTGTTCTAAGACATTGTATGGTAAGTAAACTTAAAAATTCACTTCTGAATCTCATGAGATTTTGATAATCAAGTTATTATTTAATGTGTACCATTTCTACAAATACCATGTTGTTTCTTCAAGGTAAAATGCTAAGAAGTTTGAGTTATGTTTAATATAAAATGCCACATACAAAATAAATTAATGCTACTCAAATCACAAAATCCTTTTTGATTAAAGTCTTCTGAGATACCTTGCCTTTTAAAACCTCATCTGAAATTACAACAAAAAATCATTAAAATTTGGCATGCTATGCTTTAATATAATAGTATCGGTGTCAAAATTTTGAAATAAAACAGGTTGATGGTGAATGAATAGTTCTGATTTAAATAATCTTTATAAATTTATTAAGTGGAGTTAATATTCTGTTTTTCCTGCAGAGTATTCTTATCTAGATTATTTATTTTATGGCTCATAAAGAGCCCAATCTGTATACTAAAGTTGGATAAGCCCAGTTTGACTAGTAAATATTTATTTCCTTTACATAAATGACAGCTGTATTCTGAAAACAGTATTTCCTATGCTATTTCTAAATGATGCAGTTTCCCTGTAAAATAGGAGTACATAACTACTCTATGTGTATGTTAAAAGGTAGTACACTGAGCATTAAGGAAAAGCACTTCTATAATAACAGCCTTTGCAAGTACTGAAATGCAGATTAAGGCAAGAATATCCTATACTGATGTGAAACGAGGAAAGAGACAAAAGTTATATTAAAAGATAATTGTTAATAAAATAAGTTGAAGAAATAAGCTACAAACAAGCATTCCATTCAGAGATAAAGCTCGAAATCCATATCACAAGTAATTAATCAGATGATTTTTAAATGCTTTGACACATTATTTTTAATGCTAGGAGAAATGTGAATTAATTTAGTGAAAATCTCTAGATTAGCACCTATTAGTTTGGTATTTATGGTTATTACAATGCCTGAAATGAAGGTTACTTAAGAAAAGGATTTGCTACGTAAATAGTGTTAACAATTTACACTATGAAGAAAATTAGGCATTTTCAAGCAAGTTATAAACATTTAGGTATAATCAACATAAAATGCAGTGCGGGGGGATTTCTCAAAAATAGGCTCTTTCATTCCTCTTGTAGCTTAAGATTTCTGCAGTGTGACAGAAGGGAGCATGAGAAGCATGGCTCACCAGCCAGCCTCTATTGTCTATGTAATTAGAAGCTTCAGAACTCACTAATACCACTGTACCTTTCACTGGCGCATTACCCCATAAAACTTGAGATGAGGTGAGATCTGAGTATAAAGATAGGTCAGAAGTATTTTAAAGGGCTTAATTTGCCAAAAAGAAAAGTAAAAAGCTAGAGACCCTTTTTGCAGAACATTTGGTGACCACACATTTGAGGGAAGATGTGGCATTAGATGAAGCAGAAGCAAACCCTGCTCTTAGGGGCTCATCTAGGTGAGTGCACAGCCTGTGACACTACAGGGAGAGGCTCAGTAAACTGAGATCCAGCATTCTGTATGACAGAGGCATTGCTTATCACAGAGGTTCTGAATTTTAAGTAGGAAGTACATAATGAAGAGGGCTTTAAAAATTGCTAAGAAAGCGAGTCACCAGGGCTGGCAGTAGTGTAACAGGGCCATCCTGAGCTGTTAGGAGAGTAGATGCAGGGAGGGCTGGTGACCTCCGTGGGTTTATCTGTTGGAGACTCTTCTCTCCAAATCCCAGGCCTGGCTTCCAGCACCATCCAGCTGTGCCCAAGAAGCCACGCTGGTCTGTTCTCCAAGTCTTTTAAATGGTGCCTAATTTTTCTAAGTGAGCTTAGCAATGAGAAGAAAAAAAAAACATGAATTATTTTTCTGGAAAATCAAGGAGACATGGGTAACAACAGGCACTAATAAATATTTATAGATGAGTGAATGAGGAAATAATTACATAAAAAAGGTCAGTGACAATTGATAAATGACAAGGAAATATTTAATTAGGTAAAAGTAAACCATTGCTCTCTATACTAGGATAGACTTTATCTACTTCGTCTTTTCCTAAGTCAGCATGTTAATTCTGGGGGAGGATCATAAGAAAGGAAATACTTTTTTAAAAAAAATTTAAAAACATGTAACAAAGCAAGGGTAAAATATATGTATATACATAAGTGGTATGACTGTAAAACTGTACTTTCCATTAGTTATTAGCTGAGTTAAGAGAATGATCACGTTGAAGTACTGTGTGGACTAGAAATGTACTCTGTCATCATGCAATGAAATGTTGCTAACATTTTAACATAGCTCATTTATGCAGAATGAATTCTGGCAGTTTACCCCAAGTCACAGTTAGGACGGTAGATGGTGAGATCGCAGATGCGTGATTATCTAGATTCAGTGTTACATTTTTGATGTTTATCACTCAGTGGATTTTTATTAATATGCTGATTAAGTTATTTACTTGGCCAGTCATTGTGCTAAATAGTTGCTCTTTTGTGTTTCATTGCCTTGATGTTTGAGTGTAATCTAGCATTTTAATACAGTGTTTATTTTGCATGATCTTTAACAAATGTTTTAAGCAATTTTAAAAAGGCAGGATGTTATTGACATTATACATTGAAGTCTTAACATTTTAATATTTATAGTGCTTATTAGTTTGCAAAATTGTATAATTAGGAATTATTTCAGAGACAATGTTTTCTTTTTCAGGTGAGTAGTTGCCGCTTAATATCATTGGAGTACATTCTTTATACTGTTTGTGAAATTAATACTAGCATATTAAGTGTACAAATAGATTTAGAAAACAATAAAAAATTGCATTCTAAAAAAATAAATAAAAATAAATAAATAAATAAATAAATAAAACTTGCACAAGAAATCTCCAAAAGATAGTTAGGAGCATAAAACTAATTTATAAGTTAAATTATGTGTATATATAATGTATACTAATGTATCCATAAAATAAAGAGGTTGATTCCAAAAGCTTCTCGTGAAAACCAACCCAATTAGTTAGTATTGCATTCTGTGTACTATAGTTTGGAATATTAAAAATATTTTAAAATACCTCCATTTTGCTTGTCCTTTTAGTGAAGATGATACCTGCAAAAGACATGGCTAAAGTTATGATTGTCATGTTGGCAATTTGTTTTCTTACAAAATCGGATGGGAAATCTGTTAAGTAAGTACTGTTTTGCCTTGGAATTGGATTTTTAATGTTGACTTTATCATTTCGAAGTGGGGAGCTAATGGGAAGTGGCCCTCTCTGTTTCTCTTCTTCCCAGGAAGAGATCTGTGAGTGAAATACAGCTTATGCATAACCTGGGAAAACATCTGAACTCGATGGAGAGAGTAGAATGGCTGCGTAAGAAGCTGCAGGATGTGCACAATTTTGTTGCCCTTGGAGCTCCTCTAGCTCCCAGAGATGCTGGTTCCCAGAGGCCCCGAAAAAAGGAAGACAATGTCTTGGTTGAGAGCCATGAAAAAAGTCTTGGAGAGGCAGACAAAGCTGATGTGAATGTATTAACTAAAGCTAAATCCCAGTGAAAATGAAAACAGATATTGTCAGAGTTCTGCTCTAGACAGTGTAGGGCAACAATACATGCTGCTAATTCAAAGCTCTATTAAGATTTCCAAGTGCCAATATTTCTGATATAACAAACTACATGTAATCCATCACTAGCCATGATAACTGCAATTTTAATTGATTATTCTGATTCCACTTTTATTCATTTGAGTTATTTTAATTATCTTTTCTATTGTTTATTCTTTTTAAAGTATGTTATTGCATAATTTATAAAAGAATAAAATTGCACTTTTAAACCTCTCTTCTACCTTAAAATGTAAAACAAAAATGTAATGATCATAAGTCTAAATAAATGAAGTATTTCTCACTCATTGCAAGTATATCTTTTTGGTTATCACTGATACCCACATGTTTACATTGATCATGACTAGGTAGAACAATACAAAGTATTTTTTTAGTCATGTGTTTCACATTTGGATATTTTGAACATCAACGTTTTAGTATTACCAAAGTATTAGGTTTCCAAATCTTCACTAGCTCAATACTGTTGTCCTTTTGGTTTCAGGAAAGGAAATAAAATGCTCAGCAAAAAAAGGGGGCATAAAGTGGTCCGAAACTTGAAAAAGTATTTGCCCCTACATAAAAACCCACTAATCATAGTTCTAATCTGGACGCAAAATTGCAAGAAATAGAATGTTTGTATCTATTAGAAGATAATTTCATTCATTCATTTGTCATTTGACAAATATCTATTTAGTGTTTATTGTTTGTCGTGTACTGTCTTAGGCACTGGCATACAATGGCAAACAAAACAGACATGGTTTCTGTCTACATGCGGCCTAAGATTTAACAGAGAAGACAGATATTATTAATTCATAATTTAGTTTGATAAGTGCTATGTAAGCACAGCACAAAATATTGGAGTGTAAAATACAGAGCCCTAATGTACTTAGATCAGTGCTGTCCAACAGAACTTTCTGTGATGACAGAAATGTTCTGTATTCTGTGCTGTCCAATATGGTAGCCACATGTTCATTTATGTAAAATGTGGGTAGTGTGACTGATGATTGATTTTTATTTACTTATTTTTATTTTCAATCCCTTCGTCAATTTGAATGATTTTAAATTTTAAATTTAATTTAAAATTAATTTAAATAAAATTATAAAATAAAAAATGGAAATAGCCACATACAGTTAGTGACTACTATACTGAACAGTATAGTTCAATCTCAAGATGATCCAGCTGAATAAGAAACATGACTAAGAGTTAACTAGATGAAAAGAAGTAGGAGGGTTTCCCAGGCAGGTGGTATAGCATATGCAAAGGCCCTTAGTTGGGAGGGAAGATGGCTGTAATGCTAAGAGCCAGGATTACAAAAATGAATAAGATTCCATCTCTGGCCTCAAAGAGTTCATTTTCTAATGGAGAAAGACAGATAGGTAAGCAAGTAATTACAATACAAATACAAAATACTGTGAGATACAGAGAGAGTAGACTTGCCTGATAGAATGAACAATTGAGATGGAAGTTTAACGGTAAGTGAACTTTGTAAAATGTAGAACAGAAGAATATTAACAAATTTCTTGCATTCTGGTGGAATCAATCAAACTGTAGTTTAAATGCAAAGAAAATTAACTTTAAATAGAAAGGGATGCATTACAGAATCATAGAGAATGCTGAAGGAAACAATCTAGGAAAGACTCAAAGTCACTGAGGGAGCGATTCTCTCTTCTAATAGCAGTAGCTGCCTTGACTATTATCCTGAGACTGCCCTGATCAGGAGGCAGCTGCTGTTCCAGAAACACACTACACCTCTACCATCCACCCCAGCAAAACGGATGTCCAGCATTCTGCCTATTGACATCTGTCAGTGCCTTGTCATTGTAACGTTTGCTAACACTAGTACAGTAAAATCAAACCGGTCCACAACAATGCTTGCCAGCAGAAAGGGAGAAGTGGCAGATTACCTTACTTCTGCCTTCCCTTTCTCACAAGAATGCATATGATTTGCTGAACCTTAGCGGCAGAGGTGTCTGGAAAATGTAGTTTTTAACTTGCCAACCTATGTAATAGAGGAATACACACTAGAAGGTGGAGTGGACAGTGTCTCTGACTCCCTGGTAGAGAAATGGCACGGTGAGTATTCTTGAATATGTCCTCTTATGGAACTGTGTGAGAATTTCTTTGGGATCGTTATCCAGAAGTAGAATCATAAGACAGACATAAATGAGTTTCACAAGCACAGTTTATACTCCTTCCAGTAGGCTAAGCATTCCTGTTTCCTTATTTCCACCTCCAGTTTGGAATGATATGCCTTTATAAAAAGTTTTGCCATATTGACGTCAGGTGGTAGCTCATTGGTTTAATTTGTGTACCTCTGATTATTAGTGAGATTGGTATTATCTCTACATGTTGGTCATTTGAGTGTGAACTGCTTATTTATATCCTTTGCCATTTTTCTATTAGTTTTCTGGCCCTGTTGATTTTGAATTCTTTGTATATTCTAATGCAAATTCCTTGTTGGTTTTGTTTGTTTATGTATTTATTTATTTACTTATGAGACAGAGCAGCCTCACTGTGTTACCCAGGCTGGAGTACAGTGGTGCAATCACGGCTCACTGCAGCCTCAAACTCTCAGGCTCAAGTGATCCTCCTACCTCAGCCTCCCAAGTAGCTGGGACTATAGGTGCACACCACTGTGCACAGCTAATTTTAAATTTTTTTGTAGAAATGAGGTCCCACTATGTTGCTCAGCTGGTCTTGAACTCCTGGGCTCAAGTGATCCTCCTGCCTCCCCCTCCCAAAGTGTTGAGATTACAGGCGTGAGCCATCGCACACGGCCCCGTGTTGGTTTTAAATGCCACAAATATTTTCTCCCAGTGTGTCATGTATTTGCTAACTCTTTCTATGCTTTTTTTTAAAACTTAAAGGTCTTTTATTAGCATTAACTTAGCAACTTAATAATGTATTAAAATAACCATTCTAAAAAAGAAAAACTTGAAACATCTTTCTATAGTATTGTCTCAAAAACTACAAATTAGACAACTGACTGAAAATGCCAACTTTCCAAAGAGTGCGCAATTTCACCATGATATTTTGCTTTGTATCTTGATCCTGAATTAATAAGAACTAGTAATATAAAGAAAATTCGCAGGTTAAATCAGATGTTCAAAATAAGATTTAGTCAAGAGATACCTTTTAAAATTGTCAATGACTTAATAACCAGATTTAATTATATGAGGGTGACGGATATACTCATTATCTTCATTGTAATGGTGGCTTCACAGGTATATACGTAGGTCAACATTTATGAAGCCATACACTTCATGTCTGTGGTAGAAAACTTTTAGAATTACAGAAAGGATTTTTAAAAGTGGGGGGAAGAGGGAACCCATCCTAAATGCCACCAACAAAAATGACCACTGTTGATATTTTGGTTACTAAGTTTTTGGATTTTCTAGCATACATCTACTCAGAGTACAATTCATAATTGACACGTTAATTGCAACTGAGAGTCAGCTAAAGCATGTACATGTTAAAACAAGGAGACCACCCACAATATTAGCAAAAGTATTTACTTCCTGCCATATAAAAGCTTCCAAACTTATTTTAAGATGCCACACAAAGCCCATTATCCAACATAGTAACTTTGGTTTCAAACTTTGCCTGTCCATTGACTGTAGGAAAAACAAGCTTAGGTACTCCAGGTAAGACAGAAGTGGGGCATGGGGATGTTGGGAGAGGTGCCATCACTTCTAAAGTGTCTGTATGCAGGGAATCCAAACCTAAAACAGAGAAACTGACCCAGTACCACAAAATTGAGACAACTGAGCCTATGATGACCACTTAGTGCAGTTAGTTATGTTTTGTCTGCATTAGAAATCGACATTTGCCTTTCTAAAGGATTTCTTTCTACATATCTTGAAAGACAACATAGAGGAGTGATCCTGGCTCAGCCAAGGGACCCTGAGGCAAGCTGATTCAGTACGTTGGGTCTTAATTAATTAATTGCCATCTCTGTAAAACAGGGCTTACAACCAAAACTCACTGAAGCACAGTTCATACAGATAAAACACTTAGAACAGCTCTGCCATTTAGCAGTGTCACTGAAGTCTAGGTGGAAGCCACACCCCTTATTAATCTGCTTTGAAGGCCTTGTGTCTCTTTCTCCACACTCATTTCCTGAACCTCCCACCCCTACGGGTCCCAGTCACTCCGACTCTTTCATCAATTCCCAGAACACACCGGGCTCATCACCTCCAAAGCTTCTGTTCTCACTATTCCAGGGCTTGCCTTTTTCATGTGGCCTCCCCTTCTTTCATTCTTCATCTCTTGGCTTAAATGTCACCTTGACGAGGGGCTATCACTCAGTCTGTCTAGGCTTTCCTACTATTTTCTGCCACTAAACTCTGCTTATTTACTTCAAACCATTTTCATGATTGGCAATATTTTGTTCACACTATTGTCTGTCTCCATTTCCTGTGGGCAGCAACTCTCTCTGGTCACCTCCATACCCCTGAAGTAGTGCTCATTATGTAGTGAAGGGTAATACATACCTGTTGCCTGAATGAACGCACCCTTGTGGGGAAAGGCAGATATTGCCTCTTGGGCAGGAAGAGCAGAGGGGACAGAAAAAGTCCTCAAATGTCGGGAATCAACAGCTGAGAGGAAACGAGTTCAGCAATCGAGAGCCTAGACCAGGAGCGTCCAATCTTTCAGTTTGGTTTCCCTGGGCCACAATGGAAGAATTGCCTTTGGCCACACGTAAAATACACTGACGTTAATGATAGCTGATGAGCTTAAAAAAACAAAAAAAAAAAAACAAAAAAAACGCACTATGTTTTAAGAAAGTTTACGAATTTGTGTTGGGCTGCATTCAAAGCCGTCCAGAGTTGTATGCAGCTGGTGGGCCGCAAGTTGGACAAGCTTGGCCTAGACGTTGCTGTCACACGTAACAGAACTCAGCCCCCACCAGCTCAGCCTTCTGAGGGTGAGAGGTGACAATGTACTAGCAGCCCTCACTCGCTCTCCGCCTCCAGTCTGGCCGTGCTTGAGGAGCCCTTCAGCCCGCGGCTGCACTGTGGCGGCCCCTCTCTGGGGCTTGCCAAGGCTGGAGCGGGCTCCCTCTGCTGGCGAGGAGGTGTGCAGGGAGAGGCAGCGGCTGGAGCCATTGAGAGGTGAAACCAGCCGGCTTCTGGGTCGGGTGGGGACTTGGAGAACTTTTGTGTCTAGCTAAAGGATTGTAAACGCACCAATCAGCACTCTGTGTCTAGCTAGAGGTTTGTAAACGCACCAATCAGCACCCTGTCAAAACGGACCAATCAGCTCTCTGTAAAATGGACCAGCTCTCTGTAAAATGTACCAATCAGTAGGATTTGGGTGGGGCCAGATAAGGGAATATAAGCAGGCCACCCGAGCCAGCAGCGGCAACCCATTCGGGTCCCCTTCCATGCTATGAAAGCTTGGTTCTTTCGCTCTTTGCAATAAATCTTGCTGCTGCTCACTCTTTGGGTCCGCACTAACTTTATGAGCTGTAACACTCACCATGAAGGTCTGCAGCTTCACTCCTGAAGCCAGTGACACCACGAACCCACTGGAAGGAATGAACAAATCCAGATGCACTGCTTTTAAGAGCTGTAACACTCACCACAAGGGTCCGCGGCTTCACTCTTGAAGTCAGTGAGACCACAAACCCACCGGAAGGAAGAAACTCCAGACACATCTGAACATCTGAAGGAACAAACTCCGGACACACCAACTTTAAGAACTGTAGCACTCACCACAAGGGTCCCCGGCTTCATTCTTGAAGTCAGTGAGACCAAGAACCCACAAATTCTGGACACAAGGGAAAAATGCCAAAGGAGAGTGGGGCAGAGGCAGAGAGATGAGACATGGCCTCTGCTGAAGAGGTGAGGGCAGGATAGTACCCAGTAGCCAAGGAGGAGAGGAGAGACAAATGGGACTGTGAGCCAGGGGTGGAGATGCAAAGCTGGGAAGCACCCCCATCGCCTCTGGGATGAGGCTGGTGTCTCCAGGGGTGAGCCTGCCTGAGGACATGAGCCTGCAGAACCCAAAGATAGAGCCTCTGGAAAGACTCCAGCTGCCCCAGTCCCAGGCCAAGGCCTGGCTCACCTGTGGCTCACCTTAGCCGCGGGCAGCCCCGAGAACCCGATCCCTGCAGCAACTGCGTCGCCACCAGCACCACAGCTGCCGTCTTTATAGTTAATTTCGATGAACTCAGATATATCAATTTTTCACTTTATTGTTTGTATTTTTCAGGAGTCTTGTTGAAGAAGTATTTCCCCAGCCCTAGGCCACAAAGTTACCTCTTACATCTGCTTTAGAGTTTTACCTTTCACTTTGTTTTTTTCTTATTTTTTTTTAATTATACTTTAAGTTCTAGGGTACATGTGCACAACATGCAGGTTTGTTACATATGTATACAATGCCATGTTGGTGTGCTGCACCCATTAACTCGTCATTTAACATTAGATATTTCTCCTAATGCTATCCCTCCCCTCTCCCCCGACCCCACGACAGGAACCGATGTGTGATATTCCCCACCCTGTGTCCAGGTATCTCCAGAATTAGTTCCTTCCAGTGGGTTCTTGGTCTTGCTGACTTCAAGAATGAAACCACAGACCCTCATGGTGAGTGTTACAGCTCTTAAAGGTGGTGTGTCCAGAGTTTGTTCCTTCAGATGTTCAGATGTGTCCAGAGTTTCTTCCTTCTGGTAGGTTTGTGGTCTCGCTGACTTCAGGAATGAAGCTGCAGACCTTCCCAGTGAGTGGCACAGCTCTTAAAGGTGGTGTGGACCCAAAGAATGAGCAGCAGCAAGATTTATTGTGAAGAGCAAAAGAACAAAGCTTCCACAGCATGGAAGGAGACCCCAGCTGGTTGCCACTGCTGGCTGCCCCTCCTGGCTCAGGTGGCTAGCTTTTATTCCCTTATTTGGCCCCACCCACATCCTGCTGATGGGTCCATTTTACAGAGTGCTGATTGGTCCATTTTACAGAGTGCTGATTGGTGCGTTTTTACAGAGTGCTGATTGGTGCGTTTACAAACCTTTAGCTAGACATAGAGCGCTGATTGGTGTGTTTTTACCGAGTGCTGATTGATGCATTTACAAACCTTTAACTAGACTCAGAGCACTGATTGGTGTGTTTACAATCCTCTAGGTAGACAGAAAAGTTCTCCAAGTCCCTACAGAACAAGAAGCCAAGCGGGCTTCACCTCTCACAAGTGTTTTCATTGTTCAATTCCCACCTATGAGTGAGAACATGTGGTATTTGGTTTTCTGACCTTGCGACGGTTTGTTCAGAATGATGGTTTCCAGCTTCATTCATGTCCCTACAAAGAACATGAACTCATCCTTTTTATGGCTGCATAGTATTCCAGGGTGTATATGTGCCACATTTTCTTAATCTAGTCTATCATTGATGGACATTTGGGTTGTTTCCAAGTCTTTGCTATTGTGAATAGTGCTGCAATAAACATACGTGTGCATGTGTCCTTATACTAGCATGATTTATAATCCTTTGGGTATGTACCCAGTAATGGGATGCTGGGTCAAATGGTATTTCCAGTTCTAGATCCATGAGGAATCGCCACACTGTCTTCCACAATGGTTGAACTAATTTACACTCCCACCAACAGTGTAAAACTGTTCCTATTTCTCCACACCCTCTCCAGCACCTGTTGTTTCCTGACTTTTTAATGATTGCCATTCTAACTGGTGTGAGATGGTGTCTCATTGTGATTTTGATTTGCATTTCTCTGATGGCCAGTGATGATGAGCATTTTTTCATGTGTTTTTTGGCTGCATAAATGTCTTCTTTTGAGAAGTGTCTGTTTATATCCTTCACCCGCTTTTTGATTGGGTCATTTGACTTTTCTCTTGTAAATTTGTTTAAGTTCTTTGTAGATTCTGGATATTAGCCCTTTGTCAGATAGGTAGATTGCAAAAATTTTCTCCCATTCTGTAGGTTGCCAGTTCACTCTGATGATAGTTTCTTTTGCTGTACAGAAGCTCTTTAGTTTAATTAGATCACATTTATCAATTTTGGCTTTTGTTGCCATTGCTTTTGGTGTTTTAGTCATGAAGTCCTTGCCCGTGCCTATGTCCTGAGTGGTATTGCCTAGGTTTTCTTCTAGGATTTTTATGGTTTTAGGTCTAACATTTAAGTCTTTAATCCATCTTTAATTAATTTTTTTACAAGGTGAAAGGAAGGGATCCAGTTTCATCTTTCTACATATGGCTAGCCACTTTTCCCAGCACCATTTATTAAATAGGGAATCCTTTCCTCATTTCTTGTTTTTGTCAGGTTTGTCAAAGATCAGATGGTTGCAGATGTGTGGTATTATTTCTGAGGGCTCTCGTTCTGTTCCATTGGCCTATATCTCTGTTTTGGTACCAGTACCGTGCTGTTTTGGTTACTGTAGCCTTGTAGTATAGTTTGAAGTCAGGTAGTGTGATGCCTCCAGCTTTGTTCTTTTTGCTTAGGATTATCTTGGCAATGCGGGCACTTTTTTGGTTCCATCTATTAAGATAATCATGTGGTTTTTGTCTTTGGTTCTGTTTATATAATGGATTATGTTTATTGATTTGCATATGTTGAAGCAGCCTTGCATCCCAAGGATGAAGCCCACTTGATCATGGTGGATAAGCTTTTGGATGTGCTGCTGGATTTGGTTTGCCAGTATTTTATTGGGATTTTTGCATTGATGTTCATCACGGATGTTGGCCTAAAATTCTCTTTTTTCATTGTGCCTCTGCCAGGCTTTGGTATCAGGATGATGCTGGCCTCATAAAATGAGTTAGGAAGGATTCCTTCTTTTTCTATTGATTGGCATAGTTTCAGAAGGAATGGTACCAACTCCTCTTTGTACCTCTGGTAGAATTAGGCTGTGAATCCATCTGGTCCTGGACTTTTTTTGTTTGGTAGGCTATTAATTATTGCCTCAATTTCAGAGCCTGTTATTGGTCTATTCAGGGATTCAACTTCTTCCTGGTTTAGTCTTGGGAGGGCGTATGTGTCCAGGAATTTATCCATTTCTTCTAGATTTTCTAGGTTATTCACATATAGGTGTTTATAGTATTCTCTGATGGTAGTTTGTTTTCTGTGGGATTGGTGGTGATATCCCCTTTATCGTTTTTTATTGTGTCTATATGATTCTTTTCTCTTTTCTTCTTTATTAGTCTTGCTAGCTGTCTATCAATTTTGTTGATGTTTTCAAAAAACCAGCTCCCAGATTCATTGATTTTTTTGAAGGATTTTTTGTGTCTCTGTCTCCTTCAGTTCTGCTCTGATCTTAGTTATTTCTTGCTTTCTGCCACCTTTTGAATTTGTTCTTGCTTCTCTATTTCTTTTAATTGTGATGTTAGGGTGTCAATGATAGATTTTTCCCATTTTCTCCTGTGGGCATTTAGTGCTATAAACTTCCCTCTAAACAGTGCTTTAGCTGTGTCTCAGAAATTCTGGTACATTGTGTTTTTGTTCTCATTAGTTTCAAAGAACATATTTATTTCTGCCTTAATTTCATTATTTACCCAGTAGTCATTCAGGAGCAGGTTGTTCAGTTTCCATGTAGTTGTGCTGTTTTGAGTGAGTTTCTTAATCCTGACTTCTAATTTGATTGCACTATGGTCTGAGAGAGAGTTTGTTAAGATTTCTATTCTTTTACATTTGCTGAGGAGTGCTTTACTTCCAACTATGTGGTCAATTTTGGAATAAGTGTGATGTGGTGCTGAGAAGAATTGTATTCTGCTGATTTGGGGTGGAGAGTTCTGTAGATGTCTATTAGGTCTGCTTGGTGCAGAGCTGAGTTCAATTCCTGGATATCCTTGTTAACTTTCTGTCTCATTGATCTGTCTAATGTTGACAGTGAGGTGTTAAAGTCTCCCATTATTATTGTGTGGGAGTCTAAGTCTCTTTGTAGGTCTTTAAGGACTTGCTTTATGAATCTGGGTGCTCCTGTATTGGGTGCATATATATTTAAAATAGCTCTTCTTGTTGAATTCATCTCTTTACCATTATGTAATGGCCTTCTTTGTCTCTTTTGATCTTTGTTGGTTTAAAGTCTATTTTATCACAGACTAGGATTGAAACCCCTGCTTTTTTGCTTTGTTTTGTTTTCCATTTGCTTGGTAGATCTTCCTCCATCCCTTTATTCTGAGCCTATGTGTGTCTTTGCATGTGAGATGGGTCTCCTGAATACAGCACACTGATGGGTCTTGACTCTTTATCCAATTTGCCAGTCTGTGTCTTTTAATTGGGGCATTTAGCTCATTTACATTTAAGGTTAATATTGTTATGTGTGAATTTGATCCTGTCATTATGACGTTAGCTGGTTATTTTGCCCATTAGTTGGTGCAGTTTCTTCAGAGCATCAATGGTCTTTACAATTTGGCATGTTTTTGCAGTGGCTGGTACTGGTTGTTCCTTCCCATGTTTAGTGCTTCCTTCAGGAGCTCTTGTAAGGCAGGCCTGGTGGTGACAAAATCTCTCACCATTTGCTTGTCTATAAAGGATTTTATTTCTCCTTCAATTATGAAGCTTAGTTTGGCTGGATATGAAATTCTGGGTTGAAAATTATTTTCTTTAAGAATGTTGAATATTGGCCCCCACTCTCTTCTGGCTTGTAGAGTTTTTGCTGACAGATCCGCTGTTAGTCTGATGGGCTTCACTTTGTGGGTAACCTGACCTTTCTTTCTTGCTGCCCTTAACATTTTTTCCTTCATTTCAACCTTGGTGAATCTGACAATTATGTTTCTTGGGGCTGCTCTTCTGGAGGAGTATCTTTGTGGTGTTCTCTGTATTTCCTAAATTTGAATGTTGGCCTGCCTTGCTAGGTTGGGGAAGTTCTCCTGGATAATATCCTGCAGAGTGTTTTCCAACTTGGTTCCATTCTCCCCATCACTTTCAGGTACACCAATCAAACGTCAATTTGGTCTTTTCACATAGTCCCATATTTCTTGGAGGTCTTGTTCATTTCTTTTTACTCTTTTTTCTCTAAACTTCTCTTCTCGCTTCATTTCATTTATTTCATCTTCAATCACTGATACCCTTTCTTCCAGTTGATTGAATCGGCTCTGAAGCTTGTGCATTTGTCATGTAGTTCTCGTGCCATGGTTTTCAGCTCCATCAGGTCATTTAAGGTCTTCTCTACACTGCTTATTCTAGTTAGCCATTCTTCTAATCTTTTTTCAACGTTTTTAGCTTCCTTGTGATGGGGTTCAAACATCCTCCTTTAGCTTGGAGAAGTTTGTTATTTCTGATCTTCTGAAGCCTACTTCTGTCAACTTGTCAAAGTCATTCTCCGTCTAGCTTTGCTCCGTTGCTGGCAAGGAGCTGCAATCCTTTGGAAGAGAAGAGACAGTCTGGTTTTTAGAGTTCTCAGGTTTTCTGCTCTGGTTTCTCCCCATCTTTGTGGTTTTATCTGCCTTTGGTCTTTGATGATGGTGACCTACAGATGGGGTTTTGGTGTGGATGTCCTTTCTGTTGATGCTATTCCTTTCTGTTTGTTAGTTTCCCTTCTAACAGTCAGGACCCTCAGCTTCAAGTCTGTTGGAGTTTGCTGGAGGTCCACTCCAGACCCTGTTTGCCTGGGTAGCACCAGCAGAGGCTGCAGGACAGCAAATATTGCAGAACAGCAAATATTGCAGAACAGCAAATGTTGCTACCTGATCCTTCCTCTGGAAGCTTTGTCTCAGAGAGGCATCAAGCTGTATGAGGTGTCAGTCGGCCCCTACTGGGAGGTGTCTCCCAGTTAGGCTACTTGTGGGTCAGGGACCCAGTTGAGGAGGCAGTCTGTCCATTCTCAGATCTCAAACTCCATGCTAAGGGAACCACTGTTCTCTTCAAAGCTGTCAAACAGGGATGTTTAAGTCTGCAGAAGTTTCTGCTGCCTTTTGTTCAGCTATGCTCTGCCCCCAGAGGTGGAGTTTGCAGAGGCAGGGAGTTCTCCTTGAGCTGCAGTGGGCTCCACCCAGTCCGAGCTTCCCAGCCACATTGTTTACCTAGTCAAGCCTCAGCAAAGGTGGATGCTCCTCCCCCAGCCTCGCTGCTGACTGGCAGTTCGATCTTGGACTGCTGTGCTAGCAGTGAGCAAGGCTCCGTGGGCGTCGGGCCCACCGAGCCAGGCATGGGATATAATCTTCTGGTGTGCCATTTGCTAAGACCATTGGAAAAGCGCAGTATTATGGCAGGAGTGTCCCGATTTTCCAGGTACCATCTGTCATGGCTTTGCTTGGCTAGGAAAGGGAATTCCCTGACCCCTTGCACTTCCTAGGTGAGGTGATGCCCCACTCTGTTTCAGCTCACACTCCATGGGCTGCAACCACTGTCTAACCAGTCCCAATGAGATGAACCCAGTACCTCAGTTGGAAATGCAGAAATCACCCATCTTCTGCGTCGCTCATGCTGGGAGCTGTAGACTGGAGCTGTTCCTATTCAGCCATCTTAGAGCTGGATCTACCTTTCACTTTAAGGTAGTTATTCTTCTGAAGACTAGTCTTGTGTATGCTAAAATGCTATGTTTGCGTTTTATTGACTTTTTCATATGGACAGTCAGTATCCCAAACACCATCTGTGAAACAATCCATTATTTCCCCATGGCTTTATGGAGACATTTTAAAAATCATACCTTAGGTTCTTGGGTTAAACATAGGTCTATTTTTTATTTTATTTAATTTTGAGGGAAAAGAGGCTGAAAATTTGCCTTATTGTGCTCTTTGAATCAACTTTCAGTTCATGCCAACAAATGACTCTTCCTGGACTTTTCCTTCATTTCCCAACTTAATCCTTGGACACCATGTCCCTCTGAATATCTCCAGCCCTGTGATTCTCCTCCCCATGTGGGGCATACACAGGAAACCTTCCTTCTCAAGTCCACGGGGGTTGAGCCTATGAACAGACAACCTAGGCACTCTTCAGAAACAAGTTCTTGGTTACATGAGGAAGCAGCAGTTCACGGAGGTAGCCCTGGGAAACACACAAGAGGAGAAACAAAACTAGCCCTCACACTGTGGGCCTCTTGGGTTTGGTCCAATTTTATCTTGAGCAAAGACCAGTATTTACAATTAAGTTAGGTTTTAAAATCAATTGTTTATTTTTGCAATTCTAATCTTAAAGCTTCCTTTTTAGTAAAACAAATGGTTTCTCAAACTTATAAACTCCTGGTAATGTCAAAAAAGATGAAAGTGTATGATCTGACAGTTTCATCCTGCATATTCCTCTTTTCCTGGCTCCCTGAGAGGACTGTGGTCAAATTATGACATCGATACCTTCCTTGGTACAGATCTTCATGTGTTGCATGTTCTCACCCTCTCTTGGGATCCCAGGTCCAAAGAGTGAAAATAGAGGCTCCAAGATAGACATATTGTGAAGGTGAATAAATGGAAACTATCAGACGTGTTGAAAAATGAAATGGTTTTCAGGTCACAGTCCAGGAAAATCCCCACTTCTAAGTTTGGGCTCACATGGAGAACCGTCCTAGTTTCTGTGCTAGCAGTGACTTCACATACGCTCTTGAGGCTCACCACTCAGAACCAGAGATCTGATGATACTAGGAAAGGTTCTTCATGAAATGCAGATTCTCTGCAAACACCCGCAATCCATCTTTTTATTTCTCCCACTTTCAACTCCTAATAATGTCAGCCAGAGGTGAAGCACGAGGACCCTAGGACAGGAGGAACAGAGATTAATGTCTTGGCATTCTCTGGTGGTCTCATCTGGACATATCTCCATAAGAGGCTCCACAGGTCATTAGAAAATATGAGGAGGTTATTACTTGTGGCCACATTCAGACTCATCTTTTCATAGAACTCCATGCAGAACATGCTCAGCACAAGTGTCACAAGTGTCATCACTGTGATCTCAGCCACTAGCTTCCCCAGGGCCATATTGGTCTAGATCCTCTGGATCCAAGAGATGTCAAGACACTGGGAACAAGTGAAAGGACATGCTAGTTCTCCCTCTCCAACTGCCTGAGGCAGGTGAAGCAGAAGTTGTGTTTGCAGGGCGTCAAGCAGGGATCTTTGAATAGTTTAAGTTAAATGGGACATGTCAATTCTTTTTTGTGTTTTTCTGCTATGGCCACCATTTCAACATAGCTATTCTCAGTTTTGTGCTGCTCTAGGGTACTACAATTCTTCTCAACTGGATTCTGGAATTCTCATAAAGGCATTTTTAAGCCTCATAAAGTCTCCCTATATCATTGTTAAATAAATGTTTCTGTGAGGCAATGAGGGCTGGAACTTCCTATTCTGCCATCTTGCTGATGTCACAAATATAGGTTTATATTTGAGCTCTCTTTGTTTATTCTGTTCTAATGATGTATTTGTTCAAGTAATATAAATTAAGTGTACACACATGCACACATCCTTCTTTATAGACGTCTGTTCTCCCATATAAATTTTACAATCAACTGAGCTCTCTTCTAAAAAAAGCCAATTGCAATTTTGATTGGGATTGTATTAAAATTATAAATTTGTGTTAGGAGGAATTGTCATCTTTATTATATCATCCTATTCATTGATACTGTAAGGGTCTTCATTTATTCTGATCTCATTTTATGCCTTTTAAATAGTTCAAATTTTCTCTGGAAAGATCTTACATAGCCTTCGTTAATTGCTGAATACTATGTAGTTTATTGTGTGGTTATTATGAAAAGTATCTAAATGTTAATTACATTTTCTATTTAGTTATTTTTGGTATACAGGAACATTGTTCATTTTTCTACTTTTATCTTACATCCAACAACCCTGCTGGACTCTCTTATTAATTCTAATAGTTTGTCTTTTGATTAAGCTTGTTATACATGTAGATAATCATATAATCTCAAATAGTGATACTTTTTTCTCTTTTTTCCCCTCTGATTACACCTTTTTTTCAATTCTTATGGCATTATTCAGTACCTCTAAGTTCTTGTTAATGAGTGATGATGTTGAGCTTCCTTATCATATTCTTTACCTTAATAGGAATGTGTCCATAATTTCTCAAGAAGAGAAAGTCCATTAACACATTGATGACATTCCCTTTTACAACTAGTTTTCCAAGAGTTCATTTGAGATAATAAAAGGGAATTAAACTTTATAAAATGATTTTCCAAACACATGCAATGTTTTACTTTTAGCTCAATGTGATAAGTTAAATATATTTACATGCCTGGGATAGAACCTACTTAATATCGATATGTTTTTACTTTTTTAAACAGTAAAATTTATTGTACATATAGAAGCCTGCATAAAACATATATGCAAATTTTTAAGAAAAAAATAGAATTAACTTCCATTACTCACCACTGAGATTATGAAATACAATATTGCCAGTACAAAAATTTCTTGTAAGACCTTTCTCTATCACATCCCCCAATTCATCCCCATTTTACTTTTATCATTAGTCTTTCTATTATCTATATATAAAATCTGTGTAGATTTTATATATACATATAGATTTCATATGTATAAATAGTATACCTATACATATATAATCTAATCAAAGGGTGTGTGTATATGTGTGTGTGTATATATATATATATATATATACACACGTATATGCCTTTTAAAGATTTCAAATTTAACCATTTAATAAATACACACTATTTAATAAATAGTGTGTGTATATGTGTATATATATACTCCTTGGTTATTTTATATTGAAAAGCTAGTATTAGACTATTCAGTCTAATTAACGGGTATATGATTAGATTGAATGGTCTGATACTAGCTTTTCAAATGTTTGCCTTCGAAAAACGTAGGCTGTCTTTTCACCTTGTGATATTACCATCCATCTGGCTAAGCCCCATCTCTCTATTTTTAAATTTTTGCTAGTCAGAATCCCATTTAAAGGTATTCATTTCTGAGTTCATTAGGGTGAACAAATTGCTATAACAAATACATCCCAAATGTATATTCACTTAAATTGAATAGAAGTTTATTTCTTGTTCATATAACATTACTGGAGCCAGGCGCAGTGGCTCACGCCTATAATCCCAACACTTTGGGAGGCTGATGTGGGTGGATCACTTGAGGTCAGGAGTTTGAGACCAGCCTGGCCAACATGGTGAACCACATCTCTACTAAAAATACAAAAATTAGCTGGGCATGGTGGTATGCGTCTGTAATCCCAGCTACTCAGGAGGCAGGAGAACCTGGGAGGTGGAGATTGTAGTGAGCTGAGATCATGCCACTGCACTCCAGCCTGGGGGACAGAGTGAGTGAGACTCTGTCTCAAAAAACAAACAAACAAAAATTACTGGAATGTTATATTCCCAGGCAGGCAAACAGGTCAACAGGATGACCAGGAATTCTATTTCTACCATGTAACACTGGGGTTGTTTCCAGTCCAGTTAGCTGGAATTGAAAAATGTAAGAATACTTGTGTGAAGGTGTTATGGGCCAGGCCTGGAAAAGGTGACATTATCTCTTAACATTCCATGAACTATAATATAGTCACGTAACCACACTTGATTTTTTTTTCTTTTTCTTTTTTTTTTAGAGACAGTCTATCTCTGTTACTCATGCTGGAGTGCAGTGGTGTGAATTCCACTCACTGCAACCTCCACCTCCTGGGTTCAAGTGATTCTCGTGCCTCAGCCTCCTCAGTAGCTGGGACTACAGGTGCCTGCTGACACGCTCGGCTAATTTTTTTGTATTTTTAATAGAGACGGGGTTTCACTGTGTTGGCCCGGATGGTCTTGATCTCCTGACCTCGTGATCCACCCGCCTCGGCCTCCCAAAGTGCTGGGATTACGGGCATGAGCGACTGCGCCCGGCCCTCATTTTTTATGATAGCCATTCTTGTGCATGTGTATTGGTATCTCATTGTGGTTTTAATTTACATTTACTTAATGACTAAGAACTTTGAGCACCTTTTCCTATGTTTATAATTCATTTATATGTCTTCATAGAAGTGTCTGTGCAAGTCTTTTGCCACTCTTTAATTGTACTCTTTTGTCTTCTTATTTATTATGGAGTTGAGTTCTTTATATATTCTTATATAAGTCCTTCATATAATTTACAAACATTTCTTTTTGAGACAGCCAGGTGGGAAGGGGTCCCCAGAGAAACTCCAACCAGCCTGTGCACTGAGAGGAATGCACACTGGGGTGGAGTCACAGAAGTTCGTGCCTTTTGCAGTTGGGTGGAGTCTGGCCCCTCCTCTTCCTGGGTGGAACCTGGAATTCAATCTGTGAGGTGGGAAGCACACTAACAGGGACTTTGGCTGTGTGGAGAGTCCCTGTTTCTCATTTTTTCCTTTTTGCCCAATGAATTCCACTATTCTCACCCTTCAAAGTGTCTGCGAGGCTAATATTGGCCGTGTGACAAGGACCTGGCTCTTAGCTAAACTAAGTAGGAAATCCTACAATATCTTGTTGAACTAAAAGAAGAAACTGAGGCAAAATGTAGGGATAAGTTGCATTTTTCCCTTTTCTGCTCTTTGTCATGAAAGGAATGAGGGGCTATGAAAAACTCGTTCATGGGGGAAGACCAGATTCCGTCAAGAGACCCCATATAAGTGGAAGTTGCTGTTGCGGGCTGGTATTGATATTGCATAGCCATTATAGGTGGAATCTTTGTGATCTGGAAGATATAAACTTAATGAGAGCAATAAAAAGGCAGAGACAAAATATTAAAAGAAGAATGACAAGGAATACAGGTCTAAAGAATGGAAGAAGCCATGTGATTTCAATAAAGGTTTTGGTCCAGTCTTGGTTACTTTGGAAAAGTGTGTGTATCAGTTTCCATTTTTTCAGATACATTAATGTAGGTGCAACAAGTTTTGTTGATGACAGCACAGATTCCTCTTTGTTCAGCTAGGAGGTAATTTTGAGCTTGTCCATTACAAAAAACCATTCCTCCTAGTGAGTCTAAAGACTTTTCTATCGCTGATATACTTGTGCCAGTTTTTGCTAAGGCTATGTCAAGGGAGGCGGTAAGTTCTTGTAGTGTGATTTCATGGTAAGTAAAACCTCCAAGTGGCAAGAGTGAGACAGTTCCCACAACTGTGGCCACATTAAATCCTAGGGCCCTTTTTTTCTAGAATGAAATTCTGAATTGGAGTTATGTTCAAGACAGTGATTTGGGTGGGAGCTATTGTTCCCAAAATACAATCACCATAATGAAGAGAATTATCAAGGTGGCACAGGGCCAAAGCTTGAACATGGATTAAATAATTATTGGTGGTGCTACAAAACCGTAAGATTCCAGGAGGGGCAAGTAATATAGCTTGAGGCTTTTTTGGACTAAGAGGGCCACTGATGCTAAAGCTTCAAAGCAGGGGGCCATCCCTGGGAAATCAAGTCTAAAATTTTGAAAAATATGTTATAGGGCACTTAGAGGGCCCCAGATTTTGGGCTAAGACACCCAAAGCAATTCCCCTTCATTCATGTACATACAAAAGCAAGAACTTAGTCAGATCTTTTAGGGCTAAGGCTGGGCTGAGATTAAAGCCTGTTTTAAAGTGTTTAGAGCATGCTTCATGTCATTAGTCCCTAAGAGAGGTTGTTCCTCAGTTCCCTTGAGGGCTTCATATGAAGGTTTTGTTATTATTCTGAAGGAAGGAATCCATATTCTGCAAAACCCAGACATACCCAAAAAGGACCAAAGCTATTGTTTAGTTACAGGGGTTGTCATTTTAAGGTAAGATCTTTACTGGCACTAGAAAGGCTCATTGTACTGGGGGTTAAACTAAGACCCCAAAATTGAATGCTTTGTGCAGATATTTGTACTTTGGAAGAAACTTCTTTGTACCCACAGTTAGCAAATTTGTTTAGTTACAAATACTGTATTTTGGTCTGAAACAGCCTTGGTAGGACTACAGATTAGTAGGTCATCCACATACTGGAGTATATTGCTATCTGGGAGAGGCTGCAGGGTGGACAGGTCTTTAGCTAGGGCCTGTCCAAAAAGGCGGGGGTTATCTCTGAATCCCTGGCACAGAACTGTCCAAGTTAACTGTTGAGTTATTTGAGTATCTGGGTTTTGCCTTTCAAAGGCAAAAAAAAAAAAAAAAAAAATAGCTATCTGGGTATATAGGAATGCAGGAAAAGGTGTTCTTAAGATCAAGTACAGTAAACCAAGCTGTGGTAGATGGAATTTATCTACAAAGGGTGTAAGGGTTTGGGACGATAGGATGAATAGGAATAACAGCTTCATTAATTATTCTAAGGTCCTGTACTAGTTGGCAGGAGCCATCTGGTTTACTTACAGCTCAAATAGGAGTGTTGCAAGGTGAGTTGCATGAGCTCAGTAATCCATGGGCTAAAAATTTTGTCATTTCAGGCTTTAACTATTTTCATGCTTCTGGTTTCAAGGATATTGGGGGATTCTGAGGAACTCATTGGGATTTTTAAGCTGAATGATGACAGAAACAGCTGATATTGAGCGGCCAGGAGCAGATGTATTCCAAACCTCAAATGGCATTTGTTTTAGAATGTGAGGTTCTATTGACTGCAGTGGCTCTTTTGGTGAAGTGTGAGTTAATACAGCTAGAAGGTGAGGTTATAACTGTAAATTCGCTTGTAATTTTGTGAGTAAGTCATGACCCAATAATGGAACAGGGCAGCTTGGCAGGACTAAAAGGAGTAGTTAAAGGATGAGTTTTCCATTTTGCAAGGGAGTGGCAGTGTGAAACAGCTACATTGGGGTTTTCCTTCAATACCCATGAGGGAAATGGAGGACTGGCACATTGGGTTACAATAAATGTTTAAAGTTGGACCCTGTATCTATGAGGAACATTATTTCTTGTTCAGCCACGATCAGATTTATCTGAGGCTCATCCATAGAAGTGGAAAAGACAGGGGCCTGGATAGCCTCACAGCCCCATCAGTCATCTAGAGGATGACTTTCAAAGTCTTGAGCATAACCCAGGAATAGTGTTAGAGGTGCTTGTCCTTGCCCTTGCCCTAGTCCTCGTTCTGCAGGAATTTCTCATCAGGTAGGTTGGCAAGGTTGTGGCTATGACAGCACAGAAAGAAGAGGTGGTCCCATCTCATGAGGGAAAGAGGGACAATCGCTCTTCCAATGGCCCTCTTGTTTGAAATGAAGACAGGGTCCTGAAAGCAGCTTGTAAGCCAGAGGTTTGGGACATTCTCTACTCCAGTGTCCTGGATTTCTGCAGCGATGACAGGCCTCCATACTATTAGTATTATAGGGACAAGCCTTGGGGTTGTTAGCTAAGGAGAAAGAATGCGCCAATGCTGCCACCATGTAATTAGCATGACAACAGCATTTTTCCTCCTCCAATTGAGCCTTTTTTATTTTTGATGTTTCCTCGCAGTTACTGAAAACCTTAAAGGCTGTATTTAACAATGTAAGAAAGGGAGTTTGTGGACCTTTATCTAATTTTGGGAGTTTTTGTCTGATGTCTCGGGAAGCCTGACTTATAAAATGTATGGCCAGAATGGATTGGCCCTTAGGGTTTTCAGTGTCTAAATTTGTTTATTTATTCATAGCCTCCACCAGTCTAGCTTGGAAAAGGGCAGGATTCTCATGGCTCCTGGGTGATTTCTCATACTTTAGAAAAATTAACAGGTTTTATTACAGCCTTTTTCATTCCTTCCAACAAGCAAGTTATCATATAATCTAATCTGCCCCACCTCTGTTTGGGCTGGCATTGGCATCCTGGTACTGCCAGCTGGGTTCTGTGTCGTGGACAGCTTCTGCCCCAGCTTTGTTATCATTAAGATTACAAGCATGAGCTTCATCTGCCCAAGCTTGAGCTAAGACCATATGCATGATTTTTCTTTTTCTTTTTTTTTTTTAGAAGTTTATCAATTTTTTTTTTATTTTACTTTAAGTTCCGGGATACATGTGCAGAACGTGCAGGTTTTTTACATAGGTATACATGTGCCATGGTGGTTTGCTGCACCTATCAACCCGTCATCTAGGTTTTAAGCCCTGCATGCATTAGATATTTGTCCTAATGCTCTCCCTCTCCTTTTGCCCCACCCCCCAACAGGCCCTGGTGTGTGATGTTCCCCTCCCTGTGTCCATGTGTTCTCATTGCTCAGCTCTTACTTATGAGTGAGAACATGCAGTGTTTGGTTTTCTGTTCCTGTGTTAGTTTGTTGAGAATGAAGGTTTCCAGCTTCGTCCATGTCCCTGCAAAGGACATTCTTCTTTATGGCTGCATATTATTCCATGGTGTATATGTGCCACATTTTCTTTATCCAGTCTATCATTGATGGGCATTTGGGTTGGCTCCAAGTCTTTGCTATTGTAAATAGTGCTGCAATAAACATACATGTGCATGTGTCTTTATAGTAGAATGATTTATAATCCTTTGGGTATATACCTAGTAATGGGATTGCTGGGTCAAATGGTATTTCTGGTTCTAGATCCTTGAGGAGTTGCCACACTGTCTTCCACAATGGATGAACTAATTTACACTCCCACCAACAGTGTAAAAGCATTTCTATTTCTCTGCATCCTTGCCAGCATCTGTTGTTTCCAGACTTTTTAAAGATCACCATTCTAACTGGTGTGAGATGATATCTCATTGTGGTTTTGATTTGCATTTCTTTAATGACCAGTGATAATTAGCTTTTTTTCATATGTTTGTTGACCTCATAAATGTCTTCTTTTGAGAAGTGTCTGTTCATACCCTTTGCCCACTTTTTGATGGGGTTGTTTGTTTTTTTCTCGTAAATTTGTTTAAGTTCCTTGTAGATTCTGGACATTAGACCTTTGTCAGATGGATAGATTGCAAAAATTTTTATATACATGATTTTTCTTCATGAGAACAACTAGTTAATAACACGAATATATCTTGCCAGGTTAAATCAAAGGCAATAGTTAAAGCCTGAAATTTCTGAATGAACTTAGAGGGATCCTGGCTAAATGAACTCAACTTGGATTGAATTTGTGAAAGATCAGACATTGGAAAAGAAAAATGAACTTGCGTTGTTCCCAAATCTCCATTTGCTACCTTGCAGAGAGGCAAAATATTTTTGGGATTTTCTGAGGACTCTGTACTACTAGTGGCATATGCGACTCCTGTGTGAGTATGTGAGGAGGATAAAGTATTGCATATGGTGGAAGTTGATTGGGGGATGGAACAGATGAAGAGGGTGTAAGTGCAGGGGGAACATTCTGAGGAGAGTGTGATAGACAAAAGAAACGATCATCTAAGACATCAGAATCAGGGAGAGAGGAACTTCCTTGGAAGCATACACGATGATTTTTATGTAATTTTGGGTTTTGGGATAAAGCTAAAAAGACCTGAACATCAGGTCAGAGGTATGGGACCCCTGATTATAAAAGAGAATTATACACTTTTTTTTTTGAGAGTTTGTGGGTTAAAATGGGACCAATTTTTAAGACTGAAACCTAATGGCAAGAAGGAATGAATTAAAGAATAAATTGAACCCATGTTGGGTTTTGGTAAGGGACTACAAGATCCCCGAGGCTTCCCTGAGGGATTTGGACGTCCCTTTTCCCTTCGACTCACTCTATTCAGGGGTGTCCCACCACAAATAGAGGGCCTACCCTTTCCTGGATGACCAGTACAACTGTTCCCTTGTTTGAGTGGTCAGCTCAAGCCTAATGTGAAGAACTCACCCGTAACTTGGGATGAGGTGCCTGTGATGAAGTTAAATGCAAAAGTGGGTCGGCAACCTGTAGAGTGTGTCTGTGCAGTGTTCAGATCACTGCTGCTCATTTCCAAGGCACAATTTACAGAGTGTTAAAAGTGGACTTGCCACCCTGACGGGTAATAGCAAATTCGCTCTTTAGTTATGCCATCGGGTATCATCAGTTCACATAATACAAGGGAGGGCCCTCAGCCGGAAACCCTCAATTGCCAACGAGTATTCAAGCTGGCTCACTGGCAGTCCAAAAACAGAAAAGAACCCTGGCTAGTCCGTCACCCCTAAGGACAGCAACAAAGTATAAGTATCCCTTCTCTAGGGCTTCAGGATCTCAGCCTTGGCCAAGGGCCTTTGGTTCCCAAGTGAAGAACCAGACCACTGAGGGAAGCAGGAGGACAAAGAAGGGAGAAATCTCAGTAAAGTCCCCATATGGTCAAGATGCCAGGCAAGGTGTCAGAGCCCTGGAATTGGGAGGAGTTTGAATCTCAGGTCGGTAAAAAGATCGGCACCAGTATAGGTTTGAAAAAGGAAAGTTTATTAGAATGTGGCAGAGGAGTGCAGTGGGAAGCCTCAGTGAGAGGACTGAGCGTGCTGTGGTGGATTTTTCACTGGAGAATTTGTGGACCTTAAGGCGGGAGCGTATGGAGAATTTATGGACCATAAGGCAGGAGCGTAGGGTTGTAAAATGAGTTTCCACATGGCATTCCAGAGATATATAGGAATTTTAGTTACTTATAAAAGTTGAAAGAGACCTGGAACCACATGCCGACTTTAGCTACCAGGGAAGTTTAATTACTTCTGATTTTCCCTAGATAAGGAGTTTTGCCTCCGGATGGCCTGCTTGATAGTCACCAGGTGGTCTTTGCTCCCTTCTAAATTCCTCAGATAAGGAGTTTTTGTCTCCGGGGCCTGTTCAATGATCACCACGTGATTTTGCTCTCCTCAATGGGTACATGCCTATGTTTGTATATTGTCTACATGGTGCCAAATTGATTTATGAATAAATGAGCACTTATTAAGCAAATAAGCCCAAATGCTTTTGAAGTTCACGTGACTTTAGTAATCACTGGTAATTAAAACTAGTTTTTAAAATGTTGGTAAAATAAAATTAGAATTTCTTCAGAATTGTATTAAATATAATTCAGACATTTTCACCTAGGTCTCTTGGTGAGACATATTTATACTGTTTCCACTAGATGTCTTAAGGTAACAGAGTTTGGTGACCAAACACTGTGGTTAGCACCTATAATCTCAGCACTTTGGGAGGTCAAGGCAGGAGGATGGCTTGAGCCAGGAAGTTTGATAACAGCCTGGGCAACATAGTGAAACTTTGTCTCTATAAAAAAAAAAAAAAAAAAAGACACATACAAAAAAACTGTTGCTTCTGTGAATTTTTTTTCTTTTCTTTCTTTCTTTTTTTTTTTGAGACAGGGTCCTACTCTGTTGCCTGGGCTGGAGTGCAGTGGCACAATCATAGCTCACTACAGCCTTGAACTCCTGTGCTCAAGCAATCCTCCTGCCTCAGCCACCCAAGTAGCTAGAACTACAGGTGTGTGTCACCATGCCTGGCTAATTTTTAAATTTTTTGTAGAGACAGGGTATCCCTATTTTGCCTAGGCTGGCCTCAAAACCTGGACTCAAGTGATGCTTCCACTTTTGCCTCCCAAAATGCTGGGATTATAAGCATAAGTCATATAAGCATAAGCTTATAATGGCCATGCTATGCCTGGCCATTTCTGTGATATTTTTGATGTTTGATTTGTCTTGGAGCCAAAGCTCTGAGGGCTGGCTGTTGGGCTTCCCTGAAGCCTTGAACACATCTTACTGTGAGCTTATATCTTTGGTTTGAGCCTTTAGATTCTGGGATCTAGACAAGTGGCCCTGGTGAAGCCTGAAGACATACATATGTCCACAGTGTCTAGGCTGTCAGGTGTAGGGCAAACCCAACGTATCCTCCCTGGCCAAGCTATGCCTCCTGGTTATGTTGGGTAGGGTCGGACCCTCCAGGCATCCTCTTCATAGCTCTGCCCTCTCTCCTAAGCTCTAGACCTGGTATGTAAATTCAGGACCCAGATGAGCTCCACCCTTTACAGCCATCCTCGTTGCCATGTGGGTACTTGGGACCCAGGATGACTGGGGAAGACATTAGAGAGAATTCCTGTGTTATTTTAAAGTTATGCTGTATTAAATTAATAGATAAGCATAAGATGTCAGAGTCACTTCTAAGTTAAAATACTGAAATATTATTTCTAAGTTAAAATACTGAACTATTAATCTCTAAACATAAGTTTAAGTTTGTATATTTTAGCATCTTGTTTTTATGTGGTATAGAAAAACTAATTATATTTATATGTTAATTAAAAAATTTATCTACAACTACTGATATAAAACAGTTTGAAATTACTTTCTAGGTTTTTCACTAGAAATTAAGGTTACTAAGAGTTAAAATTGTAATTAACAAATGTAATTAAAATTACTAGATATAAGAGAAACAATTGTGTATACAGAGTGTATAAGAAAAATAGGATGAATTTTTGGTAGAAAGGATTATGAAGGAGGCATGAGAATATGTTTTTTTGTTAAAAAGAAAGTAATTTTGTCCAGAGGTTTTTAAAGGTTGTTTTAAGTTGAAGAGATTTAAAAAACGATAAAACTGAATGGATATAGAAAATTGAGGAAAGAAAGAAAATTGAAAAAAATTATGAGTTTATAAAATGTTTATAGAAATGTTGTGTGGTGAAAGCTGATTGAGATGAGATGAATTAGCATTTCCATTGTGTATACTACCCTCAGTCTTCCAGACTGGTGGGATGCACAAATGGAAAATACAAAATCAATTGGCAAAGCTTACAGAAACGTCTTACCTTCCTTGGCCTAAGACTCTTTCATTTGCTTAGCTTAAATTCTACCCTGCTTGGAATACATCAGCTCTCTCCCATTGAAGTGATAATGAGAAGGCCCATGCCCCTGAAAAAAGGAGCTTACAAGCTAGCTCTCCTTAAAGGTGGTGTTCTTAAAAAAAAAAAAAAAGAAAAAGAAAAAATAAAAATAAGTAATCTTATGTCTGGGTGCGGTGGCTCACGCCTGTAATCCCGGCACTTTGGGAGGCCAAGGCAGGTGGATCACCTGAGGTCAGGAGTTCGAGACCAGCCTGGCCAGCACAGTGAAACCCCCATCTCTACTAAAAATACAAAAATTTAGGCGGGCGTGGTGGCACATGCCTGTAATCCCAGCTACTCGGGATGCTGAGGCAGGAGAATTGCTTGAACCAGGGAGGCAGAGGTTGCAGTGAGCCAAGATTGCACTACTGCACTCCAGCCCGGGCAACAGAGCGAGACTCCATCTCAAAAAAGAAAAAAAAAAAAGAGTAATCTTCATCTCTGTCCTCCCATAACACACTATTTCTATCTTTGACCTAACTTGTTTTCCTTTTGTTATTTAATTATACATCTCATTTTGTCAGAATATGTATAATACTATCTGTATCTCTTAGTATTTTTATTTTTTTCAGTTTTGTAGAGAAGTCTTGCTATGTTGCCCAGGCTAGTCTCGAACTCCTGTCAAGTGATCCTCCCGCCTCCCAAAGTGCTGAGATTATAGGCACGTGCCACAGTGCCCAGCTCTTCTGGTATTCTTACACAGGGGCTTGATTAATAAATGTATTTGCTGAATAGGGATCGAGTTATTTTTGCGTGTATGTGATTTTCCTGTTCCTGCCATTAGATGGCAGTGCTCAAACTTAGTAGTACAAAGAAATTCCAGGTTTTAAAAATTAAATAGGATTCTGGGTCTGTGGTCTTATCTGCTTTGAAACAATATTGCCTTAGCATGCTATAACACAAACTACCAAACGACCTTGTTTGTTCACTGCTACTATATGAAACTTCTCTTTCTGTATGGACCTCTTTGGTGTGTGGAAGAAAGACTTTCATTAAAGTTCTGAACCTTAGCCTATGCAGTCAGCTAGCATTTACAAATTATCGTGTAGAGCAGATTTGTGATTATCTAAATCTATGGCATTACCTACCAAATGTATAACTGTTACCAGTGCTACTGTGCTACTACCTTAATATTTGAAAGGTTAATTATCTCTTTTTTTTTTTTTGAAACGGAGTCTCGCTCTGTCGCCCAGGCTGGAGTGCAGTGGCACAAGCTCTGCTCACTGCAAGCTCCGCTTCCCGGATTCACACCATTCTCCTGCCTCAGCCTCCCAAGTAGCTGGGACCACAAGCGCCTGCCACCACCCCCGGGTAATTTTCTGTATTTTTAGTAGAGACGGGGTTTCACCATGTTAGCCAGGATGGTCTGGATCTCCTGACCCCGTGATCTGCCCGCCTCGACCTTTCAAAATGCTGGGATTACAGGCGCGAGCCTCCGAACCCGGCCGATTAATTTTCTTTTAAAGCAAAGAACAGTAGAAACTTTATTCGATTTTCTATTTTCTCCCAACTCCCATTCTCTTTTGTTTTTGAAGAACAGCAGAATGAAATGAGCTCCAGGACCCATCCAAGTAGGATATGATGGTTTGAACAGATTCCAGCATGGAACAAAGTTTCCATATTTTGCCTGAAGTCTTTCATTCATATGATTCTTCTAATGCTTCCTGGAAAATTCCAAGAACTTGATGTGAAATTATGCTTAACAGAACACCCAATTGGCCTATGGCAGGTGCATTAGTCCATTCTTGCACTGCTATAAAACAAAGAGGTTTAACTGGCTCACGGCTCCGCAGGCTGTACAGGAAGTCCGACGGCTTCTGCTGGGCTTCTGGGGAGGCCTCAGGAAGCTTACAATCATGGCAGAAAGCCAAGGTACAGCAGGCACGTCTTATATGGTGGGAGGAGTGGGGCGGGGGTGGGGGGGCGCCACACACTTTTAAAGAACAGATTTCACCAGAACTCACTATCACCAGAATGGCAAAAACAGGGAAATCTGCCCCCATGATCCAACGACCTCCAACACTGGGGATTACAATTCCACATGAGAGGTCAGGTGGGGACATAGATCCAAACCGTATCAGCAGGGTTAGAATAACTTTTTTGTTTTCCTCCTAAGTGTTGGGCTTATTCGTAGGGAGAGTATGGTAAGCCAAATAAAACTATAGTATACATAGTATTTTTCATATAGTATACATATTTTTATATGTAATATGAAAATAATGTGTCCAAAGGAAGGTGAGTGGAAACTACAGCAAAATACCAGAGTCTTTCTTTAGAAAAGGACAGCTTCTATTTTGATGTAAGAGTATGGCTCCTCATTAGCCCTAACTTGGACTACAGAATGACTTCTTCTGAGCAGAGCTTATAGGAGAAAATTTTGATAATAAATCAGGACTGATGACGTTTTTGTTTTTTGCCTGAGAATTTTCTCAGAGTTTCTCTGAGAAACTGTATCACAAAATTCCTATTAGATTGCTCTTATGTAGACAACTTGAAATTATTGGCAATTTCCAATTTAGCAAAATGTTGGCTATAATAACTTAGTGAATTACGACAATAACCCGTTTCTCTTAGGTTTCTGATATTTAAGTGTCCTTACAGGAGAAAGATGAAGTTATCTTATAATTGTCCAGCTCAACTGCTCATCTTCTTAGCATAAACACTGATTTGGAAAATACTTTGCGTATCACACGTAGGAGCCTGGGAATGTTCTCATCCGAACTAAACAGTGGTTAAAGGTTTTTCAACAAAGTTCTTGCTGCAATATCTGTTTTCATACCCAATTACTCAAACCAGGTCCTCTTCCTCTTTGCTTCCTCTCCTTGCAATGCCCTTCCCTCTCTTCCCTAAACTGGAGAACTTACTTATGCTTAAGATTCAGCGCAATTGTCACTCCCAGGTGAAGGCTTTCTCAACAAGGCCTCCCCGTCTGCTCCCAGAGCTCATGGCAAGCAGCTCGGCTTTTATCAGAGAATAATGGGATTATCTATTTTCCTGTAGGTCTTGCCCCGGGGGTGTAAGCTTCGAAGGCGGAGACTGTGTCTTTTACATTTTTTCCCGTTTTTATTGCCCAGCCAGCCCATGTAGGTGACTCTCGGTGTTTCCTAGGCGGCCAAACTGAAGGAGTTTCAGCTGGCACAGGGGTTCCCGCCAACCGAGCGTTTAAAAATAAGCAGCGGGGGACGTTAGGGAACAGAGGGTGTCCCTCACGACGACCGACTCTCATCAGGTCCACGCCGGCAGAAGCGATTTTGCAGTTTGCTTTGATGAGGAAAACGCTCTCCCTGAAGAGTCCCTGCACTATTTCTCCAACTCTGTGACCGAGACGCTGTCCACTTTTCTCTAACGGTGACAGGAAGTCAAGGGGAAAACGTGGGATTCAAAGGTTTGAAGGTAACAGCCCTCAGCCACTCGGGCTCGAGGCCCGCGGTTGACCCGAGCTGATGTCTGTGAGGAGAGGTCGCGCGGCGCCTTCCTCTCCACGCGCCTGAGATCCCACCCGTGGCCGCCGCGCCCTCAACTGCCTTCTCCTTCGGTGCCCCGCCCACCCCTGGGCGGAGAGCACCGTTCTCGCGAGAACGCTGCTGGCCTCGCCTCTTCGCATTGTGAGCTCTCGCGGTAAGAGGCTGAGGAGCCGGCCTGCAACCTGCCGGGGCGGCTCCGCTACGCGCAGCCGCCTCAGTGGCTTCCTCCACAGCCACCTCCGGAGGGATCTGGCTGAGGAGGAAGTGGAGGTGTCACTGGCCCCGGCCTTTGCCCCAATCTTGTGTGGGCACTGAAGGGGGACTACAGGTTCGAGAGTGAGTGGACTCAGCTGGGGAACTCGGCGGGGGCGGCGCGGGAGGCTGGGCTTGGCCGGGGCGAAAGAGGAAAGGGGCGGAGGGCGAATCTGGGCGTGAGAGCCAGGCTGCTGCGGCGGTGGTCTGGGCGGCCGGACCCTGCTCGGGTACCGTGGGTGGCGTTTTGGGCTCCGGCCACGAGCACCCAATTAGGAGAGGCCGGGATAAGACTTGAGTTTTGCGGCTGCTGCTTTTGGGTTGGGAGTCCGGGGGCCTTTCTCCGGGGATGAAGGCGATACCCTCATCCCTTTCCAGGGCAGAGGAACCCCGTGCCCCGCCCCTTTCCTGTCATCTCAGACGAACGCAGCGACATCCTGAGGAAGGCGCATCACAATAGGGGATAAGGTGGTGGGCAGCCTCCCTCTGGGTGAAGAGGAGTGAGACCCCACTAACGTGCTGCGTGGTTTTATGTTGTAACCATTTTACGTGTGGTAAAGCTTTGTTTTCTTAAAACTTGCACGGAAAAGGTTCTGATGTCTTTCTTCTTCAGATGCAGGTGCCCTGACACCCTTATCTTTGGGAATGGGGCGGGGGAAGGTGAGACATCGGTTAGTAATTTGTTAGTGTGGGCCAGTGTGACTGTCCCTGGGCCTCACAGATTTCCTGCTTCTCCTTTCTCAGTATTCTGAGTCCATGATGAAAAGTCACTAGTCCAGACATGCTGAAAGATAGAGCTTCACTTGCTTGTGGCTTTGTGCACTTAGTAAACAAGATTATTTTACGAAGATTTATTATCTTGCAGAGTTTTCATGCTTTTTATTTAAATTAGCAATCTAAATGAAACAGCACAGGATATTAATTGTATTTGGACAACTGAGTTCCTTCCCGCCCCTATCCTCCCAACCCCCCAACTACACAAATTTGATCAAAATCTTTTAGAGAGGGGGTTAGGGATAAATTTTCAATGAAAGAGACTGTGGAAATCGGAATAAGAGATATAATAAAGAATGCAGCCATAACGGCCAAAAGAGTTTCTGTATTAGAGAGCCTGTCCAGGATTGAAGTTCAGTCCTGAAACCCAGGACTGCAGTTGTCATTTGAATATAAAGCGGAAAGCAGTAGAAAATACTTGGGAAGGGATTTGAAAGTGGACCAAGACTGGTAAAAAAAAAAAAAAAAAAAGTGTGAGAAGAATTATTTCTGATGATGTAAATGTGTTTTATAAATTTTCCCAATATTTCTCAGCGTGTATGACCTAACAGCTATTATATTAATACATACAAAGTAGGAAGGAAGTTTCTGAAGCATGGAATGTGGTAAGGAACCACCAGAGAGTAACAGTGTTCAATCAGGAAAGCTTTTAGTGTTTCAACAATGTTTTTGTGTTCGTTCACCTTTTTTCTCACTCCCAGAAAAGCTTTCAGATAGACTTCTAACCCTATGTAATTATGTTACCCTTCCACCAGTCTGAATTTTCTTCTTTCTCACTCCCTCTAAGCCATGTGAATTTTTTAAATTATTAACTATGGAGTTGCAAACCACTGTGGTCTGCTTTTGGCTTTTTATAATAGGTGACTTAGGGAAGTATGGAAGTGATATGGAAAATATTGTGCACCTTTCAAAGCCATAGCATGAGCAACAAACTCACATGCCTTCGGGTACTAGTTAGATAATGAAAATGAGGGAAATGCACTATGCCTTATCAGAGAGACATCCAAGTCTCAGGTCCCCCTAATCAGTGCTATATAAGAATATGGACCCCATCTTCAGCATTCTCAAGAGAACTCGGAAATCTAGATTTTTGCATTCAGTGTCTTGCGTCTTAAAAATATTGACAACTAATTAAAACCATTAAAAATATCATGTGACTGAATCAAATCCAAACCTGTCCATAGTTGTATTCTCCTCTCCAGTTTAGAAGCTCTGTTATAAATCAAAATTAATAAATTTTATGACTGGAAAAAAAGGAGGTTTAAAGCAAGTTTGGAGTTTCAAACTTAAGGGGTCTTGGGAAAAATGTCACATCTAATTGAAAACAGTAGTTAAGTTTAATAGCCTTTAAGTATAGTTATAGTAGGGCAATTTGAACTGGTATTTACTATAAACGTTTTAACTGTGGAAATAACTGAAGAAAAAGCATCTCAGTATTTATGGTTTAAAAACTCAGAGTTCTGAGCAAAGCTGATTTATAGGTATCTTGTACAGAAATTGAATTATTTAGAAGCTCTTTATTGTATTTGCAGCTAATATATAAAATTAAATACAAGAGACCCTCTACAGTCCATTTCAGGATTTGAATGTTTATTGTTTGCTGTGCTATCCCACATTGTCTTCCTAGGCATTGACTTACTGGAAGAAATACTGATCCCTTGGATTTTATTCCATGCCAGATGGAGATTGGAGGGGTTTGGCAACAGGATGGAAAGAACTGGGTGGAGAAAGTGTGATGTGAAGCAAACACTCTTGTGCCCCTTCCTTACATTGTTCATTAAAAGATTGATTTGTGTTAGTTTTTCTTGTAAGAAGGATAGGTATATTAATTGATTAAACTTAGTGCCTTATACATAGTAGAGTTTAATGACGTGTGGAATTGACCTTTGTGGATTAAGCCTCATTTACCCATTAATGTGAAGTAATTTAATCACATAATCTGATTCATACCTAGTTGGGTTATGGGGAATGGGAGTGCTAGAGGTCAAAGCTAAGTAAGAGGTGTTTTTTAGGCATATAGAGGGCAAGTTGGGGGTCTTCACTTGGGATAAGGGTGAGAGAGGAAGTTAGGTAAGGGAGAGAATTTTGAAAAGGAAGATGAAATGATTAAGTACCCATTTGTGTATTGTGCAGTTTTAAAAAGAGGTCTGCCTTTTGTGGCTAAATTTATCATAACTTGTGCAGAGACTACATAGAATACTGGTTTTTAATCAGGACTGCTATGGGAATTTGCAGATTTTCTTTTCTTCATTTTAGCTCAGTCATCTCAGGCCAAGCTAGGCTAATATCTGTTCATTCAATCTCTGCCTCTCTCTGAAATAGGAAATGAAAGAAGAGGAGATATGTATTATGTTTGTGAGGTGCTCCTGTTGAAGAGTTATAAGACTACTTCTGAGGAATTTGTTTTATATTTGAGAAGATTGTGCTTGTTGAAGGGGGAACCATTATTTTCGTCTTTACTTGTTTCTACCATGACTCATAAAGTAGGAAGTTCTTTTTTGGAAATAGCTTTCCGCTTCTTCCCATCCCCTGAGTTGCCATCCCAAAGGAGGATCAGGGGAGGCTAAGGGAAGGGATTGAGTATACTTTTGTTCAGTGCCTTATGATTCAATTTTTGGGACTCTCAATTCTTAGGCTATACATTGTCTATTCATTTGTATGGTAGGCTTATCTGAGCAGGCTGGACTACTAATACTATGAGGGAGAAGGAAATGGAATGCCTACAGTTCTAACTGGGTAAGTTTAATTTGCAGTTGAAGTAATAAGGGTTTTTGCACGTTGGATTTAGTTATATTTTTACCATCATCTGTTTGGATCCTTTATTTTTTGTTGATTCTGAACCGAAAGTAAGGCGGGTCAGGAAGATACAGATGTTACCTTCTCCTGTTAATGGAGAAAGAACTATTAAAATTTTTCTCCCTTTTTAATAGATTCTTCATCAGGGTTCAAGCCAATGTTGCATTTCCCCTAGTGTATCTTGCTCGGGTTTACTTTGAGATCCTTGAAACTGAGACCTAGTTTGCTAAAGAATGTAGCAATCAGCCAGCCAGGCATGGTGGCTCACGCCTGTAATCCCAGCACTTTGGGAGGCCGAGGCGGGCGGATCACGAGGTCAGGAGATCGAGACCATCCCGGCTAAAACGGTGAAACCCCGTCTCTACTAAAAATACAAAAAAAATTAGCCGGGCGTAGTGGCGGGCGCCTGTAGTCCCAGCTACTTGGGAGGCTGAGGCAGGAGAATGGCGTGAACCCGGGAGGCGGAGCTTGCAGTGAGCCGAGATCCCGCCACTGCACTCCAGCCTGGGCGACAGAGCGAGACTCCGTCTCAAAAAAAAAAAAAAAATAAATAAATAAAAAAATAAATAAATAAATAAATTTTAATGCTCAGATACCTGACAGAGAATCTTAGGTACAAAATTGTACAAGCGTTGTTATGATTTTCTTGTTTTTGGGTGGCATACAAATAGTGCTGGATTGTTTCAAAGGTAATTACTTCATTCAGACAATTTATTTTATACAATGCAGGCTTGAATTTGATTTTTCTCACATCAAGAAAGCAAGCGATATGATCTGTTTCTTTCAGCTATTCATTTGTTCATTTAGAATTTTCTTAGAGAAGACCATAACCTCCTGTAAGATGGTTAACTGCGAGACATTCTTGTTTCTTACTTAGTTTTCCAAATTGTTGGAGTTTCTCTTTTAAAAGAGAATAATTATTAGAGAGACTGGTGGGATTATGAAACCATAATACTGAAAGTAACTTTAAAACCATTAATACTCCAATTTTTGGAAGAGAAAACTAAAGTGCAAATCAAGCCCCTTAACTGATTTTGATCAAAGATATTGGCAGGCAGTAAGACAGCTGAGACTAGAATACAAATCCACAAGTTTCCTGATTTGGAGTAGTTTGTTCCAGTGATTCCCCCTAGTGGGTTGCATGTGCTTTTGGGGATATATGAAAAACTTGTTCATTGTGCTGTATGAAGAAAACAATAGAACTTCTATTTATTTTTTACTGTATCCTTTTTAAATTTCCATTTCGTGTGTGTGTGTACTATATACATAATACTGGTGTGATAGTATATGTGCATTGTTTATAAATATACATATATACAGCTGTCCGTGTTACTTGAACTCAACATATTAAGAAAAGGAAAAACTGCCATATTTTAAAGTGGTATGGCATCTTTGATCATCTTTGCTTCCCTAGTGAATGATATTATTTAACAGTAGACTGGAACAGTTTTTTTTTTTTTTTTTTTTTTTGAGATGGAGTCTCATTATGTTGTCCAGGCTGACCTTGAACTTCTGGGCTCAAGTGATCCTCTCACCCCAGCCTCCCAAGTAGTTGGGATTATAGGCACATACCGCCACACTCAGCTTGAATGGCTGTTAATTTTGAAACTGTTTTATGATGAGTAGTTTGAAAAATTTCCTATAAAAATAGATTTATTTGGAGTAATTTCTTTCTGACTGTAAAAGTAATGGGTATTACATGCAACTGGGAACATTTAGCAAAGGGCAAAGAAGAAAATGGTACCATAATCCCATGACTCAGTGATAATTGCTTCCAGTCAGAAATATATGTGTGTACACAGATACATACATACACATATGAATATTACATACACCCCTTATTAATTTATTTGGAGTATGTAAGTCATTATGTGGTTCAAATATCTAAAGTATATCGAAAGAGAACTCAGAAGTCTTGATTACATCCCTATTACCTTCACCCCAGTCCTACTCTGCCCATATAGGTAACCATTTTGATTAATGTCTTTTTTATACTTTGAGTTGTTTTCTTTACAAAAATAAATACATGTGTATTTGTCTTTGAATATATGTACATATTTTTAAGTTTACCCTTTATGTTACAAAAGGTAGTACAATGAATACTGCTTGTTCTGTACCTACCTGTTTTTTGCTGTTGCTGTTTAACCTAACGATGTATTTTGGATATTAATCCGTTATTCTATTGTGTGGATGCATGTAGTTTATTCAGTTAACTCCTTTTGATGCACATTCCGATTGTTTTAGTCTTTTACCATTACAAATAATGCCACAGTGAATATATTTACAAATATTTTATGGAATATTAGTGGAGTTGTATCATCTTTGAAGTAGGACTAGTAAGTGTATGTGTAGTATTGTTGGATATTACAGAATTCCTTTCTACCAGGGTTATATAATCTGTGTTTTTCTTTTTATTTTATTTATTTATTTATTTAATTTTTTTTGAGACAGGGTCTCACTCTGTCACCTAGGCTGGAGTGCAGTGGCATGATCACCGCTCACTGCAGCCTTCACCTCTCAGGCTTAAGTGATCCTCCCACCTCAGCCTCCCAAGTAGCTGGGACTACAGGCATGTGCCACCATGCTTGGCTAATTTTTGTATCTTTTAGTAGAGATAGGGTTTCACCATGTTGCCCAGGCTGGTCTCAAACTCCTAGGCTCAAGTGATCTGTCCACCTCAGCTTCCCAAAATGCTAGGATTATAGGCGTGAGTCACTGCGCCAGACCCTCATTTGTACTTTTCATTGGCAGTGTATGCCAGTATTGAGACTGCTTCTCCACAGCTTCACCAACAGAGTATATGGCCAAAATTGGAGGTGTTAATTTGCATTTCTTTTATGAGTGAGGTTGAACATATTTTTATGTTTAAGGCCATTTGCCTTTATTTTTCTGAGGATTGCCCATTTCTTTGTGCATTGTCTGTTTTGGAGAAGAGAAATTGTCTTTTTCTTTCCTTCTTTAAGGAACTCTTTATATACTATGAAATTAGCCCTTTTAAAAAAATTACTTGTTTTTAAAACTTTATTTTTTTCTGTGCTTTTTGCAAGTAGTGGTGTTTTTCGTAGGCAAATAGGAAAGGCTTTCTCTCCTTCCCGGTTGTCAGTGAAATCACCCATAATTTTTCTAGTATTTGTATGATTCCAGTTTTTACATTTAGATAGTTGATTTCATTTGGAGTATATCCTTGTATGTGGTATGAGGTACGAATTCAGTTTCATGTTTTCCTGAATGTTTATTCAGTTGTCCCAATACCATTTATTAGTGTCTGTCTTTTCTCGATGACTTGAGCTATCACTTCATCATATATTGAAGTTCTTTATGTTTTAGGGCTCTGTTTCTGGGCCTTTAATTCTCTTCTATTGGTTGGTTTGTCTATTCATGCACCACAGACTTTCAATTATTGAAATGAACCTTAATTCAAAGATCTTTGAATATAACAACATTTTTAATTTTATTAAAGTGGAATGCTACCTATAGTACCAAGACACAAAGATGTGTAAAATGTTTCTTTGTGAGCAAGTGTTTTGTCTCAGGGCAAATTTTAGATTCCTTAAACTTTTCGGACAGTGCAGACGTAGAACATTTCCATTATCACACTGTTGTGATAATGGAAAGTCGCGCTGAGCAGTGAGTGCTACAGTCTAGAACTTGAATCATATTTAATAGAGCCTTTACTAGCCTGTTGAATTGATGGCTGATAGACAAAAATCGGAAAGGAATGGAAGGTAAGGGGAATAATGAATAGGTCAAAATGGAACAGCATAATAAAGGTTATATGAAAAAACATAAAGCATCATGGAAGGAAAAAATATTGTTTAAAATATTGTCTGACTTTGTTTAAAGGGTGTTGCTTCTTAGGAGTTGACCATAATCTCCTTTGATTTAGGCATCAGCTTCAGGAGCATTGCCTGTATTAATTGATATTATGTCAAGATGGTTTGCTTCAACTAAGGTGTTTCTGGTTTTGAAGTCAACACTTTTTGGTCATAGTAGAAAATTAAAACATTGTTATTTCTTTAGGATATTAAAAAAATATGCCTTTTGAGTTTTAAGAAGGTAGCCTATAAACTAAACAGTGTCTAGTTACTTAACAATGCTAATCATGTAATGTAGGTACTTTGTAAATGCTTAAAATATGGAAAGATTTTCAAACATTTATTGAGCTGTTTGTGATGGGAAAGAAACAAATGAATAACACTTCATTTATTGAAGTGTTAATGTGTTAATTAAGAAGTCAGCAAAATTTGAATAGAAATTCTATAAAAGTGATAAAATCAATTAGCACAAAGATTTTATATCCAAATCACCTCTGGAACATTAAGGGTTGACTGAGCTGACTTTGGAAGTCTTAACATCTTGGTGAATTAGAGATCACCCTTTAAGTGGACAACAGGGCTGGGCGCAGTGGCTCATGCCTATAATCCCAGCACTTTGGGAGGCCAAGGCAGGCAGATCACTTGAGGTCAGGAGTTCGAGACCAGCCTGAACAACATGGTGAAACCCTGTCTCTACTAAAAAGAATACAAAATTAGCCAGGTGTGGTGGCACACGCCTGTAATCCCAGCTACTTGGGAGGCTGAGGAAGGAGAATTGCTTGAACCCGGGAGGCAGAGGTTGCAGTGAGCTGAGATTGCATCATTGCACCCCAGCCTGGGTAACAAGAGCAAAGCTCCGTCTCTAAATACATAAATAATTAAATACAAATAAATAAATAAACAACAGATCCTACTTTTAATGGAAATACCATGCAGTTTTATTAAATCTGTTTGTTAGAGTCTCCCTAGCAGTTATCAAAATGCCTGAAAGGTGCTTAAGTACTCAATAAATAAATTTTGAATGAAAGAATAAATAAATTTTATTTTATTTTTAAAAATCTTTTTAATTTTAAAATTTTTATTTAATTTATTTTTTTATTTTTAGACCTGGGGGTCTCATTATGTTACCCAGGCTTGCCTTGAACTCTTGGGTTCAAGCAATCCTCCTGTCTCAGCCTACCAAGTAGGTGGGATTATAGGTGCATGCCACCATACCTGGCCACTTTAATTTTATATGGTGAAATTAGATACTTACAATTCAATTGGTTATAAAAATATCCTGAATAAAGTTCTCAGCTAAGCTTGTCTTGTTTTAACTGTAACAAATCAGAAAAGGTCAAGCCTTAACAATTGAAAGGGCTTCTGTGAGATTTAAATAGGCACATCTTTGAGGAATGTTTTGGGGAAACTTAGGGCTTGTTTGGTAATAGCTTGAAAAATGTTTTCAGGGATGTGATATTTTCTGTCTTTTATCCCCACTATCTTGATATGTATTTCCTGAGAGCATTAGAAATTGAATTGTTATAATTTTTGCTTATTTGAGAGTGAGAGTCACATGATTGGTGCTCTTTGCAATAACTAAAACATGAGTACAGGTATATGACAGTATTCTTTTAAGACAACTAAAAGTTAAAGACTGCTTATAAATCTTTGTAATTCTTATTTCCTCTGCACTAGTAAATTATATTAAGTGAAATGTCCTTCAGTTTCTTTCTTCTTCTTTTTTTGTTTTTGTTTTTGAGATGGAGTCTTGCTCTGTTGCCCAGGCTGGAGTGCAGTGGCGCGATCTTGGCTCACTGCAACCTCCACCTCCCAGGTTCAAGCGATTCTTCTGCCTCAGCTTCCTGAGTAGCTGGGATTACAGGTGCCCGCCAACACGCCTGGCTAATTTTTATATTTTTAGTACCAGTGGGGTTTCACCATGTTGATCAGGCTGGTCTTGAACTTCTGACCTCGTGATCCACCTGCCTCGGCCTCCCAAAGTGCTGGGATTACAGGTGTGAGCCACCGCACCCAGCCTCTTTCTTCTTAATGTAGTTAACATTTTGTAAAAGCTTACATACAAATTGTGCTAGGCTGTGGGGACACAAACCTGAATCATACTTTGTTCTTGCCCTCAAGGATCTTATAGTCTAATGGGGTACATGTGGCAGAAACATATTCTATCAATGCATATGTAGTGACTATATTTAAGCAATCCAAAAAAATTTACAAAACTACACTTAAGCAGTAAAATTAAACAAGGAAGAAAATTTCTATAGCACTATCACCTCCAAACACTTTTTAATAAACCTTCCTCAATATTATCATTTTGAAAATAATATGTAGAAAATTCAAGTAGTATGAAGGGATACAACAAAAAGTAAGTCTCCTTATTCCAGCATTTTCTCAGAGGCAACTAGTTTTAATTTTATGTGATATTTCTAGACATTTTATCTTAACATATACAAGCATGGATGAGTGTGTGTGTGTATGTGTATTTAATTTTTAAATTTTCTTTTTTCTGTTTTTTTGTTTTTGTTTTTCTTGTGTGTAAATATGGGATTACATAATGCATATCTGTGTCTTGCTTTTTAGCTTAACAATATATTTTGAAATATTTTCTGTATCTGTATCTATATATCTTATTTTTACTGGTTGCATGATATATTGTGCAGAGTTTTAACCGATAAACTAGATGAACATTTAGATTGGTTCTAGATTTTTTCTAGGACAAATAATACTGTGTATCATGTCAGGGAGAGAAAGGAGATGTATTCATTATGTATATATGTGTGTATTAGTGTAGTTATACCATGTGTAATTATACCATGTATAATTAAACAAGGGCTGAGCAAAATCTTAAAACTTTTAGTCATGAATGAACTAATAAAATATACACAAAATTTATATTAGGTTGCCTACTAAAGACAGTAAGCATTGTGCCTAGCACTGTGTTATATAAGGTATCCTGTCTAACAGTTTGATGGTTAAAATAATAATAGATTAAATAATGAGAATTGTGTTATTTTCTTCATTTCACGTTTAAGGAAATTGCGGTCTTGAATGTTAATAAACTTTTACACAGTTATACAGGTTTTTTTCTGATTCTAAAACGTCTTCATTACTCACTGTTGTGGCAGAAGTAGAAATGAAAACTCACCAGTTTTCCTTATCAAAAGTTTATGTATGTCGTTTGTGGCAGTGGAAGGATGGCTATTAAGTATGCTTGCTATGGTAATGAGACAGTGTGATTGGGGTTTTTGATCAAAAAGTGGTTTCATTATGCCTTGCTGATATATTTGATGCTGCTTTTATGTATTAATTAAAATCATTGCTGATTTTTTCTTTTAAAATTTAAATGCAATAAAATTATTTCTTTCTGATATACAGTTCTGTCAGTTTTGATAAAAGCATACAGGTGTTTACCACTACCACAATTAAGGTACAGAATAGTTCATCACTCACCAAAATTACTTTGTGCTGTCCCTGTGTAATCACTTCAGCCTTAACTCCTGGCTGATCTGTTCTCTGTCTTTATAGTTTTGTCTTTATAGTTTTGTCTTTCATACATATGAAATCATATGGTATGTAACCTTTGAGTCTGGCTTCTTTCACTTATCTAATGCTTTTAAGATTCATTCATGTTTTGTGTGTATTCAATAACTTACCTACCTTTATTATTAGATACTGTCCCTCCTGTCTCTGAATCTCTTTTCAATTTTCTTCAATCTTTCTTGCTCTTTATTCTATGGATTGGGTAGTTTCTATTGATCTGTTTTCCAAGTTCCCTGATGGTTTTTTTTGTTATCTCCATATGCCATTGTACCCATCTAATTTTTCATTCTAGTTATTGTTCTTTTCAGCTAGAGCTGAATTTCCATTTCTTTTGACAGTTGGCACCTCTCTACTGAGATGCCCTTTGTGTCAGTCGTCAAGACAGTGCTCTTCTTTTAGTTCTTTGTATAGGCTTTTTCTTTAATTGTTTGAATATATTTATAATAGGTGCTTTGAAGTCTTTGTTTGCTAAATCTAACATCTGGGCCAACTTGGAGTCAGTTTCTGTTTTCTGCCTTTTACTGTTTTAATTTTTTGCATGTCTTATAATTTTTGGTTGAAACCTGGACATTGTAATATTTTTATGAGGACTTGTTGTTGTTGTTTTGTTATTGTTTTAGAGAATGTTAACTTGCTTGGATTCAAACTGCAAACTTGTTTCCCCTGAAGTGTATAGCAGCTGCCATCTGTGCTTATTTCTTACTTCTTCCAACTACTTACTTTTTTAGCTTGTTTTCCTGGGGGTCAGGGCAAAGGGAAGGCTTTTCTGCACCTGTAATTTGGTGGTCAGCCAAGAATTTGGGCAGAGATTGTACTCACATTTTGGAATTCACCCTCTCTGTGGGTTCTTTACTTCTGGGAATTCCCTCTTAATCTTTACCTGCTAGTGGTGGTCTTTGTCCTCTGATACCCTAACCAGTAAGGGATTCAGCTTTCTGCTGCTGGAGGTGTATACAGTTGGGGAATACATTCAGCTTAGAAAGCATCAAAATCATGTCTCATGCCATGCAGCTTTCAAGGGCAGAGTTCTCTATGGTCTCTGCCTGCTTTTTCTGCCAGGCTACCTGATGTCCCTCCCCTACCTCCCGTACATGTGTATTTTAGCTATCAGCCAGGGATTTGAGCAGAGTTTATGCTCAGATTTTGGGCCTGCACTTTTCTTTGTTTCTTTCACTTCCACTACATCTACCTGAAATTTCAGCTCTGAGGTTTTCTCTGCCACTTTGAGCTGTGTGGCTGCCTGGTTTCCTTCACCATATTTGTGAGGGATGGGGAGGCCACTCAGCAAAAAAACTTCAAACTGAACTCGTGATTCTGTTGCTTCTAGTTGTAGTTTTTCAAGAGTAAGCTCTTCTTTCACTACTGTCTGCTTTTGGACACTTTCAAGTGCTTTTAAATAGTTGTTTTTTATAGTATACCTAGATTTAAATAATTGCTTTCTGTTGGAGGTGTGCATGATCACTTCACCTGGCTGTGTTTGCGAGAAGTTTCTTTCCGTCTGTCTGATCTCCTTTTCTTTTAAAAGTTGCTTCCACCTGTTCTTTGTCCTACATTATTATCTGTGATAGTTTGCAATCCCTCAAGCTCTTTCAGTTCTTGATGTTGCTAAAAATGACTGTTCAGTTCTCTGTCAATTAATTTTTGGATTTATGTTACACTCCATGGGAGAATTTAGAGTAGATTAGCAATCAAGAGGAAATTATAAACATTTTCATGGTGGTTATATCCATATCATACATTTTCTGTGTTTTTAGTGATACAGTCTCTCTTTTATTCCTAAGGATAGAAGCTCATCAAGTGATCTTTCAGTTTCTGGCCCTTAGAATTCTTCCTCCATGTAGGCCCCTCTGAAGGCCTTCTTTGTCGTTAGTACAAAATTAACTTTGTGAACATTCAGGTATTTACTCTTTTGTCTGCCAGTATCAAGTGATTAATTTGCTCTTTGGGGCTCTCTCTCCTCCTTTTGGTCCTTTCCACATAGAGAATGTCATCTTAGGACATTTAACTGTCTCAGGTGTCGTCTTGGCTTCCTCCTGGTCAGTCTTTACCATCCATATATTTGGATATTTGGACCTCTGTAGCTGAAGGCAGCCCTTGTCGTCTGATTCTGGGATCACTATGTAATTCTATCCTCTTCACTATTCCCCCTCTCTTATCTATCAGGTCTTTCTAGTAATGGCTACACTTGAAATATTTTGTCTACAAAGTTTGAGAGATAAAAATAATTTTACATTAATAGAAAAGCTGTTGTGTAATGACACTATTTAGAGTGTGCTATGGTTTGACTGTGTCCCCAAAAATCCATGTGTTGGAAACTTTATCCCCATTGTAAAAGTGCTGGGAAGGGCCTAATAAATGCTGATTGAGTCATGAGGGTGGAGCCCTAATAAATGGATTAATGTAGTTAATTTCAGGAGTTGGTCAGTTATCAAGAGAGCTGGTTATTATAAAAGTGAGCCCAGCCCTTAGTGTTTTCTCTCACCCAAGTTCTCTTGCCTTTCTACCTTCTATCATAGATGACACAGCATGAAGGCCCTTGCCTCATGCTACTGACATGCTTTTGGACTTTCCAGCCTCCAGAACCATGAGCTAAATAAATTCCTGTTCATTATAAACTACGCAGTGTCAGATATTCTGTTACAGCAACAGAAAATGGACTAAGAGTAAGATTTTAGTAGGCTGGATGAAGCCACAAGATGGCTGAGGTTTAAAAGGCACATTGTTGGTAATAAGCAAAAATATCAATTCTTTTTTTTTTTCCCTTTAAACTCTTTTGGACTTGAAAAAAGTACCAATTTTTATATACCTTGCTTGGTGCATTGGAAATAACATGGGCTTTTTGTTAGACTGGGGTTTTAATCTTATCTCTTAAGATTTCCTCATATATGAAACAGGATAATAATATAGAGTTGTTTTAAGGTTTAAGTAGGAGAAAATATATAAACTTCCTAGAACTTCGATAGTGAAAATAGAATAAGTGGTCTCCATACACTGTGCATTGTCTTTGTTTTGTTTTGTTTTGTTCTTCCATTTATCATTACCATTAATTGATACTACCTGGAAATAGTGTCCCGAGGAGCAATTATTTATTTTGTTACTATAGTCTTGAAGATTCTGCCTATCCCCCAACCCCCACCTCCTGTTTAGACAGAATGTCCAAGAGAAGGGGAAATAATTGCATCATCTTTTTCTCAGTTAACTTTTGGCAGTCTCCTGAATGCCTGCCCCTAGCCAACAGGCCCAGTGGTTCCAGCCTCTGTACAGATGATTTCTAGATTATTTTGAATTTAAATTTATTTCTATCATGCCTAAACATAGTAATGAATAGTGACATATTTTCCAGGAATTTTATTTTCGGTTGTCTGGTAATTATTTTTTGATGATTACAAGATCCAAACAACAATAAACTTTAGTTTTTCTGGACATTGGGGATTCAAGTGCCAGATTCTGAAGGACCTTTTTATAGTAAGGAGTTTAGATATAGGAAACGAGGAGCCATTCAGTTTTTAGGAAGGCCGTTCTGATTACAGCAAAGCTAGTAAGGAATTGAATGGTGGTAAGGAGGTCAGCCAACATTTTTACTGATAGATGATAAGGGCTTAAATAAAGGCAGCACTCGTATGAATGAAAGGGAGAGAAGGAGTCAAAAGAAGATTCTAAAGTAGACTTGGTGTGGGGAAATGAAAAAGAAGTCAAGGATGACTTCAAAGTTTTTAGCTTGATGAATAGAAATGACATTAATTGATGTGAGAGGCCAAGATGATGAGACTGACTATTGAAGTTGGGGTGCCTGTTAAATAATTCAGATAGTGATAATGCAAACATAGATTCTATGTAGTGTATAAATCCTGATATTTGCAAGGGTTTGGTCCTCATTTCTATTTTGTTTGCTGTCTCTCTCAAACCAGCAAGTAGAGAAGAGAGGAAGATGGAATCCTAATAAACACCAAGATTTAATGAGGGTGAAGGATGAGGCAACAGTACAACTTGAATAGAAGTGCTCCAGGTGGGAGAGAGATACAGGATATGGAATCATGAGAGGTGTCTTTTTTCCCCTTTCTAAGATGAGTTTTTTGAGTACAGGAATAATGTCTAACTTACTTCAGCACCTTGCATATTGGCATATTGTAGTAAATGCTTATAAGTGCTTGAATGAATGAATGAAATCCGACAAATATACTGTCACTGAGAATGGCACAGAGGATGGTTAAAACTGAAGAGATTATCAGATATTACAAAATAGTATATAATATGTGCCAGTGGCCTTTCAACCATTTACAGTTATAACTTAGCTTATTGATAAAATTTAAAAACACTAGCATTTTTGTGTATTTTACACAAACATAAAACACGTTATGTTTGTGTAGGCAAACATAGGCATAGTTTTTCCAAACATCTCAATTTGAATTCCGCTTATTTTTTAGTGTGCTTGTAACCCTATGACTACTGGATGTGAGGGCTGGGGAAAAATCTTTCATGTGGTAATACCTAAGTTTTATTGACAAATGAAATGTGAATATGATTTTTCAGCTGATTTTTGAGCACCTTTATCTGAACATTCATTACTTTCTTATGGCTTGCTGTGAAATACATGCTGATTAAATAGGATTGATTAGGAAAACACATGGGAATTTCGCTCCTGCCACCTGTTTACCAACCAGTGTAATAGTGGTAGAAAATCTGAATCTGAATTTGCCTTGCTTATCTATTCCTTGTAGTTAGCTTTTTGGTCACTGCCACCCATGGTTTAGGATCATTCTTCCCTCAGTGGACATCTGTGGCTATCCTATTCAGAAGAGTATCTGATAGTTAAGGAAAAGGAAGAGATAAAATGCTCTTCAAAGATATGTTAGTCTGTATTCCCAGATATTCTGGAGGCTGAAGTGGGAGGATCATTTGAGCCCAGGAGTTGGAGACTGCAGTGAGTTATGATTGCACCATTGTACTCCACTCTGGGTGACAGATTGAGACCCTGTCTCGAAAGAAACGGCTGGGTGCCATGGCTCATGCCTGTAATCCTACCACTTTGGGAGGCTGAGGTGGGAGGATCACTTGAGGCCTAGAGTTCAAAGAAAGAGAGAAAGAAAAAGAAAAAGAAGAGGAGAGATAAAGAGAAAGAAGAAAGAAAAGAAGAGAAAGAAAGGTTAATCCCTGAAATAGTTTATACTTGAGGATATGTAGAGTAAGGAAAAATTGTTCTAAATCTCATTCTACAGAATCTGCCAAATCTCTACATCTTTATTTTCTCACATTGTTTCTTTCTACTATCTTTATACCTTTTGCATCTCTTTTGGTGACTACTTTTTTTCTTTCTCCTTTGCTTCTCCGATTTGTTCATTCTCCCCATTTTCTTCTCTTTGACCTCATCTCTTCAGTACAGATAACTAGTCATAAAGTAAAATTGAGGTTTTTTATAAGTTTTTTTGTAATGAATACATTTTTATTTTTATAATCTAAAATTCAGATGACATTGACATATTTTTATGTTCAAAATAATTCATGGTTTTTATAGTCATCTAATACCTGATTGATTTATGATACAGTCATTCTTAAGGAAATAACAAATAGGAAATAGGCTTCCTTTTCCAGGAGCATTCAGCAAATAAACTATGTGGCATTTGCTCAGGAATTTGCATCAGTCATAGATTCAAAGGAAGAATTTGAATCAGCAGTTCTTCCTTTCCCCCACTTTTATTTTTATTTCACTCATGGATCTACCTACTTATTTATGTATTTATTATATTAAATGCTCATTTATTATAAAATTTTCAGCTGTTTTTAGAAAGAAGGTACTATGAGAAAAAAATTATAGTAAAATTGTTTCTCTAAAATGAAAATGTATTTTCTACTGATTTTTGATATGAACACAATTTTAATGAGTTTATCTTTGGCATTCTTTGTGAACTTGTACTGCAATACTGTGTAAAACTCAGGAAAGTATAGTATTTTCCCAGTTTTGGAATTTCCCTTTGACTTTTATGTACAACTCTACCTCACCTCCCACCATCAAATCCAGCTTGGAAAAGTATATAGAAGGTATACAGGAGTGGGTGTCAGGAAACCTGAGTTCCAGTCCAAATTGTATAGCTTTGTTTAAATTGTTTAACTTCATTTGGTTTCTCTTTTGGTGTCTGCAATTTCTGAAAGTCAAATCATCTATTTCCAAACAAATACTTTAGTCTCAGCATTTTTCGAGATCAAGATTTTATTCTATATAGTGAATTATCCTTGTTCTTTATAATACCATTTAGCAGCATTGTGATCTTTGGCAAAGTTACTAAAATTCTGAGGCTTTCTATTCTGTATATGGGGATCATAATGCCTACCTTGCAAGGTGATTGTGAACATTAAATTGGATAGTGAATGTGGTTTAAAAGTGTTTAGCTCAGATATTCTGTAAAGCTGTTGTTAAGTGAGTTTCCTTATCATTTCATTTGACTATAGTAGAAATAGCAGTTACAAGCCTCACATGTGAAAAGGCATAAAGTATATGAATTGCATTGATAAAACATTTTTATGGTTATTGCACTATAAGGAAACATCAGAATGCTTACGTACATTTATTTTTGAGTAAAAATTAAATTTCTATTCAGAGTTTTTAACTTCGTTAAAGGAATAATCATTAAAGAAATAATAACATTGGTTATTTGGTTTTACTACATGCTTTCCTAAGCATCTTAAACTTTTAGTAATTAGGAAATATGTTCCAAGTGAAATTGTGTCTAAAATAATCATTCTGTGGAATTGTTTTTGCCTTTTTGGTACCATAATGATATTTGGATACATGAGGTACCTATACAGTAGTTGTTTAAGTATATTTACTAAATATAAAGAGCACATTATTAAACTGTTACATAGTGGTAGCAGATTTAATAGACAAATCAAATGAAAAGTACTTAAGAAGACCCCTGGTGTTTATTTTAATTTGATTTGTGGCATTTGTATGGTTAGTATTTTATAATCTATTCATCACTTTAAAAATATGTCACAATAATATCAAGTCTGTACAATTCTATGACTATTTTATTCTGCGTGGAATAGATTTAAAGGTCAACACTGCTCTTTTATGTAGGTTATGGGTGCTACATGTGTGCTTTCAGAGCAGTAGTGTGAGGAAGCTTGGAGTGGGATGGCAGGACGGCCTCATCCCTATGATGGTAACTCCAGTGATCCAGAGAATTGGGATCGGAAATTGCATAGTAGACCTCGTAAACTTTATAAACATTCAAGGTAGGTAGAAAATATGTATTTCGCATATGAAAGCTCTGCTAAAAACTGATTGTAAAGAATACTACTGCATTTGGTTGTGGCAATTCCTGTCAGAGAATGGGGGCTGTTTTACAAAACGTTGTGAATGTTTATCTGTCTCCATAGATAACTTTTGGAGAAACATTTCTTTTTAATTTTTTAATATTTGTATTTGAATATTTATTTCTGTCTCTAAAGATGGTGAAAATCTCCCTAGTTGACCCCATGAATAAATGCTATAATTTACTTAATTGGGGACTCTCACATGACAGGTTAGTTCTTTGTGTTTAAAACTCTCTAATAGGAATTTATTTTGTGCTCTAAATACATTGTATACCTTACACAGGATAATATATAGATTTATGTCAGTGTTTGCTTCATACGTTTTTAACTATCTGAGTTTATATTGTGTTGTCATCCTTCTCATTAATGAGAAAAATTAATCTTTCTGGAATGACTCTACTGGTTTATTTAAAGTTTGCTGCGTGAAATAAAATTCATTTCAAGTTTCAGGCCATCTATCTATTATTTTTAAAACTTTCATTTTCTGCTGTGTAACTTAATGAGGAATGCCTCATTTTGTACACTTTGATCTGAAATTTTAAGATGTTAATTGACAACTCAGAAACCTCACATATTACAGGTATGTAAGCATGTTTTCATAAAGCAATATCTTCTATGAATATTACTTAGGGGATATTATTGAGCATTTAACTTACTTGAATATAAATTTCTTCTTACCACTGATAACAAATACCAGCTTTCTTGAAAAAAAAAAGCCATAATATTGTGATAATGAAATCGTTTTTGTGATTTTAAAGAAATAGTTCAGGTACTTTATATACTATAGCTAGAAAATTTGAGTGATTGGTACTTTTTAAGTCTCCTGATAATATGTTCACTTTTATTGTGGACTTTTAATGTTATGAGGTCTAAAATGTTAATATTAAGTTGACTTTTTAATAATTTATAAGTCCATGCCAAATTGTATGAGTGTTTTTTTGGTTTTTTATGTTTGTTCATTCTGTGTGTGTGTGTGTCAGCATCCAAACTGGGGCTTTTGTTCTTTTTCTCTATTTCATGGATATTATTTTGTCATTTAGATTAAAGATATGTTGGTTTTGCCAGGTGTGGTGGTTCATGTCTGTAATCCCAACACTTTGGGAGGCCGAGGCAGGCAGATCACTTGAGGTCAGGAGTTTGAGACCAGCCTGGCCAACGTGACAAAACCCTGTCTGTACTAAAAATACAAAAATTAGCCGGGAATGGTGGCATGCACCTGTAATTCCAGCTGCTTGGGAGGTTGAGGCACGAGAATTCCTTGAACCTGGTAGGTGGAGGTTACAGTAGGCCACTGCATTCCAGCCTGGGTGACAGAGTGAGACGCTGTCTCAAAAAAAAAAAAGTATTGGTTTTATCACATTAAATGTGGGGCTGTATTTATATCTACTATGTTATATATATGTGTATTTTTTTCAAGTGAATTATATAGTATTCATCCTAGTTCTTGCTGTTTTTCTGCTGAAAAACAGATTGCTAAGGTATAATACTGCACTATATAATGAAGAGGTGACAAGGGAGAAAATAAGCCATTATTTTATAAAAGCTACATACATACAGTGGGAAAAATTAATAAAAATGAACAGTGCATTTTTCATTATTGTTGTTTCATTGTCAGTAACAAATACTCAAAGCTCTTCTTGATAGCTGTAACATCAGTAACTTTTTAGTGCTGTTTTTATTCTTTTTTTTTTTTGAAATGGGTTCTCACTCTGTCAGGCTGGAGCGCAGTGGCACCATCTCAACTTACTGCAACCTCTGCTTCCTAGGCTTAAGCAATCCTCCCTCCTCAGCCTCTGGAGTACCTAGGACTACAGGCATGCACCGCTACCACCACACTCAGCTAATTGGAGCTCTTTTTAGGTAGACTGCAGCAGTATTTAGGGTTATTTGAGTGAAAAACATTAAAGTAAAATAGAAAATAAATACCAGTGAATTGATTTTTTTTTAATGCAAAGACTATGAAGTCTGTTAAATGAGTTTATTTTAGCCTCATTCATGGAAAATCTGCCCAAGGAAGAACTTTTAGAGACCTCCTGTCCCATATGCTTAGGAACATATAACTTAGGACACTTAAAAAGTATGATTTGACTTTTTAAAAGTGTTACTTTTTGAATTCATAGTAAATTAATTGGCTGAGAGGTTTTAAAAAGTAATAGCAAGTATTAATGAGAACTTGCCTTCAGTTCAGGAGAGATTCAAAAGTGCACTGTTATGGAATAGTTTAGTATCCACGCATGGAACTATTAGAGGACAATAAGGCACTTAAACTATGGTAATGAGTTATAAAATAAGAGTTCAGAGAAAGAATAATTATCAGCTTGAGTAGGTGAAAATGAGACTTGAGGTAATCCTGGATGATTAGAGTATTAGGTAGATGGAGGACATTTCTGGCATGGATCTTCAGATTACCTTGACTGGATCTGAAGTTGGAGCTCTGTGGATAGTATTATTGTTCCCATGTGGCAAATGAAAAAAAACGAAATGAGTAAACTTGCCCAGGACCATCCAACTTGTAAATAGCAGAGCTGGGATTTATAAACAAGTTTCTCATTGTTTTCTTTTTCAAATTTTACATAATTTATTATGGTATATTTTAAATACATGCAAAATAGAACAGATGTAATGAACCCCTGGTATTCATCACCCAGCTTGAAGTTACCAACTCATGGCTGATTTTGTTTCATCATGCCTCTCCTACTCTCATTCCTTTTTTGAATATTGTGTATTTTATTTAGGTATGTTTGAGTAAAAGAAAACAAGACTAAACACTGGCTGATGTTAGGGGTTTATTATTCTTTTAAATAAGAAATCCAGAGATAGGCAATGGCGGGTGCATGTTTAGTGGCTTAAGGATGTTAGGGTCAGAAATCTCTTATTTTCTTGGCTTTCCTCTCATTATCACAAGGTGGATATTGTAGTTCCAGATATCATTTTCACTTTCTAGACAAGAAGGAAAAAATGGAAAAGGGCTTCATTTATATCAGGAAATTAAATTTCTCAGAAATTTCCAGCAGATATCTGCTTATAAACCAGTCATTGGCTAGAATCATGTCATATGGCCATCTCTGGATCAGGGAGACTGAGAAATATGGTTTTTAAATTGGGCACATTGTCACCTTGAACAGTTGGGGATTTAAATCTATAAACGTAAGGAAATAAGCATACTTTATTGTTTAGTTTTTATAGCTAATCTAAATTTTGTCTTGTTGAAATTTTGTGTTTTGTTTTGTTCTATTTATGTTTTGGAATAGCCTGACTTTTTCTCGTCTTGTACTTTTGATTTTTTTCCCCACTTTTCCTTGCTGGCTAGGATAAAAATAAATTATTTGATTTATAAAAGTAACAGCAACAGTTACTATCTAATGTGTATTTACCATTAAGGTTTGAGAGTTTGAGAGCATTGCCTTATGGTTTCTGTTCTATCTAAACAACTTTAGGTACTTTAAAAAATCATTTAATTATTATATTTTATTTCTGATCATTTTCCTTCTTTTTTCAAAAGATTAAAAAATTTTAAAAATTGGCACATAATTGTGTATATTTATGGGGTACCTAGTGATATGTGTATCATATAGTGATCGTATCAGAGTAAGTAGCATGTCCATCATCTCAAATATTTATCTTTTTTTGTGTTGGGAATATTCAGTAAAAGGTGCTTTCTTTTTTAAACTTTCTTTTGAATGTAGATGTATATCTCTTTTAAAAATTTGTTTACAGTTAAAGAAACTAGTCTGAACATGGATGGACTTTTAGGGTGCCTATGATCTCTCAGCAGGTCTATATGATTGAATTTGTTTAAAATTTACTGAATTGGTTTAAAATTAGTTTAAAAATTACTGAATTTGTTTATAAGTTGCTCAACTTGTTTCTGGGTGAGTAGTTGTATAGTTATATATAGAGTTGCATAGTTATATACTTGTATGATATCCATATAGAACAGTTTGGTAGCCTGCTGAAGATGTTAAAGATCATTTCAGTTGAAATGTATTTGGCCTGAATTTGTGACAACTTCTTTTTAAATTATGAATTAGAGGAGCTTTTGCTATTTAAAAAAGAAAAAGAAAAGCACTTTTTCTGTATAAGAAGGTTAAAATGTCTAGATAGATGATACACTAAAAGCTCTTAAATATTTGAATTGGGTGGAATATGACCATATAAAACTCAGGTCTGCAGTCCACTCAGGTTACTAAAGATAAATGCATCATACATTCAGTATAGACTATGCCGCAAGGTTTCATTCCCACATGGAAGTACGCATGCTCGTTTCTCCTGAGACTGCATAAAGTCTGAACATTCCAGTTTCCCTTTTAAGTCACTTCATAGCCCTAGCAGCAGTTTAGAAATGCAAAAGTTTGGTTGCTTTAAAGAATAGTTCTTGAGTGGATTCTTAATTAAGTACAATAATATTTTCTCTTTGATTTTAAAGAGCTTTACTGCCCAGAATGGATACACAATAAAATTTTGAAAGGAAAAAGAAAGTTAGCTGTATCCCAGTTTTCTAAACCCTGGCAAGCTGGCAGAGCTAGAATTAGCTTTACAGATGGCATTTGGCAACATATCTACATATCTCTAAGCCCTCAACTCCTGCGTTTTGTTATGCCTGTCTATCAATTACAATATCCAATCACTGCTCAGAGATGGAGAAATGGGACGATCACAGCTCACACGATGCTGTTTTGTTAGAAACGTCAGTGCTGCACAACCCACGGCTGAGTCAGTGTCTGTGAGAAAATAAACTGAATTAATATGTAGAGGGGGTTGTATCTCTGAATATTTAAAGCCTAAATATTGCAACAGCATTATTACACAGTAGAGGGAGGAAGCTAAAGGAAGTCTATGGACAGGTGAGGTAGGGGGAGACTGGGGAATTTTCTGATTGTTCAGAGGAATCTTGAAGATGATGGAAATATCAGATGTGCTAAAGTTTCCTAGTAATGCCCAAGGATGCTGACCTGGCTTTCAGTGCTTCATTGTTTGAAAGAGCAGAGTCCCTTTATACTCTGATTTCAAAATTTTTTTCTTGTTTTTGTGTGTCTACCTTGGCATATACTAAAGGAAGGTGTGTATTCATTTATTACATGATATCTCTGGGTTATAATTATTTACATATATGAATTTGAAAGAAAGATTGAGAGGGATATGTGTGACCTTTGTTTCATTATGATCATTTACATGACTAAAGATAAAGATCATATGTCTGATTTTCAGTTTAATGGCAAGTTACTTAAAATAAATGAAATATGTTTTTATTGTTTTCGTGGGTTTGATGCTTTGTGTTTTATTTCAAGTAACTTGAGAATGCATTGTGTTTGGTACTGTTTTTTATGAATATCATTAAAAATTTATTTAAGGAGAGAGTAATTTTGCAATAATATTTTTGATTTATTTGAAAATAAAATTCAAGATAAATGAAATAATTGAAATTTTCTAAAGAAGGAATTGAATATATTTTTACATTTGAATGAACTAAGGATTAACTGAACCATTTATATATAGTACTTTACAGAACTGAATGTACTTAAATGATAAAGCTCTAATTGGTTAAAGTGACTTTCTTTCAAGTCAAAGAACCCAGAAACTGAATAGATGATCTAACTACTGCCACTGAGGTTTTGGATTAGTGAGTATAAATTTTCAACCAGACAAAATTTCTAAATAAGGATAATGGTTTTTCCTGTGAGATTTTAAATCTTAACAGGTGATATTGCTCACTTTATTAGGAAATTTTACAACAATTTAAAACATTTTGACTAATGGTTTTTTTCCTTCTCTCTTTATTACCCTTATCCTGCTGATCCTTAATTTTTTTGGACATTTGGGATATACAGCATTTTACATTTACTTTGTTTTTAATGTATTTATATGGTTTATAACATTCTTTCCTTGAAGTGTCAGGAAGTTCTTTTAATTTCCCCCATTTAATTTCTAAAAGTTTGAATGGTCATCTTATGGTTGTCATGACTTATTTATATAGTTCTGTTCGTGGTATCTTGTATTGACTTTTTTTGTGGTTTAGGGTCCAGAAATGTTTTTGTCAGCTTATTAAATAGAGTTATAAAAGCAGAATCTCAAGCTAGACCTTTTAATCTTATACTTTATAGGATACTTTCCCCAGGTTGTGCTGATTCTTTTAAGATAATAATGTCTGTCTTATTGTGAAAATGGTACATACTCATTAGGTAAATTTGGTAAGCCCAGAAAAACATATAGAAGAAAATGAAAATAAGTTTTTCTATTATAAAAAGAAAAATAAATATTTTGGCATATAACCTGTTTTTTCTGTGTATATATAAAAATCTAAAATAACACATATGCACTTAAAAAGGCATTACTGTAGTGCTGTTATGTAACCTATCCTTGAAAAAAAAGAAATTTAATTATGAACATCCTTTAGTCATGAAGTGATCTTCTATTGCATAATTTTAAAGGATTACATAGTGTTTTGTACATACATATTTTGTAATTTATTTCACCAATCCGCATTTTTCTGATAACTGATCAGAGAAAAGATCAGCATGATTTCACAGCATAAATATCTCCAAAAAGAAAGAATGTCTTAAGGAGTTAAGTAAAAATGTAATATTGATTATTTTTCTGACAGAGAAAGATCTTCAGTGTGATTACACAGTGAACCCTTTAAAGACATACACATTACTTTTAAAGCAAAGCAAATAGCTAAGATAACCATCATAAAGTATAAAAAATAAACAAAAAATCAGGAAAACTAGAGCTCAGATGAACTGAGACTTCAGAAAAATGTCAAGACCACCAAAAAAGGTTTCTTATATTACATTTAATGTAAGAATAATAATCAAGGAAAGTATAATAATAATGCATGACAATGAGAGGGAAAAATCTAGCTCTTGAAGCTTCTTTGTCAAAGTGGAAGAGGAAACCACTACCACCTCTAACAGAAATAGAAATAAGACAAACATTGATAGGAAGGACATGAAGGCCAATATGAGTATAGAGGTAAAGAATTCATCTGATTAAATGAGTTGTCTTCTGGGCCATTTAAAACATCTTATAAAAGGAACTGCATGCAACACCTTAAAATTATTGTTATTATTTGTGATCTTTGAAGGTTTTCTGAGAATAAAAGAACTGCTAAAAGATGGGAGATTCTGGGCTTGATTTTGAAGCAGGTAGGAGATTTTGGAATTAAAAATGGAAAGGACTCATTTATGACTGACTTGAAGAAAAACAGTTTAAAAATGATTAGGGATAGGTTTGTTAAAATTAGATTGCCAGACCAACTTAGATTTTTCTCTGATGCAGTTAGTAGACTAGCAACGCTATAATATATTTGGACTTAAGCTTAGCTTTTGGTAAAGTCATTTTGATATCCTTGAGAGTAAAGTGGGGGAACAATAAGTTAGCTACCAGCTGATTGTGATAATTAATTTACACAATTCTGACTTTAAATGATCCCATCCAGAGATTCATTGATCTTGAAAGGTGGCTTTGTTCTTTGCTTTGGGTAATATACTAAATGTTCCAAAATAATTTTTGAGGCTGAGTTGTTGTACTAAGTTTAGATGAACTTTTTGGGAGTATATATGTAAGGCCTAAAAAACACCAGGATACATTAAGGTAGCATCGCTCTACAGCATCACATATGAAAAAGACCTGAGGGTGGCTGTTGGCAGTAAACTAGATATAAGACAAAAGTATCATATGGCTTCCCATCTTCTTCCTCACCCCTCCCCTAAAAAATCCATTTCAATTAATGGAAGAGTAGAGTAACTGCTGAATACCAAAGTATTGTTATTTTTAGTTCTGTGAATATTCAAGAGGAAGGATGTGAAAAAGTTGGGTATGTTGCCAGTTTAAGGAACTAAGAATTTAAGAGAAATCTTGGGCTGGGCGTGATGTCTCACGCCTGTAATCCCAGCACTTGGGGAAGCTGAGGCGTGCGGGTTGCTTGAGGCCAGGAGTTTGAGACCAGCCTGGACAACATGGTGAAACCCTGTCTCTACTAAAATTACAAAAATTAGCTGGGCATGTTGGTGCACGCCTGTAATCCCAGCTATGTTGAGAGGCTGAGGCACGAGAATTGCTTGAACCCAGGAGGCAGAGGTTGCAGTGAGCAGAGATCACGCCACTGCACTCCAGTCTGGATGACAGAGTGAGACTCTTTCTCAAAAAAAAACAGAGAAATCTTGTGACAGCTCTGGTTGGATATTAAGGAATGTCATAATAAGAGCTATCTTCAGATATTTTAAGACTTTTCCTTTGAAAAGTAATTAGACATGGTTTGAGTCAGACTTGTTTGAAGTTAGGAGCATGAGCTCTGAAATTGAACCCCTTGGTTCAGATCCAGCACTTAATTAACTATATGATTTCAGGCACCTTGCTTAGCCGCTAAGTTTCCATTTTCTCAGCTGTAAAATTGGGGTGGTTTTGAGGATTAAGGTGCTCAGTATTGTTCTAAATGCCCAAGTGTTCGCATTGTTGTTGTTGTTATTTGGTCCCAGCAGGTAGAACTAAGGCAGTGGTTTTCAGCCCAGATGATTATGTCTTCTAGTGGGTGTTGGCAATGTCTAGGGACATTTTGGTTGGGGAGCTGGAGGAAGTACTAGCATACTGGTGGATGGAGGCTAGGGATGCTGCTAAACATTCTACAATGCAAACAACAGCCTTTTTACAACAAAGAATTACCTGGCCCAAAACCCTGAACTTGGGTTAGGTAAAAAGGTTTAAGCCTTAATGTGAAGGAAAAACAGCCTAAGAGTCAGAACTTTCCAAGGCTAGAATGAAACTTTTAAAGGGAAAAGTTCCCCTTCCCTGTCATTAGCAGTAGGTCAGCCAATTCGAGGACACTTTGTAGATGAAGATTCAGGAATTAGATACATGTTTGGACTAGATTTTCTAAACAGTTTTTCCTAAACTTAGGTTCTGTGTTTCTGTGGATATTTCTTAGGATAGTTAGACATACTGAATTACAATAACATCAAAGGGCCTCTGATAGAAATCATTTTAGTCTTTAATTTCATCAGTCTAATTACAGTATAGATTTTTATTTTTGATACTTAGGATTGAATAAAAGGCATAGTGGGGAGAATTTAATAGAAAAAGGTTGTGTTTTCAAAGGTCATTTGGAAGGAGTGATTGTGGGATGGCTGTGATTTGTCTTTAGAAATCTGTTTTGTGGCCGGGCGTGGTGGCTCACGCCTGTAATTCCAGCACTTTGGGAGGCCGAGGCAGGCAGATCACAAGGTCAGGAGTTCAAGATCAGCCTGGCCAACATGGTGAAACCCATCTCTACTAAAAATACAAAAAATTAGCCAGGTGTGGTGGCAGGCACCTGTAGTCCCAGCTACTTGGGAGTCTGAGGCAGGAGAATTGCCTGAACCTGGGAGGTGGAGGTTGCAGTGAGCCGAGAGTGCGCCACTGCACTCCAGCCTGGGCGACAGAGCGAGACTATCAAAATCTGTCTTGTGAAAGTAATTTATTAAAATATTCACAATCATTTGATAAATATTTTAAAAACTGAGTCTTGTATTTGTACTTCATATCTTTTATACTCCAAAAGTTTAAAAAAATTATATTTTTTAAAAGCATTGCTTGAAAAATATTGGTTGTGTATGCATTATAATATTGTTCTCAATCATTAACAGTACCAAGAACAGTAACTGGCACAGTGTAGTTATTTAGTAAATATTTGTTGAATGAATGACTATTCAGTAGATACACAATAAACCTGTGCAACCATTAATTTAGCTTTGAACAATTTTTAATAGTGGCTAGCTATTTTTAAAAAATTTTTCATGCTAGGAAGTTGCTGAGAATACTAAGTATGTAGTGACTGCCAACTCCGAAATTTGTATTTCTAGCCTAGACTTTTCCCCTGAACTTTAGACTTATGTATCCATAAGTATACACAGACTTACATATACACAGATGTGTAATAAGCATCTCACTTTTAACATGTCTAAGATATACCTACATTTCTAAACCTAGTCCTTTCACTTTCACTTGCATTCAGTAAATGGAACTTCCATTCTTCCAGTTGCTCAGGACAAAATCATGGAGTCATCCTTAACTCTTCTTTTTCTCTCACCTCCTACATTTCATCCATCAGTAAATTTCAGAGGCATATTCTTCAAAATATATAGTCTAGTCCACTCTACCACGTAACTCTGCCATAACACTGGTCCAAGTCACTTTCAGCTTTCGCCTGATTATTTACAGTAACATCTGAAATGGTCTCCTGGTTTTACCTTTGTCTCCTTTCTCCCATTCTCCCATTGTTTGCTTTGCAGCTAGAGTGATCCTGTTAAAATGTAAATTACGTCATTTAATTCACACTTCAGTGCTACCCATTTCACTCAAACAAAAGCCAAAACCCTTTAAACATTCCTTCAATGCCTGTCATAATCTTGTTCTAGTCTTGCCTAACTAAGCTCTACCTTTTTAACATGGTTGTTCTTATTTTCTGTGCTCCAGCAACCCTGGGCTTCTTGAATGTCTTGAAAAAGCCAAGGATAACTCTTACCACAGGGCCTTTGCATTTACTATTCCCTTCTATATTTCATAGTTCTATTTCTTACGTTTTTAGGTCTTTGTTTAGACACTTCCCCCTCAGAGAGTTCTACTTTGACCATTCAAAGCGGTGGCACTCTTTTTTTATTACCTTTATTTTTCCTTATAACATTTATCACCATATGTTAGTATCTGGGTCTTCATGTGACTTCAGTTGAAATTTGAAAAGATACTCTTAGGCGCTGCTGCTGCTGCTGCAATGGGATTTTAGGAAGAAGAGAAAGATGTCAGGATTTAGAAATAGTATTAAAACTATTTTTAGGCTATACATATTTATTGCTGAAGTTGTCTTTGTGGGGGTAATCTGGGATTTAAGTATCATTTAAAATATTTTTATGGGAAAAATATATCCGACAACAGACTTACAGGTGATCTTTGAGAATTTAACTAATTCTTCAGTTGAGAACTTCCCTTTTCCATAATTAAGCATTTATTCCTTGGGAAACTGACCATATATTAAGCAGAAGAGCAGAAAGTTTATAGAAGGCTAATTGACCAAAAAAAGGAAATGAGAGATAAATTGTTATTAAATCTATTTAGAAGTTTGATAGCATTTTTTATATTATAGTTGTTGACATTTAATACAGGGGTCAGCAAACTTTTTCTGTATAGGGCTGGATAGTGAATATTTTTGGCTATGTGGGCCACAGTCTCTGTCCTAACCACTCAACTTTGTCATTGTAGCATGAAAACAGCCATGAACAGTAATCATGAATAGACATGGCTGTGTTCCAATAATACTTTATTTACAAAATCAGGCAATGGGTAGAATTTGGCCCATGAGCCATAGTTTGCCAAATCCTGACTTAACACATTAACGATGCTTATAAAAAGCAAATCAGTTGCTTCAAAAATATATTAATATAAAGTCATTTAAAAGCTTTAGTTTAAAAAACCGAAACAGAGGATCTGGTATTTGTTAGAATAGTAAAAAAATCAGCTAATTTTTTCTCCCAGAATAAAAATAGGATTTAAAATATTGCTTCTTTATTGAGGTCTGACTAATTCAAATGGATAGGAGTATTGTCAGTGGAAAAAAAACACACTCAAACTCCAGGGTATGGGACAGGACACCTTCTGAAATGAGGGGCCTATGGCCTATAAGCAAAGTAGGTCAGGGGATTTCTTTATGGTCAGCTCCATTACAGGAAGGCAGGGGAAGAGTAGAATGTATTTTTAGTTTCTAAGGCCTGCCTTGGAGAGAAAAAGGAGCCATGAAAAGAGGGCAGGTGAAGGTCAGAGAGAGAGATTCTGTTTTCTGAGGCCTAAAGTGCCCCCAACATTATAACAAGGGCAGTAGGAGTTACGAGCCAGGAAACATGGACAAAAACATATATATAGCCTTTTATGGAGACATATAGTTTTTTACAGAGCTATATATAGTTTTTTATATTACAGTTTTGTGTATTTGTCAACAGTTTTCTGATATGAGTGCTACTTATATCAGCTACTTCTGGAAATTTTTCTTATATTATTTCCTTGAAAATGTGCTCCCCTCTATTTTCTCTGTTCTCTCTAGAACAGATATTAATTGAATGTTGACCTCCTTCATTAGTTCTCTTTTTTAATGCTGTCTTATTTTCCATTTCTTTGCATTTTTGTTCTTTTAAGGATATATTCAGTATTTTCTTTCAACCCTTCTAGTAACTTTGTAAAAATTTCTGCTATTATTTTGCATTTCTCAGAACTTTTTCTTATTCTTTAATTTTTTTAAAATTGCAGCATTCCTGTCCTTATTTTATGGATACATTTTTTATGTTACTGAATTTATTACAGTTTTGTGTGTTTTTTTGTCTCCACTTTATTGCTCCTTTTGTTATATAATTCAATGAAAATATGAATTATTTTCATTATGAAATAATTTTAGATTTACAAGATGTCACAAAAAATCGTACAGTGAGTTCCCAGGTACTCTACTCAGCCTCCTTCAATGATAACATCTTACATAACTTTAGTACATTATGAGAACCAGGAAACTGACGTGAGTACAATACTAATAACTAAATTATTGACCTTTCTTGTATTTTATCAGTTTTTACATGCACTTTATCTTTTTTTTATTACATGGTTCTGTGATATTTTATTGTATGTATAGATTCATGTAACTCCCACCACAATCAGGATATAGAACTCTTCTATCACCACAAAGAAATTCTCTTATGCTACCCCTTTATAGTTACACCCTCTCTCCAACTCTGACCTCTGGCAACCCCTAATTTGGTTCTGTATCCCTGTAAGTTTGTCATTTTGAGAACATTATATAAGTGGAATCATATAGCATATAAACTTTTGGGTTTGGGTTTTTTCATTCAGCGAAATGCTTTTGGATCCATTCACATTTGTTGCAGATATCAATAGTTTTTTTTTTAATTGCTGAATAATATTCTATGGTATGGCTGTACTACAGTTTACCCATTCAAAAAATGGCTTGGATTTTGTTATAAACTTTGCAGTACTGTTGGATTTTAAAAACTCTGTACGTATTAATTAGTATTATAAACTTTTTCCCCTTGTAGGAGTCTCTAGTTTCATTGAACAAAACAAGGCCCTGATGTTTTTCTTCAGTTCTTAGGAACCTGCCTGCCATTGAAAACTGTTGCTGTAATTAGAATTTTTAAACAAATTAGGTGACAAAATCATATGCAGAAGTTCATACCAGATTTGCATTCTAAAGTTTGATGTGAATAGATATTTGCTTCTACACTTGATCTTAGCCAAAAGGCCAAGAAGCAATAGATATTTGCTTCTGAGAGTGACCATTTTAATAAGATTTAAAAGTTTTTAGAAACTTTACTGCCTGTTGATTCACCTTATGCTTCAAAGCATGATTTTGAAACAAAGTGAAAAGTTGGTATTAAAGAAAACAGAAGCATTATTAAGTCATAAAGCTGCAAAATTTAAAAATGGAAATATTTTCTTTTGTGTTTAAGGTGGATTTGTTTATGTAACTAGAGGTGCTTGGAAGTGATTGATATTCCTTAGTTGAAGAAAATTGTGATCTCAGAGGATCATGATTAAGGGTTCTAATTTGGGCTTTTGTGGTAAGTTTACTGGGTAGTATATGTTGGTTTGTGAAGTTTTCAAGTGGTGATCAGTTGGTGATGGTAGATGTTTTTAATCTGATTGTAGAAGTGCTTTTGGTTTCTTGAGACCATGGACCATATTACAACAAGAGGATGCAAAAATCTATGTAGATTGGTAAGAGAAGGAATTTAGTGCACTCTGCTAAGAAAAGTGTGAAAAGAAAGGACTATTAGAAGAAGAAAGGCATGACTTTTATTACTTAAGTGTAATTAAAATGGCTAAGTAGTTGTTTTCTATTTTGGTATTCTCAGGCAGCTGTGTTTTGGCCAAGAGGTCAATTCTGGTGTACAATTTGCTATATATATATATCTGTGTGTGTGTGTGTGTGTGTGTGTGTGTATGTATCTCCATAAAACCTTACCATAATTAGGATAATGAGCATATACATCACACTCAAAAGCTTCTTTGGTGCCCTTTGTAACCCTTCCCTTTGAACTCCTATACCCCTTTCTTGTGAAACCACCAATATGTTTTCTGTCGCTCTATACAGTACTCTATGTTTCCTAGAATTTTATATAATTTATTTTTTGTGGTGGAGAGAGATCTGGCTTCTTTTATTCAGTGTAATTATTTTGAGATTGATTCATGTCGTAACTTGTGTCAGTAAATCATTCTTTTTTATGTTGAGTAGTATTCCATTGTATGGATATATCGCAAATTGTTTATCCTCTCACTTGTTCATAAACATTTAGGTTTTTTCCAGTTTTGAGCTGTTACAAATAAAGCTGCTAAGAATGTTTGTTTACAAATTTTTTTTATGGATAATGTCTTCATTTCTTTTGGGTAAATACATAATGGAATGGCTGAATCATATGGCTAGAGTATGTTTAATTTCTTAAGAAACAATCTCTTCTCCGAAACAGTTTCTAAAATGGTTGTACCATTTTCCATTCCTACCACAAGTGTATGAGAGTTCCATTTCATACATGTACTCATCAATGCTTGATATAGTCAGTCTTTTTATTTAGCCACTCTAATGTGTAATGATGTAACAGTGTCATTTTAATTTGCATTTCTTTAATGACAAGTGACGCTATCATTTCATGTACTTATTTTTCATCTGCATATCTCAAATTTTTTACCCATTATTTTGAGAGTTCTTTATATAGTTTACATATCAGTCCTCTATCAGATACATGATTTGCAAATATTTTCTCCCAGTCTGAAGCTTGTGTTTTTAGTCTCTATTATTTATTTATTTTTTTGAAACAGTGTCTTGCTTCGTTGCCCAGGCTAGAGTGCAGTAGCATGATGACCATGACTCACTGCAACCTCAAACTTCTGGGCTCAAGCAATACTCCCACCTCAGCCTCTCAAGTAGCCGGAACCACAGATGCCTGCCACCACTCCTGGCTAATTTTTAAAAAATTTTTTTGTAGAAATGGTCTCACTATGTTGCCCAGGCTGGTCTTGAACTCCTGGGCTCAAGCCATCCTCCCACCTCAACCTCGCAAGGTGCTGGGATTACAGGCTTGAATCACTGCGCACAGCCTCTTTTCATTCTCTTAACACTGTTTTTTGAAGATCAAAAGTTTTTAATTTTGATGAAGTTCAGTTGTCGGTTTGCTCTTTTATGCATTAGGCTTTTTATTTCTAGAAGTTCTGTAGTTTTAAGTTTCAGATTTAGGTGTGTGGTCCATTTTGAGTTAACTTTTGCATATGATGGGAACTATTGCACAGAGTTCTTTTTTTTTTTTCTCTAGAATTGCTGAAAGTGAAATACCTATTGTATATTCATTTGTTCCAGCACCATTTGATGAAAAACTCTTTCTTCCCTGAATTGTGTTTGAGCCCTTGTTGAAAATGAGTTGTCCATATATATGTATGTGAGTTCTTTTCTGGAGTCTTCATTCTGATTCATTGATCTATGTGCCTGTCATTATGCCAGTAGCACACTTTACTCATTACTACAGTTTTTTAATATGTCTTGAAATCAGATCATGTTAGTCTTCCAACTGTTCTTTTAAAAAAATTATTTAGGCTATTCTAGGTCATTTGCGTATTCATATGAATTTTGGAATCAGCTTGTCACTCTTGACAAGCAAGCCTACTTGGTTTTCCATTGGGATTATGTTGTATCTAGTAGATGAACTTAGGGAGAAAATTGACTTGTAAAGACGGTAGGTTTCTCCATTTGTTTAGGTCTTCTTAATTTCAGTAATGTTTTATAATTTCCAATGTGTGAGTTTTTCACATCTTTTGTCATATTTATCCCTAAGTATTTCAGGTTTTGCCAATGTGTGAGTTTTTCACATCTTTTGTCATATTTATCCCTAAGTATTTCAGGTTTTGGTGTTATTTGTAAGTAGTGTTTTTAAAATTTCAATTTTAGGTTGCGTATTGTTGGTATATAGAAATAAAGTTCATTTTAAAATACTGATTTTGTATTCTGCAACCTTGCTGAACTCATTGGTTCTAGTAACCTTTTTTTCTTACTAGAGCCTACAATAGATGATCATGTTTTCTGCAAATAAAGACAGTTTTACATCTTAATCAATCTGAATGTCTTTTCTTGCCATATTGCACTGGCTATAATCCTCAGTACATTGTTGAAGAAAAGTGACAGTAGACATTCTTATTTCTGATTCTTATTTCTGATTTTAGATGGAGAGCATTTGGTCTTTGATTACTATTCTTTTTTTATGTATTGCTGGATTTGATGTGTTAAAATTTTGTTTAGAATATTGATATTTGTGTTCTAAGATTTGTGGTTTTATTTTCTTGTAATATTTTTTTCCACTTTCTTTTAGTTCAAAATTTTCTAATTTCCTTTTTGATTTCTTTATTGCTCTGTGAGTTGTTTAGGTAAAGGTATTATTTCATTTCCAAGTGTTTGGGAATTTTCTAGATATTGGTGTCTGGGCAATGTTGGTCTCATAGAATGAGTTGGGAAATACTATCTTCTCATCAATTTTCTGGAAGAGCTGTGTAGGGGTGATATTATTTCTATCTTAAATGCTTGGTAGAATTTGTCAGTGAAGCCATATGAGCCTAGAGTTTTCTTGGAAGGAATGTTTTAAACTACAAATTAAATTTCTTCAGTAAACAGAGCTATTCAACCTTTTCTTAAGTGAGCTTTTTTGTAGGTTTAAATTTGTCCATTCTGAGTTGTTGAATTTATTGGCTTAAAGTTGTTTATAATATTCTTTTATTATTATTTTAGTATCTGTAGCCTCTCTTATTTCTGACATTGGTAGTTTGTATCTTCTCGATTTTTGTCCCAAGCAGTCTGGGTAGAGGTTTAACAATTTTATTGACTGATGTCATTTTTCTTAGACCTTTCTTCTTTTCTAATGTAGGAATTTAATGCCATAATTTGCCCCTAAGTACTGTTACAATGTCATACCATGCCACAAATTATGGTATCTTGGGGTTTTTTCCACTTTCTTTTAGTTCAAACTTTTCTAATTTCCTTTTTGATTTATTTATTGCTCTGTAAGTTGTTTAGGTAAAGATATTATTTAATTTCCAAGTATTTGGGAATTTTCTAGGTATCTCTGTTATTGAATTTTACTTTAATTCCATTGTAATCAGAGAACATACTTTGTATGATTAAATTCTTTTAAGTTTATTGATACTTGTTTTATTGCCCAAAATATGATCTATCTTGAGAAATGTTCTTCTGTGTGCACATGAAAAGCATGAGTTTTCTGCCCTTTTTGGGTGTTTTGTAAATGTCAATGAGATCAAGTCAGTTGATAATGTTATTCAAATCTCATCAATCCCTACTGATTTTCTGTGTAGTTTTTCTGTTAAATATTGTGAGAGAGGTGATGAAATCTCTGATGATAATTGTGGAATTGTCTAGTTCTCATAGTTTTATCAGTTTTTGCTTCCTGTATTTTGAAGCTCTCTCATGAGGCAGAGAAACATTTGGATTGTTATGTGCACTTAATAAATTAACCCCCTTATCTTTATGAAATACATTGGTGATATTCTTTGTTCTGAACTCTGCTTTGTCTGATATTAATATAGCCACTCTTGCTTTCTTTGAACTAGTGCTAGCATAGTGTATCTTTCCTCATTCTTTTATATTGAATCTCTTTGTACCATATAGCATATAGTTGGACCTGGCTTATTATTATTATTATTATTTTAAGACAGGGTCTCCCTCTGTTGCCCAGGCTGTAGTGCAGTGGTGCGATCTCCGCTCACTGCAGCCTTGACCTCCGAGGCTCAAGTGATCCTCCCACCTCAGCCTCCTGAGTAGCTGGGACCACAGGCATGTGCCACCACACCCAGCTAATTTTTGTATTTTTTGTAGAGATGAGGCTTTGCCACGTTGCCAAAGGCTGGTCTCGAACTCCTGGGCTCAAGTGATCTGCCAGGCTGGGGATCTAGCTTTTATATCCAATCTGATAATCTTCACCTTTTATGGTTTAGACAGTTTACATCTAAATGGCTAAGGCTATCTGTATTTAATGTGATTATTGACATGGTTAAGGTTAAGTCTTGTCCTGTTATTTATTTTCCGTTTGTCCCATTTGTTCCTTTTCCTTCTTCCTCCCAACCCCTTTTTTCCTTTGCCTTCTTGGATTAGCCAAATCCTTTTTTATGATTTTATTTTATCTCCTTTTTTGGTATATTAACTGTATTTCTTTTGTTTTCTTATATTAGTGGTTGCTTTAGTATTAACAGTATACATCTTTAACTTATCACAGTATACCTTCAAGTGATGTTATACTGTTTCTTGTGTGGTGTAAAAACCTTACAAAAGTATACTTGCATTTCTTTCTCCCAGACTTTGTGCTACTCTAGTTATATGTATATGTTATAAACCCCATATTATATTATTATCATTATTGTTTAATCTTTTATAGAGATTTAAACAATTAGAAAAAAATTATATTCTTCCATGCAGTTACTTTTTCTAGTAGTCTTCATTTTTTTGTGTAGATTCATATTTTATCTGGCATTAGCTTTTTTTTCTGCCTGAAGGACTCCCTTTTAACTTTTCTTGCAATGCAGGTCTTCTCATGATGAATTCATGTGTCTTTTTTTGCCTGAAAATGTCTGTACTTTCTTATTTTTTTTCGACAAATCAATGCAGATCCTTCTTATTTTTGAAAGATGTTTTTACTGGCTGTGAAAAACCTAGGTTGACAGGGTTTGTTTTCATTTTTTTTCTTTAAAGTGTTTGTAGAGTTTGTTGTGCATATTGAATCTGTGGGTTTGTAATTTTTGCCAAATTTGGAGAAAGTTCAGATATTACTTCCCTTTTTTCCTTCCCACTTCCTTCATGGACTCCATTTACACCTATATTAGGCCACTTGAAATGAACCTGCAGCTTACTCATGCTGTTTATTTTTCTGTTTTCTCTTTTTTATTTTGAATATTTCCTATTGCGTTGTCTTCAAATTTGTTAATCATTTCTTCTATAATGTGTAATCTCCCATTAATTCCATTCGGTGTGCTTTTCTTTTTTAAAGTTATTTTTAATTGACATGTAACATGTAATAATTATACATATTTAGAGGTACTGAGTGATATTTCAATACATGTATACAGTGTGTAGTGAGCAACTCAGGGTGATTAGTATATCACCTCAAACATTTATCATTTTTTAAAAATGTCAGGAACATTCAAAGTTCTCTCTTCTAACCATTTGGTAATATATAATAAGTTATTGTTAACTATAGTCATTTTAAAGGGCCATTTAGTATACTTTTCATCTCACATGTAAACATTTTTATCTCTGGAAGCTTGATTTGCATTTTTTTAATCTGGTATGTCTCTACATTGCTTTTTGGAGGGCTGTGGTTATAGTGACTTTTTAATGTTTTTATTTCTCATTCTAACGTATGTGTCAGTTCACGTTTTATTTCACTTGATGTTTTTTTTCCTCATGGGTTATGTGTTCTCACTTCTTTGCATGCCTGATAATTTTTGATTGGATGCCATACATTGTAAATTTTACCTCATTTGTGTGTTTGATATTTCTTATAAATATTCTTGAGCTTTGCTTTAGGATTTAGCTATAGGGAAACAGTGTGGTCCTTTTGGTCTTGATGTTAAAATTTATTAGGGGAACTGGAACAGTGCTCAGTCTAGTTGTAATTATTTCCCATTTTAGAACCTTCTAATTCTCTTCCCAGTGCCCTATAAATTATTAGGCTTTCCAGTCTGAACCAGTGGGAACAGGACCTATTCCTGACCCTGTATGAGTGCTGGGCACTATTTCCTCTAATCCTTTGAGCTGTTTTTTTTCCCCAGCTTCTTTTCATAGTGTCCTCACATGTGTGACTGGTATCCAGCTCAGTACTCAAGGAGGACTCTGCAAATTTCTGAGGTTTTCTCTCTGTGTTACACTCTCCTCTCTGGTACTTTTCCCTTAGAACTCTAGCCATCTCTTATCCCAATGTCTCAGCTCCATGTCTTTCACTCAGAGTCCACTGGGTTCTGCTTGTGTTTCCCCTTTCTGTGTTTACTTTGCAAATGCTCTCAAGATAGTAATTTGGGACAATTGTTGGGCATATCTCATTCGCTTTCCATTTTTCAATGATTGCTCTCTTTCATTGCCTGATGTGCCGTGTCTTGCAGACTGTTGTTTCCTATATTCCGTTTGGTTTCTTGGGTTGTTTCAGACAAGAGTATGAACTCAGCCCTTGTTATTCTATCTTGGCTGGAAATAGATATTAGGGCTAATCCAGTCTTCATGTCCTTACCTATCCTTAGTTCATGAATTTCAAACTCTTCAATGCAGCCTGAAACAGAGCTTTCCCCTCTGAACTTGCTCATCCTCATTTTCTTTTGTACATATTAACTATTTTTGCCTTTAAAGTGATTTCTTAATCTGAAAGTATTGAATTAAATATAGTAGGACATAATTTGTCTTCCATGACATCTGATTTTGAAGGTCTGATTCAGGGTTCAGTCTATATGGGAATTAAAAGAAAATATGAAAGTGTATTATGACACCTTTTGAATTCGTTTAAAATCTAAGTGGTTTAGAGATGAAGCCAATGTTTTAGCAGTGTCTAGTCTTTCAGCTACAGGGATGTCTGGTGAAAACGCTTTTTTAATTACTCAGTCTGCTTGGCCCTTACTCAAACTGAACATTTAGCTTGTATTTGTCTTACTCGTTGTTGTGCTTGTACCTTGTCCATTAAATTACCAGACTCACATTTAGATAATGTGCTTTCTTATAGTTGAAAATGATGAAAACTTAGCTGCCAGAATAATTTGAAGAGTTATTTTTTCTATATATGATCTTTGTTCTATTTAATGTGGATTCCTTTTTTTCCTACTTTAGAAAACAAGCCAGAAATTCCAGTATTCCTACTCTAATGATTTTTTAAAAACATAAATGCAGTAGGATCTTTTGATCTGTTTGAAAGAAAAGATTATGTTCTATTGATGCAGCTGTCCTCTAATTTTTTTTCACTAGAATGAAGGTGGGAGTAGAATTTTTCTCTGTAGGTTGATGAGAAACAAATAACTGATAAAGGCTGTTAGGTTGCCTTTATTTCCTTAGAAGTAACTTTCAGGATAAATACAAAGTCAACTTTATCTTCTGTCCTGGTATTCTGTTATAGCAAGGTGATGACTGATTTTTATAATGAAAGAAACCACCAAAATAACAAAAAATATTAAAGCTAATAAAATCAACCAAAGAGATGACCCGGAGACACTGAAAGATTTTGTTTTCTGAATCACGAAGATTAGATTTTAACTCGTGTGGTTTTGCTAAAGGAGAGCAGTATAATATTATGAAAGGGGCACTGGAATGACTCAAAAGGCTTAGGTTATAGTGTTATTAGCGTTTCTACTAAATGCTGTGTGACCCTGAGCAAGTCTTGCAGTTTTGAACTTTAACATCCTCATCTGTCATAAACTAAATAAACTAACATTTCATGAGTAATTATGTCGTGCCAGGTACGTTGCTGGTCAGCTTACTTATTATAGTTCATTTAATTCACCTATTCACCTTAGAAAATAAATAGAATCTACATTTTACAAATGAGAAACCTAAGTTTCCAGAATATTAAGGATCATTCAAAATGCCAAGCAATAAGCATTAGAGGACAATTTTACTCTAAAGCCATGAACTTCCTTCTGTTTCTAAAAAGAACTTTAATATTTTTGAACCATATTATATGCTAACAGTAAATTTCCAAATTGCCTTAGGTCTGGCTTTATTATTTTTATTATCATCAGTTTTCTTATTTGCAGTGTACTCTAATTATTGAAATTTTATCTATTTGTCAGGGCCTGGACACTAGTGATACACTAGTGGCTACTCTATAGCAATGTCTTTTTTCTTTGAAATCCTAAAGCATTTATTATCTGATACCCATTTAGTAGTTACATATTTGGGAACTCTTTAGTAGTTTTATATTTGGAAGTTGGGATAACTCTTGAATTGTTTAAAGTTCTGCATGTTTATCTATTATTGCTACACTTAGAAAACAAGCTCCTGAGGAAGCTTCTTTCTGTTGGCATTTAGCATAGCATTGTGCATGTAGTATGTGTAACTTAATACATAATTGTGTTAAAATATTCTGTAAGCTGGACTGTTTTAATCAGCATTCTGAGTTATTCACTTCTGGTGGAGAAGTTTATTATATATAAGATATTTTAAAGTTTTAAAAATTCTGTGACTTTATGTAGTCAGAGTAGGTAGGTTTGTTAGGTTTTTCAGAGAAATGCTTTTCTTTTTCTTTTTTTTTCCTGAGACAGAGTCTTGCTCTGTTGCCCATGCTGGAGTGCAGTGGCGTGATCTCGGCTCACCGCAACCTTCGCCTCCCAGACGATTCTTGTGCCCCAGCCTCCTGAGTAGCTGGGATTATAGGTGTGTGCCACCACACCCAGCTGATTTTTGTGTTTTTAGTAGAGACAGGGTTTTGCCATGTTGGCCAGGCTGGTCTCGAACTCCTGACCTCAAGCGATTCACCCGCATTGGCCTCCCAAAGCGTTGGGATTACAGGTGTGATTCACTGTGCCTGGCTAAGAAATGCTTTTCAGAAAAACTTTAAAAAAAAAATCATAGTGTTTTGAAAAGGCTCAACTGAAAGTTGGTTGATTGAAGTTAGCATGTAGACTTATTTTGTTTGGCAGGGAGACCAATTTCTCTGCCCCATTCCTCAGTTTTTTAAGAGTTCCAAAAGCTCTTGCCTTCTCTTCTTCCCCTACAATGAAGGAAATCAAAAGAACATCTGAATAACATTTAAGATATCTGAGTGATCTACTACTATTATTACTACAACTTCTACTAACTCATATGTTAGTTAACCTTTCTAAGCTTTAGTTTTCTCGTTCATAAAAAACTGAGTTCAAGTATGTGATCTTCAAAGACACGTTATTCCAGAATTTTTAAAGCCTACAAGTTTGAGGTAAATTAGGTTTCAGAATTAGAAAGTAGCATTTGATTTTTGCACTTCAAGATACTAGTTTTTTGTTACTTGGGTGTTTCTTTTAAAATGTTTCCAATCTTATGTTCTGCTTTTATGGTTAATTTTCCTTTCTAACTTATCAGTACTTCCTCGCGTATTGCTAAAGGAGGAGTTGACCACACCAAAATGAGTCTACATGGTGCTAGTGGGGGACATGAGAGATCAAGAGATAGACGAAGGTCAAGTGACAGATCACGAGATTCATCTCATGAAAGAACGGAGTCTCAGCTCACTCCTTGTATTAGAAATGTGACTTCTCCAACACGACAGCACCATGTTGGTATGTAAAATCAACTAACCTTCCTAACAGTTCTTAAAAACATGCATTTACCTTTTTAAAGTAGTAATGACATTGAATTGTGCCTAATACTGCAGAGTAAAATTAGCTGCTTCTATTCAGTTGTTTCTGTTTTAGTTGAGCTTGGTTCTTGGTGTGAAAGAAAAAACAGCTAATTAAATGCAAAGTTAACATGAATTTTTAACCTCTGGGACAGTCTTATAAAATAAGTAATTGAAAAGCCTTTGAAACTGTGATATATAGATTTTCAAAGTTTTCGATTTAATTTTTGTCTTATGAAATATATAGCAATAGTTTGTAGTAAATTATTGATAGGAGTTTAGTTATTATCATGCTAACAAAGGACCTGAAAGGTAGAATAGCCATCATGTTATTTATTCTGATTTTTGGCATTATCTCAAATTTAATAATAAAAATAGATGAAAGGTGTGATGTGTTTTACTTTGTTAGTAACTAGCTCACCTTCCTTCCTACTCAGTATTATAAATGAACATTAGTACCCCAGGTGAACACATATAACTATAAAACACCAGCTGAAGAAGAGGTGCCTTAGCATGTGAGCTTGCTGATTTTTATTTTCCCCTGCAGAAGGGACAAATTAAAACTTTGACTTAGTATATGCAGCAATAGTTTCTGATAATCTGTTGTAAATAAGAATCATTAATATTAGGGTCTAATTATGAGAGAAGTTGTCAATGTTTCAGTTGATCCTTGAAGTCAGACTTGTACTTATAAGCCAGACATCAACAAAAGTATAAATTAGAGTTGACAGTTTGTTACATGCAAAAGTCAGTGTCTGGGAGTAGAATAGCAGGATATAATAAATTATTTTATTAATATTGCTTTAGCAAATTTTGCTTTTGGGATGCTACCAGTATTGTAGAAACAGGCAATAAAAGGGAGGTGTCAGAGTATCTCTGGAGATATGTCAAACCTAATTATACAATCAATAATGCTGTACAGAGTGTTCTAAGTAGTTTGAGTCATAGAGGAATTTGGCAAAAGCTGATGAAAGTGATGAGATGGAGGTACATTTTTAGGTCACCTTTAAAGTTTAGTGATCTAGTCTCTAAATGAAATATATCACAAAATCTTGGTTTTTATTTTTCTTTTGTAGACTATTAGAACATCTTAAGAAAATTTTCTGAATTTTAACAATATTTTCTACCTATGAAAATTACAGACTGTAATTATAGATCATAAAATTTGTAGCAGTGCTTTATTCAACAAACATGAGAAGAAAACAATATATTATAAGCTACTAAAGCCACTTTATTTGGTAGACATAAAAATCATTAAAAAAAAATACTTCTTACTACCCTTAGTGAATTTCTTTCTTTTTTTGTGGGGGAAAGGGGACCTTCTTTTTTTGAGATAAATTGCTGGTTTTAGAATGCCCTTATTAACGTAGTGAGATTCTAAAGATTGTACTTTGTGTTCTCAGAATAGTGTTATCTCTTTTAGTAATTAGGACAGCTTAAATTGGTATTCTTATTAATCTTTTACTGTAATAACTTTCAAAGCATATTTATTTTACTTGTGAGAATATTCGGTTCCTTGGGTTTCTATTTTTAAGTGGAGTAATAACATAAAATTTTCCTTAGTCTTGATGTTAGTTTGGGTTAGCATTAGTCAGCTATACATCTTTTTTAAAAGTCTACAAATAAAGATTTTAGAAAGCATTTTGATGTTTTGGGTTGTATTCCTGGGAACTAAATGAATGTTTATGGTGTTCTGTTAACATCTTATTTGAAATTGAAAAGTAGAAATGCTGTGACTTAAAACAACTTTTATAAATCAAACATTTAAAAAGATATATATAAATCTTGAATTTGTAAAAGAAAATTTGCATAACTTCGTCTAACATCTTTATTTCAGAACGAGAAAAAGATCACAGTTCCTCTCGTCCAAGCAGTCCGCGTCCTCAAAAAGCATCCCCAAATGGTTCCATTAGCAGTGCTGGGAACAGCAGCAGAAACAGTAGTCAGTCAAGTTCAGATGGTAGCTGTAAGACAGCTGGGGAGATGGTGTTTGTATATGAAAATGCAAAAGAAGGAGCTCGGAATATAAGAACGTCAGAACGAGTGACACTAATAGTGGATAACACTAGATTTGTTGTAGACCCATCCATTTTTACTGCACAGCCAAATACAATGTTGGGCAGGTTTGTATTATTGCAGTTATTTGCATTACTAATTATAATGTGCTTTTACTGCCATTATTTTTTTGTTTAAGTTTTACAGTAATTCTCTGTTGAAATGTAACATTTCTGTTTTACAGATGAAAGAACTGAGCTTTGGAGGCTAAATTACTTGTCCCAAGTTAATACAGCTTAGAAAGTGATAGAGTAAGAGCTTGAACTTGGTTTTATTTCTAGTGTTCTTTGCAGTACCAGTAGAAATAGCAAATATATTAGTTATTGAAGTCAGGATACTAAAATATCTTTACAGATTGAGACTGTAAATTGAATCCAACCAGGTGAATTTAGCAATGATAATATGTTTCCTGCACTTGGGTTCCCATTCAATCACAAAATATAAACAATCAGCATTGTTTAAAGGCGGAAAAAAAACCCAATAGGTAGTTTAGCTGTAAAGTCAGCATGAATTGTCAGTTCGATGTAGATACTTTTAAAAAAAAAAAAAAAAAAAAGGAATGTCAACAAGTAGTTAGCAAAATGAAGGAGATAATTGTCATCTTCTGATTTGTGCTGGTCCAGAGTAATAGATCAATTTAAAGTTTGCAGTTATGGGAACCACAGTCTAAGAAGGATATAGACAATATAGACTTGATTTTTCACCATGTCCAAACTGTACCTTTTAATTGCAAAATCAGTATCTTTGTTCACACTACTATCAAATGAAAGGGCATGGGCATGAAATAGAAGTTTACATGAGATAAAAACTTGTACTTTACTAGATTGCATATGTAATGTGTGTATGTGTGATTTATCATTGTCTCAATACAGAATAAATGCTGCCATTGTGATATTGCATACATTTTTGAGTAAATATTTTCCTTCAACATTGACACTATGCTTTATATCATGAAAAAAAATCTTTGAACTATAGGCTTTTTTGTATTTTTAGTATTATAGGGGAGGATTATCGACAGAAATCAGGAATATGACTTGACAGTGTTAATGATACTTTATATTTTTACATAATATATAGAAACAATAAAAAAGTAGATATTTGAAATTTTGGCTGTTATGTTTTCTTAAAAAAACGTTTTAAAGTGTTCATATTGATGTGAAAAGAATAGCTTTCCCCTTTTGTAAAAAGTTTAAATGATGACATTTGATTCCTGAAAGAGTATCTTCTTTTTCTCCTTTTTCAATTAGCAAAGCCTTCTTTTTATGCCGATTGACTAAAGTGTGTCTTTGGGGATGAAAATTAATATTCATGGGAACTGTAAAAAGCAGCTGGCATTTTTTTTTGGAAACTTTGAAAGAAAAAGCTTTGTTGTTCATAGTTTTCTGTGTTACAACAAAAGAGAAAACTATTTGAATTAGGAAACTACTGAGTAGAAAACTTAGTTCAACCGTACCATAGGATCTAGAGGTTCACCTTTCTTTAATCATGATTTTTAAATTTTCTGGAGAGTACTAGAATACATTTTTTATTGTTTAGGACATATTTTGGAAATTGTGTCTTTTCTAAACAGCCACTGTTGAAGGGCCAACAACATGACTTGAAAAAATCATAAAGTCATTTGTATTTTCTTACATAAGAGCTTTTTAAATTTATTTTCTTAAACTTGCCCTTGTCTTATTTCTTCATTCCTGTCTATCCCAGCATTTGATTGCTTGTCTTTCAGTTCTAGGATGCAAGTCTAATAATTTTGAGTAGGATTTGTTACATTTATAGTTAAGATTGTGAAATGTAAAACAACCTGACTTGTCCTGTATCATATCACTTTGTCTCAGTTTAGCTTGCTATTATGTGCTGCATTATGGCATTAACTGTACAATGAAAATAGCAGTTTTAAGGAAAAAGCACAGATAACCTGGTTTCCCTTTTTTTTTCTTCCTGGTAAAATTGGTATTAAAAACTCATCTTTTTCCCTAGACTAATTGGTTGGTGTTGTTTTCTGAGAAGGGGTAGGAAAGCTCTTTAGCTTCTGAATTTTGTCGTTTATTTTATTGTTGCTTACAGGAAATCTATACTAGTGTTCCCTACCATCAAAAAGAAAATGTTTTTAATATTCTTTCTTTTATGATGTTTGCCAGAATAAATTAATGATAAAAATTCTTGAACTAAATTTAATGATATAATTCCTTTTTTCTTTTGTACATGAAATCTATTTTCCCTTTTGAAGGAAGTATTCTATTGACGTATTTCTCAATTATTTACTATCATAGGATGTTTGGATCTGGCCGAGAACATAACTTTACACGACCCAATGAGAAAGGAGAGTATGAGGTGGCAGAGGGAATTGGTTCCACTGTGTTTCGAGCGATTCTGGTGAGTGTTTCTTATGAGTATTGACTTAATCATAAGACGCCTTCTTGGAGGTACTTGGATTAGACGCAGAATTCTATTTGAATATCTCTCTGGAGTTATTCCAGGGTATTGTTTTTCCTTAAATACCATTTAATTCATCTTTATTTTATTTTGTTTATATTTTTATTTTGCAACAGGGTCTTGCTCTTTCACCCAGGCTGGATGGAGTGCAGTGGCACAATCATAGCTCACTGCAGCCTCAACCTCCCGGGCTCAAGCAATCCTCCTGCCACACACCTCCTGAGTAGTTGGGACTACAGGCATGCACCACTATGCCTGGCTAATTTTTTTTGTTTTCATTTTTTATAGAGACGAGGTCTCACAGTGTTACCTAGGCTGTTCTCGAACTCCAGGGCTCAAGCGATCCTCCTGCCTCGGCCTCCCAAAGTGCTGGGATTATAGGCATTGAGCCACCATGCCATGCTCTCATCTTTATTTTAGTACATACAAATAATACAATATAAGCAAATGAATTTTATGACCTTCAGGATGATAGGATAGGGGATTATTAATCTCTTAGGTTTGCATATATTAGGTATTTAGTAACATTTCTGGAGTCATATTTACTTCTCTTTCTCCTAAATACAGTAAATCGATCATTTTTACTATCTGAGAATGAATATGACTACTTGATTCTATTATTTTATTGCACATAACTAGCAGTGTGGAAACTTAGAAACATCTAAAAGTCATCTCCAAAATGTATTTGTTAACATCTTTAGTTTTTTATTGGGTTTTTTTTGTTGTTGTTGTTGTTTTTTGCCCCAGACAGGGTCTCACTGTGTTGCCAAGGCTGCAGTGCAGTAGTGTGATCACGGCTAACTGCAGCCTTGACCTTCTGGGTTTAAGTGATCATCCCACCTCAGCCTCCCTAGTAGCTGGGACCATAGGTGTGTGCCACCACGCCCAGCTAATTTTTTTGTATTTTTAGTAGAGATGAGGTTTCGCCATGTTGCCCAGGCTGATCTTGAACTCCTGAGCTCAAGCAGTCCTCCTGCCTTGGCCTCCCAAAGTGCTAGAATTACAGGTGTGAGCCACTGTGCCCAGCTGACGTCTTTGTTTTAAAACTTTTTTTTGAGGTTTTAACTGTTTTTTTTTTTGAAAAATATTTTATCACACAGAGTCCCTACTTGTAATTTAAATTCAGCGATTTTGGTTCATAAGGCTGGGTGTGGTGGTTCATGCCTATAATCCCAGCACGCTAAGAGACCAAGGCAGGTGGATGGCTTGAGTCCAGGAGTTCAAGACCAGCCTGGGCAACATGGCAAAACCCCATCTCTACCAAAAGAATATTTCCAAAAATTAGCTAGGTGTAGTGGCATACTTGTAGTTCCAGGTACTTGGGATGTGACAGTTACTACAGGATTGAATGAAGGGGGACAAATGCAGAAATGAAAACAAAGACAAGATAAAAGAAAATATTTAGATAATTTACAAACTACGTAACATTCTATAAAAGTACAAAGTGTGATTAAATATAGTGGTCAAGAAAGAAACTGAGTAAATAAACTTTGTTATATATGTCTAAAAAAAAAAAGAAGGGGCAGGGGGCTCCTTGCTTCTAGTGAGCAAAGGCCTTGAGCTTCCACAGCCCTTTGTATTTACTGGGGAGAAGGAGCAGGGAGGAGGTGCTGTTGGTCAGCTGCTTGATTTGTCACAGGTTCACATGATTGCTAACAGGCTTCAGTTGTGCCTGTAGATAATCACAAGAAACACTGCGCCTGGGGCATGACTGCCCTCAGCATTCGTTTTAGGCGGCAGATGCAGTTTGTCAGTTTGCCAACAATCTGCTTTCATGAGAACAGTTTGCTGTTTGCTCATATAGCCTCCAGTGGTATACTGAGTTGGTCACCACCCTCATTCTTTTGGCCTCCAACACTTGGGAGGCTGAGGTGGGAAGATCTTTTGAGCCAGGAGGCGAAGGTTGCAGTGAGCTGAGATCACACCATTGCACTCCAGCCTAGGTAACAAAGTGAGACCCTGTGTCAGAAAAAAAAAAAAAAAAAAAAAAGGTTTGATTGATAGTTTGTGACCGTTTGTGCCACAGCCTGAAAATACCATTTTCTTAAATAGTTTGAGGGAAGGGAGGATGCTGTGATGGAAGACAGATAGGGAAAATAGTTGATCTTGATCAGGTGAGTATTCATACAAGTACCAGAAGATGTTTCACTTCCATTGATGCAGCAACCTTAGAAATTGTGTTACTGGTTACTTTGGTTCGGAACCTCAGGAAAACTTGAGACAGGTCTTTTCTTTTTTTTTTTTTTTTTTTTTCGTTTGAGATGGAGGCTCGCTCCGTCGCCCAGGCTGGAGTGGAGTGGTGTGATCTCGGCTCACTGCAACCTCTGCCTCCTGAGTTCAAGTGATTCTCCTGCCTTAGCCTCTTGAGTAGCTAGGATTACAGGTGTGCACCACCACGCCTGGCTAATTTTTGTATTCTTTTTTTTTTTTATTATTTTTATTTTGAGATGGAGTCTTGCTCTGTCGCCCAGGCTGGAGTGCAGTGGCGCGATCTCGGCTCACTGCAAGCTCCGCCTCCCAGGTTCATGCCATTCTCCTGCCTCAGCCTCCCGAGTAGCTGGGACTACAGGTGCCTGCCACCACACCCGGCTAATTTTTTTGTATTCTTAGTAGAGAAGGTTTCACCGTGTTAGCCAGGCTGGTCTTGAACTTCTGACCTCAGGTGATCTGTCTACCTCGGCCTCCCAAAGTTCTGAGATTATAGGCGTGAGTCATGGTACCTGGCTGAGCCAGGTCTTAATTTTGGGGAAAAAGTGTTTTTTTAGCTGTCCATATTTCCCCTTGTGGAATTGAAAAGAATTTTTATCACTCATCTCTGAAGTAACTTATCTGTGATTCTGGGGTTGTCCTTTAACAACTTACTAAGTGGATTTTGGAAATAATTAATATTGCTTGTCATAATATGGAATCACCAAAGGGTAGTATTAAAAGAAGAATATCTAATGGTATGTCTTATTTTACATATTTTAATACTTGAATATGACTATAATTCTGTACTAAAAACCTCACATTTTGTTAAATTATCTAGGTAGTATTTAAGATAACATATCATTCAATTTCCTTACTTTTTAAAAAAATGTTTAAAACTTTATGATGGTTTCGTAGAAATATAACTTGTAGAAGGAAAATACATATGCATTGGTGTGATGTCATAAAGAAGACATGAATTAGGTAACAGGGAGCCCTATATTCAAATCTTACCTTTGCTTTTAAATAATTTTATGACAGGCTAAGTCGGTGAATTCATTTGGACCTGAATTTTCCTTATAGGTAAAATGAAAAAGTAGTTAGGTGAACGGAGGTCTCATCTAAGTTTAAACTTCCACATTTCAGAGATGTCAGAGTTCTCTACTGTTTCTGAAAATGTTACCAGCCCTTCCTTAATAATAAGTTTTGGCTACCTTATGCTCCAGATATTTTATGCTTTCTTTACTTTTCTTTTTCCAGGATTACTATAAAACAGGAATAATCCGTTGTCCTGATGGCATATCTATTCCTGAACTGAGAGAAGCATGTGACTATCTTTGTATCTCTTTTGAATATAGCACTATTAAATGTAGAGATCTCAGTAAGTATGATGTTTTGTGTGTAAGTGGTTTGTAGAATTAGAATATATTGGAACAAAAAGCCTGAAATTAGTGCTATTTACCTAGTTAGACTTAAAGTATTTAATTCAATTATAAAGCATTCTAGTACCACAAAGATTATTAATGAAAGCTTGCAAAGACCTTGATGATCTCCTTGTGCAATTTTCCAAATATTTTTTCAATTTTAATAATTTTCTTTTTTGACAAACCCAGATTTCCTCCTAGACAGTTTTCTATATTATTTATTTGTTACCAGTTTTATCTCCTAGATTTGGATCCTTGGCTTTGGTCAAGTGTGGTCATTTGGCTGCATTTCTTTGATTACATCATCCAAAAATTTATAATTTTTTGTATTACCACGTGTGATAATATGAGCACTATGGAAAACACAAATAATTCTCAAAAACAATACCTATCATTAAAGATCCTAGATTGAATGTCTAGCCCTCATGTATACATAGGATTAAATGACTTCATCCAAGAACTTCAAATATTGTCTCAAAGCAGTGTGTAGAAGGTTTTAATCCCAACTCTTTGATTGGTATTCTTCTCTCACTACTTCTTCAGCACCCCTACTCCCATTGTTACTTCTTCAGCACCCCTACTCCCATTGTTTCTCCCAACCCTGAGAAAAGATGTGATTATGCACAAAAAAGTCAAAATAGTGTATGAGAAGTATCAAATGTTGACTTAGGTACTTAAGCCAACACTTAAGTGGTTGGAGAAGTTCAGAGGAAGGGGAAGTCATTGTGGGCTAAGGATCGTGGAAGAGTTCAGTGGAAATACGTAGTAAAGAATGAACTAAATGATTTACAAAGAGTAGATAGTATTGTTTTGGGGAATTATTTATATCTTCCATAGTGCCCAGGATATCATCCTACATGGTAATACAAAAAATTCTCAGAGCTGAGGTTTCTGGAGTAAAGATGTAGTAGGTATACTTTGGAAATACAGTAGATCCAATAGATTGTCCAATAGATTGTTAGACAGCCAGAACATACAACTGTACATTTGAACAACGTTGCTGGGTTTTTGTTGTTGTTGTTGTTGTTGTTTTTGAGATGGAGTCTCGCTGTGTCACCCAGGCTGGAGTGCAGTGGTGCAATCTCAGCTCACTGCAACCTCTGCTTCCTGAGTTCAAGGGATTCTCCTGCCTTAGCCTCCCCAGTAGCTGGGGTTACAGGCACCCATCACCACACCTGGCTAATTTTTTTGTTTTAATAGAGACAGGGTTTCACTATGTTGGCCAGGTTGGTCTTGAACTCCTGAGCTCAGATGATGCACCTGCGTCGGTCTCCCAAAGTGCTGGGATTACAGGTGTGAGCCACTGTGCCTGGCCAGAGTTGCTGTTTTTTCACATCTTAAAAAAATGATTTTAGGGGCTGGGTGCAGTGGCTCACACCTGTAATCTCAGCACTTTGGGAGGCAGAGGCGGTCGGATCACCTGAGGTCGGGAGTTCGAGACCAGCCTGACCAACATGGAGAAACCTCTTCTCTACTAAAAATACAAAATTAGCCAGGCGTGGTGGTGCATGCCTGTAATTCCAGCTACTCGGGAGGCTGAGGCAGGAGAATTGCTTGAACACGGGAGGTGGAGGTTGTGGTGAGCCGAGATTGCGCCATCGCACTCCAGCATGGGCAACAAGAGTGAAACTCCATCTCAAAAAAAAAAAAAAAGTTTTAGTTGAAACCATGAGCATTATAGATCCCTGATTTCAAGTTTTGTGTCTATTCATACGACCATTTAAATTAATCTTTATATAATTAATGTTGAATTTTGGTGACTGGCAGAGATAGAAAAAAACTAGAATTTTTTACAGATGATGTGAATCTCTTAGTTCTGCAATCTTTTGTTGTGCGTAGTTTACCTTGTCATTACTACTAAGTATCTTTTATTTGTTACAGATTAAAAGTAAGGGTTTTATGTAAAATATGTGTAACATGATTATCCTAGACTTTTAGCTTTTCAGTAATATTTGTAGTTGTTTCTAGATTACTTGTAATATATGTTACTAAAAATTTAGAGATTCTCAAAGACGTTTTAAAAAAAAACTATATAGAATTTGAAGAGATGGAAGTGGTCTTGTAAAAATGTAGGTAGACTTTAATCCAAAAGTAAATTTTTTTTCTTGCAAATATATGCCTTTGCTGAATATTTGGAATGGCACTTTGCACTAAAATATCTGGGCTTATATCTTAATTTAAGAAGAAATTATACAATTTGCTTGCATGTTCTCTCTCTCTGGTTGAGGCACTCTTTTTCAGTTTGTGGCATTAAACTAGTTTGGACTTGAGGACAGAGACTGTATCTTTTTGACTTTGTGTCTATAGTGTGTGGCACATCCTAAGGACTCAACAAAATGTTTGCTGAACTAATAAATTATTGTATTCCCTTGTGCGTTTTTAGGACCCTCTTCCACTGGTTGTCCTCTCTGGTATCATCAGTCTTTCCCTTTCTCTATGTAGTAAACCTCAGTCTCAAACATACTCAAATCTGACTTATGTCTATTCTAGACGTTCAAAAACATTCTCTTTAAAAAAAACTTGAGCTTTTCATTGGAATCCTTTGAAGTTAACTTTTTAGAAGAATTAACATATAGCTCCAAATGCTGTGTCTTCCCATTTATTCACACTTTTGTGTCTTTAGGTAGAGTTTTATCATTTTCTTCATATAGTTTCTGCTCTGGTCTTGTTAATATTTTGTGTTTTTATTATTGCTGTGTGTAGAATATGTTTAACTTTTCTAAGTGCTAACTTATAATAAAGTTACTGAATTTTGTACATTTAGCCACCTCATAGAGCCCTGTTTGTTTCTAATAATTTTTTAGTTGATCCTAATATATGCCTCACAGTTAATTGACTATGTTATAAATAACACTTTTTATATCTTTTTTTTGTCCTGTCAAATTGGCTAGAAGATTTTGAACAATGTTAAGTTTAATGGGAATTCTGGCATCTCTGTCTTTAAAGGCATTTCCCTGGACGTGGGGCTCATGTCTATATTCCCAGCACTTTGAGAGGCTGAGGTGGGAGGAGCACTTGAGCCCAGGGGTTCGAAATCATCCTAGGCAACATAGCAAGACCCTGTCTTAAGAAAAATAAAGACATTTCTTTTAGGCTTAATTACGATGTTACTCATTTTTTCTTGACTCTCCCTTCCTTTGGCTTTTTGGCATCCTTTTTCCTGATCCTTGGAATGTGGTTGTTCTCCACTGTTAGCTACTTTCTCTCTCACAGAATCTGCACTTATTCTAAGTGGTGCTATTCATCACTGTGGCTTCAAATATTATCTTTACACTGGGGATTTCTACCTTTTTATCTTTAATTTCTAAGTGTCAACTTTAATTTTTTTTAAATTTTATTTCAGTTGTTTTTGGGATACAGGTGGTTTTGGGTTATATGGATAAGTTTTTAGTGGTTATTTCTGAGATTTTTGTGCACTTATCACCTGGACAGCGTACACTGTACTCAGTATGTAGTCTTTTATCCCTCACTTCCTCCCAGCCTTCCTCACCGACTTCCCAGAGTCCACTGTATCATTCTTGTGCCTCTGTGTCCTGATCAACTATTCATTTCTAGTTTACCATTTAACTTGTCCTTTCGTCCCCTCTTCCTTCTTAATCAAGCTTTTTATGAGTTTCATGCATATAGTACATATAGTGATGAATAAAGACAGACATTGTCCCTGCCTTTATGGAGTTTATAGTCTGGTTGGGAGGACAGACATTTAACAAGTAATAAAAGCTGTGAAAAATGCAGTGAAGAAATGAGATATTATTAGAAGTGTATGACAAAGGGTCTGTGGAGAATCATTATCTAAGTGCCGTTAAAGCCGAGACCTGAAGGAGTGGCAAAGAGTGAGGGAAAGCTGACCATAGAAGCAGTAGAAATGATGTGTGCAGAGGTTTAAGTGGGAAGGAATGTGACATATTTAGGGTACTCAAAAAAAGGCAAATGTTGCTAGAGCAGAGGGATGGAATATGAGTGGTGAGGAATAAGGCCTGAGAGGTAAAGAGGAAACAAAATTTATGAATTAAACAAATATTTAATGACTCTACTCTGTACTAAGCACTGTTCTAAGTTTTGGGGATTCAGTATGAACAAACCAGGCATAACTTTCTGTTCTAATGGAATGTACACTCTATTGGGAAAAACGTGATAAACAAAGTAAATAAATCATATATGCTATGTTAGTGATAAGTGCCAAGGAGAAAAAAGTGAAGAAGTTACTTAGAGGAGCCAGAGAAACTTTCATTGGAAATAAAAATGTTAAATTCCAAGCAGAGGTTGCTAGTGAATGCACACAATGAAGGAGCTTGTCTGGTATATTTGAGAGCAGCAGAGAGGCCAGGATAGTTGGAGTGGAGTGAGTGAGAGTGTCAGTAATGGGAAATGTGGTCGGAGAGGTAACAAGGCACCTAGGTCAAATAAGGCCTTTATGTTTTGGCTTTTACTCTGAGTGAGATTGGAAGATATGGGACGGGTTTGAACAAAAGAGTGATATGATCTGTAAGGCTGTCACATTGTACCATTTCATGGGGGCCCTGTTCACACAGAAGTCAGTGTAGAGTTGTTCAGTGCTATAATCCTGACCTGACTTAAGGTTTAAAAGAATCACTTTTGGCTGTTGTGTTAAAAATGGACCAAAAGGGGAATTGTGCTAGAAGCAAATAGATCAATTAGGAAGCCACTGTCAAAGTCCAGGTATGAGATGGTAGGGGCTTGGATTAGAGTGGAAGCATTAAGAAGTAGTCAGATTCTGGGTATATGGGATGTTCAGATTACCAGAATTTCCTCTTCAATTGAATGTGGAGTGGAAAGAAGAGGAGAGCTTTAACCAGAAGTGTGAGGTTGCCATTAATTGAGATGGGGGAGACTTCATGAGGAGCAAAAATCTAAAAGCTTGATTTTGAACACGTTAAGTTTGAAATACCTGTTAGATATCCAAGTAGAAATGTTAAGTGGAGCATTGGGTATACATGTCTAAAGTTCAGCAGAGAAATGTGGGTTAGATATAAGTGGGAGTCATCAGTATATGGATAATATTTAAACAAAGTGTATTAAAGGATTGATTCTAGACACTGATCTATAACATTCTTTTTCACATAGCAGGGCTTTATGTACCAAGTTGAGGATTTATTTTAAGGATAGTACAAGTCATGAGAGACAATTAGATTTGGCTGCTGTGGGGAAAATGAATTGCAGAGAGGCAAAAGCAGATGTTGGGGGAATGTAATCAGAAAGATTTTGTAGTAATTTGGGTGAGAGTTAATGATGAACAGAACCAGGATGGAGGCAAGAGGATGGAATATGTCGGGTTAACTATTGCTGTGTAATAAGCCACCCCAAGCTTAGCATAAACTATAACCATTTTATTACTCTCATTTATTCTGTGGGTCAGGAATTTATACAGGGCACAGCAGAGGTGGCTTATGGCTGTATCACAATATCTGAGGCCTCATCTGTGAAGAATTGATGGGCTGGGGTGGCTCACAAGGCTGGAGGCTTTATTCACATGTCTGGTGCCAGGACTGGGATGACTGAAAGGCTGGACTCAGCTAGGAATGTCAAACAGAATACCTATGTGTGCTCTCTCCGTATGACTTGAACTTCTCAAATCCTGGAGGCTGCATTCAGAAAGGAAGCATTTGAAGAAAAAGCATTCCAGAAACCAAGGCAGAAATTGCAAGGCTTCTTTTGACTTAGCCTCCAAAGTCATGTGCTGTCTCCTCAGCCATGCTCCTCTGGTTACAAACAAGTTTGTATTACCAGTCTAATTAAAGGGGAGGGGAGCTAGACTCCACTTTTTGGGAAGAGATGTCAAGGTCACCTTGCAGAAAAGTATGTGGCTTAGGAGATTTTGCAGCTATCTTTGTGCCAAAAGAAGGAAATAACACAATTCAAGGTGTGTTTAAGAAGACTTGGGGAATTATTTGAATTAGGTGGTAAAGGAGAAATCCAGGATTTATTCATTTAGTATACTAACATTTAAGTTCCCATTATATGCCCAGCACTGTGCTGAGATAGTTCTGAAAACTTGAGTGGATAGTGATGCCATTTACTGATTTGAAAAATACCGTGGAGAGAGTTAGAGACGGTAAGTTAAATTTTGGATGTATTGAGTTTGACGTACCTCTGAAGTTACATCCAAGTGGAAATTTCCAGAAAGCAGCTGAATATAATGCATCTCGAATACAGAAGACTGAATTAGTAGAAATAAATTTGGGAATTCTCAGCATAGGATAAAGAAGAAAAGAACTTAAAATTGTCCTGAGAAATACCAGTATTTAATGAACAGCTGGAGGAGAAAGAGTTGGCAAAGGTTACTGAGGAAGAATAGCCAGTGGGAGGAAAAAAACAGGGATAATGGTATCAGAGATTCTTAGGGGTGAGTATGTTTCAAGAAAGAGTGTTCCATTGTAGGAGATTAAACTGAGAGGTCAAATAAGATCAGGACCAAAAGATGGTTATTGTCTTTAACAATATAAAGGCTATTTGGAGACCATAGCAAGACATTTTTGTAGTATAGTGAGAATGGAAGCCAGATTGGAATTGGTTCAGAAGTTGGGGAGAGAGAAGGTGTTGAAATATAGGTAATTGTCTATAAAGATAACTTTTTAAAATGATAATGGGAAATAGCCAGCCTGGAGAGAGACATGGCTAAGTAATATTAATGTAGATTATTTAATTATCTAATCAATTATATTAATTGTAATATGTTAATTATATAGTGTTTATTATATAATATATAATTATAGAGACATCTTGTAGGGAGGAAAAGCTCTCCCTTGGGAGACTGTAGGTTATGAGTTCTAGCGTCTTCCTTCACCCCTTCTCCAGTTCTCCAGTTTTTACAACACACACACACAAACACACACACACACACACACACACTGTCTCTCTCTCTGGCTCACTCTCTGTTTCTCTCTCTCTCTCTCTCTCTCTCTCTCACTCATGCGTATGGTTGCCATGGTTGCTTCTTTAACTTCGCTCTCCAGGCTGATGCAGTAGCAGTAGTTCTTGAGATGTTGGCATCTTCAGTAGGGAGATAGGACATTGCCATTAAATAGAAATAAAAGAAAAAAGCAGTGCAGGTGAGTTTGTGGCTGTGCATTTAGGAAATTGAAGTTGTTCATTATGTCTGTGCTTAAGGAGGTTGAAGTCTCTTTCAGCTCTCTCACTTCTAGTATCAAGTTTGCTGTGGAATTCCTGCATCATGTTGTATTTTGCTTGATCTTTTGCCTGCATTATTCTAAAGACTATTGACCCTTTTCAGCTCACCTCTCAACCTGCACTGAAATATTAATTCTGTTTATAACTTTTGGAGAAGGAGAGCATGCAGGAAATGGAATATAAGAACTATTTCAGTTTATGTGGATAACCTGAAAAGTATCTTTAAGATATACCTTAAGACATATTGTGTATACTGATGGAAGATAATATGGTATAGTGAAAAATACGCTAGGCTAGGGATAGGGTTTTAATTCTGACTTTGCAAATTAGTTTTGTAATATTAGGCAAGTTATTTCATGATGTGTAAAATGAGGGGGCCTATGTAGGCTGCCTGGCCTTTCTTGTTATAAGAGTCTATATTTCTAAAAGAACTCTTTTTAGGAAAAGTTTTGGTAAGATATTTTTGTGGATTTCATTTCAGGTGCCCTAATGCATGAGTTATCAAATGATGGTGCTCGTAGACAATTTGAATTTTATCTGGAAGAAATGATCCTCCCTCTCATGGTAGCTAGTGCCCAGAGTGGGGAACGGGAATGTCATATAGTGGTGCTTACAGATGATGATGTGGTTGATTGGGATGAAGAATATCCACCACAGATGGGAGAAGAATATTCACAAAGTACGTACTCTGGCATGTTTTCTCTCCCCTGAATCATCACGAATTATTTCTTGTTTATGTAAAGAAGAGCTCTTCTCATAGACCAGCCTGGGGGTCAATCCAGCCCATCACCTATTTTTATAAATTAAGTTTTATGTATTGCCTATGGCTGCTTTCATGCTACAGTGGCAGAGTTGAGTAGTTGTAACAGAAACTGCATGGCTCGCAATGCCCAAAGTATTTATTATATGTCCCTGTACAGAAGAATATGCCCCGCCCATGCCATATACACATGGTTAGTTATTTGTTGACTCTCTGGAACTTGATAGATTTTTTTTCTTTGTATTTAAAAGCATTCAGGAGAACTACTTCCTTTATGAAAATAGCTTGTTTAAAAAATGAGTTTTTTTACGTAAATTTGGAAGCTTTAACTCATTGATTTTGAGGATAACTTTAAGTTGTAAGGTACCCTTTTTTAAAATATCATGTATGTTCATCAAGGATACAATGACCCTTCATAAGGCTTTGTAGAATTATAGTTCTTTTGGGCATTTCTAACCAAAATGGCCTATCTTGAGCAACAATCACTGACATTTTTTCTTATTTTTTTGTTATTTTTTCTTGATGAGCCCAATATTAGTATTTCTGACCAGTTTTATAAATAAGGAAGAATTGAAAAAGAATGACTCAAGGAATTGAATAAAATAGCCTAGCATCTTCTTCTGTACTATATAGTCTGTTGACTTGGTAAGGATTAGGGTTTAATATAGAAAGTACCAAAACACCTTATCTCTGATTTTTCCATTTTACATATGCTTTTCTAAAATCAAAACAAAGCAGACTCCAGATGGCATTCTTTTTAACTTCCGAAGGAGATTTTTGAAAGATTATTTTAACACAAGTTATGGTAGCACTTTACAGAGTTTGCATTGAGATATTTCTTTTGCATGATGTACTTAAATGAGTGTTGTGATTCCTTTGTGGATAGTTGTAGTAATAGACATTTCTGTTGCTATTTCCTCAGTTCTAGGCTCTTTGCTGACAATGGTTTTCTATAATATGTGGAATAAAAAGTTGAACAAAACCCAAGAAAAGTGAAAGGTTGTCAAAAATAAAAGAGGTATACTAAATTATTTTCTGTTAAGGAAAAGGAGTGAACAAGCTTATAACTTACATTTTACTTTTCAAAAGGTTTGACCCCAAGAAGGTACAGTCAACCATAGAAGATAGAAATGATATTATAGTGATAAAGGAATGATAATAAACCTGGTGTTTTCTTTTCCATTGTTGAACTTTTCACTTCAATATTTTTGTTTTCTTGTTTTTTATCTTAAAGCTTAAAAGGCCTGAAAACATTTTTACTTAGTGGTCTAAATATGTATTATTTTGTATCAAGATGATCCAACATAAAGAAGATTCATTTGAGGAGCTAGAGATAGCCTTTCGGCCTGATTTTTCTATATGTGACTTTATGACAGATATTGTCCTTTCTAAGATCTAAAATAATCTTTATCTTCAAATACCAGTAAATCTTAAGGATGTAGTAATAATCACAAATTTACCCCATGAGTAGAGTTTATATACGTATTTTCTTTTTTTTGGCTCTTAAACCAGCATGTTTGGTTTGTGAGTGTGTTTTTCTTTTTTTGAAAAAACCTTTGCAGTTCACCTTTTAAGGGAGATAACTCAACCCGAAAGAGAGAAGGCGAGGAATGTCCATCAGTCTAACTCCCTGAAGTTCTCAGCACATTTGGAAGACTCAACATGTTGTCAGTGGAATGTCTGTCCTTTGCAAAGCCAGTTTGCTCTAAACAGACTAACCTAGGCAGAACTTGCTCGAATCTGCCATTTTTAACATCAGTATTAAATGGGGCTGTTCGCCTGAATGGAAAACAGTTTGTGGGGAGGGTCTTTGCCTTTTGGGAAATTATTAATAGTTGCTCAATCCATGAAATGTAAAATGTATCTGTTTTGTACTCTTTGACAAGGCAGTTTTTCCGCCTCTAGACTAGGCCTTGTAGACATCTTAGCAAAGTCCTTTACTTTGCTTGATAATGATGCGATATTGATATCTTCTTTGGATTCTCTTATTTGAAACTTGGGGCAGATCCCATTCCAATAAATGTGTAGATGATGTTCTTTCAGAAGGAGATTCTTCCTATGGATTGGGTTTTCTGATTGGTTGTCAAAGCTTTTCTTGTTTCCACTTAAGTAGACATTTGCTTCTACATTAACTATACTGAATACTGCCCTGTCATGTTGGCTAGTCATCCTTTGGCATTACTGCATCCATTATTTGGGCTTTTAGGACTGTTAGGCCCCTTTGATGAGCAAGATAAATTTAAGTTCATCTCTAAATCCTTTAATTTTAATACAATAATATTTTTCTTTTTGTTTCTAGTTATTTATAGCACAAAATTATATAGATTTTTCAAGTATATTGAAAACAGAGATGTGGCCAAGTCAGTTTTGAAGGAGAGGGGTCTTAAGAAGATTAGATTGGGAATAGAAGGTAAGACATTTTCATTATTTTCTATTAGTTTTCTTTTTAAAACAAAAAGGTTAAAAACAATTGGATCTTATTTAGAATACAGTTGGAATACTTTGAGAAAAACTCTGACAAATGATTACCACATGCTTATGCAGTAGACCTATAAATAACAAAAATCAGCTGCACTTAGAAGACAGATAAAAGGCCATTAGAAATTGTTATTCCATAAGATTCTCTAGTGATAGAGATATGAATTTGTCTTTTTCTGCCCTAGTTTGCCCTAATTCATTTTTGACAAAGCCCATGTGGTGTGTGTGGACATGAATATATGTACATTCCCATAGGATTGGCAGGGCTTTTTGCATAGTAGTGATCATTGAAGCCCAACAGAATTAAAAATTACTTCCTTAAAATTCATGTAAAAGCAGCACTACTAGTAGCTTACTTATGTCTTAAAGTATGATAATAGCTTATTTTCAAGGTAAGTACAAATTATGAAATATTCTTTCATCTTATGTAAATGCACAGAGTTTTAGATAGCTTACTTTATGAATTAAAATAATTTTTCTGTAATGTTTTATCAGATGCCTCTTTTATTTTAAAATACCCATAAGAGGAACAAAGTGTCTTAATTGATATAACATGACAATGTAAAGAGTAAAAGCTTTGGAGCCAGATTACTTATATTCAAATCCTGTGACTTATGTTCAAATCCTGTGACCTTGGCCAAGGCACTTAAAAATTCTGTGCCTCAGTTTCTTTCCTCTAAAATGAGAGCATTAATGAGTACTTTATAAGGTTTTTGTAAGGATAGAATGAATTAATATATGAAAAACACTTAAAACACTGCCTAGTACATAGTAAGTTTGCAGTATATGTTTGTGATGGTGATAATGAAGATAATAGTGTTGATCATTGACCTACCTGATTGAACTGTTGGAGAATAGTAATGGGCTGCTGAGATATATAGGAAGAATAACCAGAAACAGGATTTTTGTGTGGGAAGGGGCAGAGACTTTGGGCTTAAAAAGCAGTGGAATTGCTGATATATGAAGCATTGGTCTAGTGTCCTAGTTCATTACTTTGTAAACAGTGAGATTTAGCTACTTGGTCTTAGAGCTAGAGAGAAGGCACTGGGAGCTACTTTAGATTGGGAGGACAGGGAAGGCCTCCTGAGAAGAAGACATTCAAGGGGAGGCCTGGTGACAAAAATGGTTCTAGACGGAGAAAATAGCAAGTGCAAAAGTGTTGAGGTAGGAATGAGCTTACTATATTTGTGGTACAGAAAACATACATATGTCTGGTATAATAAATGAGGAGGAGATTTGAAGAGATATAGTTGGTCTGAAAGTTAGTAGAAGAGATAAAGTAGGATCAGAAGATGCAGGGTCTTATAGGCCATGATAAGGAGTATACTGGCCAAGTGTCTTAAGGTAAGTCCCTCAGCCTTTCTGAGCATCAGTTTCCTTTATCTTAGTAGTGAGTGTAATACTCTGTATATCTTAGAGGATAGTTGTGATAATCAAATATTATTTATTAGAAATTATTTCCTTCCCAAGAGGATAGTTGTGATAATCAAATATTATTTACTAGAAATTACTTCCTTCCCACTCTACTTCCTCTTTCTCTACATGGCGACTATTATCCATCCTTTAAATCCTCTGAAACCTTCTTGGAACCTCTGTGAAATTATTCGTTAGAATAATTTGCTAAATAATACTCTGTTCAGGTCATAGACTGTGAGCTCCTTGAGAGAAGTCAAGTTGCATATTGCATACCTAACATGTGGTCTAGTTCCTAGGTATAGGTGGTTCTCAAATAGTAAATAAATGATTTATGGAAAAGCTATATGTAAATTAGTTACTGAAAGTGAGGACTTCTTTCTCTGTCACAGGGAGATAATAGCAGTGCTCTAAAGCATTGGGCCATAACTCTTAAATGAATTTTCATATAATTGTAAGGACCTATAACAAGTACTAGTTACTATTAACCTCATATAAAATTCATTTAAAATAGTACATTATATGTGTGTGTGTATATATATATAATGTAATATATATATATCTGATATATAATATTTCACTCCTAAATATTTTAATATGCAGCTCTAAAAATATTTTAACATACCCAACAAAATTAAAGAATACTTTATTTGAATCAATCCATATTAAAATTTCTCAGTGGTCTCCCCAAATTTCCTTTTAGCTGTTTTCTCTAAACCAACATTCAATCTGGGACCACATCTTACAACTAACTGCTTGTTTTGTCAAATTTCTCAATCTAGAATAGTTCCTTATTTATGATATTGTCCTATTGAAGAGTCTGGGCCAGTTGTCTTGTAGAAGGTCCCACTTCTGGATTTGCCCTATTATTTCCTTGGTGTGTTCTTCAGTTTAGTCCCTCTCTTCTGTAATTTCTGTGAACTGTAAGTTAGATTAAAGGCTTAGTCCGTGTATTAGTCCGTTTTCTCACGGCTTTAAAGAACTACCTCTGGGGGGTGGAGCCAAGATGGCCGAATAGGAACAGCTCCAGTCTACAGCTTCCAGCGTGAGCGACGCAGAAAATGGGTGATTTCTGCATTTCCAACTGAGGTACCAGGTTCATCTCACTGGGGAGTGCCGGACAGTGGGTGCAGGACAGTGGGTGCAGCGCACCGTGCGTGAGCCGAAGCAGGGCGAGGCATCGCCTCACCTGGGAAGCACAAGGGGTCAGGGAATTCCCTTTCCTAGTCAAAGAAAGGGGTGACAGACAGCACCTGGAAAATCGGGTCACTCCCACCCTAATACTGCACTTTTCCAACGGGCTTCACAAACGGCACACCAGGAGATTATATCCCACACCTGGCTCTGAGGGTCCTACACCCACGGAGCCTTGCTCATTGCTAGCACAGCAGTCTGAGATCAAACTGCAAGGTGGCAGCGAGGCTGGGGGAGGGGCACCCGCCATTGCTCAGACTTAAGTAGGTAAACAAATCGGCCTGGAAGCTCGAACTGGGTGGAGCCCACCACAGCTCAAGGAGGCCTGCCTGCCTCTGTAGGCTCCCCCTTTGGGGGCAGGGCACAGACAAACAAAAGACAGCAATAACCTCTGCAGACTTAAATGTCCCTGTCTGACAGCTTTGAAGAGAGTAGTGGTTCTCCCAGCACACAGCTTGAGATCTGAGAACGGGCAGACTGCCTCCTGAAGTGGGTCCCTGAGCCCCGAGTAGCCTAACTGGGAGGCACCCCCCAGTAGGGGCGGACTGACACCTCACACGGCCGGGTACTCCTCTGAGAGAAAACTTCCAGAGGAACGATCAGGCAGCAGCATTTGCAGTTCACCAATATCTGCTGTTCTGTAGGCACTGCTGCTGATACCAAGGTAAACAGGGTCTGGAGTGGACCTCCAGTAAACTCCAACAGACCTGCTGCTGAGGGTCCTGTCTGTTAGAAGGAAAACTAACAAACAGAAAGGACATCCACACCAAAAACCCATCTGTACGTCACCATCATCAAAGACCAAAGGTAGATAAAACCACAAAGATGGGGAAAAAACAGAGCAGCAAAACCGGAAACTCTAAAAATCAGAGCGCCTCTCCTCCTCCAAAGGAATGCAGCTCCTCACCAGCAACGGAACAAAGCTGAATGGAGAATGACTTTGACGAGTTGAGAGAGGAAGGCTTCAGAAGATCAAACTACTCCGAGCTAAAGGAGGAAGTTCAATCCAATGGCAAAGAAGTTAAAAACTTTGAAAAAAAATTAGACGAATGGCTAACTAGAATAACCAATGCAGAGAAGTTCTTAAAGGACCTGATGGAGCTGAAAGCCACGGCACGAGAACTACGTGACGAATGCACAAGCCTCAGTAGCCGATGCGATCAACTGGAAGAAAGGGTATCAGCGATGGAAGACAAAATGAATGAAATGAAGCGTGAAGAGAAGTTTAGAGAAAAAAGAATAAAAAGAAACGAACAAAGCCTCCAAGAAATATGGGACTATGTGAAAAGACCAAATCTACGTCTCATTGGTGTACCTGAAAGTGATGGGGAGAATGGAACCAAGTTGGAAAACACTCTGCAGGATATTATCCAGGAGAACTTCCCCAATCTAGCAAGGAAGGCCAACATTCAAATTCAGGAAATACAGAGAACGCCACAAAGATACTCCTCGAGAAGAGCAACTAACTCCAAGACACGTAATTGTCAGATTCACCAAAGTTGAAATGAAGGAAAAAATGTTAAGGGCAGCCAGAGAGAAAGGTCGGGTAACCCACAAAGGGAAGCCCATCAGACTAACAGCTGATCTCTCAGCAGAAACTCTACAAGCCAGAAGAGAGTGGGGGCCAATATTCAACATTCTTAAAGAAAAGAATTTTCAACCCAGAATTTCATATCCAGCCAAACTAAGCTTCATAAGTGAAGGAGAAATAAAATCCTTTACAGACAAGCAAATGCTGAGAGATTTTGTCACCACCAGGCCTGCCCTACAAGAGCTCCTGAAGGAAGCACTAAATATGGGAAGGAACAACCAGTACCAGCCACTGCAAAAACATGCCAAATTGTAAACACCATCAAGGCTAGGAAGAAACTGCATCAACTAATGAACAAAATAACCAGCTAACATCATAATGACAGGATCAAATTCACACATAACAATATTAACATTAAATGTAAATGGGCTAAATGCTCTAATTAAAAGACACAGACTGGCAAATTGGATAAAGAGTCAAGACCCATCAGTGTGCTGTATTCAGGAGACCCATCTCACATGCAGAGACACACATAGGCTCAAAATAAAGGGATGGAGGAAGATCTACCAAGCAAATGGAAAACAAAAAAAGGCAGGGGTTTCAATCCTAGTCTCTGATAAAACAGACTTTAAACCAACAAAGATCAAAAGAGACAAAGAAGGCCATTACATAATGGTAAAGGGATCAATTCAACAAGAAGAGCTAACTATCCTAAATATATATGCACCCAATAGAGGAGCACCCAGATTCATAAAGCAAGTCCTGAGTGACCTACAAAGAGACTTAGACTCCCACACAATAATAATGGGAGACTTTAACACCCCACTGTCAACATTAGACAGATCAATGAGACAGAAAGTTAACAAGGATATCCAGGAATTGAACTCAGCTCTGCACCAAGCAGACCTAATAGACATCTACAGAATTCCCCACCCCAAATCAACAGAATATACATTCTTTTCAGCACCACACCACACCTATTCCAAAATTGACCACATAGTTGGAAGTAAAGCACTCCTCAGCAAATGTAAAAGAACAGAAATTATAACAAACTGTCTCTTAGACCACAGTGCAATCCAACTAGAACTCAGGATTAAGAAACTCACTCAAAACCACTCAACTACATGGAAACTGAACAACCTTCTCCTGAATGACTACTGGGTACATAACGAAATGAAGGCAGACATAAAGCTGTACTTTGAAACCAATGAGAAAAAAGACACAACATACCAGAATCTCTGGGACACATTCAAAGCAGTGTGTAGAGGGAAATTTATAGCACTAAATGCCCACAAGAGAAAGCAGGAAAGATCTAAAATTGACACCCTAACATCACAATTAAAAGAACTAGAGAAGCAAGAGCAAACACATTCAAAAGCTGGCAGAAGGCAAGAAATAACTAAGATCAGAGCAGAATTGAAGGAGATAGAGACACAAAAAACCCTTCAAAAAATCAATGAATCCAGGAGCTGGTTTTTTGAAAGGATCAACAAAATTGATAGACTGCTAGCAAGACAAACAAAGAAGAAAAGAGAGAAGAATCAAATAGACGCAATAAAAAATGTTAAAAGGGATATCACCACCAATCCCACAGAAATACAAACTACCATCAGAGAATACTATAAACACCTCTATGCAAATAAACTAGAAAATCTAAAAGAAATGGATAAATTCCTGGACACATACACTCTCCCAAGACTAAACCAGGAAGAAGTTGAATCTCTGAATAGACCAATAACAGGCTCTGAAATTGAGGCAATAATTAATAGCTTACCAACTAAAAAAAGTCCATGACCAGATGGATTCACAGACAAATTCTACCAGAGGTACAAGGAGGAGCTGGTACCATTCCTTCTGAAACTATTCCAATCAATAGAAAAAGATGGAATCTTTCCTAACTCATTTTATGAGGCCAGCATCATCCTGATACCAAAGCCTGGCAGAGACACAACCAGAAAAGAGAATTTTAGACCAATATCCCTGATGAACATTGATGCAAAACTCCTCAATAAAATTCTGGCAAACCGAATCCAGCAACACATCAAAAAGCTTATCCACCATGATCAAGTGGGCTTCATCCCTGGGATGCAAGGCTGGTTCCACATGCAAAAATCAATAAACGTAATCCAGCATATAAACAGAACCAAAGACAAAAAACACATGATTATCTCAATAGATGCAGAAAAGGCCTTTGATAAAATTCAACAACACTTCATGCTAAAAACTCTCAATAAATTAGATATTGATGGAACGTATCTCAAAATAATAAGAGCTATCTATGACAAACCCACAGCCAGTATCATACTGAATGGGCAAAAACTGGAAGCATTCCCTTTGAAAACTGGCACAAGAAAGGGATGCCCTCTCTCACCACAACTATTCACCATAGTGTTGGAAGTTCTGGCCAGGGCAGTTAAGCAGGAGAAGGAAATAAAGGGTATTCAGTTAGGAAAAGAGGAAGCCAAATTGTCCCTGTTTGCAGATGACATGATTGTATATCTAGAAAACCCCATTGTCTCAGCCCAAAATCTCCTTAAGCTGATAAGCAACTTCAGCAAAGTCTCAGGATACAAAATCAATGTGCAAAACTCAACAAGCATTCTTATACACCAATAACAGACAAACAGAGAGCCAAATCATGAGTGAACTCCCATTCACAATTGCTTCAAAGAGAGTAAAATACCTAGGAATCCAACTTACAAGGGATGTGAAGGACCTCTTCAAGGAGAACTACAAACCACTGCTCAGTGAAATAAAAGAGGATACAAACAAATGGAAGAACATTCCATGCTCATGGGTAGGAAGAATCAATATCGTGAAAATGGCCATACTGCTCAAGGTAATTTACAGATTCAATGCCATCCCCATCAAGCTACCAATGACTTTCTTCACAGAATTGGAAAAAACTACTTTAAAGTTCATATGGAACCAAAAAAGAGCCCGCATTGCCAAGTCAATCCTAAGCCAAAAGAACAAAGCTGGAGGCATCACGCTACCTGACTTCAAACTATACTACAAGGCTGCAGTAACAAAAACAGCATGGTACTGGTACCAAAACAGAGATACAGACCAATGGAACAGAACAGAGCCCTCAGAAATAACGCCGCATATCTACAACTATCTGATCTTTGACAAACCTGACAAAAACAAGCAATGGCGAAAGGATTCCCTATTTAATAGATGGTGCTGGGAAAACTGGCTAGCCATATGTAGAAAGCTGAAACTGGATCCCTTCCTTACACCTTATACAAAAATTAATTCAAGATGGATTAAAGACTTACATGTTAGACCTAAAACCATAAAAACCCTAGAAGAAAACCTAGGCAATACCAATCAGGACATAGGCATGGGCAAGGACTTCATGTCTAAAACACCAAAAGCAATGGCAACAAAAGCCAAAATTGACAAATTGGATCAATTAAACTAAAGAGCTTCTGCACAGCAAAAGAAACCACCATCAGAGTGAACAGGCAACCTACAGGATGGGAGAAAATTTTTGCAACCTACTCATCTGACAAAGGGCTAATATCCAGAATCTACAATGAACTCAAACAAATTTACAAGAAAAAAACAACCCCATCAAAAAGTGGGCAAAGGATATGAACAGACACTTCTCAAAGGAAGACATTTATGCAGCCAAAAAACACATGAAAAAAAGCTCATCATCACTGGCCATCAGAGAAATGCAAATCAAAACCACAATGAGATACCATCTCACACCAGTTAGAATGGCAATCATTAAAAAGTCAGGAAACAACAGGTGCTGGAGAGGATGTGGAGAAATAGGAACACTTTTACACTGTTGGTGGGACTGTAAACTAGTTCAACCATTGTGGAAGTTGGTGTGGCGATTCCTCATGGATCTAGAACTAGAAATACCATTTGACCCAGCCATCCCGTTACTGGGTATATACCCAAAGGACTATAAATCATGCTGCTATAAAGACACATGCACACGTATGTTTATTGCGGCACTATTCACAATAGCACAGACTTGGAACCAACCCAAATGTCCAACAATGATAGACTGGATTAAGAAAATGTGGCACATACACACCATGGAATACTATGCAGCCATAAAAAATGATGAGTTCATGTCCTTTGTAGGGACACGGATGAGGCTGGAAACCATCATTCTCAGCAAACTATCGCAAGGACAAAGCCAAACACCGCATGGTCTCACTCATAGGTGGGAATTGAACAATGAGAACACATGGACACAGGAAGGGCAACATCACACACGGGACTGTTGTGGGGTTGGGGGAGGGCGGAGGGATAGCATTAGGAGATATAGCTAATGCTAAATGACGAGTTAATGGGTGCAGCACACCAACATGGCACATGTATAAATATGTAATAAACCTGCACGTTGTGCACGTGTACCCTAAAACTTAAAGTATAATAATAATAAAAAAATAAAAAGAACTACCTGAAAGTGGGTCTTTTATGAAGAAGCAAAGAGGTTTATTTGGTGCACAATTCCGCAGGCTTAACAGGAAGCATGACTGGGAGGCCTCAGGAAACTTACAATCATGGCAGAAGGCAAAGAGGAAGCAAGGACCTTCTTCACATGGTGGCAGGAGAGAGTGAAGGAACTGCCACATACTTTTAAACCGTCAGATCTCATGAGCACTCACTATCACAAGAACAGCATGGTAGAAACTGCCGCCATGATTCAAACACCTCCCACCAGGCCCCTCTCCTGACACGTTGGGATTACAGTTTGTAATGAGATTTGGATGGGAACACAGAGCCAAACCATATCTGTGGGTGACAACCTCATCTCTCCATTATAAGATTAAGATGCTCCTTTGTGCGGTATTATTTTGACACTAAGAATGTTCAGCTCCCCGCTAATCATTACCTAAAAATTTTAAATTCTAGTTGATAATTTTTGCCTGAATTTGTAATTTCATTAAGGATTGCAAAATGATAATTTTCTCATTTATCATTCCTTTTACATTTATCAGCTGGTATTTTGTAAAACAGCTTTCCTCTACCTAGTGAGGTTATTTGGTTAGCTATCATTATCTCTGTTTTTAAGAGAAAGAAGCTAAAGCTTAAAAGGTTAAATACTTATTAAAGTTTTTTGGGGAATAAATAGCAGAGCCAGGTCTTGAATCCAAGTCTGTGTGATTTGAGTCTGTGAGTGGTTTTGAAATATTATTTTAAGTAGAAATTTTAAAAATTAAAAATTTAAAATTAAAAAAATTTCCACTTAAATAGCCAATATTAGTTGCCTGTGTACTACAATCTATGATATTGGGCTTGACTTTGGCAGGACGGTAACTAACCAGGCTCTTCTGTTCTTTTTTTCAATAACTGCTTCTATGTACTGAAGCACTCTTTTCTTTCTCCACTAATATGTACACCAATAGCCGTATTTTCTTTTCAAGTCTATTACTTTTACCTCTTGAAAAAATAAGTAGAATAGTCATAACCCCAGCAGAAGTGTTGAGACTTTCCTGGAATTACAGAAAAAAAATTGAGATTTCCGAGTTAGCCATTTTGTTACTATCCTCCCCCACCATTTCTATGCCCCTGCCATACCAATCCCAAGTCCCTTAAAAAGAGTTTATTAGAATATTAAATGTGTTGACTTTTATGGGAGCTAGATTGGGTTGGTGTATAAGAGACATGAGGAGGACCAGAGAGAACTTGGATATGTGAGAAAAGGTGAAATATAAGGCCGGAAGTATTCAAAAAATAATTTTAGCTCTGTGGTCCCATATTCATATTGAGAGATTGCTATAGTCAGGCCTACCTAAGGCCTCTTCTACTTACTTTTAAGCAGGCTTTTTGGGTTTATTGCTGTTGTTAAACACAAATGTGTTGTGGGAAAGCACAAATAATTCTTACCTAAATCATTCTCCACACCACAATTCCACCAAAAGGCACTTCTTTGGGGTTTTTCATTTTGTTTGTTTCACTTATCCCTTAATGGAACAACATCTCTCAACCTCCTAGGGTTGGGTTCTTAAGGCAGTTTAGGACTACTGCTACCCCATCGAGCAGACCATATTGGATGTGGCCTTAACTCCCATCATTAGTCCTTGTCCTGAACTCAGTAGAAAGCTCTCTTCTGTCAGAGTAATTGGCTGAGACTTAGAACAGAACCTGAAGTTTAAGACAACAAACTCTAAAATAATTGTGGAATTACAGTTCCCATAGAATATAGGAAATGCGAGGCAAAGTAATGAAGTCTTTAATTGGATGGGATTGTGAATTATTCTACCCTCTGCATCCTGGGCAGGAATGGCAAGACAGTAGTAGGACTGGCTCTTATCACTGAAAGTTCACCTATATACAGAACCTCTCATTTCCCAATTCCATGTTTCTGGAACTGCATACAAAATTTTGTTCTCTGCAAGATTTGAACAAACTAAGCTAAAAAAAAAAATCTGAGCTTCTCTTTTAATAAAGAGTATAATTTACTCTTTATTAAAGAGTAGAATTTACTCATGGCTGTCCTCCATTTGACCATAATCTGTCTTCTAATGTTACCTCCAGCTATTTCCCAGTACACTTTCTGCTCCAGTCATACATGTGTTAGGGTCTCCTAAACCATCTTCTGTGTTCCTGCCTCTCTAGCTTACCTGATGCCATTCTCTCCTTAGAATGATACTCTGTCTGCCTACCTTGCACTCCCCTTGTTTCTGCCCATCCCAATCTTGCTCATCCATGAAGATTAAGGAAGGCATTCAAGAAGCTTTTTCTATTTTAGTCCATTAGAATCTCATTCATCTTCTGAATTCTTTACGCTTCCACTATTGCTTTAACACTTTCTCTTATGTACGTATATTTGCTCTTTGGAATATTCTTTGACTTTATGAACAATTTAATGACTCTCAATAGACCATAAACACCTTAAGGTAGTGATCTGGCATTACAATTTTGTGATGCAGTAGCTGCTAAACCATTAACTGTTGACTGAATAGGTTGGTAAATCTGCAAGTCAGGGGCAGGCTTGCCCTGTCTGTCTGTCTGTCTGTCTTCTGTCTATCTATTTATCCATCTATCTGACAGGGTCTCGCTCTGTCACCAGGCTGGAATGCGGTGGCGCAACCTCAGCTCACTGCAGCCTCCGCCTCCTGGGTTCAAGTGATTCTCCTGTCTCAGCCTCCCGAGTAGCTGGGACTACAGGCGCACGCCACCACACCCAGCTAATTTTTGTATTTTTAGTAGAGATGGGGTTTCACCATGTTGGTCAGGATGGACTCGATCTCTTGACCTCATGATCCGCCTGCCTTGGCCTCCCAAAGGGCTGATTTTACTTTATTTTTAAAGGAAAAAATGTTGAGTAAGATGGATATTGGAAGAGGTTATTACTTATAACTGGCATATCCTGGTAGTTCATTCACTCTTTGTTCAAATATTTGTTTAGCACCTGCAGTGTATCAGGTACTATGCTAGGCACTGAGGATACACCAACAAATTGTTCATAAAGTCAAAGCCATATAGGAACTCATTATTTAGGTCAGAGAGTCAGACATACAAAAAGGTAATTACAGTTTAGTTACAGTTTAGTTCTGTTAAGTATTGTTAACATATGGGAGTGCTATGGAGCATAAGAAGTGAATGATTAACTGTGTGGAGAGTCTTAATGTTTTTGCCAGGGATAAAAGAAGGTGGAGCGCAGGGATCAGGAGGCTGAGAGGGAAGAGGCAGCAGAACAATTTGTGTAAAAGCATGTTTGGGGAAAGCTTAATATGGCAGGTGTATTTAAGAACTCTAGAGTTAGAGTGTAGCATGATAGTAGATGACAGTAAGTAGATATGGAACCAGGCTGTAAAAAAAGCCTTGTATAATATTCTGAGGAGTACAGACCTTCCAATTAAGCACGAGGAAACCATTGGTAGTTTTTAAGCAAGGATTGTAATATGATTACATTTGTCTGGAGTGGTTATTTTGTGTGGGGACAGAATACAAGGAGATGGGAATTTTAAAGTCTTTCTAATAGTCCAGGAGGAATCAAGGACAAGGGAATGGAGATGGAGACCTTTCTGATTTCTGGTGCTGCCTTCAGAGGTAATTGACCAAAAGTATGAAATGAAGACATTCTACAGGTTTTTAGATTTTCAGTTTTGTTCACCTGCTGCACCTATCTCACCCCCACCACATACACACATACTCCACACATGGCTATTTGTACTAGCTACCAATGATGCCTACATGCATTCCCTTATGCAGTAATCATTAATTGATCCCCTACTATGTGAGACCATTCTATTTTTTCTGATTCTAACTATGGTCTAACTTTGGCCTATGGGCCAAAATCAGCTCATTGCCTCTTTTTTATAAAGTTTTATTGAAACATACACATGTGGCTGGGCGCAGTGGCTCACACCTGTAATCCCAGCACTATGGGAAGCCGAGGATCACTGGAGGTCGGGAGTTTGAGATCATCCTGGCCAACATGGTGAAACCCCATCTCTACCAACAATACAAAAATTAGCCAGGTGTGGTGGCAGGCGCCTGTAGTCCCAGCTACTCGAGAGGCTGAGGCAGGAGAATCTCTTGAACCCGGAAGACAGAAGTTGCAGTGAGCCGAGACAGCACCACTGCATTCCAGCCTGGGTGACAGAGACTCTATCTCCAAAAAAAAAAAAGAAAAACATACACGTGCTCATTCATTTACGTATTCTCTGTGGCTGATTTCACTTTACAGTGGCAGAGTGAAAAGTAGCTCTAGTAGAAACCATGTGGCCTACAAGCCTGAAGTATTTACTCTGGACCTTTACAGAAAATGTTTGCCAATCCCAAACTAGTTAATTCTTACTAGAAGAAAGGAGGGAAGGGGTCTATAATAGTTTCTTAAGGACAGTTGATCTTTGGAGAAGTGGCCTTACTAGTAAATAACTAATTTTTTTTTTCAAATCTAGGGTTGTCCTTACTTTTAAGTGACTATGTTCCAAAAGAGGAAGGTAATATTAGGTACTATTAATCAGGGAACGCTGCTTCGGGAATGTGACTGTAAATTGAATGCTTGGTTGTTGGGAGTAGTAATGTTAAAATGATATGGGAGGTTAAAATATTGGCCTTGCTGATCTAGATGCAGAAGTATCTAGAACCACCTGGACAGCTGTACAGCTTTTTCATTTAACAAAAAGAAAAGAAAAAACTCAGAGCAATATAAAGACGAGATGTAGGTTTAAGGAAACTAGCAGGCTAATGTGGCTAAATTCCAGGCCTGTAGGCCGGGTAATCCTGTGACGAGAATATAAGGATACGTAGCTAGAGGCCGGCATGGTGGCTTGCGCCTGTAATCCCAGCAATTTGGGAGGCCGAGGCAGATCACTTGAGGTCAGGAGTTCGAGACCAGCCTGGGCAACGTGGTGAAACCCCCCCTCTACTAAAAACACAAAAATTAGCCGGGCATGGTGGCACATGCCTGTAATCCGCGCTACTCTGGAGACTGAGGTGGGAGAATTGCTTGAACCTGGGAAGCAGAGGTTGCAGTAAACCAAGGTCACACATGGCACTCCAGCCTGGGTGACAAAGTGAGACTCCATGTCAAAAAAAAAAAAGGATACATAGCTAGAGACCAAGATCTGCTCCAACATACTCCTACTTTAATAATGTTTTTTTGATGGTTGATATATTGAGTAATTGAAAGAATGATAGAAGATTTTATGAATTACATCAGTAGGGTTTTCATGTCTGGCTCATGAACTGATGAGTAGGTGGATGGAATATTGTTTTCACTTCTTTGTTTTAAATTTGTTTCTTTAGGATCTATAGCAGAAAAGCTTTCTAAGGCGAAATTGGGTGAGAGGTCTGTGTGTGTCTCCTCAGTTTTTAAAATCTTTCTTTCTTTCAGGTTATCCTACCTACAAAGAAAAAGTAAAGAAAAGGCCTGGAGGCCGCCCAGAAGTGATCTACAACTATGTCCAAAGACCCTTTATTCGAATGTCCTGGGAGAAGGAAGAAGGAAAGAGTCGGCATGTAGACTTTCAGTGTGTAAAGAGTAAATCTATCACCAATCTTGCAGCAGCTGCAGCAGACATTCCCCAGGACCAGCTGGTAGTCATGCATCCAACTCCACAAGTGGATGAGCTGGATATTCTCCCTATCCATCCCCCTTCTGGCAACAGTGACCTCGATCCTGATGCACAGAATCCAATGCTGTGATGCTGATCTTCCTTGAAACCATAGCATGCTACTCTTCACAGTGACGTTGTACTCTCCTCATTCTGCACTGCAAGGCCACTCTTCTTCATTGTGAGATGCACATAACAATGTTTAGGATATTGCAGTGTAGGCTTTTTTAAAGACCAAAGGTAGCTGAATGGTTTTTTTTTAAATGAGTACAACTCTAGCATTTTGAAGTTCCAGTTGTAAATGTATTTGTTTACCAGTAGGTTTGTGAAATTGGTTCTTTGTATGGGGGATGGTCCTTTTTCACACAGCTAGGTCTTTTCAGAAGTGGTGGAAATTGGCAGCTGGGGTACTTTCAGTTTGGACTGATATTCATCACACCTCAGATAAAATGCAGAGTAATATATAGTTGCACTTTATAAATGGTGGTTAAATGGAAATGTTCAAGCCATTTTATAGTTGTGATGCACAATATAATTTAAGTGCTTCTGTCAAAGTATTCCTCCAGTACAATTTGTATAGTTTGCTGCCCTTGATGAGCAAAAAGTATTTATCTTGGGCTTATCTGAATGATCAGGATGAGATTTAATGCCCATATCTTACCAGTTCAGTTATCTCCAGAGCCATTTCACCCTTTAGAGTGAGTCACATGCAGGGAGTGTGAATGTCAGAGGTGGTTTATTATCCAGTCTGCCTTACCCTTAATCTGTTCACAGATATTTATTTACTAATGCTTTTTTTTTCTTAAGAGTTATGGGATAGGAAAATGAAGTGTTTGCTCTTCATTTACTAAATGATTGTAAACTTGAGTTTTTCATCAAAATAAAATTCCATTGTTTTAATGTTTCTGACCAAATTTATAACCACATTGACCAGATTTTTAGTCTCATAATTTCCCATCTCGGTGGTGTAAGTATTATTAGAAATAGTAGCTCAAGGAACTTTTACTATATGTGTGATGAGGCATTTAAATTCCCTAATTATAAAATGTACTATAAATCAAAACAATATTTATTAGAGCTGAAAAGAGTATTTTCTAGTCCAACTTGATATGAAGGGCAAAATGACTTTACTAGGTCATATAGTCACCCTAAGTTTCAGAGCCAGTTTCTCATACTAGTTCAGTGCTTTTTCCATTATACCATGCTACTTTGCTTAGCAAATTATTTATGCAAATGCTATTCTAAATATTCTGTGGTCCAATTCAAGAAGGGATCAAATATTTAGGTGCTTTAGGACTGGGGTCACTTACTATATAACTGAAGTAGTATTAGAGAGGTGCAGCATTAGAGAAGCCAATTTGTTAAATATAATCTTGAATTTATAATTTCAGAGGATTCGATGTTTGTGGATAAGCAGTAACATCTTTGTTCTCACATAAATTAAAATTGCAACAATTTATAAATGAACTATTTTAACAACACAGCTAAGCTAGTAGCATGGGGAAATTATGCAAGCCCAGAATCGTTATGAAGGCCAGAAAAGCACCACAAATGCTACTGGCGTAGATCATCCTTGAACACCCACTGTAGAAACTTATAATCCAGCCCTGCAACACGTAGGATTTTTTTTCTAATTATTTGAAATGTGAACAGTATTTATAGAACAAGGGAAACATTTATTAAAAATATTTAACTGTCTAGTACATTATACTTTAACCCATATTTATAGTAAAGGATTCTTACAAGGAAGAATAAACGGCTTTATGATACAATTAGTATAAGAAATATCCACATGGGGGACTTCTTTGTAGTGTAAAAACACCATACATCTGAAATGACCATTTGCATATAAAAGCTACCAATGATGCTTCTGTGCACAATGATTAAAAAATTCAACACAAACAGAATCCAAAATATACAATTAATGCAAGCTATCCACAGCTAGCCCAATAATCAATGATGAGGAAACACTGGAGCAGGCTTAGTTCCACTTTGTCTGAAGTTACATATAGTAAGATTGACTTGTATCAATGGCTCTGAGATGGCTTTTATGAAGTCAGTACATAAAAGCTATTCTCTCCTTATCCAGTAAGCTTCACAGACTGTAAAACTCCACCAGTAATGCACTTTGATACTATAGCTGTTGCCAAAGCAACATGTAGTGTTTACAGCGGCCATGGCAAGTCACTAAAGTCAACAGGGCCACCCAGTCCAGCATCTGCTTCCAAGAGGCTCATGATGACAGCCATTGCTGCCTCATCATTACTGGGACTACTTGATCCTTGGTCGTTGTCAATCATGTCTATACCTATGTGGGGGTTCTCACCTGTGGGAGGAGATAAAGACTGGTCAGTGATTTCTTTTTTAAAGCATCTTCAGATTAAGTAAGCAATTCCTAAGCACATTTTTAATAAGAAAGTTACATTTAATGGTAGGGTGAGATGCTGCTTTTTGGGCTGCATGGCTATCTTTTTTTATATCGCTGTTTTTTAGAGGAAAGAACCAATTTTTTAAAAATACGTAAGAAATAAGTGGGGTTACGTTGTGAAGAGACAGCTCTAAGGAATCAAATGATCATTTTAGAAATAAGTACAAAGCGCTTAAAATTTAGTAAATGTTAAAAATATTTGAGTCAAGCTTATTTTAATAATCTGATGTAACCAGTTAAGAGGAGTTACAAAAAGAAAGGCAAATAGGAAGGGAGAGTTTAGGAAAAAAACAGATCTAGAAAGCCCAGGGGAGAAAAAGATGGATGTGATGGGAAAAGCAAACTCTTTTCACTTAATGACTTTTAATACCTTCTGATATGCTTACTAATCACCCTTCTAGGCATTATCTCTGAACCTTCATTAGCCTTCTCTCTCTGAAGAGATTATGCCCCACATGGGAGAAAGCCTATGTCTAGGTAGCTGTAGCCTCCTCTTGAGTTCCAGGCACAAACTTGGACCTCCACCAAAACTCAAATACTGGTCAACTTTTTAGAGATTTAAACAAATTTTAAACTTTTATTCTGTTCCTATCAAATTTATCTAGGATTAGCTTGTTTCACACAGTTCAGTTCTTAAAATTGACTTTATGTAAGATGTTTTGCAAGCTCATTGCAATGGAAACGAATAATGATGCCACTTACCAAGAATAGAAGAACTATCAGAATATGGATAACCTGGGTTCTCCTGAGCCTGGCCTGATAGTAGGCCACTGGAAGGAATGTCTGGAGTCCCTCCATTTAAAATCTACAAACAAAAGGAGGGAAGTGTGAAGTTTGAATCAGTATTATGAGCAATGCCAAAAGGAAAATGAAGCATGGGGTGGGGTGGGGAGAAGCTTCAAATGGCTTCAGTTTTCTATTGGATGATTTCAAACAAGGAACTGTTAGACAGACATGGTCAGAGTAAGAAAAAACCTCTCCCCCGAACTATTCTTTTCTCTCCATTTTAGTGAGCCCACAGAGGCAACTTAAAGGCTGAATAAAATCCCAAGAGCATTCAACTGCCTGGAATCATGATGCCCACATATTTCTTTAGGACCAATGCCTAAACTTCAATGAGCCCAGCTAGACGTTTCCCCTATAAGGGAATAAAACATCTTATAGTGACAGATATTTCTGAAGAAGAAAAAGTGGAGTTAACAAGCTGTGAAGAGACACAGCTCAAGGAGTCAAATGAAGAAAACAGAAGTAAATCTCTTATACTACAGGTGCCAACTTCAGTAACCTGTGGTTTAAGTTAAGACAGGCTACTGGGGAGGATTATTACTACTACTCAGTAAGAGAACTCTGTCTCAAAATCTCCCCCACTCACCCCAGCTGCCTTCCCCTGGCTGAGTCTCAAAGAAGAGCATTCTTTGAGACCTATCTGGATATACGTGAGGAAACAGTTTGGTAGCTGCTGCTTTCAGGAGCAGCAATGATTTCAGGCTTTGCCAGCAGGTGGCATTATAACTTACTTTATTTCCACAGCAACGTTTTGGTCTAGGGACCCTTTTACACTCTTAAAAAAATCATTGAGGACTCCAAAGAACTTTTGCTTATGTAGGCTGTATTTATCAATATTTACTGTATTTGAAATTAAAACTAATAGATTTCTTAAATGTAATAAACCCGCTACATGTTAACATAAATAATGAATAGTATTTTAATGAAAAATAACTATTTTCTAAAACAGTAACAAAAAATTACCAGGCAGAGTATTATCTTACATTTTTGCAAATCTAATGTCTGGCTTAATAATTTTCAACTGGATTCTCATATATGTTTTTCCATTCAGTCTATTTAGATACGTCTTGTGATTCAAGTATATGAAGGAAATCCAACCTCCCACAGATAAGTAGTTGGAAAAGGGAGGCATATTTTAATAGACTTTTCAAATAATTGTATTCTTTTTTGATACCACTTCAAAACTTGACACGTAGAAGTTTCTTAAAGGTGAGTTGCAATGTGGAATCTGAAACCATATCAATGAATGTTTTGTACTCTTTATATCTTGGCACTTAGGATGGATCTTTTACCCTTACATGATTTTGAAATACCTTGCATTGTTTAGTTACAAAATATTGGTTCACTGAGTTATGCAGATCTTCTATATATTGACACATTTCATTATAGAGCATCAAAATATCACTATTATTAATACTCCCTATCTCATCAACAACATTTTTTAAGTTTTAGGAAGATCTCAAGGTCAAAGTAGCAGAGACAAGTTTTCTAAAAATTCCAATTTTTGCTTGAAAGCTCAGATTTTATCATTGGCAACAAATGTCAGTCATTTTCCTTAAAGTGACAGGTTCACTTCATTCATTTCCAAAAAAAAAGTATTCTAAATACCCAAAACCGAATGACCATATACAATAAAAATGGTGTCCAATGAAAATAGTAGCTAGTTCAACTCACAACTTAATCACACAAGTAGTTTTTGAGACAAACATCATACTTTGGTATGCAGCACAAGTTCTGTGTACTTCTCATTTTGTCACAGAGCATTAAAAAGATGTGTGCTTGAGAATTTTATAAAAGTAATGATGGACATTTTCCCTCCCTCCCTCACTCCCTTCCTTCCTTTCCTCCTTCCCTCCTTGATAGGGTCTCACTCTGGTTGCCCAGGCTGGAGTACAGTGGCACAATCTCAGCTCACTGCAGCCTCAACCTCCTGGGCTCAGGTGATTCTCCCACCTCAGTCCCCGGAGTAGCTGGGATTACAGGTACACCACCACACCTGGATAATTTTTTTTGTATTTTTTAGTAGAGATGGGATTTCTCTATGTTGCCCAGACTTGCCTGGAACTGCTGGACTCAAGCAGTTTGCCTGCCTCAGCTTCCCAGAGTGCTGAGATTACAGGGGTGAGCCACTGCACCTAGCCATGATGGACAATCTTAAATGAAACTGGCTTTAAACTATTTTTTTACTGTGAGTGTGTGGTGGTGAAGAATACAATGACTACTAGTATAGTTTGGTGCCACTTGTCTGATTTTTGTAAAATGCCAGCAATTTTACCCAACCGTGCTTTTAGTATGAATAGTGCACATTATCAATACAGGGAAAAAATTAACGTTTTAATGTTATTAAGAAAATAGCTTTAACCTTGCAGACCCTTAAAAGGATCTTGTGCCCCCTCTCTTTCTGGAAAAAGACTGCAGATGACATTTGTAGAACTGCTGCTTTATCTGAATTTTCCTTAGTGCTTCTGGATGTCTGTACTCTCTTGCGACCTATGGAGGCTCACTTAGGCTTCCTTTTTAGCTTGATCCTGACAAACAACTGCAGGCTAAATGGTTCATTTTTGGACCTTCCAAATTTGAAAGTGACTGGAAAGGGCTGGGTATGGTGCACCATTTAATACTGCTGTCAGTTTTAACTGTCTTGTTTAAGCTGCTTTTCTTATAAGTCCTGCTGCCCAGGACTCATCTCGTGAGAACACATCCAAATTTCTTCTCACAGATCCATTTTATAATCCATTCTTCTCAAAGAAAAGGGAGAATTTTCATAAGTGCCTCAAAAATAGCTGGGGCTTTATGATGCAGAGCACAGCTTTTGATTTCTGGTAGTTGTTGATGTGAAAAGAATTGGAAGCCATGAGCCCAGGATTGTAGCCTGGGGGCCATACTTATAAAACGAACGCTGAGGAGCCTGGATCTTGTCACTATAATGTTGTGAAGGTGAGATGAGACAATGTATATGAAAGTTCTTTGAGTAATATTTAAGCCTATACTGGACTGATAACCTTTCAAAACCAAGAAGTAGAATCCTTGGTAATACCAGGAGTCAAGTCAAGTGCCTAAAAGTTAACTTAAGAAGCAGAGACTGGAAGACCACCCTAAGAAGATGGTGGATCCAATATGCAGGAAGGACCTGGAGGTATAACAGAAGAACAGCTAAGAAGACAGCTGGCAAGCAGTGTGTGTGTTGTGGGCAGGGGGGCGGGGGTCACGGGACACCAAGCTCAGACTTCATCTGTCAGTGGTATTTTGGGCCAAGCACTTTCACATATATTATCTCACAGTAGGACCTCGTGCAAAGATGCTGGCTACCCTAACCATTATTAGCTCCATTATAAAGAAAACTAGGGCTTGAAAGTTGTACAAGTTCACATAACTAGCACATGGCAAGGCCAAGCTTCGAACCCAGGTCTTACTTTGTAGTCTTACCCATTAATTTGTTAACTTTCAACCTTTTTTGGGGGGAGCAAAACGCTTTTTCAAATAGAAATGTTTGCAGAAGATTCCTGTATAAAAAAGAAGTATTGCTGCCCTTGTAGAAGCAGGATTTCTACTCTTACCCTCTCTCCTTAGCAACTATCCCCACGCCCATCCCACCTGGTAACACCACAGCTCTTGGTAACCTGAACAAACCTCCGAGGAGCTCAGTTTTGAAAATCCTTGCCCTGCTTTTGATGGTTTGTGCCCTAGGAGTCCTGCCTATGGAAATTCCTGATATTCTCTCTCTCTGTTTTAGGAGATGGGGAAAGGAAGCCATTGTGTCCAAAATGATGGCCTTTAAACTGTCCTAAGCTCTACTGGCATCAGGCAATATAAACAGATTTATAATTTACGATTAAGATGGGCCTAGGCTTATAAGTTCTCCAGCAAAGATGAAAACAAATGACTGGTTCCTAAACCTATTTATAGTGTAGTCTTATAGCAAGCTCTTCATGAGGGCTGGTGATTGATCCACTGCTTGGATCCAATGCTGTCACACCAATGGAACCCCCAGGCAGCAGATCCCCAAGTATTCTGCAGCTATAAAGCATGGCTTGATTTCCAAAGCACTGCTGGTGGCATTGCTGTTTCCATTGCCTGCCCTAGACACTAATATTTTCTCCCTTGAAAATTCCTGGCAGAAAATGAGAAACTTTTCTATGTGAGGTACTCAATAATCTTTCCCTCATGGGAACTCTTGAATTGCTCCCTCAATTAAATGAACTGACAGTTCCCCATTCCTTATTCTTTCTCCCTTCTTCCACTCACATGGAAGAAAGCCTCTGAGGATGTCAGCAAGCCTCCCTAGCCCTACCAGTATGCTTTGTATCCAGCCTCACACAGATGCATTTACTTCAAGGAGGAAGTAGTCCAAATTGTTTCAGCAATCGCAGTTGCAATTCCATACTCCCACCCCCAACATTTCAGATCTTGGGCAAGAGGTTCTCTAGCTTAGGCTAAGAATCATCAGTCTTACCTTCTTGCCTCCTGGAGAAGAGGCATCAGGGGGAGGCGTACTCGTGATGTTCAATGGGCTGGAGCCACAGCTAGAAGGCGATGACCCTCTTATCCTGTCAGAAAAGAGAATTACACTGCCTTTTCTTTTTTCAGTGGAGTGTATGTGCTTTGTTAAGGGGTAAAGGTGAGAAAGGGGATGAAGATCTAGATTAGGGTTTGGCAAGCTTTTTCTGTAAGGGGCCAGATAGTAGGCTCTCTAGGCCATATGGTGTCTTGTCACAAATGCTCAACTCTGCCTCTGCAGCTTGAAAGCAGCCACAGATACGAATCGGTGTGGCTGTGTTCCAATAAAACTTTATTTACAAAAACAGATGACAAGCTGGATTTGTTCTACAGGCACCTGATCTAGAATGCAGTCCCTAGAGTCAAGCATCTCACTGACAAAGCCCTTGGATTGGAGTTTGCATTCAGTTGGTGAATTTCAAGTAAGTGGCCAGTTTTATTTCCTCACAGAATCCAGGTGAATTGGAGGAGAACTTCTAAGATCAACCTCCATCTTTGATCCACAGAAAACAATTTGTCCCCTTCTCCACAAACACTGTTTAGCTAGTGAATACTCTTAGGACATGGACGGCACCAGGGTCTAAAAGGTAGCCTAGTAGTAGTGACAGGAAAAGCAGCCTTCGAAGGCAGTGGTTGATGAAAAATGGGTCCAGGCCTTTCTTATCTAGCATATCTCTCAGAAGATTTATAGAAGGGAAGACTTAGAACTGTAAATCCACCTAAATACTTGTCAGGCTGAAGGACCTCAGGAAAGAATCCATCACTTGGCATTGCAGCTACAGTTTAGGGAGAGTGTGATGGCAGTTGTGTAACCACAGGACTCTCAGCTCCTACATGGATGAATGTAGCTTTTGGGTGACCCAGAGACCACTCCTCCACCACCCAGAAGTCTTTTGGTTCTTGTACTGCCTAGTTCTCTAGATTTATGAGTGAACAAGTTTTCTTTCTGGATTAGAAGCTTCTTAACGGCAGTTTACAACTACATATCATGTATTCTCAGCATGCACAAACGGCTGCTAATTGCTTACGGAAAAATTGCTGAGTGTCCCCCACCTTTCTCTACTTATGTCTATGAAACCACTATTTTCCCAGGTTTCTCATCTTGGAATTGCTGTTTCATCATTCCTGATTTCATCTTCAAACGCTAGACCTTAGATGATTGATTTCTCTTTTGGCAGTGTCATCTCTGTAGGATAAGGCCTCATTCCTGAGTTGTCAAACATGCCCACCTTCATCTCTCCCTATTCCAATGCAACTTCCACAAAGCGTAACACAAGACTTTGGATGCTTGTTCAGCATCCTACAACAAATGGGGTCTTACAGGTTTCTTCCAAACTGCACAGTATCATTTCTTGTGTTTCTTAATCGCCTATCATAGCTCTGTGTCTCCTTCCTACACAAAGCCTGCCCAGTTAGGTAGCTTGTTTCTTGACCCTGAATTTGCCACTCACATGCCCACTCAAGAATAGCCCTGGCTTTTCTAGAGGGAACATCCACTCTTATTGCAAACCCTGGCTAAGGCCAAGTTCAAATCTTTCCTCTTTTGCTTGCTTTGGCCCATGCACCCTCCCTTTTTCCTGTTATCATAAAGAAAATAGACTTATAAAAGATTTTAAAATTCTTGAGGTCAAGGACTGTTTGATACTGTTCTTGGATGGTCTCAAGCAAAATACAGGGTATGCAAATGCAAAGTATAGGGTTTGAACCTGATTACACTGCACACTACCCTCATGTCTCCTTCCTGATGCAGAAGTCACACCCACTAATCCTGTGGGGTTGGAAAAGAGCTGTGTTACCTATAGGGGGATAACAGCCCCTTTATGGCCAATTGGAAAACAGGCCAGCCTCTAATTCTCCTGAGAGAATCCAGCGGCAGCAGTGTTTTCTTCCTTTTCTTATGTTACATTAAGTTTCGTTCTGAAGAATCTGGTTACCACCTTCTCTATTCCCCAAATTTGGACAGACTTATGATAACTGCTTCCCTCTCGACTGCTCTTAAAGACAGATTTAATTAATTTTTAAGCACTCACTATATGTCAGGCTGTGTTCCTGGAACTTTCCTGAGTGCCCTCACAATCCTAACACAATTCTTGGGAAATAGTGCTTTCTTTTTATGGTTTAAATCAACAGAGAGCAAGAGGTTAAGTAAGTCTCAGCATAGCCAGGTAGAGAGACAGGCCCAGGACTCAGACCCAGGTGGACTGCTTCTAAGCTCCTTCTCTTTCATATGGAAAGGAAGTCTCTCCCAAGACAGCTAGTAATAACTAGCTGATCTGCTTGGTTTCTAGTACTAATCCTGGGCAGCTCTTTGATTGAAAAAAAGTGAATGTTTTGTTAAGGTCCAGATCACTCTGATAGTTCACAGCTCTACTCCTGCATTCCTGTAAAGTAAAGGTACATCTATCCGCACTGAGAAGCTCCTTGAGCCATAAGAAAGTTAAGTCTTCTCAAGAATTCTCTTTAGCGCTGGGCTATTTTGGTTTAGCTTCTTTATTTAAGGCAGGATTTCTTAATCTAGGCACTACTAACATTTTGGATTGGATAATTCTTTGTTGGGTGGGGAGGAGGGAACTGTCCTGTTTACTGTAGGATGTTTAACAAGCAGCATCCCTGGTCTCTATCCACAGGATGTTTAAGTAGCAACCTCCCACCCAGTTGTGAAGACCAAAAATGTCTCCTGACATTGCAAAATATTGCCTGGGGGAAAAAATTTCCCTGGGTTGAGAACCACTGGTTTAACAGAGGAACTAGAAGGTGTTACTTGCCTGTGGATTTCCATGATTTCCTCAGCAATCATTCGGCCTATTTTTCCTGCCCCAGCCCGGGTTCCCCCTGGAATCCCTGGAACAGTGGGGTGGGTCCTCTTTGGGCCACCTACAACAAAGGAATCTGAGAGTAGGAAAGGGGAAAACTGAGGAAGAAATACTATTATGTATTAAAGTAAAACCAGTTTATCCCATGATCCATTTGCAGTTCAACATCAGAGTTGTGCCTTGAGGGACTTTAGGGCTACAGCTTGTCAGGAAAAGGCATTCCAGCAGGGAAAGGCTCAAGTTTCCTTCTAGGATCTGAGGCCAGTTTTTTCCCTTCATACAGCATCTAATTCTTTCCCTTCATGCACTGAAAAAAAACGTTTATTGAAGACCACTGTATGTGCCAGGGTTACAGAGACAAGTCCCTGCCCTCAAGGAGCTCACAGTTTAACAGGAAAACCAACAAGATGAACAATGGCTAAAGCAAAATGTTGTAAGTTTGACAGGCAAGCACGAGGCAACCAACTCATCTGGGGCCAGGTGCAGCTTCTGGAGCAAGTTAACCCCGAGCTGAGTCTTGAGAGATGAATATGAATTAGCTTGGCAGAGAGGTAAGGAGGAGAAAGCATTCCAGGCACAGCAACCAACACGTGCAGGAGCACTGAGGCAGGTTAAAACTTGGGAGACTCCTCCAAGGAATTCATCATAAATGATGATGAGAGCATGATAGATGAAACTGGGGCAGCAGGTACCAATCCGATCATGAGGGGCCTCTTGGATGCCGTACTAACGAATTTGGACAGTTTCCACAAGGGAATGAGGAGTACCAAAGGACGATACACAGAAAAGGCACAAATGAGAACTGGGTTATTAGAAAGTCCACGGCAGGGAGAATGAACTACAATGGAGGATGGGGTGGGGAGAGGGGGACTAGAGTTGCGAAGTGATTTGCAATAATCCAGGCAGCAGATGAGGAGGGTGAAATAGCAATAGTGGTGACGAAGTTTAAGAGATAGAAGGTTCAGGACTCCGTGTTTAGATATAATGGGGGAGAGACAACAGCCAGGTTTCTGGCTTAAACAACCAATCAGGTAGGGGAGTGCAGAAAATCAGCTTGGGATATTCTGAATTTCAGGTGCCTCTGAGACTCCAGGTGGTTCTGTCTATGAGGCATTTGGAGAGACAGATCTGGAGCTCGGGAGAGAGACTGGGCCAGGAGATGTGGATGTGGGAGTCATCGATGGGGGCTGCAGCCATGCATGTGGGGATGGTCCCAGGAAGGATGAGTCCAGCGTGGACAGCAGGGGCAGGGCCAAGGCTGAGCCTGAGAAGGGAGCCCAGTGGGTATGGTACACACCCTGGTGCCGAAAGACACCTGCCTGCCAACCACAGGAGTTAGTGACAGTCACGAAAGAGCACTTCACATCATGGCCACTAGCCAACACAGGAGGAAAGCACAAGGGGAGTAGGGAGTTTGCGAGCTCAAGGGCTTCCAGGGGCCAGCAGCTTTGGGAAGTGCAGCAGTGAGCTCCTAGTATTCCGGCTCAACAGAGAAAGTGACATGACAGTGTCCTCTGCATTCATGGGGAAATCCGCACATCATCCCCTCGAGGCCTCCCTTGTTCCACAGAATATGAATGGAGGGGACCCTGAATACTTTAGGGGAGGATATTTGACCACAAGCACCTTCCCACGGGCAAGCCCCAGGGCCCCAGCAGCACATAGTTACCTTCTCCAGAGGGCAGCATGCTGTCCATGCTGTGGGGGGATGCTGTGAGCTGTGGGAAGGTTGGGTCCCCGCCTTCCAGGACGTTGGCTCTGTGAACATCCCAGCAATAAGGAAACGTGAGTCAGGCCTGCTCAGAACTGTGCACCATTCAACTTGGCCAAGGTGTCCGGTGTCCACTCTGGACCTGGACAGGCCAGAAAATGAAGTGTCTGTCTGAGTGGGTAAACAGGTCTCACTGTTTGATAATATAATGGATAGCATCCTGGCCTTTGGCCCCACTGCCTGCCTAGGCCTTCCTAATATGTGTGGGACACAGTTCAGCAGAGGTGGTGGCTGCAGTAACCTACTGCCATCATTACAGCACCTCCTCCTGCCAGCCTGCAGTGCACCTAGCCCCGGCCCCTCACACAGCTCTTACCATAGGTGGGGTTTTGGACACTATGGGGAAGGAAAAGTGGGGAGCAGGCCTGGCCAAAGAGAGGCTCCTTCACCTCCCTCTGCTCATCTAGCAGGTAGCAGCCTTTTGAGATGGCATTCCAGCTGCCAGTGCTTGGGCCCCCTGCCTGACAGGTATGGAGACCTCCCCATCCTCAGCCAAGGCCAGTGTGAGCTAGTGCCTGAATGAGCCTTTCATAGATTGCCAACCCCTTCCTCCACAGCAGCACAAGTGGATGCCTAGGGTGCAGGGCCTGTGGAATTCAAAGGTTAGCTGCTTTATCTGGAAGGAAATGTTGCTATTTCCTGGAGCAGTTTCATAAGCCAGGGCCTGCATGGTACAAGTCCTGAAGCTTGTCCCTTTGTTAACAATCCTTTCTAGCTTCTGCCAGTCCTGAGGCTTCACAGGTATTAGCAAGATGGCATTAAAGGATGTGATACTGGATGTTGCCTGCACCCCATTTCCCAGATGAGGAACCCTAGGCATCTGTTTGAAGCAAGGGGAGCTTCAGATATAGGAAAAGTACTTACAAAACAACAGTGTTAGTTGAGACAATATATTCTACTTCCTTGGTCCAAGGGTTCATGAAACTGAACCATCGACTCCGTAGTGTGATAAAAGAACCATCTTTGATTTTAAATTTATAGCAATTAGTTGTAATTTTTTCTCTCGTCTGTAAAACTGAAAATGTAAAGAAAACATGGACATTGTTGTTTTCTCAGACCAAAGTATTAAACAGGACATCCAATACAAAATATTAAAGGTACTTGAGCTCCAACGACATCGCTCTTTAGTAAGCCAAGGAAACTGCAGTGGTCAACACTCAGGAAATAGGTTGTTTCTGAGGGTCTAACTCAGAGCCTTTCAATTCATTTGTGAAGCTGTCATGATTTTCCATAGTCTGTAAAATTGAGGCTCTAGGGAATTACTGACTGCATGTTATACATCTAACTGGAATCAGCTCTAACATGACCACCAGCAAATGAGAAGGCACTGTCCAAAATGTCATGCTTTATCTCAATCACAAAGCCCAAGGGCAATATAGAACTTATCTCATTTCTAAGAACATCCAAATCAACAGAGGCTACTCACCTATTCAACCTCATTCTTTCATGTAACATGTAATGAGCCCTTCTCATGTGCCAGGCACTGGAGATACAAGAGGAGACAGGCTATGACTCCTGCCCTCAAGAAGAGTAGTGAGGGAAGGCTATACAGGGAGAAGAGATCAGAGCCTTGAGGGATGAACACGAGTTTGCCAAGAGAAGGAGGGAGGGAAGAACCCAGCAGTGCCTGAGGAGCAGCAGGGTCTGGTTGGGGAGAGGCCAGTGAGGTCAGTGTGCCTGGAGCACAGGCCTCTGCAGGCAGGGATGGGGACTGAAACTGAGGAGGTGGGCTGGGGCCAGAAGGTGGAAGGTCTCACATTTGATTGCCTGTCAAAAGCATTTGGGCTTGAGTCTAAAGCAGGAGGTTTTTAAGCAGGCTGATGTTACCAGGCTCAATCTATCTGGGGATAAATAGGATAACTATGGAAGATGAACTGGGGGTGAGAGGGATCAGAGAAACCCTGAGAAGTCTATCACAGGTCTCTAAGTAGGCACGAGGGCCTGAACCAGGGTGATGGCAGAGGTGGTAAAAAGTAGACTTTTGGAAATGCATGTCTGAGGTGAATGAACAGGATCTGGTGGAGACACAGTGAAAGAAGGGGTCAATGTTGGTCTCTCTCAGGAGCCTGCACATGAAGCCACAGCATTAGTCAAGACAGAAAACACAGGAGGTAGTGCAGGCTTGAATGGAAAAGAGAATCAGATCAGTCTGGGCCATACTAAATCTTTACAGGGTCTGGGAAAACCCTCTGAACAAGAGATGTCTTTCAGAAACTGCCATGCAGTCAGCACAGGGCAACTACAAGGGGGATAAACAGTGCCTGCAGGTATCAGCTTCCTCTTCACACAGATGTTCTGACCTGAAGAGTCCTAGGCTGGCTGACTCTACATCCTCAGTGGACAGATTTCCCTGGAAGGTCATGTTGACTAGTCTAGAAGCAAGGGGACACTTTCAACTTAAGATCTTTCATACATCCTAGCTTACCTTGCCTATGACATTCTGCAAGATGTCCTATGTCATCTTGGTGAAAATATTCATAACACGATGTGCCTAGAAGTTCTTGTGGTAAATATGCCAAAATAGCTGTTGCCCTAAAAGGGAATAAAGGAATATTTAAAGAAGAAAAAGCCATTCAGATGATTAATTGCAACTTTGCAATGGATAAACCCTGCTACAGCCTATGAGAGCAAGGTCAAAGCTGCAGGCAAAAGAGCTGGATGGATTTTCAGAGGGCTCACTGTGTGGATCTTTCTCTCTTTTTTTCAGGCATCTGAATTTAATCAAGGCTATAAAAATAGAGGGAAACAGAGCAAAGCCTTTGTAAAGGGACTATTATCACAAGAAATCAAATCTGAGGGGGCTTTAAAAATTGCAACCAGTCGGGCATGGTGGTTCATGCCTGTCATCCCAGCACTTTGGGAGGCCGAGTTGGGCAGATTGTCTGAGCTCAGGAATTCAAGATTAGCTTGGGCAACATGGTGAAACCCTGTCTTTACCAAAAACACAGAACAATGAGCTGGGTATGGTGGCACATGCCTATGGTCACAGCTACCTGGGAGGCTGAGGTGGGAGGACTGCTTGAGCCCGGGAGGTCAAGGCTACAGTAAGCCAAGATCTCGCCACTGCACTAGATCTAGCCTGGGTGACAGACTGAGATCTGTCTTTAAAAAAGGAACCACATTAATTAGATTAAAATGTGGTATAAATCTAAACCTCAGTGCAAGGCTTCTAGTTTTTGCTGCCTCCTTTTTATCAGGACAACCAAATGCCAGAAGCTGCAGCAGCTGAGGCCACAAGACAGCTGAGGCTGTCTCTTTTTCCAGCATGTTGTGGCTGTCTCTAGTAGCCAGAAAAATTATTAGCCTGTGCATATTCTGAGGGAAAGCAGTAGGCAGCAGTAAATTTGGGACACCTGGGTCCTTGGTCCAGGTCTATTACCAATTAATTGTGAATCCTACAGGAGACCAGTCCCCAGGCTGGCCTCTGTTCTTCATCCATAAAATAAGGAGGTTGGATTAGATCAACGCTGTCCAACAAGACTTTCTGTGATGATGGAAATGTTCTATGTCTGTGCCGTTAGCCACATGGGAGGCTACCATGGCCAACGAGTATTTTATTGGACAGCTCAGGACTAAATAATTGCTTCCAAGTCCTAGATTCAAAAGAATTTCAATCACAATAATGGTTCTGGAACATTCCATAGATTCAGACAGCATGCTATCCCTACTGTTTTTCTTTTAGCCATGGACATCAAGGCACCCCACTTAATTGTCTCTATATGCCAAAGAATGACAGAAAAATCTCTGTATTTATGATGATATCCTATTGAATCTCATTTTTTAACAGAGACTCTCATCATTTGTCTCTTTTTTTTTGAAACAGGGTCTCACTCTGTTGCCCAGGCGGAAGTGCAGTGGTGCAATCACAGCTCACTGCAGCCTTGACCTCCCGAGGCTCAGCTGATCCTCCTGCTTCAGCCTCCAGAGTAGATGGGACTACAGGTATGTGTCACCATGCCTGGCTAATTTTTGTATTTTTAGTTGAGACAGGGTTTTGCCACGTTGCCCAGGCTAGTCTCAAACTCCTGGGCTCAAGTGATCCACCCACCTTGGCCTCAAAAAGTGCTGGGATTTGAGGTGTGAGCCACTGCACCCAGCTTTTTCTTTCTTTCTTCATTCTTAGAAAAGCCAGCTGATGGCCCAGTCTTCTCTGCTTTTTAGATCAGGGTTGAAAATCCTCTACCATCATTGCTCAAGGGTAGTATGTAGACTCTTACCTCTGGTCTACAAAAACAAACTTTCCATCTATCGCGTGCCGAGAAACATATTCCATAGATTTCACCCTGATTTCCCCGTTCACTGGTTGTGGAACTACATGAGAATGCAGTCGTCCAATTGCGACGAGGCAGCTGAGGTTACACCCCTCATTGTCTGGTTCGTTGTCTTCATCCAGCCCCATCTTTGTGGGTGGCCAGCTTTTCAAATAGCCTGTGCTGTGGATTGTGCAGAAGCTTTTTCGATCTGCTAGAAAGCAAAGTTCGTGGTTAGTGTCAGCACTAGGTTTGGGCCATGGAGGTGTACACGGCCGATGGTGGGATGGGATGTAGGTAGGGAGTCAAAAAATAAAAAAAAATCAAGGCTTCACTCTCCAGAAGTAAGCATCTAATGAAAGGGGCAGACGGAAAGAGAAACAAACTGTCATCCAGTGTCAGAATGCTTAAGTAGGGCCAGTTATACCATGGACATTCATTACATACACCAAGGAAGGAATATCTAACTCTTCCTAGGGAGAGGAAGGCTCCCCCAAAAAACCAGTAGAGGAGGTGGATCAAGAAGGATGAGCAGTGGCTGAGGGACTAGAATGTATAAAGGCTGATGACGTACACAGGCACAGAGGCACAGCCTATATAGGAACTGGCCAAGAGCTCTGTGTGGTTGAAGTGAAATTGGAGGTACTGGGAGTGAGGGGCAAATTGGAAAGGCAGGTTGGAGGAAGATTAAAAGGGCCTTGGATTACTTTCTAACCAATGTTGGTCTGTCTTTTTAAGGCAGGAAATGGAGAGCATCTACAGGTATTTAAGTGCAGAAACAGCAAAATCAAATTGTGGTTTGGATGCTGTAGGAGCAGAGTGACGTATGAACTGGAAGACAGTAGAAAACAGAAGTAGGAAGGCTGATTCAGGGGCCAGTGGCTATAATACAGCAAGAGATTAGGAGGACTGAACTATGGCAGTGCAGTGAAGATGAGAGGGAGCAGAGAAAGAAAGCAGGAGAAATTTCTGAGATCAAACTGTTGGGATTTGCTGTGAATATCAGGCTTAAGGGAAAGAAACAAATGAAGATGACTCTAACTTTTCTGGATTGGGTGGTTGCTGGTGTCATTCACTGACTCAGAGAAGAAAGAAAACAGACTAGAAGAGAGAGAGAGAAAAAAGATAGTTCGATTTGGGACACATTAAATGTGGAGCACCTATAGACTTCACCAACAAGCAAACCACTATGGAGTGTCTGCCAAGCGTGGAGTCTGTGCTGGTTACTGGAATAGAGTGAAAAACAAATCAGACATGCCCTTGTGGAGTTTACAGCCTAGTGGGGGAGACAGACTTTAAACAAATAATCGCACAAATAACTATATAACAGCAAGTATAAGAAAGCACTAGAAAGCAAACCAGTAGGGTGCTATAAGACATAAGGCAGTCTGAGGTTGGAGAGAGCCATGTGAAGGGAGTTCATGGGGAGAGGGAAGAAATTCCAACCAGGAAGCGACAGCATGTGCAGAAGCATTGCCCAGAAGGGGCTTGAGGCATCAAAGGAAGTCAACATGGCTCACATGTGCTTAGTGGCAGGGTCGGGGGCTGCATGGTCACGTTAAATATTTTGAGCTTTTCTTCAAGAACAATAGGGAACACTGAAGGGTTTTTAAAAGGGGACTGATAAAAAGATCATCCTGGCTGCTGTGTTGGGGGTGGGGAGCATGTGGGTCTACACTTTATGAGACCTGGTGAGAGTTGGGGGCAGCCTGGAGCTGAGTGAAAGTAGGCAGCATGGAAAGGGACAAACATTTCAGAGAACTTTTGCAGATGGGACTCATTGTGGCAGGACTTCATAACTAACGGGATTGAAGAGTGGGGTGGTGAAGCAGAAGTGAGGGCACCTCCCCGGCTTCTAGCATGAGCAGCCAGCTGAATGGCAGTGCCATTTATGCTGGAGGAGAGGCTCAGGTGATTACTTCGGCACGTATCCTGTTGGAGACTCCCCTGAGATATCCAAAGCAGGTTGATTTAGTAAGCAGTATATTTATGAATCTGGAGTTCAAAAGACAAGTCTAGGCTGGAAATATGAATGTGGAAGTTGTTGGCATTTAAAGCTGAGGGAGTAGATGACATGACCAACAGAGAGAGACTGCAGACAGAGATGCAGCCCAGGACAGAGAGGGGCAGCCAGCAAAGGGGCCAGCAAGAGAGCCTGTAGCAGCAGGGGGTCGGGGAGGAGGAAGAAGAATGTGGTTTCATGGAATCCAGGAGAAGAGAACACTTCAAGAAGGAAGACAAAGGAAAAATGTTCATCGCATTTAACAACATCAAGGTCACTGGTGAGCTCAGAGTAATTTTGGTGGACTGGTGGCTGTTCATAAGGCAGTTAGGATTGTGGCTGAGAGTATTCTTCCTCAATCATGTTAAAAGAAACACAATTTAAACAGAGGAGGCCTCTCCACAAATCTCTGCCATCAGGCTTTTCAGCTCTCTCCTCTGCTCCCAACTGCCCTACACATAGGGAGGACTGCAGGGTCCTGTCTGCAGTCCTGGGACCTGCCACTCTGGCCAGCCAGAAACCATGGAACCAACGCCCAGCTGAGAGCTCCGCTGCAGAAAGCATGCTTCACCTGTCACAGGGTTTTAATGGACTGTTAAATTGTTACCTTTTTTCTTTGAGCAGGTAGAGGGGAAGTCCTTGTCTTCAACCTTTACTGAAGGCCTGTTACACTTCATCCTACAGAAGAAAGAACGTCGTGCTCCAGAACATAATCGAGATGGCCCAGGGGTTATATCTGTTTTAACTGGAAGTCCAGCTGCAAATCAATACACAAAATGTGATAAACTGAGAGCAGTGTTGTCTGTCAGGAGGGGGAGTGTGACCTTGAGCAAAGCCTTTTCTTGCCTGCCTCACTGTTTTATAATGATGACATGAGATAAATATCTCCCAAGTTTAGGCTTTAACAGATGCAGCATGGACAGGTGTGTTGTCAGTCTGGAAATGTTTATAAATCACAGAGTGTGCTACTAAATAAATGGATTAGGTACTCTGGGGATGAAAAGAAATATAGTATGGGGTTCTTGCCCAATAGACGCTTATGGCTAACAAAGGGCAAATGGAGGTGCACCAAGAAAAGATTAATAATAGGACAGGGTGATGTATGATTAGTGCCAAATAAATGGCAAAGACAACCTGTGCTTCCCAGAGGAGAAGGAACTTGGGCTGGCACTGAAGGATGGGTAGGATATGGATATTGGGAAGGCAAGGTGGGAGCCGGACTGCCTTAAGTTCTCAACCTGGCTTGTAGGCCAGAATACCCTGGATGCATGATCAACCTACAGATTCCTGGACCCCATTCTAGATCTGTGCTGTCCAATGCATTAGCCACTAGCTGCATGCAGGTACTGAGCACTTGAAATGTGGCTTTTCTGAATTGAAATGTGCTGTAAGTGTTAAATACACACAGGATTTCAAAGACAGTATAGAAAAATAAAAGAATGTGAACGAACTTATTAGTTGTTTATAATTATTACATGCTGAAATATTTTGGAGTTAATTTTACATTTATTTTTATTTTTTAAAGTCTGGCTACCAGAAAATATGAAATTATATATGTGGCTCATGTTTGTGGTTTGCATTATGTTTTTATTGGACTGTGCTGTCTGGAAAAACCAAATTAGAATCTCTGGGGGTGGAGCATGACTATGTTGAAAAGCTCCCAGGTGATTCTGAGGAGCACACCTCCTTACCAAACACTGGCTAGGTGTCAGTACAGAAGCCGAGGGAAAACACACCCATGGCCATCACACGAGCAAGTGTGCCGAGGAATGGCCACTGCCCAGGGCTCCTTCTGGGCTTCCTCCCATCCCATCTACCTCCCACATTGCCAGCTCTGCGATCTCCCCTAGAATGCCAATCCGAGCCTGCCCCACCCAACTCAGAGCTCTTCACTGTGTCCCCACAGAACAAATGGTCTTCATGGTTCAGCCCTTCCCCTCCGTGCACGTTTTGTCCAATAGCACCAAGCAAGCCATGTGGCTCCACACCCCTGCACCTGTGCACAGATTGTTTCCTCTTTGTTCCTCCCTTCATTACCTGGCAAACATTAATTCATCTTTTCAAACCCACCTCGGTTGTCATCTACTCAGTGATGCCTGTCCTTGCGCCCACATGAGAATTAATCATCCGTTCTCTATGCCTGGCACTATTTCTATGGCTGTACCTATTACTATGCAGGGTGCTGTCTGTCTCATTTCTCTGACTATATGCTAAGAGCCTCAAAGGCAAGGCCCAAATGCCATTCATATTTTTCTCCTAAGGTCACTTAAAAAAGCCAAGGCTAGACTATAAAGAACAACAGATACCAAAGTCTGCATTTTACTTTTAGGAACAAGCGGTGTGCTGTAATGAAAGAGATGACTTGAAGGAGATTATCTGGTGGTATTTTTTTCCAGGGATTAACGTGGACAGCTTGGGAGCAAGACATTAGGCCACACTGATACTGTTCTTACTATGTGCTAGGAACTGTTCTGCCTGCTTTATATACATTAACACTTTCAATCCTCACAACAACCCAAAGAAATAGGTACTCTTCCATAAATGAGAAAACTGAGACAGAGAGAGGTTAAGTAACTTGCTCAAGGTCACACAGCTAGTGAATGGTGGAGCCGGAATGAGCCCAGTAATCTCCCTTGTGTTCTCATTCTTTTTTTTTTTTTTTTTTTTTCTGAGACAGAGTCTTGCTCTGTTACCCAGGCTGGAGTGCAGTCAGTGGTACAATCTCAGCTTACTGCAACCCCCACCTCCTGGATTCAAGAAACTCTCCTGCCTCAGCCTCCCAAGTAGCTTGGATTACAGGCACGCACCACCACACCTGTCTAATTTTTGTATTATTAGTAGAGACGGGGTTTTGCCATGTTGGCCAGGTTGGTTGCAAACCCCTGACCTCAAGAGATCCACCTGCCTCAGCCTCCCGAAGTGCTGGGATTACAGATGTGAGCCACTGCGCCCAGCCAGAGTCCTCATTCTCTCATTCTTAACTGTAGGAGTGTACAGCCTCCCACAGGACTAAAGTAGATGACAGCTACTGGGGCCTTGCACAGAAGTGTGTGCAGTAGCAGGAAGCTGGGGGCAGAGGGAGCGATGTGGATGGTGGTTCCACTACTGCAAAAGAAGAAAGCCAGGTGGGGGAGCCAACCTAAGGAGGAACACTTTGGTTGAAGAAACACCATATTTATAGTTGACGTTTTCTTACTTTTATGAGGCTGCCTGTGTGCAATTCAGGTAAATAGAGCCCATTTGTTCTGGGAGAACAAATCAAACTTAGCCCTTTAAACTCAGGAGCATACAACTGGGATTTTCTAGATTCTGAAAGAAAAAAGAAAAGTCTAAAAATCAGAAAGAATCCAGTCTAAATAGCTCTTCTTTTCAATAAATTTGGACATTGAGATTTTTTTCTTCTTTTTATGTAAAAGACCAAAGAACATAAATAATTCCATTTAGCCAAAGATAGCTCTGGTGCCCCAGAAAGAGGACAGAGAAGTAGGACTGGAAAGGCTGAGCCCATCACACACACCCGCCCTCTGCTCACTCAGGGTTGGCTGCCTGTGAGTGGGCTGCTGAGGAAATGCGAGGCCTCTCTGGTACTCACTTTTTGCATCTATGAGCCGCTCCCGGGGTGCGGTGTCAGAGGAGGAGAGCTGCTCCTTGACTTTGGCAATATCTTTAGGATGCAGGTAGTCAAACAAACTCTGACCAATCAGATCATTCTGGGGAGATGAAATGTTAAACATGACAAGTCAATTGCATGCAGAAAATCAATTATGCAACAAGTAAGCATGCACAGTCTGCATGTTGCCTTTGTGTTTTTGTGCATGAGACCTCAAACTTTTCCTATGTGAACCTGTACATATGTCCAACCACTTTGCCTGACACCAGGAAGGAGGCATCTGGAGGTTGGTTTTGATAACATGACGGGAAAACCCTCAATTATATAAACAGTTTATGCTCTTCTAAGGCAACAATCTTGGAATTCCCCTGTAAGACCTCAGAAGGCAGAAGATAGGGGTGGGCTCTGATTCCAGCTCTGCTGTTCAGCCTCTCTGTTCTCAAGCAAGTCACGCATATCATATGCTTCAGTCACCTTGTCTATTAACAGAGATAACAGCAACTTCCTCCATAACTTTGCTCTGAGACTAAAAAGAGCAGAAATCTTTGGAAAAATTAAATTTACATTAATTCTAATTTACATAAATGTCATTTTGATTCTTCAAGTCTTCTGCCTACCAAGCTTCCATGCAAATACCAGTGTGTGAGTGAATGAATAAATGAATAAAAACTCTGGGGGACATAATAGGTGAAAAGTTCTGTTCTAGAAGCGTTTATAAATGTTACTCTTATTTGATCCTATAAGTTATCATTAATTTTTAGAGTAAACTGAGGTTCAATAGAGCTAAGAAGTGACACAGCACTGCAAACACAGTATGGAGTGGATTTCCAAGTGACGTATTCTCTGGTATTGTGTTAACCTGCCTACCTTTCTCCCTTGTCAGATAGCCTCTTACCCTCTGTCCTTGCCACATATTGTGGGATATTTATTTTGCAGCAATAGAAGAAAGCCATAATGCTATCGATCAGATCAGAGTCAGATCTTTCAATGGGGGGAATACGGAACATATTACAAGATTGTTCTAAGTCTAAATTAATTTATCTGTTAAGAAGTTAAGAATTTTCTGGAAGAAGTTCACATGTGACTTGTATACTATAATTATTCTGACAAAATTGAGTGACACTTCTGACTGCTGTGAGGCTGCCCACCATCAACAGGAGCATGAACAATACCTGGCTGTAGTTGAGGATCTTGAAGACAGACTCTGAGACAAAGAGTATCTTCCCTCGGTCACATCCTACGACAAACAAAAATCCATCTGCTGCCTAATCAGGAGAAATGGATAATCAATTTCTCATACTGTAGGAAACATAATTTGTAATCACCCTGATAACAAATAGAGGATGTGCTTTCTAAGCATCCAAAGCACAGGAACACTAACAGTTTCAGTGATATCCTGAGTGCAGGATGCTGAAAACAAACGTCTCTGAAGAACTGTAAGATTGTGTGTGTGTGTGTGTGTGTGTGTGTGTGTGTGTGTGTTTCTGCATATCATCTAATTATTATAGGAAGAAAGTCCAATTAAAGTAAGTTATATTTCAAAGCAGAATTCAGCTTGCACGTGTTCTTTTGAAGGTATCATGGTCCAGAGAATCATATTTCATTGCTCTAATAATAACAACTCTATGGAGAGTCAGAGAATCTGAGATTTGGAAGGACTCTTCAAGAATCCCCTCTCCAACATCTCAGCCATCATCTGCCTTCAACTTGAAAACCTCCACGTACAGGGAGCTCTCTAAAACAGTGGTTCTCAACATTCGGAGCAGTGTTTTTTGTTTTTGTTTTTATGCTGATGGTCTGGCATGGGGCTGATCACTGGGGTATTTTTAAACCCATCCCACTTCCACGTTAATGTGATTCTAATGTACATAGGGCTGAGAACTACTACTCTCAAATGTTATCCCTCCATCCAGGGCCGGACTATTTGCATTCAGAAAAGCAAAACTCCCCGCTTAGATTCTTCTTACCCCTTCTTCAGTTTAAATACAGGAAAAAATCTAAATGTTCCAATAAAGCCAGCCATTAAGATAGGACAACATTTGGTAAAGAGACTGAAGCAGGTAAATACCCAAGCTATAGTGCCTGAGAGCTTGGGCTGTGTGAATCCCACCCACTGCCTTCCAGACATACAACCACTCAACTCCTGCTGGGGTCTTCCGGTGACAAGGAGGGTGTGCCCCACTCTGTCATGCCCTTGCTCTTATGACTCAGCCCTCCCTCGTTCTAATACACAGTGGACTAGTTTCTCACCTTATTCACTGGTCCTTAATCTGCTCTTTGGAAAAATACAGAGAAACTGTTCTCTTTTTCCACAAAAGGGCCTTCATGATGTGGTTTAATTCAAAGAACTAGGAAATGAATTAATGTGCCAGAAGGTAAAAGAATGGTGCATGTACTTGTGCTGGGACAGAAGAAATGAGTGAGAGGGGAACAGAATCACTGTTGCTTAAGACCCTGGCAGGCTACTCAGCCAGAAGGAAGCTGGGGAGGATCCTTTCCTAAGTTAGGTCCCTAAGCTGGCCCAGGGGCAAGGGATGACAGTGAGGGGGAAGTAACTTTCCAAGCACCATCTGCTGGAAGCCTCATTCTGTCAACAAATAGGGTATTAAAAACTTCCTCGTTTGCCTTGCAGATAATCTTGTATCTCATGGAAGTGTTTTTGAGGCTTTTCATTGATGTGGCAATGTGGCTTGAAAGGTACCTGGACAGAAGGGAACTGTGACACCCTGGAGGTAATGCTGGGCAGGGTCAGGCCTGAACCGACAACACAGGTAAAGCTATTTCAGTACTCCAGAGGAAAGCCAGCAGGTTCCAAAGCAGTGAATGCATCAGCGAGGGGAGGCTCTGGACATTCCAACTCCATAGCACCCTGGCCAGCAGACCATCTGTGAAGGAGCCGGGCCCGAAGGACAGCTAAGGAGCAGAAGCTGTGAGAACACTACCAGCACCACAGAGCCACAGGGGCCAGCCAGTGGCAGGGTCACTCTTGGGAAGATGGTGCTGGTTAATAAAAGACACAGAGGCCTTGGTACGGTCTGCCTAGTTTTCAAAACATGGGGAAGTAGACTAACGTAGACATTGTAAACTGATACAGTTGACTGATCCCTGACATACACTTTATTAAAGATATTTTGAAAGCACTTAGTAAAGAAAGCAGTTTGTCCATTTTGCATTGCTGAGGAAAAGCAGAAGTCCAGCTCCTGCGGCCAAACTGTCTGAACATCATCTGAGTAGACCTGGCTTTCTGTGGAAGCAAGTCCCTGGAACTGGGACCCTGGAAGTGATAAGGGACTGGACAGTATTTCACAGCCACTGACACGTGCTAGAGAGGTGACAAAACCTTCATCGGGCAAGAGAGATCACTCTTGAGTGCTGCATAAACAAGGGAGTAGAAGAGACAAGCCCAACATGAAGTATTTAGCTGAGATAGCATGATAATCCTTGTTCCATACCCTGGTAAGTATGGGTATCTGATAGAAAATTATTAAGAAAAGCAGCAACAAGAAAACGATTAAGCACGTGCCACTGCAAAAGGAGCTTGTTTTATTTATTTTTAAATTTGTCCATCCACAGGACTCTGCTTGATAATTATTTTACATATATATATATATATATATATATATATATATATATATATGAAATAAAGACATAGATTCTTTTTCTTAAAATAATCAAGCCTGTACCCCAGCCCAAAATGTCATTGATTTGGATGTTCCTAGAACAATGCCAAGCCTCTAGTAAGTACACAAAAGGGTTTGTTGAATTCATGAATACGCAAGAATGAAAGGCATAGAGGCAGGCCTATCACATCTACAGCTGCAGATCTGTTACCAGTATGGGAATCAGGACCAGTTACATAATTTGTGGGGCCCAGTACAAAATGAAAATGCAGGGATCCTTGTTCAAAAATTACGTTTTCAAGATGGTGACAGGGCATTAAACCAAGCATGGGGCCTTGTGAAACTGCAGAGGTCACATGCCCATGAAGCTGGCACCGACGGCAGCTCTCGAGATGCTACAGGCATCGGTCATATTTTAACCTCAGCAAATCCTCTCTGAGAACACGGACATCTTTACGAAAAGGATGGAGAGGTGGGCAAAGTTGGGTGTTTGAATAACTGTGTCCTGAGAGTGGTAGCCAAAAGACTATCACTCACTTGATCGGGAGCCTGGTCCCACCCTAAAGTGTTTATCATTGATTTGGATGTTCCTAGAACAATGCCATGCATCTAGTAAGTAAACAAAAATGTTTGTTGAATTTATGAATAAACAAGGATGAAAGGCACAGAGGCATGTATTGGATCTACAAGTCACACAAAGATTCCAAGGGTCACTAATGACAAGCTGGACTGTGGGGCCATTCAACAAACAGGTTTTGACAGAAATGAAAGAGAAGTCCTATCTTAAGTTCAAAAAAGCACCTATACAAGATGTAAAAAACCTGACCTAACAATAATTCATATTCAGGAGAGAAGGGGGAGGAGGCAGTACTGCAGCTGCCCCAAATGATACAGTACTAATCAGATGGCTTTTTTGGCAAGGAAGGCACTAGTCCCATTCAACCTCAGGCCAATCAGACCACAGTTGAAGCACTATATTGGGTTGTGGGAGTCACTTCTGGAAGGAATCGAGCAAATGCATGTGGCTCTGGAAAGTGTGTGTGGCAAACACTGTTGGGGAAGCCAATTCCCAACACCATTCCCAGGCCCCTTCTCTCTTGCCTGTCTCCACCAGGGAGGCTGGAAAATCTATAAACACTTGTTTCTGCACCCTGCCCTGCAGCTAGGCGTGACCAAGTGACACACTTTTGAATAAGCTGAAGTCCACTGTTGAGTTTTCAGGAAGGTGTATCCTTTCTTGATAAAAAGGACAGCCAGACTAGAGCTTCATTTACCCCTGTTTTTACAGTGGGTCTGGCTACTTAGACCTGGCAAAGGTACCTGGCTACATTAAGGAAACAAGCTAGCATGCTAGCTTGGTGTGGCTGAGTGCAAAGACAAAGAACCTGGTTCCTATTGACCTCATTGAACCACTGCAGCAACCCAACATAACCTACTCCAGACCAGTTATACTTGAGAAATTAAACTCTATTTATTCATCAGGTCTTCTGGTCCTTGCAGGTGAATGCTTTCCAATTTGAGATAGCACGTCATGAGGAGATAAATAGAGAATGCTGGAGTGAGCAGACAGGCCAGGCTTATAGAGAGCTGAAAATGGATAGTGATGATGCAAAATTCCAGATGGACTACCCTCTACTCTAGAGCTTTGCAAACTTCTGCTCAAAGATGGGTAGGAAGATTCTGTTGGCTGTGCAGGTAAGGTCAGCCCTGACTTTGTGGGAGGTGGAAGCGGGTATCCTTCCTTTTAGTTACGTTTTTCTATTCATCTGTTTACAATCTACAAGAACACGTTTCTGAATCCAGTTTCTTTCCCTTCAATTCCCAAGTTAATCTCACTTTACCTAGTAACACAACTTAGAGCTTTGTGCCGACCTAATTCTTCATGGAAGACAACAGGTTCCCATAGTGCCACCTCAACCATCTCCCAGCAGAGATTTAGCAAGACAGAGAGAGCACTCAAGTCAAGCAGGTGAAAGCATATATCTCTTGCATTTATTTTTCTTTTTTGGACCACTAGTCTTTGTAAGTTTGTTTGTTTTTTGAGACAGAGTCTCACTCTGTTGCCCAAGCTGGAGTGCAGTGGAGTGATCTCAGCTTACTGCAACCTCCACCTCCCAGGTTCAAGCAATTCTCATGTCTCAGCCTCCCAAGAAGGCATCTGCCACCACACCCAGCTAATTTTTATATATTTAATAGAGACAGGGTTTCAACATGTTGGCCATGCTGGTCTCAAACTCGACCTCAGGTGATCTGCCCGTCTTGGCCTCTCAAAGTGCTGGGATTATAGGCGTGAGCCACAGTTTTGTTATTTTGATGAGATTTTGGTGTAAAGATTTAGGTGGACTTTTTTGTGCTAGTGGTTAAATCAGGTGAAGAGAAATTCTCAATTGTTGTTGGTTTCAGTCCCTTCCTAAAATCTTCATGCAGAAATGTGATTCTCAAATCCCCCTTATTTTTAACAAATCCTGACTCTTCTGATTTTAAATTGCGGTGGCATAGACCTTCCATTTTTGTCTAGACGAGGTTAAAAGAGGAGGAGAATGGTTTTGTGGAAGAAATGTGAAGCCTGTCCAAACAATAAGATAAAGGGAGGGACCTGAGAGAGGAAGCAGGCCTAAAAAAAAAAGCTCAGTGTTGAAACATCAAATTCCCACATGCTGGTACTTACTTGAAAATTTATAAAAACAAACGTTGTAAAACAATCCCATAATTGAACATACCCTGAGAATGAGGTGTTTCAATTCATCGTCTGATAGAAAAGTTGGTTTGTAGTTTGCTTCTGTGTATGGATTGGTGGCACCTTAGGGGCAAAAAGAGAAAGAATTGGTATACTTGATATTCAGAAAATGTCTCATTCTAACTTGCTGCCTCAAACCTTCTGTAAGTGGCCTAGTCTCTATGACCTGGTATTTAAATTTTATTGTTTAGGCCTTAACTGAGATGAGCCTAGATCTGGCTTTGGACAGAATCCTGTAAGCCAAAGAGAATTCCATGGAAGAGAGAACACTGTTACCCACAGGAGACCTAACAAGCCTGTTTTTCTCATTACAGGGAAAACCAAGAGATAATAGAAGGAAGTTTAACAATCTGCTTCTAAGAAAGAAGGCAGCTCTGGAAGTAAACTGGTAGAGGCTCCTCAGAGAGTTCCCTCCTCCTAAGATCTGTATTAAATGGGTTGTCTGGTAGTCCTTCAAATCACCACTCTAAATGTTCTTGGGAAACCATTCAGTCTTCCAGGCCCTGAGTAAATATATTGTGGAAGGCATTTAATGTGAGTTACTCTTCATCAGGGGTGAGTTAAACGAGCGTGGCAATGTGGAGGAATGCATTGCTTCAGTCAATGCAGCTCGCACTCCCAGGACTGAAAGGGGACAAGACTTAGGTTTAAAAGGCTGTCAATCTGGCATTTTTCAGGAGAACAATCACTTAACAGAGAAAAATGCCAGCAGTAAATGATTTGGAGTCTGTAGAATAGCGAGTAGAATAGTGAAGGAATAAAAGGAAATGGATCTGTAACAATTCAAAGTACCATGGGGAGGGAAGGAGACAGGACGTGTTGCAACCATCCTATTGATCCCTATCCCTGCTCTTTACTGTAACTTGAGATTTGCCACTTTTTTCCAATTTAATAGAAATTAGTTTATAATAATTTAACCCATGTTATCTTTGCTAATATGAATTTTTAAATGCCATTCTTCCAGCACAGGATACAACATTTATATTTTTGGGTAATGATCTAAAGTCAGACAAAACCAGCTACTTCTTATTTCTGGTGGCCTTGTGCAAATATAAAAAGACGCAATTCTTCTACCACGCAGGTCAGAGATCTGACTGAGCGCCCACTTTCCAATTTCCTCCAAAAGTCCAAGACTAGCTATGGAAAATTCCAGGAACAGCATTCACTAAAATGCCTGATATATTTCAGATTTCTCTTGTGGTTTGGATAAGTCACTTCCACTTTTCTGCCTATGTTTTCTCACCCTCCCCACACTCAGAAAAGAAGGAAAATACTGCCTCCCTCACAAAGAGTGGATCTGGTTCGGGAAAATTCCAGGAAGATGAAAATATCTTCAGTGTTCATTCCTGACAACAAAATGTCGCGAGAACCCACAACCCATGACTCACTTTTCAAAGGAACCATGATGAATTTTCATCTTTGAACTGACTTTTCTGTGTCACTGTGTGCACCTACATTTCTGCGTGTTATAATTGTAAGGATGGGATCCAGGCACAAACATAGGCAAGATGTGAGACATCAGAGCAGTATCATCTCTGATAGGCACATAGCCTGATTACATGCATATACAGAGACGTGCAAAGCACAGTTTCTATGCTCTGAGAATGTGTGACTGCAAAATTGCATGTCAAAACCCACATAAGCTCAATAATCACTTCATTTGGCATCACGGCTGTTGCTGAAGAGTAAAGGCATACTACTGAAGGCTACATAATTGCAAGTAATAAACATCTGCCTTAGGGATAGGAACATTCTAGGCAAGGGTGGTAACATTTGTGGGCAAGGACATAAAGGACAATAGAGCCCAGGGTCTCACCTCTTAATGTTTTCATGTGCTGAACAGCCATCCTTAGCACAGTAAGTTTATCTAATTTCCTGGACATTGCGTTGCATGTTGGTACCAAAGAAGCCAATTCATCTATAAAACTGTTCATTTTATCCCGACGCCGCTTTTCAATCTGACTGTGAGCTTCCCTGAACAACAATATGAAAAACGATTTCTTATAAAATGTAACCAAGCATCAAGAAAAGATGACAAAAATAAATGAGTTGTAACTGTTTTCAATGTTCATCTGACAAGGCAAATTTAGAATTTGCAGAATGTTTAAAATTAGACTTTTCAACTAAAGTCTCCAAGAAAATGGTCTCACTGCCAGGTCAGTATTAATTTTTTTATGTTTACCTCATCTTTAGAATTCAGGAGAAAAGCTACAAAAATTGTCTCTTCAGAGTAAACTGAATTGTTCATTTCTCCTCGTTTCTTTTCCTCTCAGCCTTTGTCAAATTGGATTTTGAAATGGGGGTGAAAGGAAAGAGAAGGGAGGTGGTGGCTTCATAGCACAGAGCATCCAGAGCCCCGTGGGCTGTCCCTGAGGTCTGTGAGGAGCCCGCTGTGTGGCCATGTGACCTGGGCAGGGCACCAATTCTTTCCAGTCACAGCCTCACTGACTAGGGCACCCAGTAACCAACGCCGTCATCCTTGGATCAAAACTAGGTCCCCACCTAGGTGCAGCAGATGCTACATCTGTCCCCAGGAGCCTCCTCTGAGGAATGTCACACTCCTCCCGCTGAGGCAGGGTGACACTGACTGATGTGCACCTGCCATTGGTGATGGTCCTCCTAAGGAGGTGCAGCAACGATGGAAATGTAGTTTGCTGCAGCTGCCGCAGATACAGAGCCATGGGAGCTCCTGCTAAGGCTGGCCTCCGAGGGAAGAGCTTGAAGCCTTAGGGCAGCCAATTTCTGCAGCCCCCTGTATCAGTCTGTCATGACGCAGCCTCAGAACACAGCCTGGTACTAACGGCAGAAGAACTGAGGACGCAATGGGAAGAGGTCAGCAAGTGTGGCTGGAGGCAGGACAGACCCAGGCAGAGAATCTACTCGAGACACCGAGCATGCCCCATGTGGTGCATTCAGTTGCAACTCGCAGTGCAATAGGGGCCCCTGACAGAGGCAAGTCCCAGCCCAGGAACCAAATCACTGAGCCATGTCTCCTGCGGAGGGCGCTCCAGTCAGGAAGACGTTCTCTGCTGAAGACTGGGGAAAAACTTGAGCCTTGATTGATTTCTGCTACCTTCAAATCCACTTCAGGTTAAAGGTGCTTAGACAGCAAAGAGTAAAGGCCAGCCAGTATGGAGAGCATGGAGGGCAGAAGGCCACCTCGGCCAAGGCCCACTACCTGCCTATTCCCTAAGGAGGTGACAGTGCCCAACAGAACTCTTAGACAGGACCAAACATGCAGAGCCTCCTCAGCTGCTCTCTAAGCAACCAGAACTAGGATGCTTTGTAGACAAAATAAGGTCCAAGCTTACCTTGCATTTTTTATCCTTCCTTGGTGTTCTGTATATTCTAACCTGGGGGGAGGAAAAAGCAAAAGATAAAAACATAATTCTCTGGAGATGAATGGCAAAGTTACACATTGCTGTTTTCTTCTGCCTGATCCTGTCATCTCTCTGCAGACACACAAGGGGACTGGGGGTTGGAGGGACACAGTGAGCGCCCACAGGCTCACGGCCTCCTTGCTCATCTCCAGTTGAGGACATGGGTGCTGCCCCAAGTAACAGAATGTGTAACAGTGCAAAGAAAATGGCTATAAGGATGCTGAAGTTCAAATTACTAGGTTCATGGTACCTTCCATGAGGGTCATCTTTGTCTGTGTCCATGCTTTCTCTGAAAAAACAAAAGAGAATGTGACTGCATGTTAATAAAGACATACAGAAGAGCTTCTTATCATAAGACAGAAGGCTCTCATTTATCCAGAAACCAAACAATCATAAAGTTCGAACAGCCACAGTATCAATTAATGATGTATAATAAGGGTAAAACAAATGAAAATTAACTTGAACTTACTATAAAACCTGGACCAGCTTCTCAGGTTATCAAACAAAAGTTATCATCTCAAAAGAGTTTGTGTGTTAACATATATTTTACCATATTCTGATTGTTTGAAAATTGGGAATATGTAGTGTTTATAAAAATGCTTAGTTAACCATAGGATTGAAATATCTATATAACCTCTCATTCTCCCCCCCCATCATTCTGGATAAATGAAGCTTATTCTGTTTGCAAAACATATTGAGCATCAAAGATAAATGTGCATACATATCTATTTGGCAGGGAAGGGACGAAGTGAGGAGGGTGGAATTAAAGTACCAACAAAGTACTGAGCAGAGCCCCAGGCAGCTTTTCAAAGGCACTACTGCCAAATATTCTGCTTCTCAGGTAGGTGGGAACCCCTAGATTTTAGGAATTGGGATGGAGGGGCGTAGTGGGGCTGAGGGCCACAGAAGTCCTGGGGTCACAGCAAGGATCTCCCTCCCTTTCACAGACTTCAGAAAACCAAGTTTCGTTGCATCCTGTGGTTCAGTAGAAGAAAACAGACTGAAATCCCCAGAGGAAGGAGTTCCAAATCCCCCTCACCGCCTTCTCCAATCCATACATTTATCAGGAGGGCATGGACTGCCAGCTGGGCCTCTCTCCTTTTTCCTTTATCCCACAGGAAAGGAGAGAGCATGGCCCTTCAAACAATGTAATCCCAAGGGCAAAAATAGCTGTTTCTAGGAGCACTGGATCATATCATGGGCATTCTAGAACAGTGTTCCCAATTAGACGCCCTGGGGTTCCTCACAGGCAGAGAGTTTCCCCAGCTAGTTCTAAAGTTCAGAGATCACGCAGGCCGCACGGAAGGACAAAAACTCCCCTCTCCCTTTTGTCTAGAATTCTATCTGTTCCTTGAGGCCAGGTGATAATCTCAGGTGAGAAAAAGCTCTGCCTGACAGTCACAGATGACTTCAGTTACATTAAAATGATAGTGAAAGGGATTAAGGTTGCTTAATTAATTGAGTCTCCATGAATTACAGAAGATTAGCAAACCAGAGTCCACAAGGGAAATCTTGGGTGGTGACCAGGCTGGAACCCACAGGTCCAGATGACAGAGGCCTTAGAACACATCAGTGGCTCCCTTAGCGCTTGCTCAAGACAAAGGGTTTGTGGCCAACATCTCGCAGTCTTTCTGCTGGGGAGTTACTGCTATGGAAGAACGCCCTCACAGCCCTCATACCCACTCTCCAGCCCCTGGGTGTTGGCTGTCTTAATCATCTGGGATAACTTACATATTAATCATAGCATCTCCTAGTGGGCATCTGACCTCCAGCCATTGTGCTCCCCAAATTCGACCTGTGAACTTCAGCAGAAAGGACATCTGCTGTAGGGGGTATACCTCCTCGGAGATTTTCCCTCATTAAACAAAAGAAAACCTCTTAAATGGACATTTGGGTAAGATTCCACGCAGGTGCTTCGGCAAAACAAAATGTGCCTTTGAATATTCTACACTGCCTTATTCCCTAGGTGTTTGTACATATATAGAAGGGATGACTGTAAGTGTGAAAATTTACTTACTCAAACGAAAAGTCAACAAGTCTAAAAATAAACAAAAATACTATTTAATATAACAAGTTCATACTAATTTAAATAATGTTTAAGGACAACATCAATGTTCCTAAATTGTTTTCAGAGAGGACCTCCACTCATTCCTTCCATAAACATTCATTAAGCACCTGACACTTGCTGTCTTCCTCAGAGAGGCCCTCAGGCAAAGCTCTCTTTGAACCCCCTGAGATGACACCCATAGACTTAACCCTCTTGCTCAAAGGAGCAAAGAAAGAAGACGAAGAAAGGGGTAAAAGACAGAACTTGGCCTTAAGGCTGTTCTTTTTCTCTGGGTGTAGAACATTTTGGGGACAGGAAGTGGAAGTTAAATGCCTCAGCACTGCTGAAGGCTCCTTCTTGCTTACAAACTAGGGGAAGGTAAAGCCAAAAACCAACTGTGTCGCCACCTAGAGTTGGGTTTTTTATTCCCATCCCCTTTTCCAGGATGAAACAGTAGCTGGCTGCTAGATGTTCCATGCCCGAGAACTGACACCAAGTTTAACAAGAGGAAGACATGCCCCAAAGGCCTTACTGGTAGTCAGTGGAGCTGCCTTTCCGTTTGCGGTTGCAATCCACACCACTGGTACCAAGAGAGCTGGAAAGCAGGTCGGTGGGGCCCGGGGACATGAAATCACTGATGGTTGAAGAAATGTCCATTCTCTGGTCTGCCATTGGATGATCTGGAATTGTTACAAGAGGCACAAAGGTGTGTTTATTTCGATGAGCTCTCAAAAGTGGTGGAGAACCCAGGTTGGTGCTTGGGGGTTTGGTGGTGGGGGGCCGGGGGGGGAGACCCGGGGCTGGTTTACAGCAGCACTAATGCATCTCTCACACCCCCGGACCCAGAACAGGCATGTGATAGAATGGAAAGAGCATCATATTTATTTTAAGAGTTTTTGTAGGAAATTTAAGCCCACCCGCTCATTTTTCTGGTGAAGACATAAAAGCCTAGAGAAGCTGAGCAGCTTCTCGGTCCCTGTGCTGTGGCGTGGAAAAATTAAACCAGAACCAGAAACTCTAGAAGTGAAAACCCAGGGCAGTTCCCACGGAGGGGACCAAATAACCCAGATGTTCTCTGACAATGCTAATTATTTTTCCTCCCTTTTCTCCACACACAAAGCTAATTTTATTTTATTTTTATTTTTTATTTGTTTTGAGACAAAGTCTCACTCTGTCACCCAGGCTGGAGTGCAGTGGTGCAATCTCAGCTCACTACCACCTCCACCTCCCAGGTTCAAGTGACTCTCGTGCCTCAGCCATCCAAAACGCTGGGAAGCTGGGACTAAAGGCATACACCACCACACCTGGCTAATATTTGTATTTTTAGTAGAGATGGGGTTTCACCATGTTGGCCAGGCTGGTCTTGAACTCTGGACCTCAAGAGATCTGCCCGTCTCAGCCTCCCAAAGTGCTGAGATTTCAAGTGTGAGCCACCACGGCTGGCTGCTAATTTTATTTTCTTCTAATCAATAAACATATGATCAAGGAAACAAATAAATGCAAGTTCCTTATTATCTTTGTACTCCTGTTATGACTTTTGAGAGCTTGTTTGGGGGTCCCTAGCAGAAGATTGCAGCTACTCATATACCCTTGACCAAAGACCAGTCCTCCTCTATCGGGGATGGTCATCCTTTCTGAGCATACAGCTTTGGGAGGGACGCACATGGAGTGGTGAGGGAGGAATGGGACACCTGCCTAACCAGCCAGATCAGCCCAATCAACTCTGGCGACCAATGGGGTGACAGATGTTGCAGCCAGATAGTCCTCACATCCTGTTATGACTTTTGTAAACACTGTAAGAAAGCAGAAAATATCCTTTCTTCCACTGTAAGTCTTACTTGGGAATCAGGAAAATATGGTCCCCTCTATCACGGCCAGGCAGTCGGCCTGTTTTCCCCCCACTGTCAGCATCCTTTGCAAGGAAAGCCATGAGATGAAATGAAGACATTGTAAACAAATTTGCAAAACATTTTGAGAACTCGTATTTTAAAAGCATTAAGCAAACCGGCCCTTGAAAAGGGCTTGACAAGTGCCTTGCAAGGGACTCTGACTCCAAGCCCAGTTGAAGAGGTTGGGCAGGGTGCCTGCCTACAGCCAGGGGGTCTGAGCTCCGTGGAGTAGGACTGGAGCTGTCACTACCCCTCTCTGGACCCAACTTCCCTCATCTGCAAAACAGGAGGGTGAGTGTGAGCTACTGTTTCCCACTATCACTGTTAGGCCGACAGATAAGTGAACCAGCTGCCTCCTGTTTAGATGACTGCCATTTTTTCACTTTGATAAGCACTGCTGGGGTGAACATCTTTGTGCATATATTTCCTTGCATTTGAGCAATTATTTCTTAGAATAAATTTCTAAAGGTGGGACTGACAGGTCAAAACGGGACACACGTTGTATTCTGGAACATACTGTAACACTGTGCTCCAGAAAAGCGACAATAATTTCTATCCCCAACAAGAGCTCTTGCCAGTCTAAAGAGAAAAAAAGAAAACCTCATTGTTTTTACTTGTATTCTTCAGCTATTACTGATGTTGCTTTTTCTCTTTACAGGCGTTTCTCTGTCTTACGTTGTGTCTGCTCATGTCCTGTTTTTCTACCACAATGGCCTCCTACCCCGTGTTCACCTGTGTAACAGGACATGGCTGGAGAAACATACCCCTTAGAGGCCTGCATGCCGCCCAGCAATCCTTCATTCCCCTGGCCATTTATTTTCTCATTCTGCTATGAAGGACTTCATACTTTGCCCTCTCTCCTCAAACTTCCATCGTCTCCTTAGTCTCCATTCTCCGCTGAGGACTCTGCTTCTTAGTGAACTGAGAAAAGAGGCAGGTGCACACCTACCACCTCCTTAGATGCTCCTACTTAGGATCCCTTCCCCAGCTCATGCCTGGATTCTACCTCTCCCACCTCCTCGAGACCACCATTTCAGAACCCTCACCCCAGCCCAATCCTGCACCATCCACTCTCCCCACGCTACTGAATCATTTCCACTTGGGTGAAAACAAGAGTTATGTAACTCCCATCTTGGGAAAAATAAACTTACTTGAATACCATCCTCCTCCAGCTATTGTCCCATTTCTCTGTCTCCAGTTTTTTTCCTCTTATTCTCAATAATCCAACTCCAAACAGATTCTCTCCCCATCATTCCCATAAAACAGCCCTTGTTGGGTTGACCAGTGACCTCCTCACTGCTAGATCCAATGGCCAGTTCTCTCCTTGCCCATCAGCACATCCAGAGGAGAGCTGACCTCGCCCTTCTCACTGTCTCTTGGCTTGGGAGATCCCCCTTCTCACGGGACTCCTTCCATTTCAGTGGTCACTCCTTTTTGCTCTCTTTAGCTGGCTCCATCTCCCTCAACTCTAAGGGAGGGTCCCATGGATGTCCTGGGCCCTCTTCTGTATCTACACACACTCTCCAGGGGCTCTAGCTAGTGTCATTCTTTCAAATACTATCAACACTGCAACAATTCCCAAATTTATATCTCCAGCCTAGATGTCACCCTGAATTACAGATATTTATGGCCGACCACCTCCCTGACGTCCTCACTTGAATATACAAGAGAGATGTTAAACTGAAACATCCATAACCAAAACTCTATCTCCAAGCCAAGCCTCTCAGTCATTCCTATGTCAATCCTTCTGGTTGCCAGGCCCCAAACCTAGAAGCCACCCTGACTCCTTTCTTTCACAACCCGCATTCAATCCATCAGCAAATCCTATGAGCTCGACATTCCAAAAACAGCAAATGTGCTATCAGCTCGACATTCAATGACTTTCCCTTTTTCTTCACATGTCATTCCATCAGTGAAGCCCCCTTGAATATCCACATAATGCAAACCCTGCCAAGCCTCCCTAGCCCAGCCACCTACGTAATGTTTTGTCCTTAGCCCTTATCAAAATGTGACCTACAATAATCTACCATAGTCACTGGCAGTCCTCTCCATCAGGGTCTAAGTACCAGGAGAACAGGAACATTATTTACTGCTTGTGCCCTTAGTGCCCAGAATACTTTCTAGTACATACTAAGTGCTCAATAAATATTGAATGAACGAATAAATTTGTATACTAAGAATATTAATTCTTTGTTCATCATTGATGTTGTAAACACTTTTCCCACCCTTTTGCTTTTTAACTTTGTTTACGATATTTGTATGTGGGACCAAAAGTGACATGTTTTAAGTCTTTTCTTACCCAAAATAATATAAATATTCTTTTTTCTAAGATTTTAATGATTTTTTTAATTTAATGCTATTTGGAAATTATTTTGATATACTACCTAAGCTTAGGAATTTCTTATTTCCCTCTAATGGATAGGAGATTTTTTCTAACACCATTTGCTAGTCCATGCATCCCATTGCCACTAACTTGAAATACACCTTTATTGATTTATCACCTATTTCTGGACTCTCTACTCTGTTCCTCTGATCTAGTTATTTCCATCACAGTACTATACTGTTTTTACAACTGTGCTTTAGAATACATTTTAATAGCTAGCAGAACAAATACTCTCCTACTGCTCTTTATTTTTGGAAATTTCCTAGCTATTCTCTCTGATTTATCCTTCAAGAAGTATTTCATGATTATTTAATCATATTAAAGACCCTGTTGGGTGGGTGACATTGTTATTTTGTCATTAACATTTACAGAAGCAGGGCCAGGAATGAGTACAGAGCCCTGCCCTCAGGGTCTTGGTGATTTATGGAGCCCTGGCCCCCTTGGGCCATGCAGCAGACATGAAGTACCTCCAGAATCCCCCACTCCCTTTTTTGACCAGCCAAACAACCGCATGAGGTAGAATACCCCAAGTTTCAGAGTTCCTGGAAGAAACTACACTTCCTAAAGGAAGAACTGCCATGCAAGCTACCAAGAATCATGAGTTCACAGGGGGCAGGGAGGGGATACTACTTTGTTACCTGAAGTCACAGTTCTTACACCCCAGATCCAGCTTGGGAGGAGTTAGGGGCCTCTGGACTTGGTCACCTCAAAGCGATTTTCATGTTTTATAATTTCTTTTCAGGCGGTCAGCTTCTTCCAAAAACCTACAGTGGGGGCCACAAGAAAAGAAAACCCAGACAGGTCACTTTGAGGTAAGTAAATGTAAAAATCTCTTATTAGCTAAGGGAGATGGTGTAGATGGTTCATGACTCCTAATTACAGGGAGGAAGGCTGGGCGAGCTCGTCACACTCTACCGGCACTCACCACCCCTTGCTGCCTGGCCGTCCTTCAGCTCCTTGTTAAAGCTAAGCTGCAAACACATGAAAAAATCTGGCAGGAGATATTTTCGGTGAAAAACAATGCCTTCAAAGTTACTAAAACTGGATTCTTGGGCATGTCCTTAGAAGGAAGTTAGTTGTGTTTTTTATTTCTCCTACTGGGTCAAGTAATCATAATTGTGAAAACTTGTTGAGTGTGATTTTGTGTCAGGCTCTATCCTTATTGTTTTATGTAGATTAACTCATTGAAACCTGAAAGTAACTCTATGAGGGAGATACTCCTGTGTTCTCCGTTTTACAGAAGAGACTGAGGCACAGAGAGGTGGAGAAACTAGCCAAAGTCACACAGCAAGAGAGTGGTGGCCTTCAGAAGCTACCTCACTGCTGAAGGCACCACTCAGCTCTTGCTAGGTTGAAGGTAGTGGCCTGAAGCCAGACAACAAGAACAATGAAAAACAACAGAAAACAAGTCTTCAGAAAACATTAAGCCGAAGCATAATGCCAGCAGAGCCAACACCTGAAACTAACTGCTGAAGCGAGCTCCTCGGTCTAAAGAAAACATCAGTGAATCTCAAGTGCACCTGGGCACACACGAAGTTAAGAAAGAAATTCTGAAACAGGGTTCATGGTAGCCACCGGGCGGTACTGCCCTCCCACCTTACTGAAAGGACTGAGGGGTCTCCTCTCCACCCTATGACTCATGTGGAGGATTCCTGTGTCTGGCAGAAACTGGCTCTGAAAGGAAGAAAAGGGTCACCCCACATCCTCCTAATCCATCCCTGCACTGCCTTGAGATGGCAAAATTTAGATTTTAAACGGGGCTTTCCTGACCTTTCTGAAAAAAAATTTTGGCATTTCAAATTCCACTGGCTAATTCTTGCAGTCTTTGGGGTATCTTTGCCTCGATCGCTATAGAGATCTCCAAATGAATATCTGCGAATACAACTGCTTCCAGCCTCCCAAGGCATTCATTCCCCATTGCAGTCTGATTCAGGAACGCTCACTGTCCGATTCTGTTAACCCCAGTCTGGGCACATGCAAATAATGTGACCAGAAATTTTGTGCTTCTCATTCTTGAGCCTCAACTGGTAAAGCAGCAGCAAATAGATATGAAATCCCCAGGCTTAATATAGGTAATTCCATCTAAATCTGATTCTCTGTTTAGGTCACACGCTATCCTCCCAGCCCCCAAATTAGCAACCCAGAACCTACCCTGGGCTTCCTTCCTCTCTTCCTCCCACACCCCACAGCCCCCACACAGCCCTCTAAGGGATGGGCCCAGCCACTTCCCTCCAGATCCTTGTCACTGCCTCTGTTCAGTCTGCTGTCGTCTCCAGCCCCATCCCCTCTCCACTGTGGTCAGAGGCGGGATACCCCCTTGCTCAGACCACTGCAATAGCTTCACTGTTCCCCCTAAGTCTTCCAAACAAAGTTCAAACCCACCCAGCAGGAAACACTGCTTAGTCTTCAGCCCAACCCTCCCATCTGCTACCCAAAGCCCCCCGACAGACTAAAAGACAAGAGTTCCCAAAACCACCCTGCCTCTGCTGGGCCCACGTTTCTTGCAGGTGTGGCTCCTTTCAACCACCCAGTCACCTGATAAACTCCTGCTTTCCTTTCCTGTGCCCGTGGGCACACCTCCTGGAGAAGCCTTCAGAGCTGTATCCTCTCTCCCTGGCTCTCCTGCAGCAGCTCCTGCCCAGGCTCCTTCACGCCCTGTGACCATTCTCTGCTTGTAGGCGTGTCTCCTCCACCTCCCATAAGCTTCAGGCAGGTAGGGCCTTATTTATAGGCGTCTCCTGTGCCTGATCTCGTGCCTCACTCCAGGTGGTACTCAACAAATGCTAAATAAATGAACAATTTCATGTCCTTTCTCGTTCTCTGAGTTCCCTGAAATTTACTTACTTATTTAATTATTTTTTGAGACAGTCTTGCTCTGTCGCCCAGGCTGGAGTGCAATGGCATGATCTCGGCTCACTGCAATCTCCATCTCCTGGGCTCAAACTATCCTCCTGCCTCAGTTTGTCATGTAGCTGGGACTACAGGTATGCACCACTACCATGTCTGGCTTGTTTTTATATTTTTTGTAGAGAGGAGGCTTTGCATTGTTGCCCAGGCTGGTCTCAAAGTCCTGGGCTCAAGCAATCCGCCCATCTCGGCCTCTCAAAATGCTGAGATTACAGGTGTGAGCCACCATGCCCAGCCCTGACTTCCCTGAAATTTAGATGAAGGATCCAAATTTCAAGTACTAAACTCCATATGAAATTTCTCATTTTGATCAATTTTCCCAATACTCAAATTTACTTTATAGAAATAAAAATAATAAATGCTAATATAGATTTTGGTACTTCTGCAAAACAAAAATCAAAAAGCCTTTTTTATTTTTTTTGAGACAGGGTCTCACTCTGTTGCCCAGGTTAGGGTGCAGTGGTGTGATCATAGCTCACTGCAACCTAGAACTCCTGGCCTCAAGTGATCTTCCCACCTCAGCCTCCCAAGTAGCTGGGACTACAGGCATGTGCCACCATACGTAGCTAATTTTTTATTTTTAGAAGAGACAAGGTCTCACTATGCTGCCCAGACTCCTGGACTCAAGCAATCCCTCCATCTCGGCCTCCCAAAGTATTGGGATTATGGGCATGAGCCACCACGCCCAGCCTCAAAAGCCTCTCTTATATGCTTAGACCAGGTTAGGGAGCTAAACCAGTTGTGACACTTACTTAACATTATTTCTGGAAAACTGTTTTCTGACCAAGAAGGTGTTCTTAGATGCAAGAACAATAAATAAAACAACAAAAGATAAGAAAAAAGAAAGCCTCTTTCTGGGCTACTTCCAAAAGGGATTTGAGCCAACAGAGGTGCCTTTGAGAGGGTATCCTTGCCGAGGGTGGGCTCTGACGGCCGCCCTGACCTGGCCATCCACATGGTGTGTGATGAGGATGCTTTGGGGAGAGCCTAGCCTGTGGTCCTGGAGTCAGGGGCTGCAGGTGTGCCCACTTCCAAGCTAGAGAGTCCCAAAGGTGAGATGGAGGCATGCTGGACCGCCAGAGAAAGCAGGGCATGGAGGGACTTGCGCAAGATGCCTTGGAAGAATGTGAGAGGGCACCCTCCATTCCACCCAGGAGCATGGGGAAAGGATCTCAGGGGCTCCACAGGAAGGAGCAAGGAGGGTGGAAGAGAAGTCACAGCCCAGCCTGCCCTGTCGAGAGAGGCCTTGGCAGCTGAGAAAGGTGAGGGCATCAACCACTAGAAGGCGTCCAAAGGAGACACAGCTGCTCCTCTGAGCAGAGCAGGGTGAAGCTGAACCCTGCCCCTTAAGAAACCCATACCGACCATCTACAGGAAGATGATCACATCCAAGACCCCCAGTTCAGACCAAGTGACTCTCTCCTTTCCCTGGTCCCTGCTCCAGCACCCTAAAATGCAAAAGAAGAGAAAGGTGAGCCTGGCAGAGTGGATCAGTGTTCCAGGCTGAGCTGTCCCACCCAGTGGGAAGGTTCTGCACAGCCTGGTGGCAGGCCTGGCCATGTGACTGGCCCCAACCAGTGAATGAGGGCAGAAGTGACAGCCACAACTTTCTAAAGGACCTTTAACATGTGTTCCTCTGTCTGTGCCCATGACTGTCAATTTCCTGGGATAGAGGCTCCTCCTTTAGCCAAGGCCCTGGATGGACAGTAGCACAACGAAGAAATAAACCTTTGCTACAGTAAGCCACTGAGATGTTGAGGTTGTTTATTACCAGGGTGACCGACTCATCCATTTGCCTGGGACCTTCCCATTCAGCACTGAAAGTCCTGCATCCCAGGAAACCCCTCCGTCCCAGACAAACCGGGATGGTTGGTCCCCTAGTCACTACTATTGTACAACTCATCATATGCTGACAGACACAGGCAGGAAGAAGGAAATTAAGACTAGGATTCTACAGCCACAGATCAAGCCTGATCCAAGAGCAGGAACAGGAAACAATGCATTTACAATAAACAAGTTTAATTTTCACAATAACCTATCCATTCATTATGATCATTATCCCAATTTTCAAGGTGAGGAACCGAGAACTGAAGAGGCAACTTATCTTACTTAAAATGACACAGCTAGCAAGTGGGGATGAAACCCAGGTGTGTCCAGCTTTACTGCTGGTGCTTCTAACTACCATGGCTGCTGCCAATCCTGCCTCCAAAAACCACCCCCCAAAGTATAATACAGAGACAAAAGCAACATAAACAAACAAAACATAAAAAGCAAGCATTCCTGGAAAAGGAACAAGGAGAATTTATAAGAAAAAGAAGTCCTGGGTCAGGAAAGCTACAGGAACTGAGCAAACAAGTTATCTCTGAGCTTCCTGGCAGCCAGGGCAGAGAGGGAAATGCTCAGCTCTCACTCTTTTAAGACCTGGAAGAATATCAGGGAGTTCATCAGGACAGGCCTGAGCAAGGAGAGCTATCTGTTGGAAGGTTCTCTGTATGGGACCTAAGTAATACTATGCTGAATGGCTTGGGGTAAACAAGTGTTGTAAAAGAACAGAGGACTTCCCCCTTTTTAAAATGGGACCCCAGGGAAGGCCTGCCTCTCCTTCTGGCCCACTGTGTTACCCCTAGTGTGACAGCTGGGTGGAGCTCTGTTAAAACACTTGGTGAAGCCCAAGAATGTCACTTGGGTAGCAGCCTTCCATGATGTGGCGAGCTTAGGAAAATAGGGACAACAGTGAATCAACATCCTTGACAACCCTATCTGGTATCCATGTGCTTACTGATCTACTTCTCCACAAAACTCTGAATCCCCAGCAGGGGTGCTTGAGTTGCCACCTCTGCATTCCCACAACCTACCTACAGGGAGCTGGCCCTGAGCACAGCACATGCTCCAGAAGTACTGCTCTCCTTCCCCAGCCCAAACAGCCATGGCAGATGGCCCCTGGCCCCACTCTCCACTACATGGTGCCTGCCCTGATGTCTGTAGAGGGAATGAATGCTGAATTGCTCTGACCTGTTTATGCTCTGATCTGTTCAGAGGGTGGTGCCTCTGAGCAGAGGTGAGAGGCTGATGGGGCCCTGTCCCCACTGCAAGTCCTGTCCGACCTCCATGGTTACTCTGACAGCCTGTGGCGAGCCTTGCTTTGCAACAGACAGATTTAGAAGACCTTCACTGAATGACAGCAGATGCCCTGAACCTAAGGTAACAGGTGTTTGCACAAGGATCATTCAATAAGCATTTCTCTAGCCCCTAGCAGAAGCCACAATGGGGACGAAGACAGAAATCGGCAGTCCTTACGTTCAAGATGTCCTCAGTCCAGTTAGAAAGACGAGTGTTTTAATAAGTACATGACAGCATGACCAATTCAACAGGCAGGCCATGTTTACAGCTGTACAAGCAATGCACTGCCCTACTCCAGAGGTGCCTGGGGGTTTAGAAGTGGCAGATATTTGTTGAGCCATGATGACAACTCTCCAGCAGGTGGCAGTCAAGTGTCTTGAGGAAGGCGTGCTTTTTTTGTATTAGTGGAGCATAGGTAAGGTACAAGAGCAAAACAGATGAAAAAATGATTTGCTTGTGGGCTTGGGTGTGTGTGGAGGGGTGCTGAGGAGGTGTTAATAAAAGGAGATGAGACCAGCGAAGAGGTCTTATGAGGTGTTGCAGGGGTTTGCCGGGTGGCCTGGCTGGTAGGGAGAATGCCCTGAGCAGAGGACAGCACTATATGCAGTGGTACTTCAGTCTCAAAGGTGCTGGTTGTCAGGGGTCAGGGTGTGAGGGGGGCCCATTTGTGGCCCTTGGGTACCCAAATTCAACTGGTAGCTCTAGATGCTTGTGGATCCCCAAATTAAACATCAATCAAGGAGACGGCATTTGGAGCTATGGGGCTTGATCAGTTGAGAGGATCCTGCAAGGGGTAAGATTTGTAAATCTGAGGCACTTTGTCAATCAAAACCAGGCTGGTCTTTGTGGAAAAGACCCCCAATATCGTTGATAGAGGAGAGTCCACAGAATCCCAGTCTCCCAGACAGCTACTGAGGGTTGGTAGAGGGATTCAGAGGTCTAACTAAGTCACCAAACAGTGCTAGTTCCCCCAGGGCATGCATCTAGCTCAGTAAAGGCACTCAGTTTGCTGAATGATAAAAGGGATGTCTTCTTAACCCTTTGTCAAGTCCATCACTGAGGTGTAGAAAGAGAACAAGCTACCAACTCACTGGGCATCCTGGGGGGACTCTTGGTCCTGGAAGTGGAGGCACAGGCCACAGATGAGATGGCTGTGGAAAGTGGCCCGACTCCACCTGAACGCTGAGCAGCCACCCAAATTGAAGTGGCCCAGGATGAGGCAGCAGAGCAAACAAAATGGTCACAATGGGAGCATCTGAGTGGGCAAGCAGATCGAGGAGATTACTCTTTCAACAGGGCTGATTTTAATGACTGCAGAATGACTTGGAGTCCCAGGAACCATCAATCCCCCTAACATATCCACGAACCATCTGAAAAGGGAACTGATACCAATTAGTGCTTTTACTGCTCTAGACCCTTTAGAACATACTGATTCAGAGCATGTTCTCTGATGGGAGATGACGGTCAAGTTTCAAATCCTGACCCCATCATGTATGAGTGCCTAGGGTTCAAATCTTAGGTCCCACATTTACCAGCCGTGTGATGTTGGGCACAACATTTAGCCTGTATGTGTCATTGGTCTCCTGACCTGACCTGTAGGATAAGGATAACATTACCTGCCTCACAGTTGTGGTGAAAAGTAAGTGAGATATATAAAGTGCTCAGAATGGTGTCTGGAGCATAACAAGCCCTCTGTAAGTGTCATTATTATCTTCCCATTAACCATCACAACAGCCTCATAAGACAACTAGCTAATGTTTCATCCCCTGTCTTACAGATAAGGAAACTAAGTTTGAGAGAGTAAGTAACTTGATCAAGATCAGAGATTTTGTATAATGGGAAAGCAGATTTAAACACAGGCCAGTCCCATCTAAAGCCCATACTCCTTCCACTGTACAGCACAGCCTCCATGCAATCTAAGAAATGGGCACAGTCCAGAGGGTGCAGGGATTTACAAATTCTTCAAAAAACACTTCCCAAAGTTCTGCCATGGAACACTAATCCCATAGGATTGTAATGATGTTATTCGGGGGAAAAAATCAGGGGCCAAATACGTATAGGGAATGCTGGTTCAATAGTTAGGTTTTTCTTCTGCAGGGCTTCTTGGACCTTTAAACGCAGCCCTGTGGAGGGTGAAAGTCTAAGGGCAGCAGAGTCTGAGTCCCAAGTGTATGCATCCACACACCATTTATCACCTCACATCTAACAGCCAAGGGTTCCATGGGGCACACTAGGGGAACCATGCCCTGCAAGGCCATTCAGGATTAAAAGTCCCCTCCTGTATGACCCTCCCCTCCCCCTGCTGATTTCCTCACCAGAAGATGCTTATTTCCCAGGCTCTTGGCTCCTCTGAAAGCAGCCCAGGCTCTGAGGTTCATGTCCCACTTTTTCTTATGAGTGGTCTCTGGCCACTTCCTTTGCCCAGTGCGTGCTCACTGGCCTGGCACTGTCCTCTGCCCCTCACGCAGACCCCATGCATTCTGTCCCAGAACCAGGAATTTTTTGCAAGAGTTTTCCCCCAGCCTAGACCCCAGAGATGCTCTGCTTTACCTGGAGGACCACATGGGATCTGAAGCCACAAAGATCTCCCAGGTGCTGCCTCTCCCCAGGCAGGGTCCAGGCCTTGTTCCCCTCTGCACTCCGGCACCCAGCACTCAACATCTGGGGGCAAGGCTGGGGGCGATATGTGCTCTGTCTGCCACACCCCTCCTGCCCTGCCACTTCCACTCTGGGGACCAGGCTGGCGAGGCCAAAGCTCTCTTCCTGACCCTTGGCCTTGACATGCCCCTGCATTCAAAGAGGGCACAGGGTGCAATCCCTGATGGAAGCAAGAAGGATCAATGAGTCATGCTCAAGGACCAGCTAAATGAAGGTGCATCAGCCTGGCTCCTGTTTCTTTTCATTGTTTTCTTGCCTGTCTTTGTCTTTAATTGCTACAGAATAAGAGGAGAGAGCCTGGTTCTACAGACTCAGGGAGTAATACTCCTTTCACCAAAAAACTTACTGCCTGAAGTTGAAGAAAATTCTGGAAAACATCTGCATCTTGTTCTAAAGGAAACAAAAGAATGCACTGCTGTTATCTGGTGGCAAAGGGAGAGAGGCCAGTGTGAGGGAGGGTGGAGTTAGGATGGAGCACCTGAAAGGTGCTTGTGTTTCTGGCTAGGGCTTAGGGGATGCCAACAAGACAGGCTGGGCCAGGCAGCAGGGGCTGGACTCAGGGCAGGCCGAGACGCAGTGAAGAAAGCCACATGCCTTCTTTGAGAATGTGGGGGGAATGGGAAGAACATTCAACAGCAGAGAAAAGGAATATTATAGGATCTTGGATGGAATGGCCTGCACCTTTCACCACAATAAAGAGCAAGGCCAACTACAAAGTGGGGTGGTGGGACCCCAGGACAGGCAGGAAGGGATCCGTGGGACAGGAAGCCTGCAGAGCATCAGAGCCTCCTGGCAAGGCCAGGCAGTGGGCGTGTCTCCAGAGCAGGCTGGCCAGGCGTGGGACCTTCCTGGCAGAAGAGGAAGCAAGTGGCAGCAGAAGAAGAGGCTGAGGGTTCTCCCCTAGGTACCAGACAGGCAGGACAAGGTGGGTTTTGACAATAGAGTGAGGGGATTCTGGGTGCCCGAGGAGAGGCAGGGCAGGATGGTGGTCAGGGCGGGGCCTCTTGGGTTCCAATCCCAGCCCTGCCACTTACTAGCTGCATGTCCTAGGCAAGTTAGGTGACTTCCAGGAGCTAGAGATGCCTCATCTGTGAAAGGGGTGGATTCCCCGCACTGGGTTGTTGTGCAGACCACATGAGTTGAATAGAAGAAAACACCTAGCATGCTCAGTGGCGTCCACTATGGCCATGGAAGTGGATGGCCTTGTGCTGGTTGAAAAGGGAGAAGGCTGGGAAAAGTGATGTCAGGAGATGCAAACTCAGGTTGAAATCCTGGGGATACAAGAACTCAGAGATGGTGAGAGCAGGGGTGGCAAGAGGACATGAAGGAACTTAAAGCTGGAGAGATCCAGGACATTGACCCCTGGGAACGAGGAGGGAGTTGAGGAGAGTGGCTGCAGGGAAGGCTACAGGTATCCTGGGGGTGGGTCTGGAAGGCATTCCAGAGCGCAGCATTTCATAGCAGGAAGCATTGAGGACTCCAAAGAATCTGAAAAGTGAATAGAGTTTTAAGAGTCCAACCGCTTTGTTTTAATATAAAACAGAGAGACAACTCCTCCTGTGAGAAGCTTGGACTAGGACAATGAGAAAGGTCAGTGGGATATGAATAACAGAATTTTGGAGCTGCTCAGGGAGATAAGATGTAGAAAGCAAGGACAATGATTTCCTTAGGGAGACGAAGCCCACAGGAGGAAAAGCGGAACCCAGCAGGGTGACAGCTGCTGCTGAGGGGTGGGCTGCCCCAGGGATTCTGGGGTGACATAGTAGCATCAGCTAAGGATGCTGGGGGCATCTCTTATGTCCCACCCAGCACAGGGTTTGGTTGACTGGCAAGGAGGCCTCAGACGGCTACCACTGCCCCAAAGCCTTGAGGCAATCCAACACAGTTTATTGAGAACCCACATATGCCAGGTAATTTCTTCAGTGAAAGAATTGGTAATTTGAGTAAATTTCCACCACAAACTGCTTGTAGTAGCCAAATTTCAATTCGGGACAATTTTGTAATAACGAAGACACTGTTGGCATGCTGGCCCACGATCACTTATTAGTCTCTCAACAAATATTTACTGAGGGCATCCAAGTGCCAGGCACTGTTCTCCATGGCAGTGCTGCAGATGGGGGTAGGGATATAAAAATCCTTGTCCTCATCTGGCACACCTCCTGGTGAGGAAGGCAAGCAAACGAAACAAGTAAGTTATGTCGGGTGCTGGATGGCAGTAAGTGCTCGGGAGGAAAGTCAGAGATGGGGAGGAGGCAGACCACAGGAGGGAGGCAGTTAGAAAGGCCCCAAGGAGGCTGGACAGGAGGAGGTGAGAGGTGACAGATGTGTTCCAGGCAGAGGACAGCTAGTGAACAGGGCCGCAGGGAGCTGCCCAGTGCTAGGGGACCAGCGACCTGGGGCATGCTAGGGAGAGGAGACAGCTAAGGAAGGTAGGGGTGCAGTCAGAGGGCCAGGTGTGGGGGCCTGCAGACCCCAGTAAGGATCTTGGCCTTGACTCTGAGTAAAATGGGGAGTGACATGATCCCTCTTAGGTTTTAAGTCTGGCTGCAGTGGTGAGAAGATACCATGTGTGTGTGTGTGTGTGTGTGTGTGTAAAAGCAGGGCAGGAAGCTGAGTTAGGAGACGGCTACAACAGTCCGGGGAAGAGATGCTATGACTCAGCCCTCTGTATTAGGTGTGGGGGTGATGAGAAGCAGCTGGATTCTAGACATATTTCCAGGGGCTGTGCTGATCAATGGGATGTGAGGTGTAAGAGGAGTCAGTCTGAGTGGCCACGGCAGGGTGACAAAAAGTCAACTCTTGCTATGTTCTGAGAAGTTGATTCTTGGTATGCTCTAAAGGAAAAGCCAATGGGTTTCCTGACGGTCTAGACATGGGGGTGACTCCCAGTCCATGAACTGCACAAAGGCCCCCAGCCAAGGGGGCAGCTAGGGCTGCAAAGCCACTTGCCAGGTACATGCCCCATGTGACAGCTGGAGGAAGAGGTCCCTGTACACCATCCACCCATCCAGGGAGGAGCTGCTGGTTTGGGACATGTTCAGTGTGGGATGCCTATGAGATGTCTAGGTGACACCACAGGCCCTGTTGCTGTGAGTGGAGGTGAAACAGAGCAGTCACCTGCCACCCCCACAACTCTGAACACTGACCACGTCCCGTTTACTGAGCATCAAACACGTGCCTAGGATGGTTCCTGCCCTGACGTGTCTCCTTTGGTCCTCGTAACGACCTTTTGGGGGAGGCATCGACATCACATAGAAGATGACACTGAGGCTCAGAGAGGTATGGCAACTTGTCCAAGATCACACAGCTGAGAAGGGCTAGAGCAGGGACTGGAACCCAGATATGCCCACCTCCAGGCTGGGACTCTGCACATGCTCTATTGCTTCAGTGACTCAGCAAATAAAAGCAACAGCTCTGTCCCAAGTAGGAGAAAGAGGGCAGGGCAGGCTCATACCCATCCCTCCTCCCACCTACGGGGCAAGGATATCAAAAACCAGTAACAAGGACATGAATAACCAATGGGCTGGGGGAATGGCACATCTGTTCAATGGGTTAACTAAAAGTTAGCCAGGTGATCCTTTCTGTTTAAACGTGAACAACTGAAAACCTTTCTAAAATGCACTTGTCCATTTGCCTGGCAAGTGCACTTGGAGGAAGATGATGTAATCTATAACGAGTCTCGGGATCTTCCCAGCCCTAGATCTAAAATGTTCGTCTGAATGTATCCTGCCTGACCCCAGAAATAACTCTACAAATTCCTCTTAATGAAAATGAAATCGGCTTGTTTTTTTTCCTTCATTTGTCTCCTTCTGGCAAGAAGAATTTAAAAAAAAAACCCACAAACTTCAGTGATTTCAGTTTCATTTTTCTGAGCTTTGGATATAGTGAGTATCATGTGTCTGTGGGTCTGAACAGGCATGAGTCGTACAGCTCAAGGTCATTTTTCTGAGAAAATACTCAGTGCAGGAATCACAACAAAAATAACAACACAAAAACTATTGGCAGAAACCACACACCAGGCTTTTTTTTCATGCTAGTCAGTGTTGTTTCGTTTAGTTCTCAAAGAAGAACTAATTAATTGTGAGAGGGGTCAGATAAATTGCCTGAAATCCCTCAGCTCACAAGTAGGAAAGCCAGGGTTCAAACCCAGCTCTGTCTGACTCCAAAGCTCTGTGACAACTGAAGCAATACTACCTTTTCTGAGTTAAAACAAAACAAAATCTCTTATAAATCAATAAAAAGGCAAATACCTCAGTGGAAAACTAAGCAGAGACTATGAATAGGAAACCCCAAAAGATGAAACACAAAGACCAGTAAGTATACAAAAACATGCTCAATCTCATAACCGTCAAAATTTAATAGATAATATGCCACTTTCACTGCTCATATTAGCAAAGATTCTATTTAAAGATAATACCAGTATTAGTGAAGATGTGGTAAATGGGCAGGTCAGTACACTGTATATCTGAATATAAACTGATATATCTTTTGACAAAGTAATTTCATGCCTAAATTAAATTTTATGTTTAAGAACATCATCTCTTACATAGTACTCTTTTAATAGATATGCACTGGCATCTGTTAATATATCAATAGATATAAATAGATATACATTTAATAAATTTTCATTTAATTAGTATTCATTAGTGAACTGATATACATTGATATACATTGGTGAAAAAGGGTACAAACGTATATACACAATATTTCCCAGTCTTCTTATGTGTCTATAGAAAAAAGACAAAAAAAAATTCACCAGAATATTAAGACATCTCCAACTGGTGAGATGGGTCAGTTTTGTTTTAACGTTATAATTTCTCAATTTTCCATCTTTTTCTATATTGGACATGAATTATTTATATAATAAAATTTCATAAACACAGAAAGGACTGAAAGGAAACAAACCAAAATGCTGATAGTAGCTATCTTTGTGGGCTGAGATAATGGGTAGTGATTTTCATCTTTCAATTTCTCTACCTGTTTCAAACTTTCTCTTATGAGGTTGTGTTACTTTGAACTAAGCAGAACTATAAAACTTAGTAGTAAGTATTCAGATTTTCTGTAACTATATCAATATCATAGAAAAGATTTCAACTAGTTTCCAGATAGGAGTAACAAAGGACAGGGAAATCACACACCAGCTACCCTAGATGAAAGCCTTGGGAAATTTCCAACAGCGAGTGTTAAGGGACCAAAAGCTTACTGCCAGCCCACACATGACCACCAAGGCAGCATCTGACACTGGCACATTCACAGTTCGTGTTTGCCTTTTAGGTGTCGTGTTCAGTTCTGAACGCCTGGCTATCCATGGCATCAACCCAACAGGCACACAACACTGCTGCTCAGTACAGTCAGTGCTGGGCAGCATATTCCCTAGTGACGGTTGCTCTCTCCTGGGGATCCTCCTGGATGTCAGACCCTCGTGGTCCAACTGGAGAGCCCTCAGGTTTCAGGACAGGTAGAGGCCCAGGCTTGAGGCAGGAAGCTTCTGGTAGACTGACTTCAACCCACCCAACTTGGCCTACAAGTTGCCCCCACGAGAAGCCTCATTACCTCCTTGACTTTCCCTTGGACCTGCCCACAGCTCCCAGAGTCAGTCTGACTCAGGCCGAGGTGCAGGCAGAGGCCACAAAACAATCAAAACAAACTTAGTAAAGAGTGGGGAGCCTGGCTGGCTTTTCTTTCTTTAAAAGTCTATATGGGGACGCTTTTAAATATATATATGCACAGGTGGGAGGAGTGAAAAAAATAGAGATTGCAAAAATGAAAAAATATGACAATGGAAACTGTTTCAGGCTCTTTTAGGATCATATACTTTCTAAAAGGGACAGGGGAAACATCAAAACACCTCATTTCTCTGACAATGAATGCAGTTAAAAATTTGGACTTCTACTACATATCCTTATGTAAAAGGACATTTCTAGGAGCTATGAAACCATTTCTTTTCATTTAAAGTCTGTCTTAGGATTTTTCTAGCTAATTTGTAAGCATGTGCATGCATGCACGCACACACACTCTCTCTCTCTTGCTCTTTCATATTGTCAAAAATGCAATAAAAATATTTTAAATATGTCTTTAGCTCTCTTGAAATCTGTAAGTAATATAACCTTACAACACTTATAATTCCAAAAATAATCAATATAATGCCCTAACTGTAATACAAAGAAGAAAGGAAATATAGTTAAAAATAAGACAACATGTAAATCAATATGTAAGTATTGGGGCACCGCTACACCAGAAAACATCATGAAAGATATATGAAATGCTTGCACCTATTCATAACAAATAGGTAAATCTTATATACTTGGTAGCTGTGTTCGCAGAAAATTCAGTATATATTAAAAACATGCAAAAATTATTTGTGTTTATGTGTTAATTGGAGTCAGACTCTAGGCCCAGATAATTTTAAGCAGGGTTTTGCCCACAAGAATGCACTGAGCATTAGGCAGCTATGCAGATGTTGGGCAATCTTTTGTTCCCCAAGCATTATATCTAGCACCCCTGCCTTCCCCTCTTCCCCCAGTAAAAGCCTCGTCTGGGTCACTGTGACATCCAGATCACCCACACACATTCCCACGATGTCCTATAGGGGGCGCGAAGTACCCATTCAGAACCAGTAGCATTTCTACAGACAAAAAGAGGCAGAGAGGTTAGCTATTTACCCAAAACAACAGACAAAACCCAACAGCAGACAGGACTAGAATAAGAGAAGGAATAGACAGCGGAGGAAGAAGGAAGTTATTATTCTCATATTTATGTTTCTTCACTGCTAGACATCATGCCAAGGACTGTTATGTCCATGCAGAATCTCATCTAATCCTCCTGTCAATCTTCCAGGTTAGTAGTATTATCATCCCCATTTTTCAGATAAAGATATTACCTTTCAGGGAGGTGAGGTAACTCTCATAGCCCTATTTTTGGTAGAACCAGATTTTATCCAGTGCTTTTTACATTGCTTCAAGCTGCTCCCCTCCAGGTCTCTGAGTCGATGCCCGAGGGTCCCTCACTTTGCTGCTTAAATCTCTGGAAAATAGTGACCGGAATGCGTGCTATCTGGAAAGCAACTCACAAAGAGAAAGATGGTTCAATCCCAGCATCTCAGCCCTTCTGGCCCTGTCAGTGTATGGCTGTGGCCAGAAAAGCCCAGGCATCCCAGAGCACAGGAAGCAAAGACTCTGGATGAAGTCATGGGCCATCTTTCTCTAGACTCCTGGAAGAGCCTGGCTAGAGGCACCAGGGATCATTTCAGGAGAATGTGTATTTGGCACCTACATCCCAGTTTTGGATGGTAGGTGGTCATCACATCCTTCCACCCCCGTAACTGCTGGAGTTGTTCTCTGAGACTGAATATTGGATTAGGCACTTGAAGAGATGACCCAGTTTTGCAATTCTTAGGTACCTCTCTCCTTCTACTTTCTGGCCATAAAACCATGACTAAGCACTTTAAACAAGAAACCTATTGCTCAGGCACCATGTTCAGGAAAAAAAAAAAAAACATCAAGAGCCCTGTATTTGTCACCTTGATCTAAAGCTACCATTTTATGAACCCTGTGGGGCCTGGCAGAGCTACAGGATGAACCCATTTGTTGGGGACAGTGCAGATGCCTCTGCCCTGCAGTCTGTTCTGTCAAAACAAACTCTGAAGGTTTCACAGAAAATGGTTCAACTAAGGCTCCTGTCTAATGATTTCTTGCAAAATAAGTTAAAGCAGGGCCAGCCCAAGTCTAGTGCACCATGGGCTTATTTTTGGCACTATGCAGGAAAGGCTGTAAGATAGTCTTGCACCACAACTAAGAGCACGGGCTCTGGAGTCACACTGCCTAGCCCCAAATCTCTGCTCTGCTGCTTGACTGCATGGCTCGGGACAAGATGTGAGCCCTCGTTCCTTAGTTGCCTCATTGGTAAAATGAGGATGATGACAGGGCTCACCTCATATGGTGATTTTGAGTCATAAATAAGACAATTCACGTACGGAGCTTAGAACAGTGCCTGGCCCATGGCAAGCACTCTCTGGATACATGTTACCTTTACTGGGATTAATACTGACTGCCATGCCATAGAAAGAATGGCTGAAGGCACTGGAGAACATAAACCTTGTGGAGGGAGATAGAGTGGGTGGAGAGGGAAAGGATGTGGGTCCATGAGCACTACCTTCAAACTTCTAAGCTGGAATTGTGCCATGCCTACCGACCTTTGTTCTGTGTTGCCACAAAAAGCAGAACTAGGTCACTAAGGAAACACTGCCAAAAGGCAGATCTGCGGTCAGAATAAAGGAGGATTTTTAAGAGCCAAAGATGTCCATAAAGCAGGAGCAGGATGCCTGGTGCGGAGATGTCCGACTGGGGCTAGGGAACTGCCTGTCATGGGCAGCCACTGCGCAGATGGGATCCTCCTGCACTGGCGGGTGGTTAGAGGAAGTGACCCCTTATGCCCCTGCCCACTGGACCATTCTGTCACTTTGAAAATGAGTAAATAAGTGCTGATAGCCAGGGTGTGGCTGATCAGCCCGAAGGAAGGAGGATGGACTTTGCACCAGTCTTAACATACACAACCTTCAAAACTTTTACTTAATGCTCTCAGAACCACATCTGGTGGTGGCAGTGGTGACAGGAATGACCAGTAATGGCTCAAAGAACCAAAAGTGTTTCTGGAACACCTGCTGGTGCCAGACAATAATTCAGGGAATGTGTAAAATGACAGGGCTGTGACAACAAGCTATCAACATTTTCTTACTCTGGACGATTTAAAGACAGTATTGGCCGGGCGCAGTGGATCACGCCTGTAATCCCAGCACTTTGGGAGGCCGAGGTGAGCAGATCACCCGAGGTCAGGAGTTCGAGACCAGCCTGGCCAACATGGCAAAACCCCGTCTCTACTAAAAATCCAAAAATTAGCTGGGTGTGGTGGCATGTACCTGTAATCCCAGCTACTTGGGAGACTGAGGCAGGAGAATCACTTGAACCCAGCAGGCAGAGGCTGCAATGAGCTGAGATCACGCCACTGCACTCCAGCCTGGGCGACAGACTGAGACTCTCTCTCTCAAAGAAAAAAAAAAAAAAAAGACAGTATCGATGACTAATGCCATTACCTGGGGGCACACAATATAGAGTGATCAAGTCTGCCAACTCCATGGGCTATGACCGTGACAGGAAGCCTGGGGTCATTCCAGTTCGCAGGCTACTTCCCAGACTCCTCTCAGGCAAAGGTTTTAGTGTTCTTCAGCACCTCCTTACCACCGACCCACCCACACAACCCCTTGACCTGGATCTTACTCAAGTCAGTCTCCTGGCCGAGTCACACACAGGAAAAGTTGCTAGAACACAGTGAAATGTTCAAGAGCAAGAAATAAGAGAGAGAAAGAGGAGAATCTGCCTTTTGAAAATTGGTTCAGAGCTGGGGCAGCCTCCATCATGAAATAGTGTTAACTTTATTAACTACAGAAATAATTTTAAAACTAGAAACTATTTTACCAACAAGAAAAATTGCTAGCTTGTACTGAAATTATAATCCAGATCCAAGAAAAAAATGAAATTTCCAAACTAAAGCTCATCAGCCATTTTCCAAGTATTTCCTGTGCACTTGTTACTGCAAATTTATATGTTCTCAACTCTGAGAACTCGAAAGCAGGTAAGTGGCTGTAGGTATCAAAGATTAGGAAAAACAAATATGTGTAGGTGACCTTGGGGACATTCTGTGTACAAACTAATTGTTTGCTATCTGACAACACCTGGCACCATGTTTGAGAACCACTGTCCAGTCTGGCTAGGAACTCCCTGGGCAGGAAGATCAACCATCTCTTCTCAGAAAGAATGGATTCAATAACCCAAGGGCTTCAGCTTTGGATCCCAGCTGCTGGATCTGCCCACAGCCCTGATTCCTCCCTCCCCACCTCTGACCTTCTCTGTAGTAGGTGGTTCACATCCTAGCATGTCACTGTCTTTTACTCTCTGGTTGGTTGTCTGTCTGTAGCCAAATCCTAGTACGTCTTCCTCATCCGTAATCACTCCCCGTCGCTTGTTCCTCTCCATGCTAGCCGCTACAGCCTTAGTTTAGGCCCAGACCAACCCCGCCCGGCCTCTTCGCATCCTCTAAAACCGCTGGCCTTTGGTATCCCAACAGGTGACTTCTCCAGAGGCTTTCACAGTTTGCCCTCCCTAGCAAAGTTTTCCCTACGTCCCTCTGCCCCTTCCAGCCTCAGAAAGAGAAGTAACTCCCCAAAGCCCACTCCGGCTTAGGCACTGTGCCTGACATGCAGCCCAGGGCAAGAAAGAGATAGAGGTTCACCACACAGGCTGGCACCAGTCCACTGATATTGGCTACCAGAATGCTACTCAAAGATACAGAGGCTCAGAAAAAACCCACCATGATCAGTTATTATTCTTCTACCAGGGGTGGGGCCAGAGCATTGGGAACATAGCACTCATGCCACCCACTTGCTTTCCCAGAAAAGGGCAGGGTACTCCAGGGAACTTGGGATTGCCTGTCTCTGGCCTGTGCCCTGGTCCTATGCTCCCTTTCGTATTCCTATGAAATCACCTCAACAATCCATTCCCAGGGCTCCTCCAAAGTTGCAATACTTATCTTCACTGCCTCCTACCACCCACCACTGCATCATACTTACCTTCCCACTAACACATGGCAAATGTACTGCACCTTTTTCCATTAGAAAACTTCATAGCATCTCTATAAGCTTTTCCCAAGTGGGTCAGAGAGCAACTGATGTTACCTTTGCTTTGCTATCCAAATAGATTCCAAAATTCCCCACTCTCATTTTCTCTACCACTCAACTAATCTGTTATATACACATATCTTGGTCTGCTTATGCATGGGCTGATTGTTTGGCCATCTTCGTGCCTGTGTCTTCTAAGACTGTGAACCCCTGAAGGGTATCTGTTTAATACAGTAGCTCCAGTGAGCACAGCAGGGCACTGTCAAGAGAAGCACAGAGACTGCCGCCCCAGCCCACCTCTGCCATGACTCTTAATGGGACCCTAGGCAAGTCACTCCCTTGCCTAGGCCTCTGCTTCCCCACCTACAATGAGATATACTTAAAACTAGTGTCTCTCTGAAGGCCCACCTTGTAGCTCTAGTACACTACGACAACACAGGCAAAAAAGCACTGGGTTTATGTCTCTTCATGACTACGTGAGCAATAATCACTCAGGTTTAGGCTCAGCGAGATATCACAATACTGCGCCTTTGAGTGGCACAGAACTGCCATTGCAATGTGTGAAAACTCTAAAGTGGCTATTTAGTGCAATGGGATGGATGTTTGTGCAGCTAAGTATAATGGACAATGAAGAATGATTTTATCTCCTTTTGAGAACATAAGTATACTATTCTATATTTATCCCTCCCATCTCCTAATTTAGACAGGGAAGAACTTTTTCTGATCAGCACCCACTTGCCAATAATTTCGCTCTACATCTAAATGGAGAACAGGAGTCATATAAGTTCACAGATTGAATGGATGGTTGATTTACGAAGCCCTTGAAATGTGGCTGCAGGCCGATGCTGGCAACCCCATAATTAGATATGGCATGCTCTGCAATGATGTATTTTTTAACTGTTTTTTAATAACTCAGTTCTCCTTCTGGGATGAGGAGAAAAATGGAATTTGTTAAAAATAAATCGAGATTTTAGTGGCTTTTCAGCCTTCTGCTGCTTGTTGCTCAAAATATTCTATAAATAAGAGAAGCCCTGCCCTATAGTGCACTGTAAACACCCACAGACACTCACAGCCAAATTCTTCCAATTATGACCCTGTGCCTGTTGCCAAGCTACTGCAAGGACCTACTTGAAAGGCGGCCATCTAGGCCATTTCCTGATTAAGCTGCCCTGTAGCAAGGAATCAAGGCCTGCTGCTTTGGCATTGTATCTAGTCTCAAATAATTACTCCGTGTTCCTGAAATTAAGCCCTTTCCTTGTGATAGAATTACAATTCAGAGGTAAGTGAAAGGCTAACCACTCACCCATCTGTCCGTCTGCCTAAGTCGTGTGTGCATTTAAGACCCTGAGCTGTCACATGTTAGACTTTATTTAAATCAGGTAGCAGAAGTGCACTCACAACAGCATCTTTAATTGCACTGAGCAAATCAAGGTCAAACAAAAGGAGGTCAACTATCGACATGACAGGTGAGTCAGATGCAGCCTGCCTTTCTGTTCAGTGGCTTCCTGACTCATCAGTTTGGATCACCGTTGCCCAGCCCAGCAGGCTGAAATGGTCATTTAAAAATCCGTACCGTACCCCAAGAAGGCAATGCAGTTATGTCAGGTGTAGGGCTTACTGCTCTGCCGTTCAAATGCCAGTGTGTGAGTTGGAACTGCCCCGACCTCTGGGCTTCCACGCAGCCTCAACAAGCCATTGAAGAACTGCATGCAGAGAATCAGGAGATGACAGTGTGCCACATTCTCGCTGAGAGAAACTACTTCCAGCTCCTTAGAAACCAGAATGTTCAAAGCAGCAATGGAGCAAAATGGGCTCTGGCTGGAAACTAATCACCCCCCACCTCCCACCATGAGGTTTTCATGTCAGCCCAACTGGGTGAGTGTTCAAGAGAAGTGTCGTCCATATTGGCCCTGAGACCTTCAAAAGGTCCTGTGACATGGCTCCTGCCCCAGGAACTCACTCTCTAAATGGGAAGCCCATTAATGAACAAGAGAACTAATATGTGGTCAGATTTTCCAAACTCAAAATTGAGACCTATATACTTGGAGGGGCAGTGTTTTTAAAAGTAGGAGTCCTGGAAAACTTGGGACCGGGGGGGTCACAAAGCATTGAGCTCTTCAGGGAGGGTTCTGCTGGCCATCCGACGTAAAGGGGTCCTTCCTGTGACTCTCATGCTACCCCTGGGTTCTAATTTCTTAATAACTGAAGTGATCTTGTGTTCTTGTGCCTCCTCTGATTAGAATGTGAGCACCATGAGAGCGGAGACCCTCTCTGTCTTGCTCTTGACTGGTTCCATATCAACTAGAACAGTGACCAGCTCTTAGTAGGTACTCAATTCATATTAACTGAAAAAAAGCAAATACACACCAGACTCTCAGAAAACCATTATTTATACCAATCTCCTTCAATCCCTACAGCAGTATTATGAGGTAAAATAATTAGATCTCCCATTCAATGAGAAAAATCAAGGCTCAGAGAGGGCGTGTGTTTTGCCCAGGGCTGCATCTAATAAGTGATAGAAGTGGAATTCAAAACCAGGTATGGAGCATTATGATCCTCCCTTTGTAATGAGTGTCTATTATTTTGTATAATTTAGAAAAAGCAAAAATGAAAACTCTGGAGGAAAAACTGCTCATCAGAAACAGCTTTATATCAACTAATCTTATCTGTGATGAATTCAGTTCTGGCACCCAAAATCCAAGTTCCATTTCCATCTACAGAGGACACTGGCAGCATAGCTACAGCAGGAGAAAGGATTCTGGGGCCTTCCTTATGAAAGGATTCTGTTCCTTTCTTTCTGCGGGGCCTCAAAAGCCAGGCAGGGAGTGGAGGGGCCATCGGCACCAGTGATCATCATGCCTACGGCTGCTGGATGTGGCAGGCTTGCTCCACGGTTCACTGGAAATGTTCCAAAGAGAGGCTCATAAGCAAGTCTGAGGTCGAAGAGTTAAAGTGTTTGGAATCTGCCTTCTCCCAAACCCATACCTTAAAACTTGGAAGGAAAAAAAACAAGCATTTTTTTAAAGACTGAAATTTCAAAAATGTTTAAAATGAAAAGTAGAGATTTACACTTACCTGAATTGAGAATATTAAACCCTGCTGAAGCTAAGTTTATCCCCCCTTTTAGTCTATAACTCATAATAAAATTCCTACTAGTCTGATGTTTTGGGCCAAAAAAAAGCCTCTCCAGTCGATCCTCTAGATGCAGGCCATGGCTTGTGTTTATGTGCAAATCAGCAGGTACATCTCATCAAAATGGCCAGGCCAGTTCTCATGTGTGAATACGTATCTCAGATATGGGAAATAAATGCAAATAGCACATAGTATCAATGAAACAGGTATAGTGTTGCCAAATTGCCCAACAACCCTTAAATACAAACACCCTGCAGAAACATGACACCCTTCATGGCTGTGAATGTGGAGTAGCACAATGACAAAAGAGCACATAGCCTTCCAGATCAACTTCAGGGAAAACGTCTCATGAAAAATGCTGGGCTTGTATTTGTCTTGTCGTTTATTTTTTTGAGAGAGTCTATAAATTTCTTCAGACTCACAAAGTGATCTGTGACCCCAAAAGACTAGGACTGCTCACCAACCCTTTCTGTTGCCACTCTTGTTTCATTTAGACAATGCTGCTAACACAAACAACTATACAGGAAGCCCTTTCACAGTAAACACGATGATGGTAACAATCAGAAAAAATTGTCCAAGCTCTTACACAGACGATTCAGCCACCGGAAACTGTTCAGTCAATGACAGAAAAGAGGTCAGTAGCTCAAAGGGACTGGAAAACTGCTGTGCCTTAGCTTGAGCCCACTGCCCAGACAGGGACAAATGGCACAACCAGAAAAGCGCAAGGAAGCAAACTTAGGGGCTAGAAAGTTTGGGACAGGTGAACTTGGGAGCAACAGGAGAAAAAAACACAATCTTTGGAGCCAGGCAGGGCCTCACCTACAGACTCAATCTGTGGCTTTGGGATGATGATGATGATAACAGCATCTGCGATGAGCTATTATTTGCTGACAGCACAATGTCCGGCGCATAGTAGGCACGTACTTAATGTACTTAGGAAATTACATGTTATTTCATTTAATTTTTATTTTTCTTAATTTTTTTTTTTCATAAAAGAGAAGTGGTCTTGCTATGTTGCCCAGGCTGGCCTTGAATTCCTGGCCTCAAGTGACCTCCCACCTCAGCCTCTCAAAGTGCTGGGATTACATGAGTGAACCGCTATGGGCTGGGCGCAGTGGCTCACACCTGTAATCCCAGCACTTTGGGAGGCTGAGGGGGGTGGATCACGAGGTCAGGAGATCGAGACCATCCTGGCTAACACGGTGAAACCCCGTCTCTACTAAAAATACAACAAAATTAGCCGGGCGTGGTGGCGGGCGCCTGTAGTCCCAGCTACTCGGGAGGCTGAGGCAGGAGACTGGCGTGAACCCGGGAAGCAGAGCTTGCAGTGAGCCGAGATCGCACCACTGCACTCCAGCCTGGGCGACAGAGCGAGACTCTGTCTCAAAAAAACAAAACAAAACAAAACAACAGTGAGCCACTATGTCTGGTCATTTCATTTAATTTTTATCACAACTCTGTATTATCTTCATAATATAGAAGATATATATATATATAATACCTATATAATCTTCTATATTATCTCTCTATATATTATCTTTATCTTCTAAATGTGAAAAAGGTTAAAAAAATTAAGTAGCATGCCCAAGGTCCCCAGCTAGTTGAGAATCAATCCAGGGTCTGTTTGGCTGTAAGCCCATACTCTTAACTACTAAGCAGTGGCAAGCTTCAGCTTCCTCATCTGTAAAAAGAAGATTATAATCCTTACATCCCCGAAGTGGTAAGGATTAGAGAGAATGCATGTGAAGTGCTTACCACAGTGCCCGGCACACAGGAAGCCCTCTAGCGTAGATTCCTATGACATCGGAACCTTTGGAAGGGAGAGGAGAGGTAGGAGGTGAGAATCCAGCTATACAGATGGTACAGCATTTCACTTTGAAGGGCCTGACAAGCAGGATTAGGAATTCTGGACCAGGCTTAAAAGACTGGGATGAGGCTGGTCCGAAGGTAGTGAGTTATCTCCATTGATAGTTCAGTCTGTAACAGATCAAACTCCTTGTTCTACTCTTTTTTTTTTTTTTAGACAGAGTCTTGCTCTGTTGCCAGGCTGGAGTGCGGTGGCATGATATCGGCTCAACTGCAACCTCTGCCTCCCGGGTTCAAACAATTCTCCTGCCTCAGCCTCCCGAGTAGCTGGGACTACAGGCGTGTGCCACCACACCCAGCTAATTTTTGTATTTTTAGTAGACACAGGGTTTCATCATGTTGGCCAGGATGGTATCAATCTCCTGACCTCATGATCCACCCACCTCAGCCTCCCACAGTGCTGGGATTACAGATGTGAGCCACCGCCCCCGGCCCCTTGTTCTACTCTTTCCCCGCTTCTCACTACTGCACTTGACTAGTATGAAAAAATAAAAAATAAAAAAATACAATAAAATTTAAAAGGCTGGGATGACATACTCTCAGGGACACAGAGGGGACACACCTCATCAAGATGGGAAATAATGTGCTTACTCAGAGATGAAAAGGTTTTCATCAAAATTTGGAGAGGGTTGAATTTTTGAAAGAAGGAATCATTCAAGCCCACACACACACACACACACACACACACACACACACACAAAAGGTCTCAAAAGGCAGCACCAGACAGCATGGCTACGCCTGGGCCAGGAATGTGTGCCTGCTGCCGGTCTGCCTCCCTGAGACCCAAGGACGGCAAAGGCTCCTGTTCGTGTTTGTAAGAAGGGAGATGCTGGAACCCCAGTTATCTGTAAACCCCACCTGGAACTTGAGCACAGTCTAGGTATTCTTTAAACAAAAAAAAAGAAAAAAAAAGAAAAGAAAAAAAGCAGCATTTGTCAGATCAGAATCAAATAAGGTGAAATGTACCCACTGCGAGAAAAGAACCAATGACTTAGTGTGGCTTGGAGTATGCAAAGATCAATGGATCCATCTGCATGAAGAAGACTCCCACTCACTGACACCACCATCTTGACTATTCTCTTATTAAAAAATGGAACAGGGGAGGCTGCGGAGCAGCAGAGTCACTCCCCAGAGAGCCAATGCCACTACAGAGAACATGCATCCCAGGGCTTAGGTTTTCTTGGTGAGAAAAACACCACAGAGTGTCAACAGTCTCTCCCTGGACCAGTTCGTCCCCTCCTGCTTTTCTTATAAAGGAATCACTATACCAAGTTATCCCAATAGAAATCAAAGACACTCAAAGATCTTCAGGTCCTGTCATCTGTCCCCTCTTCTCCATCCCCACAGCTCTAGCACAACACTCAGCATCAATTTCCTGGACGATTTTCACAGCCGCTAAAGTAATTCTGCTGCCTCCCTCCTACAGTCCAGCCCCCACACTGCCACCAGCTGGCTTTCTAAAATAAAAGTGCTGACCACGTCACTCACCTCCTGAAAGATGTCTACTAGATTTGCACTGCCTATGAAATAAACTCCAAAGTCTTCGCTTGCATGCAGGCATGCATTAACTCAGTCATTTGTCCATCCACCCACCTCGTGTTTCAGGATCACCCACTGTGTGCCAGGCTCTGTTTTAGGCCCTAGAGTGCTGAATGCAATAGATAAGACCAGGTCCCATCTTCATGGATTTATATTCTTGTGGGGTAAGACAAACACTAAATAAGAAGACAAACAAACATATCATATAAAGTCAGAGAGTGATGAGTGCTAATGAGAGAAACCAAAGCGAGGTAGGACAGAATGGTTGAAGCAGCGGGGAGAGGGGGCAGAACGGTGCTTTTTCAGACAGGTGGGAGAACACTTGAATAGAGGCCAGCGTGGAGTGAAGGTGAGACAGGCGGTGTCTGGGGAAGAGCAGCTCAGGCGGAGGACAGCAAGTGCAAAGCCCATGAGACAACAGGGGGAACAGTAAGAAAAGATGCGGCAGCTGAAATGGAGTGAGCAGAGAGTGCCAAGGGATGAGACCAGAGAAGATGAGCAGGAGGGGCTGGCAGGCCAAGGCGAGATGTTTAGATTCCATTCCAAAGATGCCAGAAAGCCGCTGGAGAGTTTAGAGCAGGGAAATGACACAAATTTGCTTTTTAAAAGACCTCTTTGCCTATGTAGCAAACTGACAAGAGACCTGCTGAAAGACAGTGGAGGTTTGAACGAGGGTAGAGCAGTGGTCTGGCCTGCTTGGTTGATAAAGAAACAAACTAATAATAAGGAGCAGTGGTGGCTTCCAGGACATACAGTAAGAGTTGTCAAGAACTGCAATGTTTGAAATGACAGATATGTTAATTATTCTGATCTGGTTACTACAGATTATATGTATTGAAACATCACTATGTACCCCATAAATATGTACAATTATTATGTGTTAATTAAAAATAAATAAATTGGCCAGGTGCAGTGGCTCATGCCTATAATCCCAGCACTTTGGGAGGCCAAGGCGGGTGGATCACTTGAGGTCAGGAGTTTGAGACCAGCCTGGCCAACATGGTGATACCCCATCTCTACTGAAAATACAAAAATTAGCCAGGAGTGGTAGCGCACGACTGTAATCCCAGCTACTCGGGAGGCTGAGGCACGAGAATTTCTCAAACCCGGGAGGCGGAGGTTGCAGTGAGCCAAGATGATACCATTGCACTCCAGCCTGGATGACAAAGCAAGACTCAGTCTCAATAAATAAATAATTTTTAAAACCAGTAAAACAAACAAAAAAAGAATTGCAAACAGATGATGTGAAGAACACAGGAGGAAGCAGAATCAAAGATGATGCCCACATTTTAGGCCTGGGTAGCCAGGTAAAAATGATGGGGACCTCATAACATGGGGAAGACTGAGGAGGAGCAAGGCTAGTTTTTTGTTTGTTTTTGAAGGAACAAATCAAGACTTCTGTTTAGTTATGTTAGGTCTGGGAAGACCACTACACTTCAACATGCAGCTAGCTGCTGAATGGGCAGTGGGTATGGGAGTTGGGGGCTCAGGAAGACAATCTGGGCTGGTTACAAAGATTTGGGGCTTGCCAATATATGGGTGACTGCCAAGATGTAGCCACTTAGGTCCTCCACCTCTTGGCTCCAGCTCCAGACATGCACCCAGTGTGTCACCTCCTACCAGGGCTCTAGCCTCTGCCCTGTGCTCCTTCTGCCTGGGCCCTTCCTACTTCTACAGCTGACAGACTCCTTCCTACTCATCTTTTAAGACTTGCTCACAACGGCTGGGTGCAGTGGCTCATGTCTATAATCCCAGCACTTTAGGAGGCCAAGGTGGGAGGATCACTGGAGGCCAGGAGTTCAAGATCAGCCTGGGCAACATGGCTAGACGCTGTCTCTACAAAAAATTAAAAAAAAAAAAATCAGACAGGCAAGTGGCACATACCTGTAGTTCCAGCTACTTGGGAGGCTGAAGCAGGAAGATCCCTTGAAGCCCAAGATTTCAAAGTTGCAGTGAGCTAGGATCATGCCACTGCACTCCAGCCTGGGTGACAGAGCAAGACCCTCTCTCAAAAAAAAAAAAAAAAAAAAAAAAAAAAAGACTTGCTCACAAGTCACCTCTTCTCTATGAGGTCTTCCAAGAGAGAACCTGTGTCATCCTCTCTTCTCCCACAGCATCTACTGCATACCTTGGTGACAGGACAAACCCATGTGTCACTTTATGTATTTACACCTTTCCTCCCTGTAAGCTTCTTGAGGTCAGTGACTCTATTTCTCTCCAAATCCCTTCACCTAACATAAGGCCTGGGCATGACGGACATTTGCTAAATGAATGGAGTTTTCCTCTTTGCAAAGAAATGCAAAAGAAATTATATAAATGCAAACTGATTCACACTGCAGCTTCTGTCTGCAAGGGGGAAAAAAGTGAAAAAATAAGGTGCTGTCATTGAAGCACTAATAAAGCTCAATGGGGTAGAAGAGTATCTTCCTTTGAGGAGTTTCTTAACAAAAAAGAGCTTCAAGAAATCTAAGAGTTGAGTATCTCAGGGTGTTGCGAGGTATAATGAACATTGTACCTAATGAAGGTGTTTTGGTTTCAACTGCAGAAACACCCAGTTAGTCTAAAACCAGTGCACTCAGGAGTTGGAGACAGAAGGAAGGAAGCCGACGTTCCTTCTCATTCAATCTGGACAGTGATCCTGGGAAGCAGGTCCTCTTAGCCCTCCTTCGTAGACAAGAACAAGCATCAGGGAGTCAGGTGATTAGCCCGAGGTCACAGAGCTGGGAAGTACAGGAGCCAGGATGCTCACTCAGGCCTGCCCAACACCAACGCTGAGATCCTTCCAGCCTCACATGGTGATAACAGGTTCATGCAGTAGGCAGGGTCCCTAGGACCACCCGAACCCCAGACTGCACCAAGGACACAATCTAGTAGTTCTGGAGAGGGAATATTATTTACCCATAATGACTGAGGAGTTACCAGCAGAACCGAAGCTGGAATCTAAGTTTCTGATTCCCAGGCCAGGCTCTCAGGGCACTGTGTATTCTTTCACATAGTCTTTAAAGGAGAGAGACAAAGCAAAAAATGAAAAGTTAACAATCTAATCTACCTGCTTACAAGTACCTTAGAAATAAAAGTTGAGAGGAAAGGGAAATTGTGTTTTTTGTCAATTATGACTGATGTGTGACCCTGGGGCCCCACTAATAGGTAGGAAAGTACCTGAGCAGCTGTCATTGCCCCATGTGGGTTACAAAACCAGCAGCACAAATCAAACTGACCGGCACGTGGCAGGCAGTGTTCTCATATGTTCAGACAAACATCTGCTGTCCACCTACTATGAGCAGGACCCCAAGCAAGGCAGCAAAGAGGGAGAAAAAGACCCTGGAGGTGAACTGTGGCTTTCCCACTCACTACATGTATAATATTCAGTATATTAACCTACCTAAGCCTCAGTTTCTTCATCCATAAGAAAGAACGGGCAGCCCATTTCACAAAGCTGCTCTGACATTCTGGGGACTAAGTGAAATGGCACATGTGCTTGGTATACAGGAGTCACGCAGTAAACATCAAATGGTTGGTAGTTTGTTCATTGATGGGCAACCCAAAAGAACTTATATCTACCGTAGAAAAAGGAATGCAAAAAAAACCCCAGCTACACCAAAGTTCTTGTAAAATCTCAGTAGGGTGAACTGGTATCCTCTGAGGACTTACTAAAGTATAAAGAAATTCTTTAAGAAATTTTCAGTGGCTGAGTATTTCAAGGCAGGGCTGGAGGAAAGGCAGAGTGAAGGGAAAAGGGAAGAGAAAAAGAGAGGAGCTGAATTTGAATATATCAGTGCATTGGCAAGGCCAAAAGAAGTCAACATGTACATAAAAAACAATGTAACTTTATCTCTAGTGGATACAGCCGTATATTTATTATTTATGGTCTATCTTCTCTGTCGAACTCCTGTTGAACCTTCAATACCCCACCTACTTTTCCACCCCACCCACCTAGAAGGTTAATTAATCTTTCCTCTATTAATCAGTTCCTATTACTGGACACACTATTTGCTTGTTAGGCTCCCATATCAAATACTAAGCTCCTGAGAATACACATTGTTCATGATTCATCTCTGGGTTTACATGGTAGCCTTCCTCTTACTCCAGGATCCTCAGCCAGTAGCCACCAACTTGGAGCATCCCCAACGAACTTTCTCTCTACAGCAGGAAGATAAGAGAGGACTCATATTTATACACTGTTTATTTTGTGCTGAACATCTGAGAGGCACCTGACAAATATTAATTCGTATATCCTTCAAAATACCCCTGGGAAAGAATTACTGTCCCTACTTTGTAGAAGGAGACACTGATGCTCAAAGAGGTGAGGTCATCAGCCAAAGGGTCACACTGTTAGTAAATGTGATGATGTCAGGATTTGAACCCAGGTCTGTCTGGCTCCAAGTGCCTCTTACCACTATGCCAGACTGCCCAGCATGGGTCTGATGAAGCTGAGGGCACCCTCAAAGGATAAATGGCCTGGGTATCAAGTCTACTCAGACTCATAAAAGTGAGGTTAGTGCTAAGAAGTCAACAAAGGGTAAACTGTTTGCAAATGCCAGATACCAGCTCAGAGCCAGAGAGGAGAGCTAGAGAAGGCAGAATTCAAAATTTCACATGCAGTTAGCAGGTGGTAAGCTGACCTGTCCTTCTAAGAAGAAGCCTTGAGATACAGCCTGGACCAAGAGTTCACAACTACCTGTGATCAGTTAAGGCCCCTGGCTGAGAATTTGCAGATCCTTCCCAAATGCTAAGGTTTCAAACCTTCGTAAACATGAGCCTAAATGTTAGCACTCCTGTGAGAAATCTATGAACAAAAGTGACCACCAGAAGTCTTGGACCATCACTTCCCTTTGCTTTCCTCATCTAGCTCAGTAAAGGAAACAGCCATGGGGTGTTGTAGGCAAAAACTTTGTCTCAGCCTCACAGCAGTCACTTGCCATCTCCCACTCCCCAGGTCTCTGGGGCCCAAGGCCTGGCACTCCCTGGCAGGGCCCCTTCAAATGCTGACCCAGCCTCAGTATTAATGGCTCAGCCCTTGGTGGGAAAGACAAGCCAGCCTGGCAGAGCTGTGGAAAAGGAAGCTGTGATTTGGCTGTAATTCTTCCAAAGGCTACCTGGCACAACTGATATCCTTAATAATTATTTAATAATTGTGTACAGTATTTAGGGAACTTTTTGTCACCTTGCAGGATGATAACCACCATCAAAGTCAAGATATAAAAATCATATAATTAAATCTACAGACATATATTCTGAATGCTTTTCTAAGATAAACGTGTAATTTTGATGGCATTATTTGTGAGGCTTTTAAGATTTACTTTCTTACACATGTGTAAGCAAAAACTAGATTAGCAAAGCCATAATGGGATGCTCCTAGGAAGAGCATGAATTGGTACAGCCTTTTTGGAGGGTAATTTGGCATTATGGATTCAAATTTTAAACAGCAAACCATTTAAACCAAAAGTCCTACTTCTATGTATCTATACCAAAGAAAATCTCAGGCAAAAGTTCACACGTGTGCACAAAAATTTCCACAGCAGCAATGACTGCAATGGCAAAAGGTCAGAAACAACCTGAGTGTCTATCAATACAAAACGAAATTTACTTAACATACAACCATAACATGGAGTACAACTTTTAAAAGTAACAAGTACATTTATCTGTACATATGGACTTGGAAAAATAACCATAATAATTGACAGCTGTAAAAAGAAAGTTGCAGAACACCATGCACAGGGACAGTCTATCTTTAGAAAACAAAAGGGAAAGTATCTATGTCGTGGTTGAGGGCAAAGGGTAGGGGTGGAGAGAAACAAGCAAATGCAAAAGTCCAGGAGTATAAGAAGCAAACTCTCAAAAGTGCTTATGTTTGGGGAATGGTTGGAAAAGGTTGGGGGAGGTCACAGAAGATTTTGTTGCTTATGTTAAAGCACTTCAGTGTTGTCTGAATTTATCACAAGTGTTTATTACTTTTGTGATGACAAAAACAAAAAAGTTTTTAAAAGCTCATAAAATAATAATTTAAAAAAATTTTGGTATTTGCAAGGGCCCCCCTCCCCTAGAGTGACCACCATTGGAAGCTAAGTCTCCTCTCCACCCTCCAGATGTGGCCACAGTGCTCAGAGTGCACTAGCTAGAAGGAGGCACAGACTCATCTGAGGAAAGACTCCAGAAGGCAATGGTCTCAAGTTCTGAGAAGCTCAAAACCCTTGCCTATTTCAACAAAGACTCTGCCAAAGGTCAACTATTTAATTATTTTATTCTGAAAAAAAAAAAAAAAAAAAAAAAAAACTAAGTGTCTTTTATTTTTCAAATTTACAACACCATAAATTGTTGAATTAAAGCAGTTCACTTGATTGCAACCCCCCTTCAATAGCAGCTATAGAAATTTATATCCTGCATTATTTAAAATTTTATGTTGCTATATAAGCCTTGCTGAACACTTTTTAAAAATTGTTAATGAGGAAATCCCACAGAGAGGAGAGAAGGTAATTCTATTAAATCCAAAAGAGCCTAAAATACTATTATAGCCATTTGGGCTATCATAAGAATGACAACTTAGCAAGTAAAATATCCTTCCTACCTATGGTCACAGTTGCTAGTGGAAATAATTCTAAACTGATACACAGTATCTAAGGGGTATTAGTTATATTAAGCAGAGACTACAAACTCTATTCCTACAGGGGCCAAGCAGGCCATGGAAAGGTACAGTGAGGCTGGGCCAGCCGGAGGCAGGCTGGAGAAACAAGCTCCCAGGGGAGGGACCACCACTCTTCCGCACTGCCACAAGGAAGACGGGCCCAGGCCCACTAGACCTTTGATTTTTTATGAAGAGCTGGAAATCTGGATTTTGATTCAAAAATCTACCCATTTTTAAATGTTGGCCACTAATTTAAACATCTTAAAACACTATGAGTGCTGAACAAAACACATCTGCAAGCCAGATGCAGCCAGGGGGTAGACAGTTTTCAACCTCTGCCTGAAAGTATCTACGTATTTTTTAAATGGCTAATTTGGCTCACTTTTATTTCAGAAAGATGGGAAGAGGCAGAGTAATGGCAGGGAATGGAGATAAAAAACAAAACAGTCAAGTAGTTGCTATTAAGAAAGTATTTCTAACATACTTGTGAAGACAATGGTAGCTGTTTGTATCAAATTCTAAGGAAATTGTTTATATTTATTTAGCTATACAAGGCACAAAACTTGGAGAGGGAGAATTTCTCAGGTCTAGAGTAAATAATAACTCAGTGCATTGCCCACAATTTACTGTCAATGAACCTCTAAGAACTTCTGTCAGGTATTGTTTACCATAACGATTTTAAACAATAGTGACCATTGAAATAATGGCTCTTCTTTGCCAGGTGCTGTCCAGGCATTTGGCACCCAGGGTCACCAATGTGGGTCATACATCCACTGGACAAGATTCCAATAAAGGCCAATGTGACAAACCTTTTTCCAAAACAAAAAACAAAACAACAAAGGACATAGACTCAACATCATAAAATTGTGCTCCAGCATTTTTTTCAAAGACAAAACAATAATAAACATACTTGTGCTAATAATAATATCTGGACATAATGTGCAATTCAAAAAGCACTTTTCTTATATACCATCTCCCTTTCATCACAGCCTGCATTTTAGACTTTATATCTGTTCCAAAGTCTTCTTATAATTATTATTAACAATAATACTTTGACAAACAAAAACAATGTTAACAGATAATAAATATTTGGTGCTTTCTACACGCCAGTCACGGTGCTAAGCACATCTTCATTCCACTCTCACAAGAACCTTATAAAGGTTATTCTAATGATTACAATCCCATTTTACAGATGAGAAAATGGAGGCTAAGGGAGCTTGGTGGGTTTGTCTTAAGTCACAACGCTAGACAGACAGGGAGCTGATGTTCTGAAGCAGGTGGGCCTCCAAAGCCTGAGACCAGTGTGCCGAATGCCCTTTGAAGCAGGCGTCTTAGAGGCCAGCCACACTTTAAGCCCATCTCAGTTTGCTGCTGGCAAATGTACCTAGGGTGTGGCTAACGTCCCCCTTCTCCTCCTCCCACATCCACTTTCCCCATTTGGTCAGAAGCCATTTTAAAATTTTTATTTTTCCCAGTCAAAAACAGTATGAGTCAGTTGAAGCTCAGCCAGCCTGGCCCTAGAGAGCCCTGGAGGCCTGGTGAGTTGCCCTAGGGAACTGGGCTTCCCCTGCTGCCAAGGCCCCTGCCCAGCTGGCTGGAATCTAGGTAGGGTTTTCACATCACTGCAATCTCAATGAGGTCTGGGAAGTCATAACAACCCTGTGAAGTCACCAAGGTACCAAAGTGAGGGGTAGGGGAAAAGGGAGGTGCCTTCAGATCAGCGGGGGAGAAAATATGTATTTAGCCAAGAGCTATGATGTATCTACTATTCAAAGCTCCATGTTAGACCCCTGAGAGAGGGAGATATAGCAGGGGGATAAATAACACAAATAAAAACATCATGCATGAAAAAAGCACACATCCACACACACATGCACACATACCAACTGCACCATGAAGCAGCTTCTCTTAAGGCAATGACCTCAGGCTCTCCCTCAGCCTTCCGTAGGGCCATGGGCCCTGACTGTACAAAGTATTGCTCTGCCACAGAAACCACAGTCCAGGGCAGACGGACCATCATGACCTGCCATGGGCAGTCATCCTCAGAGTGTGTGCAGATCAAGAGGACCAGGAGAAGGGCAGCTGGCTCTGCCCTGAGAGACAAAGGGGGCCCCTTTCCTTGAAGAAGGACAACAAAGGGGTTGTAAGGTAGAGAAAAGGGCAAAGGGAGTGGGCAGAAGGAACAGACCTTAACAAGGCACAGATGTTTCCTCAGCACAGCTGGTTCTGATGCAGAACCATGGAAGTGAGGGTGACGGCCAAACCCCATGCACGCACTCAGTGAGCTCCAGAAAGGGGGAGGCCTGGGCTGGCTCTTTTATGGTCCTAGCCCACCCTCCTGTGATGCAAAAGGCAAGAAGCAGCTGTGGGCAAGTGGGCAGTCCCACATGCTCTCGGTCAACTCCAGGCTGCGCACCTGCCTAGAGTCCTAGGTACTCCTGCCATCCTGGGGCTCAAAAGGGCTGCCCAGTGAGGGAACAAACATTCATTAATCAAATAACCACACAAACCGAGGTCATGACCTCCATGACAAGTGCTGGAAAAGGACAGACTGCAAGGACTTGGAGCAGAGGGAACGGTGGCGTATAGAAGGGTCAGAGCGTAAACCCACAGTCCAGCATCTGGGATAAACTCCTGCTCTGTCACCTACTCAATGGGTCGAGGCCTCAGTTTCCTCACACAGTGTCTTTGGGACAATGATGACACTTACCTCAGCCAACATCTACCAAGCCCCTAATACAAAGTAGCTACGCATGAAGCATTCTAACAGTACTTGACACAAGGTGAGCAGTCCATAAGCGCTAGATGCTGGCATGGGAATGGTGAGGACAAGACCTAGCCTTCTTATCAGGGAGGTTGGGGAGGCTTCTGAGGAGGAGGCAGGCCAATCAGCTGAGTTCCAAAGGGTGAACAGGCATGAGCTAGGCAAACCAGGAGAAAAATGCATTCCAGGCTGAGGGAACAGCATATGGAAAGTCCCTACAAGGGGAGGCAGCATCACAAGCATTTCCATCCCAGGAAAGCAGTTCCAAGAGCCTGCTGGAGTGTCCTGGTCTGCAGGACACCTCGGTGCTGAGAATGGCTCTCTTCTGAAAAGCTTTCCTAGATTACTGTGAGGCCCCAAATAAAAGCTGCACTCTTGGCACAACTTCTCAGGTCTCTGGCAGAGATAGGAAGTGAAGAAGACACAACAAGCAACAAGCTTAAGGCACTGAATGAAAACAGGAGAGTTTATATGCTATTGGCTAGGTGCATTGTGCTAGCTCCCATGCAAAGTACAGATGCTGACTTGGGACCCCTGGGGTCAGAGCTTCTTCCTATTTGTTAGACTCCTCAGTATTCACTGGGGACTTTACAAGGTTTAAAATGAAGACAAAGAGGCCCTCAGGCACCCCCATGAAGGGCCACTAGGTATCCTTACCCTTCAAGAAAAGCATTCTCAGCTGGATTAAGGGGGAAAAAGGCTGTCAGACAGTAGTTCGCAAGAATAGATATTCTGGCTTATTTAGGAAATTTGGGATTCATCCAGGACCAAGGTGGGTGGACCTCATTCCTGAGAATTCCTTGATGGATTATTTTTCATTTTGAATTGCTATTATCGGTCCATCAAAAACAAGAGCTAAAAAAATAAAAAGTCAGGGGCAAAGAATATAGAGAAGAGACATTCCTGAGGTCTCAGCATGCTGGGAGACACAACAGGCGTCACAAACTCAAGCCCAACACAACCTGTCCTGCACTCAAAGCTGACAAGAAGAGCACCCCAATAAACCCAATGGCCAATGAACCTCCCATTTCAGGTACATTTTATCACATTATGAATCTGTTGCTTGGCTGCACAAACAGACCACTCCTCACTCTTACAACAAAAACTTCCTGAGCCAGGTAAACTATGCTGGCACTTGGAACAGAGAGAGAGAGACAGAGTGTGTGTGTGTGTGTGTGTGTGTGTGTGTGTGTGTGTGTGTGGTCTCCACCCTTAAGGAGCTCAGGTTGCTGAGCATAACAGGTAAGTAAATCAACAGTAACACCGATAAGTGCTTTGCAAGAGAGACATGAGGGTGTTCTGGGAGCCAGGAGGAAGGTCATTTCCAGGTCATGGAGAGGTGCTGGGTAGGGAAGGATGGTGTCCTGAAGATTTGGGGGAAACTGGAGTTGAGTTCCCAAGAGGGTGAACAGAGACCACGCCATTCCCAGGAGAGGGCCCAGCATTGCAAAGGCACTAGGAGGTGATGGCTGTTGGTAGCTAGGCTGAGGTTAGAAATGTGAGTTAGGGAAAAAGGAAAACCCAAAGTGGGGTGGGGGTGGGGGAGCAAAAGCTGCAGGGGGCCAAGGGCCAGATGATGAGAAGACTGCAGGCCCCGCTGAAGGGGGTTAGCTTTTATTTTCTAAGCAATGAGGAGCTCTTGGAGAGCTTTAAGCAAAAGAAAGCTCTGATCAGACATGTGTTAGAAAGATCACGTTGATAGGAATGTGGGCAGTGGAATGAGGGAGGAAAAAGATGAACACAGGATGACCAATTAAGAGGCTGTCATAGAACAAAATGATGAATCCTAAACACAGGAGTGGAGAGACAGAGAAGAACTGAGTTGACAAATTAGAAGATGAGCTCTTCAGGATGTGGTAACCAAGGGAATATGAGGGAAAAGACAAGGCCAGGACGACTCATGAAGCAGAAGCAACTGAGGGGCGTGGACCAAGCAGGCAGCACAGGGAGAAAGACGCATGTGGCACTCAGGAGGGGACAGACAGGTTGAGGTGCCCTCGGGGCAGACCACTAGGAGTGTGGACTGGGAGGAGGTTCAGACCGGATATGGAGATCCGGGTGTCTTCAAGACAGAGGTGAGTGGTGGATGAGCTCACCCAGGGAGGACGTTAAGGATGACGTGAAAGGGACCAAGCCAAACCAGAAGCTAAGGACAAAGAACAGAGAACCAGCAGAGCAGGCTGTGGAGGCTGGAATCTCAGCAGCTGGAGGAGAACCGGGAGCCGACCCAGGAGAGGCACGCTCAGCAGAGCTGAAGAAAGCGAGGCCTGAGGTGGGAGTTCTCGCTGCAGGGAGCAGTCAGCTGGGCATTGGCAATGGCAGCCAAGTAAAACAATTAAAACAAGGTGCTGACAGCGCAGCTGACAATCTGTAGTCACCCCAAGAGGAATTTTATGGATTTTACCCCCAACGAGCTCACTGTCTCACTTCTTGGACAGGCCCTTCCCTCTCCACCCCGGTCTCACTGTCTTTTATTTCAGAGCATGATCATACCTGACGTCACATTCTACATCTCACACATGTAGACGTCTGCTTCACGACAGCAGAGACCTTGTCCTGTTTCACCTCTATAACCATGATGCCAAGAGCAGTGCCTGAGAGGCTAAGTGTCTTGTACCAAGTCCCTTGGTGCATTCGAAGCAATAAATAATTAGTGAGTACATAACATACTACATGCCAGATTCTGTGCTACGATGCTGGGGATACAGTGAAAAACAAGACAAAATAGGAGCCTGCCTTTGGAGCTCAAAGCTGGAGGTAATTGGAGAGAAATGCCAAGAGTTTAAACAAAAATGACATTATAATTGTCATAATGCTAGGACTGGAATCTGACTCTCATGCCTTCTAGCGCTATTTTCTTTCCAAGCCCAAGGCTGCTGCCTTCAACTAAATTTTATCTGGGGAAACAGTTAAAGTAAGTGTTTGAGGTTTGGCCTTAGTCTCTTCCAGACTTCCCACACTTCTTCTGCCCTTTCAATAGACTCCTAAGAAGTGGAAACACCCACTACAGCCTCTGAATATTTAACCTGAGGGACTCGATCTATCTCTAGTCCTTCTACATTAGTAGGAGGAAAAATTCCAGACACAGGCAAGATAAAGTAGGAAGCAGCATAAGCCAGGGATTATACAGACCCGGGTTCAAATCCCTTGTAACCTTGCATAGTTACTCATCTATGACTTATTTCTGGCTGAAATAAGAATACTATTAATAATTCCCCCCACATAGGTCATTGCAAAGATGAAATGGGATGATACACAATAGCACTTAGCACTGGACTTAGTACATAATGAGTGTTCAATAAATCATGGCTCTAAACCAGTTACAACTGTTGCTTTTGTTACCAGCTCTCTAACTGCTATATTCACACAAACCAAGTCAAAAACTACTTAGAATTCAAACCAAAGAAGGTACACTCAAAATACTCAGAGCACAAATTGATACATAATTAAATCATGACTGGAGGAATTATCCTCAAGTCCCCATACTTGGATAGACTCTGTAGTAAGAAGGTTTATTTCAATTTTTGGTCCACTCTACTTTCTCCTCCAACTTATACAAATGCAACTACTTCCCCAACAGATCACATCTTGTCTCATGGCAAGGGTCCAAACACGGGCTGGATTCCGTGGTGCAAGTTGTGGCAGAGTTACGAACACCACACCTCAAAAGGGAGCATAAGAACACAATCACAAGCCCAAGGTACACACAAACTCCCAAACACAGCTTGGCTCCAAAGAAGGAAATGAAAACTGGTCACAGCATGCTTTGCCTGCCTCAAAGCTAAAGCAAAGGTTATTCTGACAAGCAAGTATCTAAATCTTATGTGTCTCCCTTCTTTTACTACCCAAACCTTCTATGAGCGGTCTATTTTTGTAACATCTCAATTCTTTATCCTTCATTTATGTCCAACTCCATGTAACCTGGCTTCCTCTTCCCTTCCCCTCTTGTGACATTACATTTCTCAAGGCCATCTGCAAAGACCTTGTCACAAATTCAGCAGCCTCCCTTCAGGTCCGTTCTCCCTGGTCTCTGCTGCCCCATTCTCTTCCCTTCCCGGGACTCTCCTCCATGGCCTCTGGGTCTCTTCCATCGTCTTCCCGTCCCACAGTTACGCATATTCCCCACAGCTCAGCCCACTGCTCATCTTGGGGAGACCGTGTTTAATCCTATGGCTTCCATTCCACATCTCTAGACTTAATCTTCTCAGGCCAGGCTTCAGCCCTGCATTTCCAATTCTCTGCTGGACATTTCTTATGGATGAACCACTGTTATCTTGAATTCAACATATCTAAAACCAGATGCATCAGCTATCCTTTCCACCCCCAACATCTACATTTCTGTCAAAGATACCACCGTAAACAAGCAAGCTTAAACTTTCATCCTCTTTGACTCCTGCCTCTTAAGTCTAAGAAGACTGAAAACGCTATTGGTTCTCCCTTTGCAGTATCTCCTCCATTGATCCTTTGCTTCCATTTTCACTACTGTTCACCGCAAGACCTCATGCCTGGATGACTGCTGCTGCCTTCCAAAAGGGGCCCATGCCTCTTGTCCAGCTATCAGATGAATGTTCCTAAAATGTAAACATCACTTCTGCCACTTCACTTCTTTATCCAAAATAACTTCAATGGCTTCCCACTGCCTTCAGGATAAAGTCTATGTGCCTTAGCCGGGCATTTAGGGTCTAGAAAAGGAGTTGGCAAACTACATCCCGCAGGCCAAATCCAGCCCACCACCTGCTTCTGTAAATAAAGTTTTACTGGAACACTGCCACACCCATTCATTTCCATATTATCTATGGCTGCTTGCATGTTACCACAGCAGAGTGGAGTAGCTGTGACAGAGACCACATGGCCTACGAAGCCAAAAATATTTAGCATCTGGTCCTCTACAGAAAAAGTTTGCTGATGGACTAGAATCATCAGACGCCAGCAGATCCCACCACAGTTCTTGCCCGTGACTCCTTTCGATGAAGATTTTGCTCCTATGGGACTGCTGCTAGGCCCACTTTGTTTACACCTCACCTCTATGTTCTCAAGTCCCGAAAATCTTCTTTCACTCCTCCCCGGACTTTTTTCAATCTAGCTTGCCCTTCAAAACAGAGCCAAAGCTCCACCTCTCCATAAGGCCCGCTGCATCCATCCCCCGCACCCCTTGGTTCCCCTCCTCTGGCCTCCCTCTCTGCATCTACCACAGAAACCTACAGTGAGATTTCACTTTTCCTATGTACCCCTTCAGCCTGTGCTACAGGCTTCTCCAGGTCCAGGGCTGGTAACCTCCACAGAGAACTTGCCAATGATAACTACCTTGCCTTTCATTCCAAATACCAATCCTTGATAGCATAATTTGGTAAGAAGGCATCAAACAAACTTACCAATGAAGGCCCAGGATTCCACATTGGAAAAGTTAAGCTTGGGTCCAAACGTATACACTCTAGCCAGCACCACCTAAAAGCCAATGAAATAAAAGTTTAGCTTTAAATTCATAGCACCCAATAAGTTTTGATTTACCATACTCCTGGGATGCCCATTCTGCTTCTTTGCCTAGAAAATCCCTGCTTGTCCTTTAAATCCATTGGACAGTTTTTCCCTGTAAGCCTCCCCAGTGTTCCAGGCAGGCCAGGCACCCCCTCCTCTCAGTACCCATGGAACTGTGGCGGCATGCCTATGGTAACACATGGCACGTTGTGGCATAACTTCTTGTTTAGGAAGGAGAGGGGGTTTCTCTAGACTGTAGGCTTTTTAAGAGAAGAGACCTGTTAAATTCACCCCGTCCCATACCCCCAACTGCCTAGAACACTACGGGCACTTAGATGATCCTCAATAAATACTTGTAAAATGGATGGAAAAATAACCTACTCACTTCATTGACACATGCTTGGATATCTAAAATTCTGCTAGGCCAGAATTTTCACCATAAAAATGAATGCCTCAACCCCACTGCTTTTAATAGGCAATGGTTTAACAGGAAGGACTAATGAAATTAATCTAAATACACACCTTTGGAATGACACTCCCCTGGGCAGAAACCATCAGAGGCTCCCAGAATCTAAGAAGGCAGGCCCAAATCCACAGCCAGGATGCTGGGCCTGCACCAACTGGCCCGGCTGCAGTCTCAGCTTGCATGGTTTCCCCCGATAGACCCTACCATCCAGACAAACAGGACTGATAGTTCCCAAAACCCTCTGAGCTGGACGTCTTCCTCCACTCTTCTCCACATTACCTCCATCTACTGAGATGGCGCATCCATTTCAAACATCATATCCCAGACCAAGTTCATGATGGGGCCCCAAAAAGTGCTCTGTTTTTTATTTAATCTCTCTCCATTTTTAATTGTGAGAAAATACATGTCACATAAAATTTGCAGTCTTAACCATTTTTAAGTGTACAGTTCAATGGTATTAAGTACATTCATATTCTTATTCAACCATTACCACAAGCCATCTCCAGAACTCTTTTCATCTGCAAAAATGAAACTCTATACCCACTAGATAACAACTCTCTCTTCCCTCCTCCCCGCAACCCCTGGCACCCAATAAGTTTTTGCCAAATGAATGAACACACAAATGAATGAAGGTATGAATGAATCTGACTCAATCCTCCCCACAAAAGCCAGAAGCACTGTTTCCTTCTGCTGGATTCCTACGGTACTATCTTCACATCTTTCTCAGATTTATTTTAATAAATCTTAAATGATCCCTTTTTGCAAAATTATATTCTCCTTCTGGGAAGGAACTATGACTTATTTGCAAAGTTAAGCTTAGGTCCAACAGCATATGCATTTGGCCTGTCTTGCATTTTGCTACATCCATTGGTAAAGTCTCAGTCCTTACCTTGCAGCTTTGACACCAGTTAATCATGCCCTCTAGCTCTCCTGGTTTTCCGCCCACCTCACTGGCTTATCTTTGCTTATTCTCCCTCATCTCCCCACCTCTTATGTCAGCGTGTTCAGTCCTTGTTTTCATCTCTTCTCTGTCACTCCCTTGGTGATCTCAACTAGTCTCCTGGATTCACACATATCACCTCCATGCTAACAATGCTCAGATTTCTCTCCAAGCCTGGACCCCTGCTCTGAACTCCTGACCAGTACATCCAACTGTTTGTGTCAAGTAAGAAGTAGATGGGAGCTTTGTGTAAGACATGGTGGGTGTCTCAAACTTAAACATGTCCAACACAGACCCCTGACGTGCTCCTCCCAGCGTTGTGTCCGCCTCAGTTTAAGACAATGTTCTTCCAGCTGCCCAGACCAAAAATTTGGAGTCATTTTCATCTCCTTTCTCTCCCACTCCGCATCTAATCCTCACTAAAACTGGTTCTTACCTTCAAAATGTATTCAGAATGTGACCATTTCTCACCACCTCCACCGTCCCCATCCTAGATTGCTGCGACAGTCTCCTAATTGGTGCCCTGCTTCCCTGCTGCTACTCTTGGAGTCACTCTACCTCCACCCATAGTCTATTCTGAACAGAGGAGGAAATCTGGTGCAATATGAATCAGATTGTGTCATTTCTTTCCTTAAATCCCTTAAAAGCCTTCCCAGCAAGGATGATGCCAAAAGGACGAATGTGCCTAAAGCAGACTCGCGGGCCTCGGGGCAGGCTGGGGGCAGGAGAGTCTCCAAGCCAGTGTCTCCCTCTCCCCAACCTATTTCTCCACTGGCAGTCCTGACTGTATCACCTATCTTCTGATTTCTCAAAAAAGGAAGCTCTTTAAAGGGAGGGAAATGCAATCAATCAGCTTCCTTTTCCAGCTGGATACCACAAGAAGCCAACAACACTAACACTTCTGAAGAAGCAATAAGGTACATCGAGTCTGCCAACACTTAATAGTGTTTCCAAAGATAAGGCTAGCCCTCCAGAGACTCATTCTTTATGCCCTTGGTGGCAGTGGGGAATCCTCCATAAGACCCCCTTCTCCTTGCCTCCATCTGGCCACCAAGTCTTGCCTGTCTAACATCTCTAGGACTCTATCCCTGTTCTCCACCTCACTGATGCTGTCGCTACAGGTGAAGTGCAAACAAAGTAAGTCAGGATTCTAAGCTAGCTTAGGCCTCATCAGTGCTCCTTGGAGCTAAAGCAGTGGCCTACGAACCCGCCTTGACACCTCTTGTCATTCACTTCCAATCACAACCCCATACAGTGTCCAGAATGATTTTAATAAAACCTAACTTTGATCAAGTCCCCTGCTTTAATCTCCATGAAGAGTTCCTGCACTGCCAGACTACATATTCTTCAAAATCTATTACAGTAAGCCATGGTAAACAGTCTTTTTTATCTTCCCCAGATGCATTTTGTCTGCCTTCTCCTTTAAAAGACTCTGGTTGCCCCAACAGGGGTGGGCAGACGATCCGGCCTAGATTAGAACTCTCCACTCCCTTGCAACAGTGACGGGTCCAAAGGCAGGCACATCACCAACCTGGGCCAATCAGAGCCTTTCCCTTAAACTGATACCTAGATGTAGAGAAAGGCTCTCCCCCTTCGCTGGGATTGTAAAACTGAGGCTGCTGGTGGCTGTGCCCCCTCAGGCAGGGCAGCCTGTCTGCAGTAGAGAGGTCTGATGCCAACACACAAAGAACAGAAGGCAAGGAGCCAACTGGACCGCTGGCAGCATCAACTCGCATTCCAGAACTTCTTCCTTTTGTGCACTCCTACAGCATCCTTCCCAGTCATGGAACCAGTAACTACCCACTTATGCCTCAGCTAGCTGGAGTCCCAACAGGCCCATCACGCCGTTTTCTGTATCTGTGCCTTTTCCCACGTTGTTTCCTCTGCCCAGAATGCACACTCCCTGGATTTTTACCCAGCAGCCAGAATTCCTCTGCCCAGAATGCACACTCCCTGGATTTTTCCCCAGCAGCCAGACTTCCTCTGTGAAGCCTCCCCTGAGGGGAAGCACAGTAAGTCCAGTCTTCCAGATCTGCTCTACAATGCCTAGAATACACCCCTCTGCCACGCTTAGACCCCTCCCTCTGTCTCTGTTATCTCAGAACCAGCTAGCTGCTCTAGCTAGAAACCTCAGACCAACCTGGTCTCCTTGCACTTCCTCACTGTCCTCATGGAACTTCCTGTCCTTCTTTCTGCTGCAGTTCTACTGTCACGGCCAGGACCTCAGGACTTCAGGACCTCCTGCCTGGACACAGGCAGCAGCCACCTAGGCTCTCTCCACTCCCCCTCTTCCCATCCCCCTCCCACTGCTGTCAGGGCTGAGCCTCCACGGCCCTCCTGCACCTACAGAACGGAGCCCTTGCATCTAAACTAGCCCCGACCTATACGCTCCAATTTCCCCCAACCATTTCCACTCCCAGCAGGATGGAGCAGGTGCACTTTCCCTGATTCCACCTGCTAAGAACAATGAAAACCCCTGGGCATTCTATGCTAGATGACTATAAGAAGACTCCAAATGGCAGTCTGAAGAAGGCAGACCAGCTGGGACCTCAGGATCCAAGGAACAACACAGTGGTGAGCTTCCTGCATTTCCTTTTCTGCATATAGCTCAGACTTGGAACTGAGGAGACCAGCAACTCAGAAATGCCAAGGAGCACAAAGAGAAAATGCCCCAACAAATCTCCCTGTTTCAAGACAGAAAACTTGTAGATAATAACCACTGTATTTCAGCCAAACATCACACACACACACAAACACACAAAACCCACAGTCCTACTCACAACCATGCCAGCAAAGTGCAAGTGGCATCTACAACAAATCCACAGCTGACCTTACACTTAATGGTGACAGGCTGATGCTTTCCCCAAGACTAGGAACAAGGCAAGGATGTGCACTCCCAGCACTCTTGTTCAACATAGGACTAGAAGTCCTGGCCACACAATCAGGCAACAAAAAGAAATAAAAAACATACAGATTGGAAAAGATGAAATGAAACAATCCCTATTTGCAAGTGATACAATTGTCTATGCAGAAAATCCTGGGGAATAAACAAAAAAAAATTTCTATGACTAATTAGTGAGTTTAGCAAACATGCAAGATACAACATAAAAACAAAAAAATCAATTGGATTTCTATATACTAGCAATGAACACATGGATACCAAAATTAAAAATACAACCCCATTCGCAATCAGTAAAGAAAAAAAGAAAGAACTATCATTTCTCTCAGCTAGCCATTCTATGGTTTAGCCACTTGAGGCCATCTGTGCCATGAGGGCAGGGATGATATATTGTTTTGCTCTCCAGTGAAATAAAATACCTAGCGGGGGCCCAGCATCTAGTAGGTGTGCACTATCTGTTTTCACAGCTCACGCCCTGCCATCTCTAAGATGAACTTTCTTCCCCATATGCTCCCAGTGAGATCATGGTCTATTAAAAAGTCCCATCTCCAGTTTCAGCCTTGACAGGTCATGACTGCCAAGGAAGTACGTGGGAAACAGTTTCCGCTCCCACTCTCAAACACAGAGGCTTTTCCCTTAAACTGATACCTAGATGTAGAGAAAGGCTCTCCTCCTTTGCTAGGATTGTAAACTGAGGCTGCTGGCAGCTGTGCCCCCTCAGGTAGGGCAGCCTGTCTGCAGTAGAGAGGTCTGATGTCAACACACAAAGAACAGAAGGCAAGGAGCCAACCGGACCGCTGGCAGCATCAACTCGCATTCCAGAACTTCCTCCTTTTGTGCACTTTTGTGGGTTGTTACCCTTCAGCCAGGGCCTCACCAGTGTTTGCAGATGGCAGGCATTGGAAGTGGACTCCAGTAGGCATATCTCACCCCCCTAGAGGGCACACTCAGTCCCTGCCATGTCACTCTAAAGGGGTCCCAAGGTTTGACCCAAAGACCCCAAAGTGAGACAATTCCCAGTGCTGCCTCACCTCTGCTGTGTGCCAGGAGGGACTCCAAGTGCCCTCTCCATGTCTGAAAGCCTAGTCATGAATGGGAATTGCCCATCTGTGCTGAAAAAAGTATCACAGAGTGAAAGAGGTTATGGAGGACAGGTCAGGGCCCAGAGAACACTCAGATATCCTTTTCCAAAAAATTTCCCCTCTTGCTTCTGAGGGTAGGAAGTGAGACTAATACTCATTAGGCAAAGCCAAAACCTCAGAATAATCTTGACTCCTTTCTTTCTCTCATGCCCCACTACCAATCCCACAGCAAAAGTTGCTGGCCCACCTTCAGAACTGATCTCAAATCTAACGGCTTCTCCCCACCTCTACCACCCCGGCTCAGGGCCAGCCCTTCTGGTCACATACCTGGATAACACCCGCAAACGCCCGCTTCTCCCCTGCATCCCCCTTGCTCCCTCAGTCCACTCTCAACACAGCAGCCAGAGTGAGCCCTGTGAGACGTGCCTCAGATCCTGTCGTTCCTCCTTCAAAACTCTATGTTCTGGCTCTGCTTGTCATTCCCAAGGCAACCAAATCCTTACAGTGACCCCAGTGGCCTGGCCCCCACAACTCCATGCCCTCATCTTCTCCCACTCTCCTTCTCTCCTCCCCACTCCATTCCAGCAGCCTTTGTCTTGCTGCTCCTTTTGTGTAAAATGCTCTTCCTCCAGCTAAACACATAGCTCACTTCTTCACCTCACTCGCTGCAACACACCATGCCATGAGTTCACCAGAACCCACTTCCTTTTTTTAGGCGGCACATGGCCAGACTTCCTTTCCCAGCCTCCCTTGCAGTCAGGAGTGAACATGTGACTGAATTCTGGCCAGTGGGTGGGAGGGAGGTATGCTTCCTCCAGACTGGTCCATAAAGCCTTCCTCACAAACTACCCTCTCTTCTTCTTCCTCACGCTCCAGCATTTGAATGCAAAGGAAACCAAGGCCCTTGAAGAAGGCAGAGACACAGGATAAAAGGAGTCTAGGTCCCTGGATGACTGCAAGGAAGGCTGCCTGCTAACCAGGAGCAGCCACTTTGGAATTTTTTCTGCAGAGAAGTGCAGTTTTGTTGTGTTGCTACACTGAGATTTGGGGGTTTGTTTGTTAACCTAACAATTTGTTGTACTCTCAATGAGGCCTTCTTTGACCACTCCTCAAAATCCTCCCACTTCCCATCTGACCTCCTTGCTTCATTTTTCTCCATAGTTCTCATTACCACATAGCATAATGTATATGTCATTTATTATATGATCTCTACCTCCCCAAGTTAGAATATAAGCTGAAGGTGGGAGTTTGGCCTTTTTTCCCTTTGCTGTACACCCTGGGTCTACAACAGTTCTCAGCCTGTTGCAGACAATCATTTGTTGCCAATGAATGAATGAATGGAGCACATGGAGTCTAAGGTTAGAAAGGCCCGCTTAAGCCCAGCTCTGCCATGTACTAGCTATGTAACCTGGGGTAACTTACTCTATCCCTTGAAGGCTCATTTTCTTTATCTGTAAAATGGGGGAAGTAATAGTACCTACCTCAAAGAAATTGGGAATAATTAAGATCACGAACGTAAATCCCTTAGCTTAGTGCCTGATAACCACTCAGGCTCTGTACATGATGACTGCTATTGTTAATCAGCTCGAGGCCAGAGGACAAGACTGGGTTTCAGCCCCAAGCACGGTCAGTGGCAGGGCAACATCTCGGAGAGAAAGAGGCTGAATGGATATTTACATGCACAAACTCTTCCGGAAGAAATCAAGACAAACACATAGGTAGTGAGCTTCAAGAGCTGCCTAAAAGTTCTCAGTAAATTGCCAACAATCAGAGGAACCTGCCAAGTGGGGGCAGGGGCGATGACAAGTGTGTGCGGAGTCTGAGAAAAGTGCTGCTTGTGGAGCGAGCACCACCCAGATGACGAGAGATCACTTTGTGCCTTTTAAGAAACAATTTTCACAGCAAAGCTCAAGAAAAGAGAGAGGCCTCTTGCATCATGGGGACAAGGTAATAAGGCTATAAAAATGGAACTCAAATAAACCACACACAGAGCCCACATGGGCCCAATTTTCCAGGGAAAATAGCGATTGCACAGCATTTAGATGGGGGAAGTCACACTTGTGCCTCAGCATAGCAAACAGCTTTCAAAAATCATTAGGCTGCAGAAAAGTCACCAGGTTTGCCAAATTAGCAGTGCCAGCTCTCACCTGCCCCCTCTGTCACACTCACCTCTTTCTACAGATAAGAGGACAGGGACAGTGATACTCATCAACAGCTATGATCCCCCAGGAACACGCAGCACTCTGCAGCCAGGATAGGACACCACAGCAGCTCCAGCCTGGGTCACCCTGCTGCCCCTCTCCCGAGGCCCTCACAGCTTTCTCCTCAGCCCAGACCTATTCCTCAGGTCTCACCTCCTGGGATTGTCTGCAGCTCTGGGCCTCACTGACAAACTTCTCCTTAAAGCTCTGTCTTCCTGTGGCCCTTCACGGCTCTCACCAAACCCTCCTCCCATCCCCACCTCTCCAATGCCCCTCATCTCCATCTCTGGTCTCTTTTCCACCTCTGCATTCCTGAATGTTGATAATCCCAGCCTCTAAACATACGGCATCTGTCCATCTGTCTGATTCTAGTGACTGTTCTTTCCCCAAATCAGAGACAGGACAGCTTCATGGTCGTAAGCACAGAGCCTGGAGCCAGATGAACTTGGTCTGATCTTGGCTCCACAGCAGTGTGATCCTGGGCAATTAATTCCTTGCTATTTATCTTAGCTTCCTCATCTGTAAAATGGGGATAATAACAGTACCTCATTTGGTTCATTGCATGGATTAAGTGAGTTACTACATATAAAGCTCTTAGAACCATGCCTGGCACCTGATACTCTCCATAAAGTGCTACTATGACCATTACTACAGGCATGCAATTCTTCAGCCAAATCCCAAACATTGCCCCATGTCCTTCCATCTCCATCTCCTCTACTCAGGCCTTTTACCTTTGCTGAGAATGTCCAGCCTCCATTTCAGCCTGTCCTTCAAGATGTTGACAAATGCAACTAGTTCCATAAAACCTTTCTTGATTCTCCTGCCCCTTAGCCCCACCCTGCCCAGCAGTGAGGTAGAACTCCTCCCTTCTCTAAAAGGATGGAGCTGACTCTCCCAGGGCCCCCTTCTTAATCTCCCTTGAATAACCATTGGTTTTAACATTGCTTTATCCTTCCCACTCCCTGGTCATGAGCTTCTCAGAAACAGGGGTGCACTGGGTTCTTTCTCCCTAAAGTTTTAGCCCTTGCAACCTTATATAGTGTAAACATTTGCTGGTTTAAACTGAAATGCAAAGCTTACAGCCCAAGTCTACATAATAAGCCACCAGAGACTGAAACAATAAAAACAACAACAGACCAGGCGCAGTGGCTCATGCCTGTAATCCCAACACTTTGGGAGGCCGAGGCAGGTAGATCATGAGGTCAGGAGATTGAGACCATCCTGGCCAACATGGTGAAACCCCATTTCTACTGAAAATACAAAAATTAACTGGGTGTGGTGGCACGTGCCTATAATCCCACCTCTCGGGAGGCAGAGGTAGGAGAATCGCTTGAATCAGGTAGTCAGAAGTTGCAGTGAGCCAAGATCACGCCACTGCACTCCAGCCTGGTGACAGAACGAGACTCCATCTCAAAACAATAACAACAACAACTACAACAAATCAGCAAGTCAGAGGAAGCCTTCCCCATCATTCCAAAGCCAACACATACCTCAGGCTCAAAGCAGTACTGGGGACCAAGTCAGTGTTGTCTGTTTGTCAATTTCATTCTAGTTATTTCCTAATAACCAAAGAACCAAATCCTTTCAGCAAGTCTACAACCTGCTTCCACTACTAAATGGCATTTCCAGAGAGGCTCATTTGGAATTAAGGAGACATGTTTTTTCTCGGAAATCTTATTTACTTTTTCTTGTTTTAGGGCATTTCTAAAAATATCCTTAAGAAGAGATCACTGTTTGTTATGTTTTCATCAGATGCAGGAATACAGATCTCTTTGATTTTCACAGGTAGATTGCTCCTTCCAAGGATTTATTGGCTCCCCTCCACACTCAGGAACAAACAAGTCACGAGTTACTTTTATACACACAGTCTTTCACTTACAACTAATTTCATGTTACTGTTTCCCTGCTTCCTCATTCATGAAAACCCCAACATAGATGATTCCTAGCATTTTAAGTAAATTTTTTATATATCCTCATGACATTCTTCTTGAAAAAAGAAATTCTGATTCGCTATTAAATCTTGGGCCATTGCCATTAGCTAGACAAATGCCAACTAATGAAATGATTCCATAATACACAGAGATGGCTTAATGTAGCATTAGCTGAAAGAGCAAAAATTAGAAGCAATCTAAATGCTCCATATCAAGCTCATGGCTTACTGAAAACATTCCCTTGATAGAATATTATACGGCCATTTTAGATGGCCATAGGGAAGACGAGGGGCCCATGGAAAAGGGCTGGGGCGTAATGTTAAGAGTAGAGAGGCCATAGTGCAGGGGAAAGGCCAAGATCAGGGAAAGGCCAAGGTCAATGCAGGAATTCCATCCTCAAACAGCCATGAGGAATGGGAAGGGAACTTTCCCTATGTTTGCAGAACGAATCCATCTCTGGATGAGCGAACAACTTTCAGCCCCTCGGACACTCAATGTCAAGCTTGGTCCTCTCCAGTGTGGCCACCAGGCTCCCACCTGAAGGCCCAGCTCTCCTCAAGTCTCTGAGGCTAATGCTGAGCAAAGGCAGGAGGGATTTGCTCACTTGCTGCTAACCTGGCAGGTAAAGAAAGTGAACCAAGAAACTGGGCACCTCAGCCAAGGCCTCCGACTTCTCAGCCCCTTGTCCTCTGTTGGTTCAGTTGAAACTCTGCCACCCCAAAGGTGCCTGAGAGCATGGGCTCTGCGTGCCACGTGCAGGTCCCCAAGACAACTCCACCTCTGGAAAAGAAAATGACTCTAGAGCTTCTCTCCCAGGGCCCTCTCCCTCACGCCACCACAATCCCCAGTGTGGACCCCTCCTGCCAAATACAAGAGGCCAAAGTAATTGCCCTGGCATTACAGTTTTCCCCCCATGGCCCCAAACCACCTACCTAACCATGCCTCCCAAGGCACCTACCTAACCACCCCTCCCCAGGTATGGCAGGGGCAGCTCTCCTATTCCTTCTGCCACCCCCAGAAGCTGTGCTCCCTTCACCAACTCAGATCCCTTACAGGCCAGCTCAAGCCTTTTCTCCTGCACCCTCTCGTCCCAGCCACCTCTGAACACATGGGTATTACACTGCCTCCCTTGAATGACCCCAACCTCTCAAAGCCTGAGTAGCCAAAAAGCCAAACTCTTATATGTGAAACAATCAGGTCACCCAGATGCTGTTATCCAAGAGACTCCTCTCTCCAAAATTTGCTCTAAATATACCACTGGAGACTCTCATTTAAGTGGTTGCCAAGCTCTCCCTTGACACCCCTTGGGAGGGGGCACAAACATCAGACGGCAGTGATGCTGGAGCCAGTCCCCCTTGTAAGGGTCCTGATGGATTAAAAAGCTCTTTCCACCTCCCACAGCCACCAGCAGCAAGCACTTCCTAAGCTCCTACCACATGCCAGCTGGGGGCGCAGACCGCCTGAGATACAAATCTGAACAGGCCAGTCTTTGCCCCACAGGAATTGCAATTGGAACAGGAAAAAGTGTGAGATAAGCCCACTACTGCAGTGTGATAAATGCCGAGCAGACAGAGAAGGCAAAATGAAGGGGAACACAGAGCACAGGTGGTGGTGACTTAATTCAGCCTGAGAAGGGACTGCAGAAAGGCTCAGAGAAAGCCACATTTGAGCCAGGGCCTGGAGAGTTAACAGAGACAATGAAAATACTGGCATCCATGTATTAGGTGCTTCCAGTGTGCTAAGCACCGTACCCAATACTTTACCTTTGTGCATCCAAACTCATTCACTCATGCATCACTGAACCCCTACTGCCAGGCACCAATCCAGGCACTGGGGATACAGCAGTGAACAAAATTAACACTGGTGCCTGCCTGCATCAAGCTTATGTTCTGTTGAGAAATAAATAAATAAATAAAAATAAACCAAATAAATAAGGAAAACGTATAATATATTAGATGGTGATAAGTGCTAGGAGGAAAAATAAAGAGCAAGGGAAAAAGGGAACATTTGGGGGGCAGTGACCCAGATGGAACAATTTTAAATAGGGTGACATTTGAAAAAAGACCTGAAGAAGGTGAGCTAACTAGCCATACACACCTCTGGGGGAAGAATGGTCCAGGCCAAGGGAGCAGGCAGTAGGGAGAGCTTAAACAGGAAGCATGCCTGGTGTGTTTGAAGAACAACACGGATTCCACTGTGGCTGGAGTGGAGCTAGAGAGGCGCAGGTAGGAGCAGCATGTACAGCTGCACAAGTTGTGCAATGCATAAGTTGGGGAGGAAGTGAGTGCCACTTACATGCACCACAATGAGCTGTGCAGAACCCAGCATGATCAACCATACACCATGGCCTTGGGGTGGGAGATGAGGTCAGAAGTACCAGGAAGCTCTGAGGGCCATGCTAAGATTTGGCTTTTCCTCTGACTGGGACAGGAAGCTACTGTGGAGAGGATTCTGAGCAGAGGCCTGCCCTGATCTGACCCTCGGTCACAGGATCGCTGTGTAAAGAATGCACAGTAGCGGGATGAAATTGGAAGCAGGAGACAGCTTTGGAGGCTACTGCAATCACCACACTCAACTATAGTCTTATCCTCATGGTCCCATGCAGTAGGTTCCATGAGCACTCTTTCACAGAATAAGAGATTGAGGCTCAAGAGAGATCTGGTCACTTGCCCAATGTCACTCAGCTAGGATGGAAAGCAGGGGGAAGAGAGCATTCCAGATGGAATGAACAGCATAGGCCATGAAGCAGGAGCTTGGCAGGGCCTAGCACACTTGGGAAAGGGCAGGCTCACAGTTTGGGATGCCCAGAGCCTCCCCTGGGGACACATGGGGACACATGGCAAGGGCAATGGGCGAAGGCCTATCTGCAGCCTGCCCACCCTCACACCAATACCCACCAGCAGCCCTCAAGCTGGCACTGCTCCCTGCACCGGAGCAACTGCCTCCTAACCCATCTCCCTGCTGCGCTCTTGTCCTCCTCACTGCCGGCCCACAGGCAGCGAGAAGAACCCTTAAAAACATAAATCAAGTATTATTTTCTTGCTCACAGCACTCCAGAGGCTTCCTATGATGCCAGGCACACAGTAGACTCTCAACTGATGCTGGACAAATGGGCAACTCCTTCATCCCTACAGCCTTCTCCAGGCTTGTCTTGTCTCAAAACCAAGGTAAGAATAACTTCTTCCTTTCCTCCATAGCACAGGGAGGTGACTCCATGCTGAGGGGAGCAGCAGGGCTCCAGCCAGGTGTAGCTCATTCAAACCAAAGCCAGAGAGGGGAGCCATTCAAACGAACTAAGGGACCACTTACATATTAAACTTATTTTTTTAATAAAATTGCTTACTACAGCGCAAACTGGATGTACTTTACCACGCTGTGGCTATGTAAGAGGAGGGCTGCAGAGACACCTGGGCTGTAGAGACTGCAGCAAGCACACTCCACATGGGAGCCCTGGCACCCTGAGGCCAAGCAGCACCCAGGTACCAAGAACTCCTGACAACACTGTCACAGGCAGGAGGACGGTGCAGGAGCTGCCTGAGGCTGACAGAGCCACGAGCGCAAGATGGGACAGGAACGGCTTCCCCACTGAGTCTGACTATGAATTTAAGGGGCAGAGCTGATGGCCATATTCTCCTTTACATGCTGATTACAGTGAGCCCCAAACTTATCTTGGAAACTGGGAAAAACTATGAAACCAAGGCTGAAACAAAACTTCACAAATTTAAGCCAGAGAAGATTTGGAACAAAAAGTATACATTTCCCAAAGGGTCACTACCACTCCCAGGGTTTAAATCCAGGCCCTCTGAGGGCCACATTCACAAGGGAAATATAGAAACATGTAGGTACACACATGCGTGTATGTAGATACATTTTTAAAGGAGGGTAATAACAACCAACAAAATGAGATAGTAATAAGCTCCCCTTTCCCAAGAAAACAGAATTTAGTAACAAAGAGTCTTCCTAGTGGGACTGGAAGGAGTATTCAAGCACAGCATGAATGACTTACTCTCTGGTTAAAATCGGTCTGTGGGTGGGAGAGGAGCGAGGAAAGCTCTGAAAGCCAAGTGATTCCCCAGACCCCTTCAGGAGGCAAAGAACTTACAGATTCCCATACTGCATCAGACAGGTATGAGACAAGCTTCAAAGGCTTTGTTCTTTGAAAAGGAAGATAGGGGAAAGGGCTGGGAAAGCCCCATCACTGATGTTTGCAGGAGGAAGGGTGCTGAGTCTCCATGGAGTGAGGGTCCTGAGGGTTCCCAGAAGGAGGGGACAAAAGAGCAGGACAAACGGCCAAGCCTCTAGACCTGACAAAGAAGTACAAAGGCAGACTCAACAAGGATGCTCAGGGAAATCGCCTAAGTTTGCCTGACACCAAGCTCCTCTGGGTAGTCCACAGCCAAGCAGACAGTGCTGCAGAAAGGTCCTGTGAGCACTGGTAATCAAGAGTTTCAGAAAGGCTAACACCAAGGCAAAAATATTCTTATTGCATGCCAAAGCCAGACTCTGAGCCACCAGGAAGGGGACTGGGGGTGGCTGGGTGAGAGGGAGGCAAGGAGGAGTTAATTAAAATTGTTCCCTGAAAACACCAGCCCAATATCCTTGCTGGAGGGGCACTGAGATGCTGGTAACTCATTAAAAGTTGAAAATAATAGGAGAGAAAATATAAGCTTGCCTTCAGACAAAGCTGCAGCATGCATAAATCTGGACTCTTGTATGCAAATTTGCTCCGTGTTCTTTAAAAAACATGGCTATTCACCTGGGGAAGTACAGAGATGGGCAACTGGAGTGACCAAGAGAGCCAGTCCCTAGCTTATGCCCTCAACTTTTGCTATCTCCATCTGAAGGCCCCAGGCTGGTCCAGACTGGCTGAATGGGAGAAGCTCGGCCCTCGCAAGGGGTCTCCTCCACCTCCTCCCTTCCCACCAGAAAGCCCAGAGGACACAGAAGGAGCCAGACCTTGCAATCAGGGACATAGGTTCCTATCCCAACTCTGGCCCTCCCACTTCTCGACAAACAGGCACCTGTAACCTCCTCTGGGGCTGTTCTTACAACCTGTAATTATCTTCTTCATTGATTCCCCTGCTAATCGTCTCTCTCTCTCTCCCTCTACCACATCGTCTCTCTCTCTCTCCCTCTACCACTAGAATGAAACTCCCATGACAGCCAAAGCCATGTCAGCCTTGGTCATCAGCCAGCATCTAGAACACAGGCTGCCAGATTGAAGGTGCTCAACAAATGAATGCATGCCCTGGGAACTGTCTTCAAACACCAAGCAGCCATCTTCAAGAGCCACTCCTGAGCCTGCCCTGCCAGCTGTGGGCCAACTGCTGCTGGACAGATGGCCCAGTGCCTTCCCCCAGGGAAGCTCGGCCAGCTCAGCACCCCTAGCCCTTCCCTGCAGTCTTGACTGCTTCTCTTCACCTCATCCCAGGAGCACTGCTCAGGCCACTCACCTGAGCAATGATAAAGAGGAAGAGGAAGCTGCACAGGGACAAGGGCAGCAATGTGCTCTCTTCAGTCTACAAGAACACTGCGGGAAGAAGCCACAGCCAAATCAACAATATTGTGAACATGAACAGAGAACACTGGAAACGGCAGGGGCCCGAGAGAGCCAAGGACAAGGTCATGCAATCCCAGGATAAGAAAATCTGGGGACCCTGAGGTACATATGAGTACAGGATAAAGAAAAAAATGGTGACACAGTGAACAGGGAACCCACAAAACTCATTTCCTTAAGTAGCTGTAATAAAGGCTAGTCAGATTCCAGGAGGAAAGTTACTCAGGACATCTTTCCTAACACATTATAAGCCCTTGGCTTGTTTCTTGATTTCCAGAAGGAAAGCATCATCTTTATAACAAGTTCCTCAATGCCTCACTCAGAAAAGAATCTGCATAGGTCTGAGATAGTGTGACAGTTTATAGTCCAAGCCAGGTTGTGAAAAACAAAAATTCGTGGTTTGGCTTGAGAGTGTTAATTTGTGAGATTAATTTTTAACTGGTCTTTCATGATGATAAAAGTAATTCACACTCGTTGAAAAATAGGAAACCACAGAGAAGGAGATGAGAATAAAAGTCACCTCTAATTCCATGAGGTGAGAACCACTATTGATATTTCAGTGCATTTTCCTCCATCCATGCATGAGATTTTAAAAGAGTTTAGAGCGCACTGTGAATATAATTTCAATTCCTGTTTTTTTCCAGTAAAGTCCATCTAAAAACACTCCGCAGAGTTCCAAGAAAGAAGTTCTTTCCTTAGCAAATGAACAAATTAAATAACAAAATGAACAATACAAACCCTTCATGAAGTTAAAAGAAAAAGAAATAAAACTGATTATTCCACTGAGCCCCCATTTTCCTACCAAAAGGAAAAAAAAATCACTATTGCTAGGCCCAGAAGATAGAAACATTAAGCTCTTTTTTGTATCCTCTTATTTATGTTACATTTTCTATTAATACATATTGTTTTGAACAAGTCACACATTTTTTCCAAATCAACAGAAGCATTTTATAACTGCATCTTATCATTTTCAAGCAAGAAATCAAGTTTTGGTGGCCTTGGGAAGGTTTCATCTTCTAACCTGCCCATGGACCAAATCATTTAAAAATGATTAGTTCACATTCATGGGCTATACCTCCACTTCTGTTGCACTTGGTTACCTACACAGAGGAATGAGCAAATGGCCTTGCCAAGGACATACTATGTGTCATGTGCTACCCAGTAAGGAGCTGCAGGCGTCTGCCCATGTGTTTGTTAGGTACCCAGTTTTACACATAGGCCCAAGGCCTTGACCAGTGGAGAGCAGAACCTTTCTGCCTGGTAGAGAAGACTGTCCAGGATTAAGATCTCCTTAGTATAATGCATTTTTCCCAACTCTTTTAATAGTTCACACTTCATTCAACAAATACACCCATGGCAGGCCCTGGGCTGGGCAGACACTGTGCACATCTCCATGGGGCTGCAGTCTACACAGTACTTCCTCACCCTTTGGTCTCACACTAAGCCTGGGAGGCAGGAAAGGCCATCACTGTTATTGCCATTATCTAAATAATAAAGCAAATATTTATGGGAGTTTTTTGCCCCAGGTTATGAAGTAAAAGGGCTGGACTCAAACCTAGGTCTTCTGACTCCTAGTCTAAGTGCTCTTTCTACTGATTCAGTCACACTGGTGAATTTCCTTTTACTGACAACCTAATGTCTTCTGAGTAATTCACATTCCCTTCCATGCCTGGGTGCCCCCCACTGCTTAGTTTCAGAGCCAAGAGCTTCCCTGACCTCTAGATGGCTGCACATGCCCTGGTTTCTGTGTGCCTGCTTAGATTCTCACCCTTGACTCAGGCATCTTCCCAACTCTACTGACAACAGCTTCAAACTCTACTTATCCCTTCCATCGCCACCACAACACAGCAGACCGCTAGCTTTCCTCATTCAGTCCCCTTGCCACCCTTAAAAACAGAGATTTTGCTAGACTCATTGCTTCCCAACTAAAGATATCTCCCAGTCTTCTTTGCAACTATATGTAGTTGCAAATTCCGGCTACTGGAAAAAGAGAATGTGCTGCTTCCGGGTCTTTCCCTTAAAAATGACTGGATGTGTGCCCCCTTGGGTGTTTCCTCTGGGAGATGGTAAGTTTTTACCTTCAACCATCAAATGGAAGCCATGTGTTAAAAATACTAGGCCTGGACCACTATCTACTAGGGACTAGTACATGAGAGAGAAAACTTCTACCTGGTTTCAGCCATTGTGCCTGTGGGTCTCTTTAACAGAGGGACTCACCTGGTATCCCAACTAATACAAGAAGCTTGAGTGAGACCAGGTGTCCATTCTTCTAGCAAAGCCCCTTGCCACCAATTAAATACTTTATTTTTCATTTTATTTTATTTTTTTTTTTTTGAGATGGAGTCTCGCTCTGTCGCCCAGGCTGGAGTGCAGTGGCGCGATCTCGGCTCACTGCAAGCTCCGCCCCCCAGGTTCACGCCATTCTCCTGCCTCAGCCTCCCGAGGAGCTGGGATTACAGGCGCCCGCCACTACGCCCAGGTAATTTTTTTTTTGTATTTTTAGTAGAGACGGGGTTTCACCGTGCTAGCAGGATGGTCTCGATCTCCTGACCTCGTGATCTGCCTGCCTCGACCTCCCAAAGTGCTGGGATTACAGGCGTGAGCCACCGTTGATGGCCAATTAAATACTTTAAAGGGGTGAAAAAAAAAAGTGTTCCATTCAGTTGTCTTTTGTGGAAAACTTTTAAAATATGAGATTACCAGGATCTCAAAGACAATTTATGCTTAGGTCACAGAAAAAACTGAGAAGACCCAGAAAAGCAAATCAGCCTCCAGCAGAAACAGTAGGGGAGAGAGCTCTAAGTGACAACCACAACCAGAGCTCTTCTTTTAGCAGTTCACTCCATTCCTAGGAAAGGCACTGAAAGCTGAAATGATGCAAGCCAAGGCTAATGTCTCCATGGAAACTGTTACAATTGAAGCTTGTGTTCCTGACCAAGAACTCGATGGCCAACTTTTTCAAGAAATTACACAAACTCCGTGTTTTATCATCTATTAAAGCCTTGGGATTTTTAAAGCTGTTGGACCAATGATATCCCACAAAAGATATGTGAGTATTCTGTATCATACAGAGTACACGTCAATTAAACCTAACACAACAACCAATCATGTGACCTTTTATTTACTCTGATTCAGTAACAGTGTATACCACAAAGAAGTTCACTTTAATAATTCCTGCCGACTTCTAAATACAGTGAATCAGAATATTTAAGAACTTCAATAGAGAAAGCAAAGATGAAACTTGAATAGAGAGTGAATTAAGTCACAAAAGCAATACTTAAGTGCTGCCTCTGCCGCTGACCAGTTGTAGAACCCTGGACAGTTGCTTAAACTCTAAGCAATTTCCCAGTCCACAAGAGGAGATGTCATAACACTAGGAGATGTCATAGACTAGGAGGCATCCTCCCAACTCTACTGACAACAGCTTCAAACTCTACTTATCCCTTCCATCACCACCACAACACATCAGATTGCTAGCTCCCCTCATTCACTCCCCTCGCCACCCTTAAAAACAGAGATTTTGCTAGACTCATGGCTTCCCAACTAAAGATATCTCCCAGTCTTCTTTGCAACTATATGTAGTTGCAAACCCTCATAGGGTTGTGATGATGACTAAACAAGACATTGTATGTAAAAACTACTTGTCAATTACACAGGAATGTTCTATGGTATTGTTATCAGAATCACAGCATTTGGAAAGGTTTTTACAGGGTGACTTTGATGAACATCAAACTTGGCCTTTAAGTAGACTACAAGCTACCAGTTACTCTTTGAAAAACTGACCTACAGAAATTTCTTTTGTTGTCTTTAAAATTCACCCACATGCACTAGCTGGCAAGAGTTAGTCTTTCTGCTGCATTCACCACTGGCACCCATTTGCTCACCAGCCAGAGTATCCAGGAGGATGTCCGTCATAAGCTATGAAGAAAAAAGAGCTGTGCTGAGCTGAGCCTCTGTGTGGCAACCCATCCATCAACCAATAACACAGTCAGAAACCTCAAAACCAGAGACAAGAAGTATTTTCAGGTACCAGGAAAAGAGAGAAAGAAGAACATAGCAGTTATGCAGCTGGGCACTGGACTGAGACTGTTCTGAGTTTGAATCATGGCTTTTACACTTAGTATGTATCAGCTGAAGCTCGTCTGAGTTTCAGTCTCTCTAACTAGAAAACAGAACTGACATTACCCACCTTATATGAATACTGTGAAGACTGAATGAGAAAAAGTATGTAAGCACTTAGCACAGTTGCTGGCATATGGTAGGTAGTCAAGGTTAGATACTGCTATTAATAATAATAATAATAATAATAATAATAATAATATATACACTTGTAATGCTGGCAGAAATTTAGATTTGGCAGATCTCCAGTCAGGCTTTGCAGCCAGGTATTACCTGGACAGCATGCTGGCTCAGCCATGAATCCCCCAGGCTAATCAAGGTTCCTCTGGATCGCTGCCTAATGCCCCAGGACAGATGAAACATCCAAGAATGCCAGACTGGCCAGCTGGCTAGATTCTGACACTTGTTTTTCTGGTTCACAGCTGCCTGTCACTATCCTGAAAGGTGTCTACAGATAATAGATTCACATGGCTATCCATGCCTAACTTTTCCGTCCATGCCCAGGCTTACGGGGGTGAAATGTAATCATCTTTAAAACATGGCCCTATCCCAAAGGATATGAACAGACATTTCTCAAAAGAAGACATTTATGCAGCCAACAGACACATGAAAAAAATGCTCATCATCACTGGTCATCAGAGAAATGCAAATCAAAACCAAAATGAGATACCATCTCACACCAGTTAGAATGGTGATCATTAAAAAGTCAGGAAACAACAGATGCTGGAGAGGATGTGGAGAAATAGGAATGCTTTTACACTGTTGGTGGGAGTGTAAACTAGTTCAATCATTGTGGAATACAGTGTGGAGATTCCTCAAGGATCTAGAACTAGAAATATCATTTGACCCAGTGATCCCATTACTGGGTATATACCCAAAGGATTATAAATCATGCTACTATAAAGACACATGCATATGTATGTTTATTGTGGCACTATTCACAATAGCAAAGACTTGGAACCAACCCAAATGTCCATCAATGACAGACTGGATTAAGAAAATGTGGCACACATGTACCATGGAATACTATGCAGCCATAAAAAAGGATGAGTTCATGTTCTTTGCAGGGACATGGATGAAGCTAGAAACCATCATTCTGAGCAAACTATCACAAGGACAGAAAACCAAACACCGCATGTTCTCACTTATAGGTGGGAACTGAACAATGAGAACACTTGGACACGGGGCGGGGAACATCACACTCCGGGGCCTGTCAGGGGCTGGGGGGCTGGGAGAGGGATAGCATTAGGAGATATACCTAATGTAAATGATGAGTTAATGGGTGCAGCAAACCAACATGGCACATGTATACCTATGTAACAAACCTGTGTGTTGTGCACATGTACCCTAGAACTTAAAGTATAATAAAAACAAACAAATAAACAAAAAACATGGCCCTATCCAATAAAGTAGTACACATCAGCACCCACCTGGTGGACAGCGCCAGATTCCCTAAACATGCCCTGGAGGTAGGGGAACTTTCTTCTGGTTCTCCTAGGCTATTCCTGTAAGGGCCAGTACATCTTCACTATTAAAACTGCACTGCTGCTCCCTGCAGCCAGAAAGCAACTTTACAGCTTCAAAATGCCTATTCTTTCCTTAGCTCACACAAGCATCACACATACACTGAAAAGGGCTCAACAGGAATTGTTATACCTGTTCCACAGATAAGGAGTCAGGCTCAGTTTGAGACATTAAGTGATTTGCTTTGGCTATATGGTGACTAAGCAGCAGAAGCAGCCTAAAATGCAGGTCATCTGACTCCTAATCTGGTGCTCTTTCCAGAAAATGTGGGCATTTGTTTTAAAACATTCGACTTCCATAGTGGCACTTTCTGTCTGGAGAATTCATTAAGGTATCTTGGTCACAGTACAGTGCAGATTCACACACTTGAAAGCCACTCACACAGGCAGATGTTCACCGCACTCTAGAAATCTAAAGGGTGACTGATAACACCATGCTGATTAACATAATTGACAATTAATTCTCAGTTCTGGCTTCTCTCTCTCCTTCCTGGATTCATCTAGCAGCCTCCTGTCAGGTCTCTGCTGCATTTAGTCCTTCATTGCTCCAATCCAACTGGAACACTAACACTGGACTGATGCTTTAGAGAGAAATATTTCATGTCACTAAAATCATAATCATAATAAAACAAATCCAGTGGTTATCCATTGCCTAGCAGTCTCTGACTCACTAGGTAAACTCCGACTTGCCACTTAACCTCACTGAGTTTCCCCAACTGCAAAATGAAAGAGTGGGCTAAATAGAGCCTTGCCTATTTCCAGCTCATGACTCTAAAACCCCCAATCTCAGTGTCCATCACAAAAAAAAAAAAAAGAAAAAAAAAGAAAGAAAGAAAGAAAGAAAAAAGAAAATCCCCAATCAAACCCAAATCCTGCATCTAGAGACTGCTGGGAAACAGCCAAGTCCAGTGCCAGTGGTCGAGAGCTCCCATGGCCTTATTTTAAGCCTGGATCTACCACTTATCAGCTGTCACTTTAGGCAAGTCACTAGGTGTCTAAAATGGCTTCAGGTTTGGGCCTTCAGTGATCTTCCATACTTAAATTCCCACCATTATTTAAGAACCTTCCATTTTAGACAAGTCTGTGTCCATGAATGCAAACTGGTCCATTCCTACTTCTGTGTTTTTAATTATGCTGTTTCCGCTCAGCCACTTCCTGGAAATACCTGTCCTCACCTTGTCTGTGAATCGAAATCCTACCATCCTTAAAGGTGAAAACCTGACCAGTTCTATGAAGCCTCCTCCCTTCTACAATGCTCATAAAGATGTTCCACAAGGCAATCAAACTGCAGGCTCCTTGGTCACAACAACAATTTCTGCTCTTCCTTTGGGTCTAGTAACATTCTTGGCATATAGACTCACAGATATTTGTTGACTGAATAAATACATGTGTAGTACTATGCCTAAATAAATATGCAACAAGTTTTCTTTTAGTTAATGTGGCTCAGCTATAGATTTGCTGCAGTTTGGAGCCAATTAAAGATAACAGAAGATGAACATCAGCAGGGCAGGGACAACCATCATCAGTAAAAGACACTGATACCTGACCAACCTGAAGAATAAGAAAAACACAGATGTCAAAAAGAAATGGCAACCTAAACTCCAAAGTACCTTGCAAGACCAACCTCATAAGCCTATACTGCTAGAGAGTGGAGGAAATTAAAAATTTATCCAAAGCTGAATTCACTTTTTGAAGGAATAAACAAGTATTTATTGAGAGACTTTTCTGTACAGACACTGTTTTCATTGCTAGGGGTATAGCAGAGAACAAGAGATGACATTGCCACTGGTATTCCAGCATCCAAGAAGGCAGGCTAGGTCTAATGCCACCCTCTAGCTCCAAAGTGAAGTCCATGAAGCAATAACTTCTTGTACCAACTCCTCGCTATGCCTTCAAGTAAGGAAAAAAAGGAACACACCATTCACAACTGACCAAATAGAGGCAGAGCTAAAAGTGCTCTGTCACTCTCTATGAGGCATCCCTTACCCTAGAATGCACTGGGGAAGTTTGCAGCACAGCACTCTGCACCTAAGTCATTTGAACACTGCCAGTTGAGCTCTGCCACTAACGTCACTTAAATATCAAACCTCTCAAATGGCAAATGTGGTTCATGATGTCGAAAACAAAACTCAGAGGTGGGAAGGGAGGGTGGTAGTTGGTTAAAGGATCAGGTACTTTTCACCACTGCAAAACCTTAGGTTCCTTTCTTCTTTGGAGCAAAAACCTCTTCTATCCTCTAAAACCTTGAAAAAAATTTTTTCTTCCAGCAGGGTACTGAAAATAGCTTTGCATTTAACATTTAAAGTTGTTTTTGATCCCACACTCTTTCAGCTCTGCTCTCTCCTGCAAACTCATTCCATTCCCTAAGGGCACTTATAACTATATTTTATAAGCAGGCAAGCCAGAGTCACCATTTTTATCCCTAAGAGTTAAAAAGAAAAAACAATTTACATAATTATATGGAAGATAAGTTGGCCAAGAACACAGAAATCTTATCTGGACCAAAAGTTCTGGGACAAAATTTCTTTCAACTCATCAAGAAAGATAGCAGATCAAAATCAAGGTTCCTACTGAGAATGTCACTGCAGAGCTCTGCACATGGGGAACTGCTTGAGTTCCTCATTGCTGAGTGCCATATACTTCTTCAAGAAGAAATCAGAGGCAGCCATTTGAGGGCAGGTTTGAACAACGAAGTATATCTACGTTTCCCTGCTATGGTGAGAAAACAATAGGATTTTACAGCCAAGAAGAACCTGAGAAATCAAAGTTCAAAGAGGATAACTTACTCAAATTTACTCAGCCAGTCAGTGGCTGGGCCCAGTCTGGAGCCCAGGCCTCTCCCAGCTCCCAGTCCAGAGTTTTCCCCACTCTCTGCACTACTGTCTCATTTATAACACATGCAACCAAATCTTAAAGGTATAAAGGTAAAAAATCCCTTCTATAAAACTTTAACAGACTGAAAATACAGTAGGAGAAGTGACTGAGGTAAATGGGTCCTATGATTGCTAACAGCAAATGAGGTACAATGCTACTGAGAGGAGGGTCTACCAGCAGAAGGCTTGACGACTGCTGATACCAACCAGTATGTTTTCAGCTACAGTCACCACTAAATAGCTTTTGAGGGCTCGCCTAGAAACTACATCACTATTTACTTCATTGTTTCTTATAGAAAAATTTATCCCAAGTTTCCACCTAGTGCCTTACAAATAAACTTTTGGAACAAAACCTGTTTTTAAGATGGTTGTGCACATGAAGCAGAATTATGAGGTCTAAAGTTCTGCACTAAACACAATTAAAACAGTAATATTTGGTGAAACATGCTAGGAGTGCATTTATAAGAAAACCCTTCAAACCCTTAATTTGTTTATATGCAATATAATGTTTTATTAAAAGCCTTCTAAGCAGGGTATGATAAATTATTATTTTATAAAATTACTATTTTATAATATATAACCAATGACAAATGCTATAATTCTGTATGTAAGTATTTACAAGGCCTTCCTAACACTGGGCTCAGGGTTAAAGGGAGTATAAAAGAGGCAGAAAACATCTGTACACAAGCAGCTCATAATCGAGTCACACTAGCCTTTACTTTCCTCAAAAATATCAAGCACCTTTCAACCCCAGGGCCTTTACATGTGCTGTTCTCTCTTCCTGGGATACTTTCCCCCAGATCTTTCTGAAGCTAAGTTCAAATGTCACCTCCTCAGAGAGGTCTCCCCTGTGATCTAGATAAGGTACCCTCCCTCCCACCATACCTCATCGCTACTGCTTTACTCTATTTGCTTGCTATCCTAGCACTCCTAGCACTTCTCACAACAAGGCATGAACGTGTTTCACTATTCATCATCTGTCCCCTCCTGCGGGCCCCTTGTTTTGTTCACTGCTGTATCCTCAGTGCCCACAACAGTGCTAGGCATCCAATAAACTTCACTGACGGAGTAACTGAGTGAAACTGGAGAGTGGGAAGTGAGCGTAAGATAATTAACCATGAAACAATTAAAAAATGAGACAACTGGCCATCCTGATTCAGTATGATATGGTAATTTGCTCATTATGACATACCCCTGCTTCTGAACGAATGAATGGTTGGCAATCAAGAGCAAAAGGGAGAGCACACACAAAGGGAACAAATGTTATCAGAGGTACCTCACAGAGAAGTGAGATCCAAGGCAGGCACGGGCAAGGAAGAGAGGCCTCAAGGGAACAATTTAAGCAAAGACCCCGCTAGCCAGAGGGAGAGTGTGAAGTGAGGTGGCCTAGGGAGGACAGCGGAGAGGCAAGGAGGACTGAACCTCGGGCACAGGGCTGTGGCTGGGAATGGAGGTTGAGCGGGGAAGCAGGGCTGGGGAGGAGGAACAGGACCAGACCCTGGAGAGCCTGGAAGACTGGACACAGGGGTGCCACCTGCATGCCACTGGCACCAGGGCTGTTCTTAGCAGGCAAAGCTGGCCTGTCATCTGGGAAGATTGAAAGGAGTTGAGCAGAGCAGAAAACTGGTCAAAAGATGACCTGGGTGGTCTAAGTACGAGGGGGCAAAAAGAGCTTCTTCCCTCTGCTTAGGTGTGAGAAAGATACAAGTGAGCAAGATGCGAAGGCATCCCCCACCCCCCGCCAAAAAAAAAAGACAATTTCCAGAGCATCTCACAGTACCACACCATGGCAGATTCAGGCCAACTTCCCATCCATCCTGCTCCCGGCGCACTCAAGAAAGGCAGAGCTCAGGACGAGAGCTCTGAGGGCAGGGCACGTCCTTCCATGCCTCCCAAATCTGAGGTTAATTATATTCAGGACGGCCTGTGTTTATTATCCTTTTATTCTTTGAAAAAAAAAAAGTGGTATCTAATTTCACTGTGCAGTATATATTTGAACATTATATAACACATTTTTATGTAACAGGTTCTTGACATAAAACAATGTGTCCCTTACTATCTAAATGTATTTGGGGAACAACTGGCATTAAAAAAAAAAATATATATATATATATATATATATATATATATACACACACATATATATATATATACACATATATATATACACACATATATATATATACACATATATATATATACACACATATATATATATACACATATATATATATATACACACACACATATATATACACACACACACACACACACACACACACACACACCCCAACACTGTGGATATACCAAAGTTGTGGACGTTGGTCTTCAGGGAGAAAAGGACGAAGGTGAGGGACCTTTGAAAAGGTCCCCTCCCCAGTGAGGAGCTCTGCAGATGGCTAGATGAGGGTGGGAGGTGGGGTTAGTGAGTTATGTTAAAAGGTTCATCTCACACAAGGAGCTGCCTGGGGAGGAGCTGGCTGAGCCACAGGGGGCCTGGGTCAGAGCAATGCTGCAGAGAAAGCAGGGGGAGGCCAGAGAGACAGCCATGCATAACAGGATGTGAGGAGAATGTTCACAAGCCCCTGGAGCTGCTGCTCAGGTAGCATCCAGGTCCGCATCCCTTATGCGGAGGGTTTCAGGCAGCTCCGCTCTAAAAGAGGCTCATACCATGTTTGTCAACAATAAGACTGGTTCCCAATTGCTGTCAGCCTACTAGGCTCCTGGCATGGTGCGGCTGAGTGAGGTAAGGGATATAACGGGGTGTTTCCTCCCAGTAGGAATCTACTAGGGTGTTACAGGGCAGACTCTGGAGTTCACCAGCACAAATTCTGCCCCAAGCCATAACAGCTGAGTGACCTTGGGCAGTTTATAAAACCACCTCATTTGTGAAGTAAGGATAATAGTACCTGCCTCATGTAGTTGTTATGGGGTTTAAATGAGTTAATAAGCAAAGGTGACTCACATATGTGCTGGCACATAGAAAGTGTTCAATAAATGTTAGCTGCTATTATCGTAATAATTATTATTCCTATTTTGCACTCAGAGAAGCTAATTAACTTGCCCAGGTCAGACATTTCAAACAGTGATTGAAGGAATAAATACAAGCCAATGCTTCATTCAGTATATGCACAAAACCCAGTGGGTAGAGCAATAGCCAAATATTAAATTAGGCAGACCAGCCATCCCCTTCTTTAACCAGGCTAGATAAAGAATTAGTTTACACTATTTAAAAGGACAGCACATACTAAGGTAAAAACCACTCTCCATTACATGCCAGTACTCAACGTTCCCCTGCAGCAAAGATGACTAAACCTTATCCAATCTTATCTCCCCCTGAGGTTAAGTCCCCAATTCAAACCCTCCTTCCATGCAGACCTAAGTACTTACGGCCATGTCCACTTATGGCCCTGTTGCACCCCCACCTCTATGCAGTGTGCATCCTGTTCCCTCCACCTGCTCCGTCCCTGAGTGCCCACCCCATCCCATCTCCTCCTCCACAAGATCAATGTGCATTGGACAACCATGGCCTAAAGGCTCCCTGTGCCTGTCATTTTGGAAAAAGCAAGATAAACTTCTCCCAGAATGCTCAGGCTGAGCGAGCAGGTGAGATATTTTCAGAGACAGCCCAACACAATATGGAATGCAGCAGAACCTAAGAGAATTGGAGAAAAATCAATGTGGACATTGCTGCCAGGTGTGGGGAGGAAGGAAAACAAAATGAAGAAATAGTGCTGCAGGACCAAGGCCCTGGGTCCTAAAAGCAGAGGAGGATTTGGACACGTGAAAATTGAGGGATGGACTGGGCCAAGGGCTGGTACAGGGAATGGACAGCCCCTCAGCTTGACTACAGTGTCCAGGCACATGGCAAGGTCTGGCAGACAGGCAGGCTGAATGTGGAGACCACTACAAACCAGGCCAAGGCACCCCGGCAAGGCAACGAAGAGCAGCAAGACTGACAGCAACATTCACTGAGTGTTTGCAATGTGCCATGAATAGACTGGCACACTTTTTCCAATGCTTTAACTCATTTAATCCACACCTCAACTCTCTGATGTAGGGGCTACTATGATCCCAGTTTTATAGATGAGGACACCAAGGCATAGAGAGCAAAAGAAAATTGACCACAAGTCACGAAGCCAGTAGGGAATACTTAGGATGTGAAATCTGGCTCCAGAGTCTGTATGCTAAACTACCCAACCAAACTGCCTTTTAGGACAGCCTGGGGAATGAAGGGATGTAGGCTCCAGTGTGTCATGAGGACTCAATGTGACAGTGCTTGCAAGCAGTCTGCAAACCTGTAACTCCGAGACCACAAATGCAGATTACAGGCTGCCATTCATGTCCACAACGGACCTGCTAGCAGAACACAGGAGAGACAGGTCAGGGCTAGAGAGGGGACCCCAGGCCACGGACAGTGTGAATAGCAGAAGCTAGGACAGACATTTATCTTTACAGGGGTGCAGGAAGAGAATCAAGAAACCAGCATGACCCAAAGGCTGAGAGAGGAAAGGATTTCAAAGGACAAAAAACAAGTGAGGTAAAAGCTTCAAAGGGGCTGAGCACAGTGACTCACGCCTGTAATCCCAGCACTTTGGGAGGCCAGTGCAGGTGGGTCACTTGAGCCCAGGAGTTTGAGACCAGCCTGGGCAACATGGCAAAACTCCATCTCTAATAAAAATACAAAAATGAGCCAGGTGTGATGGCACGTGTCTGTAGGCTCAGCTACTCTGGAGGCTGAGGCAGGAGGATTACCTGAGACTTGGGAGGCTGCAGTGAGCCACGATTGCACCACTGCACTCCAACCAGGCAAGACTGAGACCATGTTTAAAAAAATAAAAGAAATACTGCAAAGGGGCCAAGAACAACCACTCAGGAATAAGGATGGGCAGATGGGCCCCAGGAACTCACGACAAAGTTTTGGAGAAAACTTTGAGAAGAAATATAAAGAAAGGTGGTAGCGAGAGAAGCCAGAGGGCAGGTACTAAGAATGGAGCAGGAGATGGGAGAGTGGGGGAGGCTGGCAGGAGGGAGGAAAGAGAGGCTTACGAACCCAGGGTACCAAGTAAAGACACATGTAAATTGCCTGGTACACAGCAGGCTCACCACAAGTCTGACTCTGCCTCTTCCATCCTTCCTCTCCTAAGTCAAGCCTAAGGTTTTCAGGGTGGGGCAGGGGAGACTAAGGACAAACAGCACAAATAATATTCTAGTGATAGGACCCGGGTAGAGGTGAGAAGGAATGGCAGCTGGCACAAAGGAAAGGCTTCCTGTGTGCCAGGCCTTTTACATGCACCATCTCCCTTAATCCTCACACAGACTCCACGAGGCAGGCACTGCCATTACACCAAGAGGAGAAACCTGAGGTCAGAGGAGTCAAGCACACATCCAAGACCACAAAGCCCAAACCTGAGCCATGGATTCTTCTGCCACCAGAGCCCAGGCACTTGCCCATGGTGAGAGGCCAAGAAAAGGAACAGAGGAGAGGTCCACTTGCTTTCTCTGAATTGGGAGGAGATGAGGGGACGATGGGGATAGAGACAGGACATTTTGGGTGGGAAGTAAGAGATGCTGAGGGGGTTGAGTCAGAGCAGGTCTTATTTCATGAGAGGGAGAAGAAAAGACAAGGTGGGTATTTGGGATAAATCTGAGTCTTGTGATAAGGTGACAATGAAAAAAGACTGTGGAGAAGGATAACATGCCTGTGTCCCTAGCTCCCAACGAAACCTCAAGGTCTAGAAAGGATATTTTACTTCCCTGCAAGTACCTACTTTAGTTATCATGATGCTTCCTAAAATCACTGCATGTAATCACGGGGCTGAAACTGTTTATTTAATATTGATTTTCCTACCACAGTGAGAGTTGATGATGAAATCACAAAGAAAGCTCAGATACATTATAACCCTTACACCAAAGAGAGATATTAACTATCTAGTTTTTACCTTTTCATATGCAGTTTTGTTAATACAGCCAAATCTTTCTATGGTGCTTCTCCATCTTTTAGCATATAAATTCCACAGAGATTGTTGGTGTGAAGGGATAAATCTGAAAACATGGCCACTTCCTTTTCCTGCCCTGTGGCATGCAAACCTCTTCTGCAAATAGCAGACAAACTCGTAAGTAGTCATCATTTTATAAATCATTTGAAATGGATTCTTCAAAACACCATCTGTTGATCTGCTTAACTTTCTTATGAAAATAGGGCTTCAGCTCAGATATTCTGGAGGTGCCAGGAGGTAAATACCAACCTGAATTCAAATGTATTAAATATTTAGAGACTTACAGAACTTCAAAAGAGAGGAACCTTTGAGATCACCTAGTTCAACCGTCTTACTTTCCATCAGAGGCAAACACAACCTAGAAATCTTTAATAACTTGCCCCGACTGGAACGGCCATGAGAGCCCAAGCCTAAACTAGAACCAGGATGTCCAGCTCCTAACTCCCAGGTTAGTGCTTTTCTACCAGATCTGTTCGTTCTTCAGAGGGTTGAATAAAGAACAAATTTAACTACAGTTTTAACTTATTGTTATCATTCACTGGCTGCATCTACAATCAAAACCAAAATGCTTCTACAGAACCAGCTTCAGATGATACAGGCAATTTCAAATCCTGTCCAGGAAATTTCCAAACCTTCTAAATATGTTCTATAAGCTGCGTTAAAGACTTATCAGTAAAATGATCTGAGTAACAAAACATGGACTGAAAGACTGAATTTTGTATTTTCAAAAATATTTGGGAATTCCATTGATATGGAAATCAAATATAACACCAGCGAATTTTTTTAAGTCTTGCAAGCAGAGAGAGCATGATATTATTCAAAACTGCTCAGGAGCAGCAATGATTATTTTAAGCTCATGATTCAACGGGTACATTAATTAAAAACTCCACCAACCCAAATTCACAGATCCGGATATCAATGAGACCAGAAGAATTAAAATAATAGTTGTCATTTAATAATAGATTAAAGGGGTGAACAACAGCAGATGTCAGAAGGACAAATGACAAGCAAGCAGGTGTCGTGGGAAATGAATGCATCTAAGGGGCAGCTTTTATGGATGTTTAATAAAACGACGATGCTGGAAATACGGGTATACGGGTAGTGTCAAGAAAAGCTTGTTCACAAATACGGAATCTGATTTTTGGAAGCTGGGTGAGAAAACTTGGCTAATAATTCCTCGCTGAGGAGTAGCGGTGGAAGAAGGAAGAGACCGCAAGCGCCAAAGCGCCAAAACAACGCTAGGTGACCGGGAAGGGGCCGAGGCGGAGAGGGGAGAGGGGTCAGGAGGTGCGGGGTGCGCGGCGGCAGCGGGTCTCTCACCGGCCGGCGAGAACTTGACAGCAGGCGCCGGTGTCCAGCACTCCCCTTCCCTCCCCAGCTCCTGCCGGCGGGCACCTGAGCTCACCCCGCTGCCGGCTCTCGCGACCCCTCGGGGAGGCTAACATGCGCCCCACAAGGTCGACGTTCACCTCTACCTTCCTCGTCTTCTTCCAAGCAAACGGGAAGCTCTCTGGGATGTCAACGCCCGGCAATAGCCGAGCGGGAACCTTTTCTTCCCTGACATCTGTCAAACCCGGAGCTGGAGCCAGGCTCGCTGCGCCCTCCGCGGAGCTCTGGGACTCCAAGGCCGGCCCGCACCCGGGCTCCGGGCGACATCCCCAGGCCGACGCGCACCTGCCCGCAGACCCACGGGGCATCCTTGAGGGCCGCCCAGGACCTGGACGGCACAGGCCCCACGAAAGTTCGCAGGCTGGGGTCGGCCCCGTGCCGGCCGGGGATTCCCGGGTGCAGCGCCAGCCCTGGCTACAGGGCCGAAGGGGCGGGCGGACTTGGACTCCCCAAGCCCGACGGAGACGCCCTCCCCGCCCCCACCCAGCCTCGCGGGCTCCCGAAAGGGAAGTGAAGCGGGGAGGAAGGGCAGACGCGGCACCGTTCGCCCAACGCCCTTGAGGGGCAGCCACCAGGCATGGTCCCCTCGGGGATCCCCGAAGCTCCCGGGGACACATCTAGGAGTCCTCTTCGGCCGAGTCACTGCCCCCAAGGGCAGAGCTATCCCTTTAAGAGGCAGCTAGCTGCCCCCTCCCCCCGCCAGGTAGCGATGCCCGCGGAAGGGCGGTGGGTACTCCAGCGAACACTTTCCCGGCCCCTTTAAGGGCTCCTGCAGCACCTCTGCCTGCCCTAGCCCGCAGCGGCAGCCCCCGCGAGGAGGATGGGGGCGGACGGGCGCGGCGCCTTTAAGGGGCGCAGCCTCCCCACGGCCCGGGTGGGGGCAGGGAGCGGTCACGGGCCCTTTAAGGCCGGCAGCGGGCACGTCGGGCAGGGTTCTTCGGCGGCCGGGTTGCCCCCGGGGCGGCGGCAGGGGCGCAGCGCCCGCGAGGGTGCTAACGGCCCCCGACGGGGTGCGCGGGATCGCGTCGCTGGCCGCCGCCGGCCTGACACTCACCGTGGCTCGCCGGGAGCGCCCGCGCCCGCGCCCGCACTCGGATCCCGCGGCGGCGGCGGCGGTGAGTCCGGCGCGGGTAAACAGGCACCTCCGTCCCTGACCTACTTTCTGCCTTCCCTAAATGTCGCACCACTAACCTACTTTCCGACCAATCCGCTCCCCGCCGGCCCAGGCCCGGCCCCCCGCCCACCAATCGCTGTGCCCAACCCCCCTTCCCCGCCCACCAATGGAGGAGCCGCAGCGCCCGGATACCTGCCTCTTCCCGCCAGCCAATCCGAACGCCCGAAGGGAGCCGGTCCCGGCGGCCGCCCCCAGCCAATCCGCGCGCGGCTCGGCAGCCCGCTGGCCAGTTGTGTGGCGGCTAGAGAGGCCGCTGACCAATGGCGAGGCGGCGGGAGCCGGTTTACCTGCTACTTTCCTGCCACCAATCATTTGGCGCACAGGAGCGCACGCCCCGAGGAGAGGACCAATCCGCGCGCGCTCCCTGGGTTCCTCGCCCCTGCCCTCTCCCTTTCCCCTCAGGTCTCCCACTAGCCGCGGCCACTGCGGTGCCCAAGCCGCGCTCCTCGGGGTCGCCCGGGATGTCCCTCTTCTCTGGGTCCCCTGCCGGCTGGCGTTTGGCCGCCCGCCCTCACCCCTCCTCCTTCTTCTTCTCCCCTCCGGGCATTCCGACGAAAAGCAGCAGTTCCTGACTCCCTCTCTCCCTCCGGCTCCATCTAGGAAACCAATTTTAGGAACGTTGAGTGCCAGACCCTTCCTAAAATCCCTGGTTTGCCAAAGTCTCAACGAGAGAACGGATACTTAGTATTTCTAGAAGGCATTTCCACCCCGAGGACTGCAAGTGTTCTCACGTTCTTTGCGTTCATCATGACCTCCAAGTGTCCCACTGGAGCTGTCATTCCCGTAGTTCCAAAGAGAATACTCGAGCGCGGAGCGATTCCATTGCATTTCCTTCCAGTAGCCAGGTTTTGACCACTTACTGAAGAGTAGACACCAGCCCCGCGGCAGCGCTCTCTGCTGCAAAAAGCTGTCTACGGAGCAAGACGGAAGGAAACAGTTACAGAAAATAAAAATTTGATAACGACATGCGACTCGGTTGCTGAGAGGACAGAGAAAGTGACTTATTTTTGCATCTCAGGCACTTTGTAGAGGGCCTTTAGCACAAAGAACTCCCGGCTCTTCCAGATGTTAAACTCCCTGAATAGAAGGACAGCGTCTTCTTTTTCGTTATCCATCATGTCAGCTCTCCTTTAGCGCCTGCTGGGGTAGGGTGGAGTGGTGGGGGCGGGGCTGGCACCCAACAAGTGCACCATAAATATCTGTTGGCTGGATACATGAACAAATGGAATTAAATAAATTGGCCTAATTCTGTTACCCAGACTGGCCCCCGTGACTCTAGACTTCTAGCCTGGTAAGTTCCTTGAACACAGACACTGCGTTTTTTAATCTCTGTAACACCATTGCCCATCCCCAGCTCATTGACAGGCACGGAGTGCCCAATATGTGCTTGTGGTCTGAATGCTGACTGTTTTCGAGGTCAAGCAATTCCGTCGGTAGCTTGCTATTTTTCCGAAGTTTACACGCAGGTGGAATCTTATTGCTCCTTTGTCTCTGCCCCCATTTCATGAGGAGATCACTCTAGGTAAGTGGGACTTAAGCGAAGCACTTGACAAGATATCATAGACAAGATGAAGAAATATGGGCTGGATGCTAGTATCATTAATTGGACTAATAACTGGTTAAGTAACCATAACCTAAAGATGCTGATTGATGAGTCGACGTTGACCGAAAAGAAGATTGCAGGGAGTCAGCATTCCAGCAGCACCTACTACGTACCAGACACTGTGCTAAGTACTTTCCCCTCATGTTCTCCCTTAATCTTTATAACCACACTGTGAGGAAGCTTTTATTGCCCCATTTTACAGATGGGGAAACTGAAACTCAGAATTTAGCTAGCTGGCCAAAGGTCACACAGTAGGTGGCAGAGCCGTGATTCAAACTAGACTTTTTCTTTTTATTTCAAAGCCTCTATACCACACCAGTTACCCTCAGAATGACAGAAGCCTCTCTCCCAGGTCCAGACATCAGAACTTTTATCAGTGTTCTGAAGGAAAATCCAGAAGATTCGCATCACATGTCCAGATGACACAAAGCCAGGAGGGGAAGAGACGCTGTTACACAAACCACATACAATATTGGAGCAGTGGGCTGACTCTAACAGGGGTAAATGTGGAGTCCCACCCTGTGTGAAGCCAGCCGGAGGCAGAGGTGTCTTAGATGCTTACAGGAGCAAGATAAAGGGTCTTAGGTGACAAATAATCTGAGTCCACAGTGAATTGTGGCTGCCAAAATAAATAAACGCTCTTAGGCTGCATCAGTGGAAGTCTGACATGTAAAGCAAGATAGGTGTTATTGTGCTGCCCAGTGTTGGTCAGTACCCACATGAAGTATTGTCTGCAATTAAGACTTGGCAGAAAGAAATTATCTACATGCACAAGTAGAGGGACCAGGATGTAAAGAGGCTAGAAACTATGTCATATGAGGAAATATTAAAGGAAGCAGAAGGTTTTGCCCCAGGGGTACAAGGTAACTGTCTTGATATATGTGAAGAACTGTCAAATAGAAGAGAAATTAAACTTATACTTAAGGGCCTTAAGGGGTTGAAGGAGAACCTGTGGGTAGAAACTCTAGAATGAATCAATATGAACAATTTTCTAACAGCTAGAGCATCCTCTGCCTTGATTAATTGAGTTTCTTGTCACAAAAAATGTCCAAGTGAGAATTGGATTACCATGCAGTGGGAGGCGGGCTGAAATAGGTGTCTTTGTGGACTCCCTTCCTCTGAGATTCTCATCTTGTACCCTGGCTTTCCTCTTTTAAAGGTTATCACCCTGCCTTATCCTACCCTCAGTGGCCAAGCAACTGTCTTCCCTCATGTGCACCTGTTTTTCCCTGTGTAATTACACCTTTCTTTGTGGTTCTCTCTGTTGGAGATCCCAAACACCTCCTTCCACTACTACCTAACTTCCCTTTTCTTTTCTACTTTCCAGGATACTGAACTTTCAATTCATAGGGCACTGCTAAGGTCAAAATATTGTCCTCAATGTAAATTTTACTGGGCATGAGTAGAATCATGTGGATAAAAGGAAGATAAGAGAGAGCATTTATTTGCACCTACTGTGTACCAGATGCTTTAAATACATTATTTAATATAATCCTCACGTTAACCCTAGCAGTTGATATGCTTGCCCTCCACACTTGCTAGCTGGATGACTTTTATCAAATTGCTTAACCTCTTTGTACCTCAGTTTCCTCATCTGTAAAAGGGGGATAATCTAGTGTCTACTTCATAGGGCTGTTATAAGAGTTCAATGTGATGATAGATGGAAAGCCCTTAACACAGTGCCTGGCATACAGTCAAGATGTGATACATATTAGGTATCACTCTTAACAATTCTATGAAATAGATATTTCTTGCTCCTGTTTTACAGATGAAGTTAGTGAGGATAAAGTAGTATAATCTACAGTAGTTTCCCTGACTCTGATCCAATGATTGGATCCATTAGAATTACCTGGGGAGTTTTAAAAAATACAGACTTCAGAGTCCTGTTCTGGAAGATTCTGATTGCGTTTCTTTGGGATTTGACATTTGTGAATGGTTTGATCTGTTAACCAAGGTTGACATCTGGGTGTACAAAAAATGGGAATTAAAAAAAAAATCAGGCATTAATGAGTTAACCAGTGTTTATAGCTTTTTCAGCTGCTTTTGAAAAGACCTTCCTTGGCTCTTTTTTTAATGGGATGGCCATAGCAGCTCAGAATGGGAGAGCAGTAATACCTCATTTGGAATGTGTCCTAGACTGTGTAATTAGGCTTTAGACTAGATCTTGCTTGCAGACATGGCCAAGATTCCAAAGATCTTGGTGCTCAGATGTGAAAGGGGCTTTTCCGTTTGGCTAGAGGAAGCTAAAGCACCAGTGGCCACATGGCTTCTCAACAGAAGCTCTGAAGAACAGATAGACACTGTCTTCAAAAAACTGGCATCAATTTTGCCCAGCTTCACTGGGATGAGCAGACTAGAGTTCACTTTCTGGAGAATATAAAAGAAAGGAAGAATCCATTCTAGTTAGTATAGCAAAGTGAAGTGTTCAGGCAAGCCATTTCAGAAATGCATTAGCTCAAAAAAATTTACAATATGCTTTTGAAAAAGGAAAGAAGGGATAGACTGGGGAATTTGATCTCATACATTATCAAAGTGTACTATTAAACTATAGTAATAAAATAGTCTGGTATTGGTATAGAAACAGACCAATAGACGAATTAAAAGGCATAGCATCCAGAAATAGACCCAAAGTATAGGAAAATTGAGTTATAAAGTGAATTTTAAAGGATTGGGAAGAAGATGGATTTTTCAATAAATGCTATTGAAACAACTAGCTAGCCATAGGGAAACACATAAAATTTGCCCCCTACCCTGTACTTACATTAAAACATAAACCATAGGAAAAGAGAATTTAAGTGCATGTAGTCAAACCTATAAAAACACTAGAAAAAAATATGAGTAGAAGTTCTATAATCTTAAAAGGCCCATCTAAGCATAACACAAAATCCAGAGGCCATGAAAATAAAGGTGGATTTCATACATGCACACACACACACTCTCCATATAAACGAAATAAAGGAACAACTAGCATGCAGGCCCCACACCACATTATTAATGCACCATATACACATTCCAGTTAATAAGTCAGCAGCTGGCGTGGTGAGATGTAAGCAGTGATGTCATTTAACCTGTCATTGATAGAATTACTCCTTATAAAGAGCTACTCCTTGTAACATTGTCTTACTTCATTGGCCCTCTCTTTCTCGTTTGGTATTTTAAAAATAAAAGTTTATAATCACCAAGCACGATCTCCAGCATCAAAGGTTGTTTAGATCCTCTGCAGTGAGCTCTGGGTCCTTTGCTCCACTCATATAAAAGCTACAGACTCAGAATTTACCTAAGGAAAACTCTCATCCTGCATACAGATGTGTGTGCATTGTAAGAATGACTGCTACTCAAATCTCTCCTTTCTCTTTGGAAGAACAAGAACATCTATTGCTTTTTTTTTAGATTATGAAACCAATTTACATTTGTGATCAAAAATTTGGAAAGCACACACATAAAGAAGAAAATAAAAATAATCTATAATTCCATTAAGCGGATATAACCCACATTAAAATATCAATGTATTTTTTCTGTAACTATATCCTATTTTGACCTAATTTTTTTCTTTTTCAGAGACAGAGTCTTGCTATGCTGCCCAGGCTGGACTCGAACTTCTAGACTCGAGCAATTCTCATGCCTCAGCCTCCCAAGTGGCTGAGACTATAGGCATGCCACCACACCCAGCTCTTTTGATGTAATTTTTATCCCATCAAAGTTTTGTCATCTTGCTTTTAAAAAATTATCACATGCATTCTCTCTTGTTATTGAGCCTCCTTCTACAACTGGCTGTCTAATGGCTGCAGCATTTTTATTGTATGGAGAAACTATACCTCATGCAAAACTCTCTCATTGAAAGCGTTCACATAGTTCCTAATGTTTCTTTATTATACAGATGGCCCTGGGCTCACAGTGGTTTGAGTTACGATTTTTCTAGTTTATGATTGGCATATTGGGATATTAAATGTATTTTCAACTTTCAATATTTTTGACTTGCCATGGGTTTTTCGGGACATAACCCCATCGTAAGTTGAGGCTCATCTGTAAACAGTTTTGAAAAGAACATCCTTTGGGATTTTTAAACCTCAGGGCCCTCTGGAAGCTGTAGGCTAATGGGACTGGCCCACAGCTTTCCTACTCTACTTCATTACCACACTGGGTTTCAAAGAATCAGCTGGTATAGACAGGAAATACAACTTACATATTTTTTTCTTATAAGGTTTCAATGTTATCTCCTCCTGCTGCTGCTTCTCTCTCTGCCATAAAACTTATTTTAAAGACATGGAAAATTATATGCACTTGAGTTAAATACAAAACCACAAGTGACTATAGCTTGATAAGTGGTCTTTGGGAAATTTATGAGCCAAAATCTGTGTCATAAATTGATAGCACTCCAGCTAACAAAAGATTGACAATAAAACTTACTGTAAATAAAACCATCTAAATCTTGAGTATGAATAAAGTCCATTAGTTTGGGTTGTATTTTTATTATTGTTGTTTTTGACTCCTGTGCTGCATGTACATTTTCTTTTATTCATCTACTGCAAAATCATACATTTGCACATTTACCAGAGAAGGGCAAGAAAATATAATCAAGTGATATTACTTCTTAGACCTTGGAAGATTTGGATAGGTGAGAAAGGTGAAAGTCAACAGCCAAAAAAGAAAGAGAGAGAAAGAAAGAAAGAAGAGAGAGAGAGAAAGAAAGAAAAAGAAAGAAAGAAAGAAAGAAAAGAAGGAAAAGAAAGAAGGAAGGAGAAAGAAAGAGAAAGAAAGAAAGAAAGGAAAGAAAAAGAAAGATTGCACACTGATCCCCTCTGCCTGTAAATTTCCCTTACTTCCATTGCCTTTGACCCATGAATCTGGCTCACACTTGCTTCGCTGCTTAAAGGTCACTTCCTCAGGGAAACCTTCCCTGACCTCCCAGCTATAAAAATCTACCACAACAGCACCTTGTACTTCCTTTTTCAAAGCACTGTCACACTTGTAATTTCTTGTCTTCTCATAAACTCTGTGAGGCAGGTGCCACACCTGCATATTTCACTTCTATATCTCCCATAGCTATCAAAGCAGTAGCACATTCATGAGAACAAATATTGTCTGAACAAATTAATAAAAAATGATAAAGACATGCAAAAGTGAGCTGTACTTCTTGCATGGACACACGCAAGACATCACCTTCCAGAGATACACATAGGATTTAAGCACTGGCTTCAATTACCCCCTCATCAGAGAAAACCTCCCATCCCTTCTGAAATATTACAGCAGCCTCTGCATTTCACATTTTACCCTTCTTGAATTTTCTTTTCAACACATATCACTATCTGACATTTTGTTGTCTATTCATTTATTTATTGTATGCTTTCCCCCGTAAGGTCTGTGAGAGGAGGGTTATTTGTACTGCCATATCTCTCACATCTAGAATAGAATCCAGCAGGTAGTAGGTGTGCAATAAAAGTTCAATGAATGAATGAATGAATGAATCAATCAATCAATCAATCAATGAGATTCCAGAGTGCAGCACATCGAGCCATTTTGGCTTTCCAAATAGTCATACCAACTTCCAGCAAAAAGCACCACATTCCATAATATAGGGAGACAAAAGAATAAATAATTTTTAAAATTGTTTCCTTTAGTTGAGTTGTTTCTATCATTTGTTAGCCAATTTTTAAAGTTGCAACTATCAAAATTTTTTATGTTTTTCTGCCTCACAGTGAGTTGACAATATGTTCAAATCAAGTATCTCATTGGGTATGAAAAGAAACAAACTTTTTCATAAGTTACAGTGTGAATGTTGATTTTGTTGTTGTTGCTGTCATTGTTCAGGAAGTCCAATAATAAGGACTAGAAAGTTTATTCACTTTTGAGAAAATAAGTAGTTATATCAGCTGGATAAAATACAACGCCATCCTTTAAAATGTTAAATATGAAGTTAAGCCATATAGAAAAAAGCCAAATAATGTAATATGAAAAGTAAGACTCCCATCATATACAGAGTGACTGAAATTTTGTAAATAAGATGTGTACATATGGACAAAGTTATAAGTATTCTAGCAGTAGCTCACTGATTACATTTTATTGAAGAGGTTATGGGATAAACTTTCTGCAAAGTTGTTTATAAAAATAAAAATAATTTTAAAAGGAAACCAGGAGAGCCAAGTGTCCCAGAACACTTCATGTGTTTTCTGGCACCACTTCATGTTATTCTGGTTTTTTCTTCTTAGTTAGTCACCAGTTATCCACCTTCAAATTGAACAGCCTTTGAGATGACTTGCCCTGGTTGGGCTGGGATCCCTGGAAAATTCCAGGGTGATCTGCTTTTATGCCTTGGAGTTCCTTTTAATCTCAATACACTGACAGAGAAATACCAAGAGTTGTATTGTGAATTTCCAGTTTCAAGATGGAATTCAATATAACTTACAGTTTTAGTGGTGCTTGGTATTATTTTTATTTTTTGGACATTCTCCAGCTTGAAGCTCTGCTTCTGGGGAAGACACTCTGCTGCCCAGGAACATTCATAGCTAAAGGACCTCTGCACTAAAACACCACAACCCCACATGCTACGCCAGGTCAATGCCTTAACCAAGAGCTCTGGTCTGGGCCCAAAGGGGGAAAACATAATTTTTTTCCTGAGGCCATGGTCTTGGTGATTTCATGCTTCCCAGGGACAGCAGGCTTTGGAAATTAGAGTGAACCAGCTCTTCTCACATAATCCCCACCTTATCTACTCCACTCTCTTCCCCTAATGCAGAGTGCAATATTGGCACCTTGGAAGGTTGGCCATGATTCATGGTCCATTATAAGGTTTAGGAGTTAACCTTTCCAAGTAGATGAAACCAAAATAGTTGGTAACCTCCCTATTAAAATCAAACCTTTTCCCTCACTCTTTCCTAATCTTAGAACTTGAGAGTATGAAAGACAAACAGCAATTTCATTGTACCAGGGGAAAATAATACAGTAAGACTCTCTAATTCTTCAGACTGGGTTTTAAGCATCCAGCTGTCTTCATTTGCAAGGCATTAAATATTTTCATATTCCACAAATGGGGCTATTGAACAATGATAAATGAAGTCTAATGCAACTATTTTTAGTATGGAAATTGCAATTAAAATGCAGTAGAATAATAATCTTGCCCAAGCATGTCTGAGATCTTCTTTCCAGTTTTTTCAAAACAATGCTTTCTATGTCTGGCTGCAGAGACTTGTTGCTTGTTTTCCTTTTGCTGAAGAATAGGTAACACTTGACATTCTTTCTAAACCAGGTGAATGTGCAGCTGAAATTGTGGTTTTGGCTGGACACAATCCTTCCTTCTTTCTCCATGTTTTCATTTACACAATCTAGGGGATGAAATCTGTTTCCTATATATAGTGGTAAATTACCATGAACCAAATCAGTTTCCTAGGTAACTATTATCTATTTATTTATCTTTCCATCGATCTATCTATTTTTAAACTTAGGATAGTTCATTATTGTTGTTTGAGACAGAAAACATACCTAACAAAATAATAATAATAAAAACAAACACTTTTATGGTGCTTACCACATGCCAAGTATTATTTGAAACACTTTATACATATTGACTCAACCCAACACAATTGACACAACTCCAGAGGTAAGTTTCTATGTTATTCTTATTTTATAGGTGAAGAAACTGATGTGTGGAGAAGTTAAATAACCTGCCTATGGCTCCCAGCAAGTAAATGGCAGAGCCATAATCCAAACCCAGACATCTGACTCCAGAAGCAGCTCTCAGCCCATGTGCTGGCCTCACAGCAGCAACTTTGGGATGTAGGTATTACCCCCATTTTATGGGTGAAGCCACTGAGGTTCAGAGAGGTAAAGCTATTCATTCAATATCACAAATCTGGTAAGCAGCTAACCTAGAATTCAACTCAGATTTCAGGTGGCTTTGGCTGTAATGTTTGTGTTTTCTCTAACCTGAAATAGTGCTATTTATTTAATATAATACCTTTTATTAGTAGGAGTAAAAAGTTCTATTTTTTAGGAGTAAAAAGTTCTATTTTTTACTCCTACTAATAAAAGGTAGGATAGTCCTACTAATAAAAGGTATTATATGTCCTGGGCCAGGCGCAGTGGCTCACTCCTGTAATGCCAGCACGTTGGGAGGCCAAGGCCGGCGGATCACCTGAGGTCAGAAGTTCAAGCCCAGCCTGGCCAACATGGTGAAACCCCGTCACTACTAAAAATAAATTAAAAAATAGCCAGGTGTTGTGGCACATGTCTGTAATCCTAGCTACTTGGAGGCTGAAGCAGGAGAATCGCTTGAACCCAGGAGGCAGAGTTTCCAGTGAGCCGAGATCACACCATTGCACCTCAGCCTGGGTGACAAGAGTGAAACTCCATCTCAAAGGAAAAAAAAGGGGGGTATTATATGTCCTTTTAAACACTTTCATGGGTTAGCGAGACTTGTGTTAATATGAAAACACAATGAAAAGAACACTTTTTCCCCATTAGAAAGTATTCTCAAACTTCCAAGGGATCACCTTATAAATGATGGTCTGTAACTCACTACATTTGAAAGTTGTAGATTAGTCAAGTTTAGAAAATAAAATCTGATTTTCAAATATTAAGTACCATAGTCCTTTGAAAACACATTGTTTCTTATTCTGCAAGGAGGGAAAAGGTCTATTAAGTTGATTGAACTAGAAAAATGCATTTTCTCTTTTAAAAAAACCACACACACACCAAAGAACAAAAAAATCATAATTAATTTTTTTGGGTTTGTTACTAACCATGCTTCTAAACTGTGTTTATTCTCTGCAAGCCTCTGTAAGAGGCCATTAGCTGCAATGCAGAAGCCTTATTTATTTATTTATTTATTTACTTTAAGGCTGAAAAGCTTTCCTCTTCAAGTTTCTGTGTGTAGGATAGTCCTTGGTGCACGCTTGAACACACTGGGGAGAATGCACTAGATGAGCTCACCTTGAGAATGAATCTGAAGATAAAAGCTCCCTGAAAAACAAGCAGTCAAAACTGATTGTCATAGAATCCTAAAGAATAATCCATCACTCATTTTTTTTGTACACAAGAAGACCCAAAGGGCCTCCTGTTTGTTTTCTATTTCTGTTTCAGCAAATTTTAAGCTGAAGTGTGATTTCCATGTTCAGCATTAATGAGAATTTTGCTGTGCTTTGAAATTTGCTGTCATCCCATTTCCTGTGCTTTACTGTTTTTGAGGCCAATTCAGCAATGGCAGGGTCCTGCTTGCTCTGCCCTGCCAGGTTCATTAAAATCAAATTTATTAACAGTACTCTTCCTCTCACTAGGGTGTTGCCCATTTTTAAATAGCTATCCTGTAAAAAAGCTTCATTTTTAAAGTAGAAACATTTTAAGCGCTCTTTGAAAAAATACACTTGGGAATCCATTGGTAAAGAAACCACCCTTGGAATGAAACATTAAAATGAGCTACATGTGAATTTGAACATTTACTTCATAGAATATAGAGAAAAGAATTGCAGGGCTTCAGATTCAAGAATACCTGGTACATTGCATTAAAACCATTTCAACTCTGGTATATGTTGCTAATGCCAATGGAAGTATTTAGTTCCTATAGATAAGTTGTTCAACAAAGAGTTGCCATTATCTCTCTCTCTCTCTTTTTGAGACGGAGTTTCGCTCTTGTTGCCCAGGCTGCAGTGCGATGGCACTATCTCGGCTCACCACAACCCTGCCTCCCGGGTTCAAGCCATTCTCCTGTCTCAGCCTCCCGAGTAGCTGGGGTTACAGGCACATGCCACCACACCCGGCTAATTTTTGTATTTTTAGTAGAGATGGGGTTTCATCATATTGGTCAGGCTGGTCTCTAACGCCTGACCTCAGATGATCCCCCCTCCTCAGCCTCCCAAAGTGCTGGGATTACAGGTGTGAGCCACTGTGCCTGGCCTATCTTTCTCTCTTAAGTATTGCTATACTTATCCCAAGAAAGTTGTCTGTATTTGTGGCCTCTTGTTATACACTCTGAAATCTTTCCTTATCCTCCTATATGCCCATTTTCCTGAATAAAAGTTTTTAAAAGTCACCAATGACATCCTAAACACCAATTCAAATGGCTTTTACTTAGTCTTCAGTCTTCTTGACTTGAGAACAACACGCAGTTTAATGGAAAAATAATTACCAAAGTTAATTTGACATATATTAACTGATATGCAAAAAAGTTGCTTCTTAGTAATTAGACATGAATATTAAGCAAGTATTATAAATAGCTTTAACTGACTGTGTCACTTTTTTCCAGCCCAGTTTTCATTTTTTAATTCTTCCTTTTGCTTTATTTTATCAAATAGTACATTTTATTTCACATTTTCTATGTGCCAAGCACTATGCTAAACATTTTATATACGTTATTTCATTTAATCCTCACACACATGCAAAGATTAATGTCCTTATTCTACCAATAATGAAAGGAAAGTTCCAAATGATTGGGCATTTGATCCAAGATTACATGGTTATCAGTGGAGTAACAAGTTCAACCCATTTTGGTCAGACAAGAGAACACTTGCTCCTGATTCTCAGTATCTACACACAGTATCATTTTGATGGATTTTCCTCATGTCATATAATTTGATACTCATTAAACACATCCATTTATCCTATCAGTTAGTCTAGTGGTCCATAAACATTCAAGTTTTAACTGCGATACTGAGAGATATAAGATATAGTTCCACCTATCAAGGCATTTCTGGGCTAGCAGGGAATATAAGTCAATAAACAAGTTTACAATCCAGTGAGATGGTTATCATAATAAAGGGAAGTATTAAGTGTGATGGGAGCGGAGAATGGCCAAAATTTGTCTGGGAAAGTGAGGAAAGTCATCAGAAAAAGGCTTTGATTTGAATAGAGACTTTAAGGACAGGGAGAAGAGATGAACTGGGGTGGAAAGCAAATGGGCTCTGCATCTGGAAGCTGAGGTTGCTGTGCCTATAGGTCCTCTGTACCTCCAAAACATCTGGAGTTTGTGCACTTAGCTGGAATAACCCCAGCTTACCTTTATCAAAGAAAACAACATATCTTAAAGACAAGAGGTACCAGATTCTTCTGACAATACTCTACTAATATCTGCTAATACCCTATTCCCCTTTCTCCCTAATGCTCTATTTCAATGGTTCTCAAAGTGTGGTCCTTGAACCATGAGCAGTAGGAGCAACAGCACCTGAGAACTTGTTAGAAATGCAGATTCCTAGACTCTACTCCAGATTTACTGAGCCAGAAACTCTTTGAATGGGGCCCAGCAATCAGTTTTAAAGAGCCCTCCAAGCGATTCTGGTGCATGCAGGAGTTTGGAACTACTGCTGCACCTTCCTGCATATACTTTAGAACAATGAAGCTAATTTCCCTAACAAGCTTTGAGGTGTGGTGTGTCTGTTGCATTCACCCTTGTGCTCCCAGCACCTAGCCCAGCACTGGACACAAACGTAGTAAGTATTCAATAAACATTTGTGGAATGAATGAATGAATAATTAAAAATGCATTTCACAAGTGCATAAAAAGCTTTAAATGCCAATACTCCTAGAAAAGATGAAGTAGTTTCACTAATTTCTGATAAGAATGGAAGGGAGCAGAAAGTGAAAGTCCTTGGGAAGGAAGAGAATTAACATTTCCAGAGCACTGACTGTGTGCTAGGGGCTTTTCAGAGGCTTTCTGATATCTTCATAACTACCCGGGAGGTAGATATTATCATCCTCACCTGAAAGATTAACAATACTAAGGCTCACAGAGAAAATGTTCCCAATCACCCAGCTGGCAGTAGGTAATACAAACCCAGAGCCCTCCAGCTCCACGGCCCTACTGTTTTCTCTTCTCCATGGTCCCTCTGAGAAACACCACCAGCAGCAAGAAAGGGGCAAATGGAAGCAGAAAAAGCCTTGAAGGGAAAGAAAGACTCCATTGACTTCACAATTTTGCCTGGTGTCATCGCCATCACCTGCTCATTAATTGGCAGGACACTGCTAAGAGGTATCAGTAACCTGTGAGCAATGTGTCCTTAGGCATTTTATACTATATTGGTGTCTTCTTCAGAACCTGTCCTCTTCTCCATTAGCCATGACCTCACACCATCTTCCATCTCCTGTCTGTCTGAATGTGCCTTCTCATTCACTGACCCTGAACAGAGACAGCAATCTGTCAATCCGTCCATGTCCTGCCCGGGTGAGGTTTCCCACGCTGGGTCAAATTAAGCTTCAGGCTCCACTCATGATCTTGCTCTTTACAGATTCCTTTAAATTTCTGTTTTGCAATCATATTTTCCCTAGAACCCAAAGGTTTGGTTCCCAGAAGCTACTTCTCTTTTCCTTCCTTCCCTGACCTTTAAAGGTTTCTTCCATTCTGAGAGACTAAATACCATTTCATCACTCTCTACCTGGCATCTCCAGCGCTGGCCTGGTCCTGAGTTTTCGTCCCGCATCTTTCTGCCTGGTGGAAGTTTCACTTTAATGCAACATGTTTGAACCAAGCTCTCAATCTACTCTTTAATCTTATTCTCCCTCCCAAACTGTTCCTGTCATTAGCACCACATTCTACCAGTCATTAGACTTTTAAAGCCACCCACTTGAATAGTTAACCTCTCCTTCCTTTGCAGACTTTCCTTCCTTCCTTCCTCCCTCCCTCCCTCCCTTCCTTCCTTTGTTCCTTTCCCTTCTCTCCTTCTCTTACTCCTTCCACAGATCTGCCCCTTGCCCACTTACTATGGGGTATTTAATAAGCACTTACTACATGCCAGTCCAGGTTACTCTTTGCCTTCCTGGAGCCTACAATCTGGTGAGAGAAACCCACAAGCAAGTAAACTAGTTATAGCTTCTGTCAAGTACAGTGAACTAGACAGAGGGCTGTGTACAGGATAATGAAGGGAGCAGACAAGAAAGGGCCTCTCTGAGGAGGTGATATTTAGACTGAGATCCATGAGGAACAGTGGATATAGGAGGGTGGGCTGCCCATATGAGGTCTGATCGGGTGCCAGAGCTTAATGAGCTGGCAGGAGAGTGGATAGGCCAGGAAAGAAGTGAGTAGAAGCAGATCTGGAGGGACTAGGAGGGCAGGTGAGTCTGACTTTATTCAAAGTGCTTTGGAAGCCTTTAGAGGGCTCAAGTGAGGGGGAACCTAATCCGACTTACACTTGGAAGAAGCATGGGGTGGACAGTGACCTTCTCAGCTGTTTTCTGAAGAAATGATTGGAGAGAAAGTGGGTAAACGTGTGGGTTTGCCTTTCTCTTCCAAATCTTCCCAATATAATGTTTTTCTAATTAAGACTAATATTCTTCCTTGCAATCAAAAGGGTGAGAGTTACATTCTGCACCACTCAACAGCCATGCTTCAGAGAGGGGTCTTGGGTACTGGCAGTGAGCGATATCAACAATGCAACAACAACAGTAAAGCTTACGGAGCATGACTATGTGTACTCAATATGAGTACTTATGTGCATTAGATGTTTTAGTGCACAAGAGCCTTATATAGGGTGTATTGCCACCTTTATTTTACAGAGAAGGACAAAGAGGTGAATTAACTTGTCCAAGGTCACAGAGCAGCTAAGACAAAAATGAATGAAGAAACGATTTCCAAATAAATATAGTCAGTCTTTGATTGGTTTTTCGTCCTGTCTTCCACATTCATTGTGAAAAATGCAAACTGTACAAAACTGCATAAAGTAGAAAGTTAAAGCTCCCTGTAACCCTGCCCCTAAGGTGAGAGTTTGAACTTGCGCTCCGTGGTTTTTCCCCCAGCAGAGCTAGAATACTTCCTATAGGCAACCTGAAAAGCTCTCAGGTATCTGACTTCTACAAAGGGGCTGGTCCTCTCTTAAGCCAGTTTAGAAACAGAAGAATATAAAGCCACTTTCTTACCATTTCTGCTATAGAAAGTGAACGCCAAACCATTCTGGCTACAAAGAGAGTCACACCCATTTGGAGTGAAAGCTTTCATGAGTTTACATCACTGCTTAGAAGGACAGGCCAAAAAATACAGCAGGAGGACAATGAGAGTTTACCTTCATCCACGAACAATAAAACGAGAACAATGTAGAAGAGAAATCTGGTTGTTCATTTCTCCTCATTTTTATGTCTCATAAGAGAAATCATTTGGGTTTTCTCTGTAAAAAAACAAAACAAAACCAAAAACCCTAGTTTTAGCAGCAAAACTAATCACAACAAAACGATATTCTGGTGTCATTTTATAAATTCTGAATAAAAGCTGGAGGTATTCAAATTTCTAAACCCTGCAGCACAAAAGGCAGCTTTCCAAACAGGACTAGGCCACGCTAACTGTTGAATAGGAAAACTAATTAGCATCCTGTGTGAACTATCTTGTCTTTTTTTAGGACCGGAAATCAAATGGGAAGGGTTCCCTCCTGTTCCAAGTGAGTTCCAGAAGAATTACTCACGCTCCTTAACCTATGAGTCAGAAAGGAGTCTAGGAGAGTGTTTCCAAAACAGGCTGACAATAAGATAAACAAAGCAATTGATCTGTGGCAGTCAGGAGATCAGGGCTGCCACTGGTCAAAGTGAGGGATCAGGTCTAGAGTGTAAGATGGTAAACCTGGGATCGGCTGAGTCTCCCTGGAGAAGCCGTGCCAGAGCTCTGCAGACCAACCAGCCCCGAGCCATTTCCCGAAAGTCAATGTCCACAGGGAGGTTTGGTTCAGAACCTTTATTCAATTTCATTGATTTAGTGTATGGAATTGTAGCATCTTTCCCCCCGTATAACTCAAGGGACTTGTCTGCCATCACACTGCACTGCCTAGCCTGGCTCTCTAAATGCTTTGGCTATCCATGCGTTTGGACGTCCCACAACACAGGATATTAATCATTTCAGGACTCTGGGCCTGTTCCCAGTGTCCATGTTCGCCACTGTTGAGCTGCAGCCAGAAAAGCAGTTCCCAAATGACAGAGACGTTCCTAAACTTAAATACAAAGTAATCAAAATTCAGTTTAGGAGATAACCCAGCATCAAGCAGATACTCTCCTGGGAAGGTAGAGGATAAACTTCCTCATTGCTCCTTCTAGGGAAGAGTCTGAAGCCAGGGCTCAGCTCTGTCTGCGGCTGCTACAGGCCTACAGGCATCTCCTAACGGAGGATTTAGGGGTGTGCACGAGGCCTCATGAGGACACTGCCCCGCTAGCCTGATCCTTCCTTCCAAGAGAAAACCGCAGTGTGGATGTGCCGAGGTCGGCCCTGCCATGGAGGAAGAGCGGAAGCTGACTGGTGTTTTTCTCGATCCGCCATTAGACCTATTCGTGTACAGAGGCCAGGCTGAGGTGAGGGTGGGGTGGAGGAGGAACAGTGTCCTAAACAAGAATCCTGTCTCATCTGCTTGCCCTGACTTGCCCCTCTGTCCATCTGTCACGCAGTAGTCAGTCATCTTTCTAAACGCAGCTCTCAGATCACCTCCTCTCCTGAAAGCCTTTGAGGGAACCCTCCCTGAATACACACCTACAGAAATTCCAAAATTCTTCATAGGCCATCCAAGGCCCTTCACTCCTTGACTTTCTGCCTAACTTTCAGATTCATTACCAGCCACTCCCTGAGCTTCTAACCACATTTGCCTGCTCATTATTTCCTGAAAACATTGTGTACTTTTAGCTCTGCTTTCTTTATTCATGCTGTTTCTTCTACCTGGAATCCCATCGCCTACTGACTGCCTCCTGCTCAGCCCTGCAGTGCGCCCCCCCACATCTCACCTCTTTTTGCAGGAGTGCTCCTGGGTCCTGTTCCCACCCCTGCTGAGTTCGTTGCTCCCTGATCTGTGTTTGCATGGCACTAGATGCGTGCCTCTCTTCTAGCAGCTATTACCTTGTATGGGATCGGTCCATGCTCTTGATCTTCCCCATTAGACTGTGGGCTCCCCAGGGATGAGTGCTGTGTTTGCTCCATCTTAATTGAATCAAGGAGAGTTTACACATCAGCTGTTACACTCTTTGCCATTCATATAATGGCCAAAAGTTTAAAAGAAGCTGCATTGCAGCAATGGTCAATCCTGCTGCTCTCCCTCCATGCAGCTTTTTGCATTCAATGTGACTTTCAGCAACATTTGGCTTGCACCAACACTGATGGTATTCAGTTTCAAAAGAGTAACAGTTTCAGGGTGCACGTTTTCTGCATTTAATTGTTTAAGATAGGAACAGATAGCGTACCTAAATTGCACTCCAAGTCTCCCTCTCCCTCCCTCCTTCTCCTCTGTTTTTCTCTCCCTCCATCTCTCTGTCGTTGTTTTTCATTCTCTGTCTCTCCCTCTGCCCCCCGCCCACACAGATACACAACACACAGAGTAGAAATGCCTAAGGACACATGAATGAAGTTAGGGTACAAGGTTTAGTATGTAGTAAAAAATTTTAATGCCATGTCAAACAAAAAGCCCATTAGTTAACAGGTGTTTGCAGAAGGGCACTCCAGGTCCTCAGCCCTCAGCCAACCTAGGTGCTATAAAGGAATACCAACTTAGGCAAATTCCTGATATTGCTTTGGAAAATGGTTACACTGACTTTCCTTCCTTTCTCAGACATTTCCTCTCTCAATGTTCGCACATGGTGTTCTCTGCCTGGAAAGCCTTTGCCCTTCACCGCAGTGCCTCCATTAAGCGCATGCTTTGTCATCCTTCAACTTTCAGCTTAAACAAAACTGCCTCAGAGGGTTGTAGTTATCTCCTTAACCATCTCCGTAACTCTTTTCATCTTGCAAAGCTAAAACTCTGTACACATTAAAGAGTAACTCCTCATATTTCCTCTCCCCAGCCCCTGGCAATCACCATTCTACTTTTCATCTCTGAATTTCACTACTATAATGGCTTTAAAAATAGTGTGCATATAAACTGAAACATAACTGCCTGGACCCATCTCCCATATTCTGCACTTCAGCACTGTCAGTATTTTCTTCAAAGCCCTTGCCAATTATTTAATTTTATCTTACTTAAATTTAAATTTAATTTAACTTTTGGTGTGCCCCTACCGTTAGACTGAAAGCAATTTGAAAGGAAGAGAGTTCATGTGGATTTTGTTCTATACCACATAGTAGTTCTCAGTAAATACTTTTGGGTGAAAGAATGTACTCTTTCAAATCCACATTCCACTTGGAACTGGGGGAAGTTGATATCATCAACTAAGTGCCTTCTCCTGCCTGGTCACACCTGTTCGTCCCCACCACTGACAGGTGTCCTGAACTTGCTTCCAAGGTGCCTGCCTCCCTCAGCCTGGGGAGGGCTTTCATCACCCTCTCCACTTAGCACATTCCTCCTCACCTTACAACAGCTTTTCACCCCATTCTGACACTTTTTGTAGGATGTTAGTTAGTTCTGCTTCTAGGCTCCACAAACACTTTTATTTTCTCCTAACTTTCTCATGTTTGCTTCTTTTATTACAAAAACTAGAAAGTGCTCCTAGAAAACTGTGAGCAAACATCACAGAGGTGTATAAAGTAAAAAATGAAAGCCTCCCTTTCCATTCTCATGGCTCCAGGTGACCACAGGTACCACTGAGTTCTTTTCTTTGCATTTATAAGCATACACTAAATCTTTTCATTTAAATAAAAAAGGGACCATTGTATACTTTTAGAAAGTGAAAAACAGATCACGGGATAATACCGGTTAGTGTGTTACTTTTCAATTGCTATCTCTCATATTTATTTTTCATGTTGTAATAGAGAGAGCAACTTTGCTTTTTCAGTGGCTGATTACTGGTTCATTGTGTGCTTGTACTATCATTTAAAAAAATCTGTTTCTTTATGGCTATTTAGGTAGCTTCTTTTTTTTTTTTTTAATCTCAAGCAATGCTAGTATAAATCCCTTTATACCTTTATACATTTCAGTGGCTATTTCTCTGGTATATATATATATATATATATATATATATTTTGTGTGTGTGTGTGATGGAGTTTTGCTCTGTCATCCAGGCTGGAGTGCAGTGGTGAGATCTCGGCTCACTACAAGCCCTGCCTCCTGGGTTCATGCCATTCTCCTGTCTCAGCCTCGGGACTACAGGCGCCTGCTACCACGCCCGGCTAATTTTTTGTATTTTTGGTAGAGACGGGGTTTCACCGTGACAGAGTCTCACTCTGTCGCCCAGGCTGTAGTGCAGTGGAACAGTCTCAGCTCACTGCAACCTCCGCCTTCCCAGTTCAAGCAATTCTAGTGCCTCAGCCTCCTGAGTAGCTAAGATTACAGGCATGTGCCACCACGTCCAGCTAAATTTTGTATTTTTGGAAGAGATGGGGTTTCGCCATGTTGGCCAGGCCGATCTTGAACTTCTGGCCTCAAGTGTATCCACCTACCTCTCCTCTCAAAGTACTGGGATTACGGGAGTGAGCCGCAACTCCCGGCCTGGAATATATTCTAAAAATGGCATTGTTGGATCAAATGGCATCTCATTTCATATGTTGATAGCTCCAGCCTGATTGTCTTCTAAAAAAGCATTCTACTGCCCATTTCTACTCCCACACATGGTGCGTAAGAGTGTCAGAGGCTCACACTATGAGTGGGTATTATTGCTGTAGTTAATCTGTCTTACCTAATTGGTCAAAAACTTTCCTGTTTTCAATTGTTGAGCTTGATAGTTTTTGATATTTAACCACCATTTATGTCCTTCATCCTTGAAGTATTTTTATATCCATCGATCATTTTTCTATTGGAGTGTTCAATTTCATTTTTCTTCATTTGCAATGGCTTTTTAAAAAAACATTGTGGTAAAATACACCTGACATAAAAGTTACCATCTTAACCATTTCCAAGTGTACAGTTCAGTGGGATTAAGTACATTCACAATGTTGTGCATCCATCACCACCATCCATCTCCATAACGCTTTTCATCGTGCAAAGCTGACTCTATACCCATTAAACAGTAACTTCTCATCTTTTCTCTCCCCAGCCCCTGGAAATCACCATTCTACTTTTCATCTCTACAGATTTGACTATTGTAATGACTTTGAACATAGGATGAATATAAACTTTTGTCTGTTAGAGAGGGTGAACATATTTTCCAAAAGTTTTAGCTTGCCTTTTAACTTGATAATGCCTCTTTTCATATAGAAGATGCACTTTCTTTAAGCTTCACACTTTTATATTAGTAAATATGAGCATATTTTGCTTTTTGGCTTTTAAGTTTTATGTTTTACTTTAAAAGACCTCTTCATTCTAAAATGATAGAAGTATTCTCCTGATTTCATCTAGTTATAAAAGCACTCTGGTCATCTCTGTATCTCAACACTTCTCCTTCTGTATTCTAATGAATAGTAATAGCTGACATTAATGAGAACTGTATTTCAGACACCGTGCTAAGTTCTTTTCATGTATTATCTCATTTAATCTTTGTAACAAATTGATGAGGTGGGTCATATTTTTATTTATTTATTTATGTTTGAGACAGGGTCTTGCTCTGTCTGCTAGGCTGGAGTGCAATGGAGCTATCACTCCTCACTGCAGCCTCGAGCTCCTGTGCTCAAGCAATCTTCCCACATCAGCCTCCTGATTAGCTGGGACTACTGGTGCATGCCACCATGCCTGGCTAATTAAAAAAAAAAAATTGTAGGGACAGAGTCTCATCATGTTGACCAGGCTGGTCTCAAACTCCTTGCCTCAAATGGTCCTCCCGCCTTGGCCTCTCCAAGTGCTGGGATTACAGGTATGAACCACAGTGCCCAGCCAAGGTGGGTTTTATTATTATCTACATTTTACAATGAAAAAATGAAGATTCATAGAGTTTAAGTAACTGTACGTCAAGTGGCAAAGCTGTAGTCTGGGCCCAAGCTACGTAACTGCACACTAATCACTAAGCTATGAATCTATTTTCTCTGTAAAATGATGTTCCCTAAGGATGTGACTATGTCTCATTTGTATTCCTACTCTAGTATGTAGATCCTCAACAATGATTTTTGGAGTGAATTAATTCCTTTCACTTAAACTCAACATGCTATGGGCAAGCTCAGACATGGCCATTCCTATCTATCTCTTCCTCCATCACCTCTCTCGTCTATGAATTTGGTCATGACTTCTAAGACCCACAGAGCCACTGCTTTCCACCGGGAACAAACTCCCCAGGATGTTCAGGGTCTTCTCAAGCATCGCTGCCACTTTCTCAAGGTGGTAAGTCCTCTATCAAGACGTCGCTCCCCTCACAGAGTTCTCTACTGGGTCTGCTCATATTTCACCTCTGTCCTCTGAATAAGCTGATGGATTCCCTCTAGCTCACAGACCATAATTCTACCCTTATCCTAAAACAGCATTTCCTCTTTTGGAGTCCTTAAAAATTTTAGCACCAGGTCCACAGCCTTCACCTCTCCACCTCTCTTTGTCTCCCTTTAGAGCTCCAACTCTCATATTGATAACCCTTCCAATGTCCTGGCCTCAAATCCTCAATTTTCACAATCAAATATCCTTTCTCTCCTAATGTTCGTAACATCAGCCCAGCCCTGGGCCCAGATTCAATCATTGCAAGATGCTGCTTCCTTGTCTTGCTCTCTTGTCTTTCTACTGCAGCCCTGCCTCTTTTGCCAATTTCCAGACCTGTACAGACCCCTTCTATTTTCTCCACTCTTTCTCATTGCTGGGGAAGTTCAGGAACCCAGGACATCTGGATCTGTTACAACTTCGGGAGGACTGTCTCTGTGACTTGGCCACTCTCTCATCACCTCCACCTGGCTTCTTGTCCACTCTCTGTAGCATCTCTTCTAAATCTTTCACTCTCAGCTAGACTTCACTTTTCAAAGATGCCTTTGCCTCTTCCTTCACTGTGGAGGGAAAGCCACCTCACTGGAGCTCTCTCAACTTCCCTACCCTCCACCACACTCCCTTCTTTCCCATCTCAGAGGAGTAAAGCTTCTCCACTTCATCCTTTGCGGTGCACAATAAGTGTAAGGGGGAAGAATGGATTTTGGAAACTGACAGTCTTGGGCTTGAATTTGAGCTCAAGTAGCAAACAGTTTTATGTCTGGGAGCAATTTATTTACTGTTTCAAGCCTCACCTTTTTCACCCATAGGTGGGGATGACAATAGTACCAGCCTCAAAGAGATTTGTAGAGAGGATTAAATGGCTGGATGCATGTGCAGCTGAGGCATCTGCCCCGAATTTCTGAATTTTCTTCCCACCATCCCACCCCCAGCTTCTCCATTTGAGTCCCAGATTCCATTCCCTTTCTCTTTGGGGCTTTGCCCCATCAACTGCTTTCTACTTGTTTATGAATGTTTTGTCATTCCCTTTGGCTAAACTTTTCTTTTTGACTTTAGAAAACGTAAAATTCTTCTTCACCCTAAGAATTCTTTTTGGTGACTCTAACAATTTCAACCTTCATCTTCTCCTTCTCTTAATTTTACTGCCAAATCTCTTGAAAGAGCAGTCTATACTAGCTGATTCTATTTCTCTCCCACCTACTCTCTCCTCAACACCTCTTCTACCTCCTTAATCACCATATTTAAATTGGGTTCCTAAAGTCACAATTTTCTAGGCCCTTCGATTGCAGGTTTTCCTTGGTCTTCAGCCTGCCATGTTCAACTGCAGTATTGAACAGTGGCAATGCCCTGGATCTACTTGAAAAATCCACCTTGACTTCATATCATTGTATATATTTTTTGTTCTCCTCCTGCTTCTCTTGTAATTGCTTCAGCTCACTCACAGAACAGTTTTTTTTTAATTGAGCATCTATTATACACCACAACTGTGCTAGCTGCCAGGATATAATGGTGAACATCACAGGCATTGTCACTGGCCCACTAGTCCTTTAAGCTTATGGTCTAATAGAGCAGACATCAAACAGTCATACACATTCTCTCTATCAGCTACCTGCTGCATGTGTGTATTTACATATTTACAACATATTATAAAAGCATATAACAAGGTGGAAGCTGGGATAGGGGAAGGCAAGTCAAGGAAGAACAGTTTGGGGAAGTGATACATCTCAAAGCTGAGATCTGCAAGATAAAACATGTTAGCTGAGTGAGGAGTAGTAAAGTTGGAGTGGTGGCTTCCAGGAAAAGGAAGAAAAACTGTGAAGGCTCTGGGGTGAGAAGGAACTTAGCAAATTCAAGAAACCGAAAGAATACTAGTGTAGCTAAAGTGCAGGGAACAATGGTGGAGGGATGAAGTCAGAGCCACGGACAATGGGCTAGATTATGTGTGGTCTTGTAGGGAACATGGAGAGGGTTTGGGATTTATTCCCAAGAGCAATGAGTGGATAATGAAAAACCTCTCTTTCCCTGCCTGCTTCCTCATTTCGAATGCACTCATAGATGGGTTGTCTATGCTTTTGGCCAGCCAGTGTCATGGCTGAATAATTGCTCTTTATGATTGATTCCTGAGCCCCAGTGCCCACCAGAATTCCAGTCCTTTCCCAGCTACCTCCTAGGATTCTCCCATGGGATGTCCAGCTGGCACTACAACTGTAAATGTTAGAAACAGACTTCATCTTTCTTTTCAAAATTCTTTCTTCTTTTGTGTTTCCTATCCTGGTTCATGGCAGCTCTGCTGGCCTCCCATCTATCCAGATTGGAAATGCTGGTGTCTCTTTGACCCCCCCTTTCATTTATTCATTCATTCCTTCTGAGGATACAGCATGCACCAAAACTGATGGCACTTGCATTCCAGTATGGGCGACCAAGGCCAAACACATCAATATCAATGTATATTATAATGCCAGTTAGTAATCAATAAATACTACAAATAAAAAGCAAATAGAAAGTGATGGGGTGGGGATGCTGCTTATTTTCATCAGGGAAGTTCTTTTTGAGAAGATACCTTTGAGCAGGATAAAGAATCAAACCATGTGGATATTTGGGGAAAGAGAATACCAGGCAGAGGGAATGGCATATGCAAAGGCCCAGAAGTGGGAGCATGCTTGAGAAACAGCAAAGAGGTTAGTAGCTTGGGAATGCATCGAGTGATAGGTTGACAGTAAAGAGACAAGGCCAGAGAAGCAGCACCTCCGGATTGTGCTGTAAGGTATGGAAAAGGGTTTGGAATTTAATTCTAAGTGTGATGAGAAGCCTTTGGAGGGTTTCAGTCAGAGAAGCAACATTCCTATGGTTTGAATATTTGTCTCCTTCAAAACTTGTGTTGAAATTGAATCCCCAGTGTGGCAGAATTGAGAGGTGGGGCTTTTAAGAAGTGATTGGGCCATGAGAGCTCTGCCCTTATGAATGGATTAATCTATTCATGGATTAATGAATTAAAGGATTAATAGATTAATAGGTTATCATGGGAATGGAACTCATGGCTTTGTAAGAAGAAGAGAGTCTTAGCTGACACACACAGCCCCCTCACCTTGTGATGCCCTGCACCCACCAACAAGAAGGCCTTCACTAGATGTGGACCCTTGACCTTGGATTTCAGCCACCATAACTGTAAAAACTAAAGTCCTTTTCTTTATAAAGTACTCAGTTTTCAATATTCTGTTATAAGCAACAGAAAACCGACTAGGACAGACATGATCTGATATGCAGTTCAAAGGGTCCCACTGGTTGCCGTATGAAGAATAGACTGTAGGGGGCAAAGTGAAGACCACATAGTAATCTATGTCTCCCCGACATTCACAGGGTCTTGCCCACTCCATCCTCCCTTCCCATTCTCACAGCTGCTGCTCTGAGTTAACTCCCTGCATATCATACATGAATTATTCGTGTGACCTCATAAATGATCATCCTGCATCCTGCTACATTTATCTTCCAGTTGCACAAATTTGAGCAGGCTATTTCCTTGATGAAGACTCCCATTGTTCCCTACCTTATTTTCATTAAGTACAACTCTTTTAGCCTTATATTTAAGGTCCCTTCTTGCCACTAACTGCTTCTCCAACTGCTGTCTTTCGCATACCCCAAGCTCAAGTTACACTGAACTACTCAGTTTACCATATAAGCTTCTTGCCTCCTCACCTCCATGCTTTTGCTCAAGCTATTCCATTTTCCCATAAAGCCTTCTCTTGCCAGCCCTCATCTCTGTAAGGCTCGGATTTCCTGAGTCTTTCTTGATCACCCAGGCAAAAGTGATTCTTCGTACCTTTGGCCTCTTATACTTTCCTAGTGACATTAATCATTATCTACCTAAATTATAGCTCTTTATTGTACATGTCTTGTCTTCCCCACTAAATTGTAAATTCCTAGAGGTCAGGGTCCAAGTTGATATATTTGTGCACTTTCCATCCACAGTGCCTAGCCTGATGCTTGTAGTGAGTACACAACAGATATTTGTTGAATGAATGAATTTCTAGCCTCAGAGGATTTTAACAGTCTATTTAAAGAGACATAACCAAGTCCTAAAGCCATGCTAGTAGTATAATGGAGGAATACATTACGTGGCACATAGTCTATGGACTGTAGGAATTCAGAAGGAAGATCAATAGTAGGTGGATTGGTCAAGGACGAGCTTTAATAGTGAATGTTTCTGGAATGGTTACCACATTCCAAGTTCTAGGCTGAACACTTTACATGCATTATCTCACTCTTCTCAACTCCTCTATGCTACAGGCACCTCTATGATACTTTCTACATTTTAAATGTGTCGGCCAAAGTTTGTGTGTTGGAAACTTAATCCCCAGTACAACAGTGTTGAGAGGTGGGACCCTTAAGAGATGATTAGGTCATGAGGTTTCTACCTTCACGAATAGATTAATGTAATTATTAAAGGAGTGGATTTGTTATAACATTGAGCTCAGCCCTCTCTTGCTCTCTTTCTTGCTCTCTCTCACCCTCTCTTCTTCTGCTATGGGATAATGCAGCAAGAATGCCCTTGCCAGATGCCAGAACCTTGATATTGAACTTCCCAGCCTCCAGAACTATGAGAAATATATTTATGTTCACTATAAATCACCCCGGTCTGTAGCACTATGTTATAGCATCACAAAATGGACCAAACAATACTTATGTATAGATATGGAAACGAGGTGGTAAGGTGAAGTTATTTTCTCAAAGTCACAGTGCTATGAAATCTACAGAAGTGGGATTTGAGCCCATGCCTATCTGGTTAGATTATACCAATCGTTCCTCTTGTCTGCCTTTGAGAACAAAGGAAAGGCCGTGCTTAAAGATAGCATTTGCATTTTATCTACTATCTCATCAAAAGTGGATCTAAAACAGCTAAACATGAACTGAGCTATGCCTGAGAAGATGACTAGGGCTCGAAGATGAGGCAGGTGTTTTGGGTTAAGACAACAGTTTTTGTGGGCTAAAAAGAGTAAACCTGTTCCTCGATGACAACAGACTGATCTGGCCAGTTGGAAGATGTGTTTAGGGACTAGTTTACTGGGTAAGTGGAGACAGTGTGTGGAAGGTATTGAATGCCAAGTAGAATGGTTGAGTGTTGATATTCCAGGACACAAGAAGATATTGTAATATTTATGAGTAGGGTCAGGACATAACTCTATTCAAAGAACGTTCATTGGGAAAGATTTTGCACTAAGCAGATGGCTGGAACTGTAGTATTCCCTGAGAAAGCTCTTGCTCTCAAAGAGCTAACAGTCCTTTGGAAGAAATAGCCCATAGAATTCAAACAAAGCACAGTAGAGACAGCCGAAGAACAAGAATTTTAACAGAGCATCAGAAAGAACTTCCTAAAGGCTATGGCACTTGAATTAGGCCTTATAGAGGGGTGGAAATGGAAGAATAGACAATGGGGCCTGCTTCTGAGCTAAGGGAAGGTGGCATTTAGAGAAGATTACCCAGTAATTGTGTACTGGCTGGGCTATTAAGCAGTCTCTAACACGTTGAGATTTCTGGGGGAGAGATGCACTTAAGGCCAGAAATCTATCTACACAGGTAGCAGTTCGTGTGAAAAAGACATAGGAGTCTTAGCATTCAGCAAGTTCAATGGGAGAATGGAGATGCTTCAGTGTCAAAGGAGCTATGCTAATCTTCAGCTGCCTTAAAAGACGTTCAGTGTTGCACATCCAGATCCCAGACTATATCTGGAGAATTTTTTCAGTTTTGGTGGCCATGCTCTCCACCTTATGGTTCACAACTGGGGGTGTTTTTGACCCTCAGGACATTGGCAATGTCTGGAGACATTTCTGGTAGTCACAATTGGAGCGAGTGCTACTGGCATCTAGTGGGCAGAATGCAAAGGTTTTGCTAAACATTCTATAGTATGCAGGGCAGCCCCCACTCCCCATGACAAAGAATTACTTAGGTCAAATGTCAATAGTGCCAAGCATGAGAAACCCTTCTCTAGTTGATGAGGCAACTAGAGCATGGTTAGTGGAGGGAACAGTTTTTAAAACAGTGTTACTAGGAAAAATTGAAGAAACTGGTGATTATCCTGGAGATTTAGGGACCTGAGAAATATCTTAGAAAAGTGAAAGAACTGAACCATCCAGAGCAACTGCCCAAGTTTCTACCAACATTCACCCTAACCACTGTGATAAGGTCCAATCAGATCCAATGTTTGGAAAACTAAGAAAGTCAATTTTAATAGCAAACACTTGTATAGCATTTGCTGTATTTCAGGCACTATTCTAAGAGCTGTACAGATATCAACACATTTAATTGTCACAACAAACCTATAAAACCCATTTTTCAAATGGAGAGACTGAGACACAAAGAAGTAGGTAAGTAACTTGCCTAAGATCACAAAGCTGAGAGTGGAAGAGCCAGAATTTGAGCCCAAACAGCTGTACTCTTAACGACTGTTCAATATTGCTTTGCTGTACTGGAAAGGATGCTATTGTAAAGAGACAGACCTGGGCTCAAATCCCAGCTTTGCCACTTACTAGTTTGTAGCCACAGGCATGCCACTTAACCTCTCTGAATCAATTTCTTTATCCTGCATGATAAGGGTGTCTGATAGTAACATGATAAACATTTACTAGGTTCTTCTGCACTGTGATGAATGTACACTCGTGTTGTTTAATGACAGGGATGTGTAACTGAGAATAGTTAGGCAATTTTGTCATTATATGAACATCATAGAATGTACTTAAATAAACCTACATGGTGATAGCCTACTACATACCTGGGCTATGTGGAATAGCCTATCGCTCCCAGGCTACACACCTGTACAGCATGTTACTATACTGAATTCTATAGGCAATTGTAACACAATGGTAAGTTTCTGTGTAACTAAACATAGAAAATGCTTAGTATAAATATGGCATAAAAGATAAAAAATGATACACATATATAGGGCACTTGCCACAAATGGAGGCTGCAGGACTGGAAGTTGTTCTGGGTGAGTGGTGAGTGAGTGTGAAGGCCTAGGACATTACTGTACACTACTGTAGGCCTTATAAACACTGGACACTTAGGCTACAACAAATTTATAGGGAAATATTTTTCTTTCTTCAATAATAAATTAGTCTTTCTTACTGTAACTTTTTTACTTTATAAACTTTTTAAATTTTAAAACGTTTTGACTTTTAAAAATGGCACTTAGCTTAAACCACAAACACATTGTACAGCTGTACAAATATTTTCTTTCTTCATATCTTTATTTTATAAGGTTTTTCCACTTTTAATTTTTTCTTTTTTACTTTCTAAACTTTTTTATTAAAAACTAAGACACAAACATACACACATTTGCATAGGACTACACAGAGTCAGAATGTCAAGATGTCACTAAGTGTGACATTATACAGATATAAACATATGTATGGAAAATGTACATATTATATAAATAACATACATACAGATAAAACATATATATTTTCAGCTCCATTATAAGCTCATGGATCACTGTTGTATATTTGGTTCCTCATTGACTGACATGTTGTTATACCGCATGACCACATTTATTATCCTCATTTCATACTCATGGAATTACATGGTTTAGAGACATTGAATGACTTGTCCAGGGTCACACAGCTAGGAATTAGAAGGTCAAGATTTAAATCCATATCTTTCTGACTCCAGAGCCTGTTTTTTAATGACAAATTCATTATATTTGCAAGCTCATGATGATAATAGTATGAGAAGGCATAAGAAAATTGCTGGGACACCGTAAGCAATTAATAACTGCTTATTATTAGATTAGTAATCGTAGTTATCATGTTTATTACCAGCTCAATCAGATGTGTAGACAGTAGCACATATTCTAGCTAAAAGGACAAGATCAGCAGAAAATGGATGATGCAGTAGCTTGTGTGTAGATCACAATCCCCCAGCCAGCTGTTCCATAATCCTGAGCTTCAGTCTCCTGGTGAAGTGCTGTCATTTTTGATTCATTCGTCCTGCTGTCTGTATGGTCTACTATTCATAGAACAGGAGTGGGACGAGCAGGGATAGTGTGAGGCTATTTAATGTCAAGGTTCCATGGCCCATACATTTCATAGAGTCTGCTTAGTCATAATTTAAAAAAACCATGAATATAGTGCCTTGCACAAAACCAGAAAAGCCACCACACACTCACAGACTGCACTGAGAATAGAACCGCAGCTCACCTGATGGTTAATTCCACCCAGGAAGGATTTCATCTTAAAACAATTGCCTGAATTCGTTGCAGGGAACACTGTGAGTGTTTTCCACAGAGGGGGTGGCATCTGCCTAGCAATTAGAAAGGCTAGAGGGCTGGCAGCACTCAGAATCTGCCTGCAGTGGATTCTTAAACATGAAATTGTGGCCAAAAGGATGTCAGACAGGAAGAGACCAGAGAACTGCTTGGATTATATGTGATGGCAGTAGGTACAAAGGGCACTGGGAGACTTGGGTAGGGGCCACTAACTGCCTACTTGGTGGCGAGTGATCAGAGAAACTTAGGGAGGGGATATTTGAGCTGGATCTTGATGGATGAATAGAAGTCTGCCAGGTGGAGAAAGGGGGCGGGTATATAGACAGGAGAGAACAACAATACTACAAATTTTTGTGACCTGGGAGAACATGGCACTCCTGAAATTCTTTGTGACTGATGGTGGCAGGAGCCCAGGGAGAGGAGCATGGCATGAGGGAGATAAGGCTGGAAATATGGGTTGGATTCAGCTCACAAAGGGCCTGTAGCCCCACAAAGGCTTCTGGACATTGTGGTGTAATGACAAGGATTTCTGGCAGTGCAATCTGAGGAGAAACAACTCCGGGGGTTTAGAGTGAGTCAAACCTGGTTTTGAATCTGAGTTCCATTACTTACTGGCTGTGTGGCTGAGGACAAGTGACTTTGCTTCTCTGAGTCTCAGTGCCTGTGTCTATAAGATGGGGTCATCATGTCCACCTCACATACAGAGGTGTTATTTGGATGAAACAAGGTAAGGTATAAACTCCTAACATAGCCATGGCACATCATAGCTCTTGGTGAATGCTAACTCCCCCTTTGTTTCCAGTTGGGCAGAGTTTCAATCAGATTTCTATTTTAGAACAATAACTCCAGTGGATTGCCCTTGGAGGGGTGGGGCTGGGGGGACTGGAGGCAGATAGAAGACTCAACTCTGGGAGTGAGTTGCTTTGCTGGTCTCAATATGTAAATGCTGAGTTCTAATAGCTTCAATTTCAGGAGTTTACATCTTCATTAACAGAACCAATATCCTTCTCTAAGAAGACTGGACAATGAATGAGCCAGCTTAGCTGCCTCAGTTTCTCCAACGTGAAGAGACCAGTCTGAAGGGACACAGTTGAAGCAAGTTCAAGTTTATTTGGCCATGTGTACTTGATCTCTTGTTTTCCATTTCATTTTTTCGTTTGTTCACTCATTTAGCAAACATTTACTGAGTGCCAATCATTAAATGGGCTGGGTGGGTGTTGGGGATATAGTTGTTCACCTTCCCATCTGTGTGATTTTGTATGATCAGATCTTGAAGGAACAGTGATCCCGTCTCTTCCTAGTGCATGCACATAGCTGCGGCTTCCCATTGGCCAGTTAGACACATCCCTGAACTTTGTGGAAGATAATGAGTAGAACAGAGAACATGGCTCAGGGGAGATTCCTGCTGGAGAATTACTGAACCATGCTACACTTTATCAAGCTCTATTTTCTAGAATTTCAGCACAGCATTTTGAATCTAGGACCAGAGATCCTGAACTCTTGTCGTTCTGAGAAAGAGTTCAAGAAAAGATAAATGAAAAGGAATAGTTGGACCGAGTGCTGGGGCTCATGCCTGTCATCCCAACACTTTGGGAGGCCAAAGCAGGAGAGCTGCTTGAGGCCAGGAATTCGAGATCAGCCTCATCAGCACAGTGAGACCCCATCTCTACTTAATTTATAAATTTTAAAAACAAGTAGCTGACAGGTGATAAAAAAGAAGGCAGTCCTGGCTTCTTAGTACTGACTGAACTTTTGGAAATATAACCAGAGGGTTAAGTTAATTCCACTATTTGATTAATCTAAAAATCTTACCTCAAGTTAAGGGAATTTAGAGAATTAACCAAGAAAAGCAAACAACAAAACAACAGCAAACCGTATCAATGAGGTTAAACAGCAACACCATTACCAAAATAAAATATGTCAAAACTTTGTGATGTCAAAACTGCCACATCTCATTAAGACATTCTAAAACGCTCGCTTTTCCCTCCTGAATCCATACCACTGTTTGTTCCTCTTATGGACCATTCTAAGAGCCTCCTAATAGTTTGGCCACTATGGCAGCAACAAGCCCCCATCCATACTTTATGGAGTCTTCAGAGTCCCCAGAAGGAGAGAAGGACCCTGGCTGCTCCCCGACTCTCAGTCCCCCTCAGAGGAGTGTCCTGCTCCTGGCTGGAAAGCAAGGCTGTGCCAAGCCAACATCTCCTGAGCTCCACCCACTAACAGGCCCCCATCATTTCTCTCAATCTCTGTTTTTCAGCTGGACAGAATGGGGAAACAATGCCGTGACTTTATACCTTGGAGTTATTTCCTTTTCCACCCCCTTTTCCTTCAAAATCCAGCCCAGTTATCACTCCTTCTAGACACAAGTCCCTTGACTCTCTCTCCAGAGGGTTACCCACTCCGACACCTGTAGGGCCACCTTGTATTTTAATGTTTCGAATGTAGCTCTTCCAAAGATGTATTACACTTTTTTTGTCTGACGTGTCTTTCTCACCTGCTATGACCTTTACATACAAGGGCAAAGACTCTGCCTTATTATATGTCTCTGTTTCTCCACTGCCATGCACAGCACCTGGCACATAATAGACAACTTTGTATGTTATCTTTTTTTCTGGTTAAATTGAATGATGAAATGGAAGGGAGGGGAATAGATGTTCTGAAATAGAAGAAAAGAAAGAAGACCAGGCAAGTCTGTCTCCTCAGCAAACAGTCAATGCCACTTTATTGTGAGGGGCTGCCTTGTGCAAGAGATGAGGCATTTGTCCCTGAGAACCATACAGACTTTGCCCTCCTATTGTTTAAGAGTGTGGACTTTAATGTCAACCTGCCTGGGTTTGAATCCCAGATCTGCCACTTGCTGTATGACTGTGGATAAACTAATAAACTTTCCTATGCCTCGGGTTTTTATCTGCAAAATCAGGGTAATGATGGTCCTTACTAGGAAACGTTCGTCATGAGAACTAGTGATATAATCCATGTCTTGCACTTACAGCAAGCAGCGCCTGGCACGGTGGGCATGGGGTAAATGTCAGCTCTTATTGAAGAGTTCATAGTCAAGCAGACTTGCAGTAACAAGAAGATCAAGAGAGCCGTTATTAAGAAAACTTTATTTTCTTAATAAAATCTGCACACACATCTTCAGAAGGCTTTAGAGCTGTTGGGTAGATTCTTTAATGAGATGTTCAAGAATGAGGCTTTGATACCAGAGGCATGACTGGGGGAGAATAGATGTGATGGTTGAAATGCCTTTTATGGAGGCTGGGAATAGCTAACTCCCAAGTTTTTGTGGGATATTCAAGGCAATGGCTAGAGCCAATTTTTTTAGAAGAAATGGGTGGTTTGAAAGAAAGGAAAGAGAGGGCCAGGTGTGGTGGCTTACGCCGTAATCTCAGCACTTTGGGAGGCCAAGGTGGGAGATCACTTGAGGTCAGGAGATCGAGACAAGCCTGGCCAACACAGTGAAACACTGTCTCTACTAAAAATACAAAAATTAGCCAGGCATGGTGGTGCACACCTGCAGTCCCAGCTACTCAGGAGGCTGAGGCACAAGAATCGCTTGAAGCTGGGAAGCAGAGGTTGCAGTGAGCAGAGATCATGCCCTTGCACTCCAGCCTTGGGCGACAGAGTGAGACTCTGTCTTAGAAAAAAAGAAAAGAAAAGAAAGAGAGAAGAAAAGGTTGCTAACACCCAGGGAAAGGGCTTTGGCAAGGAAATTGAGTTTTTAAATCAGAGCTTTTGATCAACTTTTCTGTCTGGTGTGTGATGCAACCCTCTCCTTAGCCTTCGCATAAGGTCCTCAGTGAAATCTCCCTGACTCTCTTTGCTGCTGGAGTTAGTTTGCTTTCTTTGGGAATGCAAAGAGTCTGGGTTTGATGTTTTTGGTGAGGTCAGTGTTATCTCCAGGATGCCAGCCACATCTGGGCTACAGATCATTACAACCCAGTGGGAGAGTTTCCATGAGAAAGGCGCTTTGGGTACACGAGGTAAAAAAGGACAGAGCACCTTTGGGGGCAGCTGGAGAGATCAGTATGTTACAGCTGCCAAATATATAGTGGAAATGTACAATAGAGTCAAGTTCTAGACTCTTACAGCAGCCTGTCCAGTGGGCAGGCACTAGACAAGCTATCTAACATTAAACACTAAGTGTCTCTGGGAAGTTACTATCATTTCTCACATTAAATTCAATTATGCTGTTCACAGCTGGGACAGGTAAGAAATGTGACAGCTGCCTGCAGAGTTGGCATGAATTGCTCTTTGTACCTGAAACACCAGAGAGGGCCAAAGGACACAGCATTGGAAAACCTGCAGAAGCCTCCATAGTATTATGCACTGGTTAATGGATCAAGCACTTGGAAGACCTAACTCAAATTTGAGTTCAGGGCTCGAAACCTAACTATTTCTAGTCATTGTTCAATTTTTCCATTTTTAGCGGAGCAACTTTGGGCACTTACTACCCGCCAGGTACTGCTATGTGCTTTACTAGCACCATAGCTTTTCATCCTTTCTAAACCCAGTAAGTTCAGTAAAATTGTTAGTTTTACATTGCAGAAGAGGAAAGTAAGGGTGAAAGAGATTGACCTACTGCTATAAGGTCATACAGCTTGCAAGCAGTAGAGCTGGAATTTGAACCCAGCCAGGTCTCTTGGACTCCAGAGCTTAAGATCTTAATAACTATGTTAACTGGTTTGGAAGGAACCAGAGATTGTCCAATTCAACCAACTGTATACCTAGAGGGAGCAACTTGCAATCTGGAAGGGCATGCAACTAGGAGTCTGCTCTCGTTTTGTTTGAGGCTCTGCTGTGTGACTGAGCAAGTCACTAAACCTTCCAGGGCCCCAGTTTTCCTTTGCTATCAACTTTTGATAAACTGTTCTGTCTTCCTTACAGGTTTGTTTTAAGGAGCAGTATGTGAAAGCCCTATATAAGAAGTGGAACAGGACAAAAGCCACGCATTTGTCTTACTAAACAGACAGCAGGCATATTCTAGTCCCCTTTTATGGGCTAGCTAATTTCTGATACATCTAGCCAAATGTGATTAACAGGGAAATGTTTAATATAGAACCACTCCCTTTTCTGACTCACCAAGAAAATGACATAATCTTGAATATTGTACTAAAATAATTTAAAAATTGAGTTTGATATTTGGCTGCGCTTGCTTAAGCATTTTCATATGCATTTAATCTCCAGTAGAACAAAATGAGGCTCCAGATGGCTAAGTTACTTGCCTCCAATCACACGCAACTAATCAATAGGAGAGTAAGAATTAGAACCCAGCACTACCTGGTTTTACTTGCAGGTGATTTTCCGTACAGGAAGGGCTTAGGTCAGATCCATTTGATTATAGAAGGCAACAACTCTGTCTTCACAGGACCTCATTGTTTCCAATGAAGTCACCATAATATCCCTGGGACTACTCCTTATGCCTCTATGCACCCTAATGGGAGAGTTTTCTGTTTTATCCTTTGCTGTGTCAAAGTCTAAACGTTTAGCAAAAATCCAGCCTCATCTAAAAAAACGAACCAGGCTCAAAGCATAGACGAGCTAAAAGAGATAAAATACTATATCATGTCTATCTCTTGATAAGAAATAACTTTCCTAGCTTTGAAGTAAAGGAGGAATTAAATTTCTTTCTAAATTATGGACAACATTGAATTTGAAACTTGTTTAAAATGTAAAAACAATGGCATGAGATTAAAAGGAAAATTTGTATACCAAAGATGATTAAGACTCAACTCTGTATGAAGAAGTAATTCAGATTTTAAAAGAAAAAAAACCCAAGATCTCAATAGATCAATGGCCAAAGGACATGAGGAAAACATTTACATAGAATAGAATACATATACTAAGCACTTATCCTAGAAAACATTTATCCTGAGTAGTAACCAAAGAATTACAGTTTAAAACAATCTTTATCATTATAATTACACATAATAATTTTACAGTTTTTGATATTTACTAAGTGCTTTACATATATAAGTTCATTTAATCCCTAAAACCACCGTAAGAGATAGTGCTATTTCCATTTCATAGGTGAGGAAACTGAGACACAGAGAGGTTTAGTAACTTGCTCAACTCATAATTAGTTAGGGGAGATTTAAACCCAGACAGTCTGGCTCTTACATTCATATTACACTTGGGAAATTAATAGAACTAAACATACCTAAAAGTAGACTATCTGGTGCTAGGAATGTTCTTGAGCGATTCAGTGCTAGTGCTTTACAAATTGCTACAACTCTTTTGCAAAGCAATATTGTGATAGGTTGCAAAAACCATAAGACTATACCTTCCATTCTAGTAAGCTCACTCACTGGACTTTGGATTGCAGAACGAATTCAACAGAAGTAGAAATTTATAGGCAGACAGTTGTATACTGAAGTGTCATCTAGACAAACACTGTTCAATATAAATATAATACACACCAGATTTATAATTTAAAATTTTCTAGGAATCATATTTAAAAAAACAAAATGAAATTAATTTTGATATTTGATTTAACCCAATATATCCAAATAGTATAATTTCAACATCAATATAAACATTTACATTGTTTTTCTTATATTGCCTTAGAAATCTGGCACATATTTTATACTTACTACTTGTCAATCCAGACTAGCTACATCTCAAGTGCTCCATAGTCGCATGTGGTTAGTGGCTGTCATATTGGATAGCACTGATTTAGAACATCAGACGATGGGAAATGGACAATAATATCCAGTGATGTGGAGAATGATTTAGAAAAAGTATGGTATGTCAGTCTCTGGAGTTGTATCAGATCATTACCAATAGCAATAATAAAAGCCTTTAAGAAATATATAAGGCCGGGTGCAGTGGTTCATGCCTGTAATCCCAGCACTTTGGGAGGCCGAGGCGGGCGGATCAACTGAGGTCAGAAGTTCAAGACCACTTTGGCCAACATGGCAAAACCCTGTCTCAAAAAAAAAAAAAAAAAAAAAAGAAATACCTAAAATGTCTATGCTATGTTAAGTAAGAAAATCCAAGAACACAAAATATTAAATTAGTAGATACTTAAAATGTGTCTGTATGCAGGCTGTGACTGAAAAAGAATGTGCAAATATTAAAATAGTTGGGTTAGCATGATGAGATTTCAGGCTGATGTTTTTGTCAAATGTTCTTTTCACTTAAATAGGCATACAACATTTATTTTTATTAATAAACTTTTTAAAACATAAAACAGACAAAGGATCCTTCATATAATAACAATATTTAGGGATTTAATTTTTACAGATTTGTAATATACTGTGTGTTCTAACAAATTCCACATGCTATATATCACTTGGGTTTACCTATAGTTTGGTGTTCTCCTGATAAATAATTTGGAATTTTTAATTATTGGATAATCTTCTGTTTATGTCAGTGTTCTCAAAGGAGTTGAGTTACCTAAGAAAATTATTCACAAGCCTTTGAATAACACATTATGGAGGCAATGTAATGATAGGACCATCCTTTGCTCTTTGTAATATATTTAATATACATTATTGATTGATTGGTTGATTGATTGAGACAGAGTCTCACTCTGTTGCCCAGGCTGGAGTGCAATGGTGCGATCTCGGCTCACTGCAACCTCTGCCTCCTGGGTTCAAGCGATTCTTGTGCTTCAGCCTCCCGAGTACCTGGGACTACAGGTGAATGCCACCACACCCAGCTCATTTTTGTAGTTTTAGTAGAGAACGGGTTTTGCTATGTTGGCCAGGCTGGTTAATACACATGTTTATTATTGCATTTCTTTTATTTGACCTATGAGCTATACTAAAAGCTGACCCAAAGATATCCAATTGTTTGGTGGGTTCCTAGAGATAGAAACTAATAAACAAAATCCCAACTACTTAGGAAAAACTTTGAAATTCTGATTTCAGTTTTAACTAACATATCTAATTGAGAACTAGAGAAGCACAGACGTGGATGGGTTAGATAAAGAAGGATAACTGGAGTCACAGAGTGCTGCGAGCCTGAACTTGGAAAGTCAGCATCTGCAGAAAAGAGGGCATGGGATTATGGTCAGAGAAAACAATTCTGGCCCTGCCTGTACTACCTTAGGGAGTGCACAATCATTCCTTATCTGTAGAACTGGAGATCATGAAATCAATCTCATAGGTAGTAAGAATTAAATAAGATAATATACTTCTCTAAAGATCTGTAATTCTCTGAGGTCATTAAGTGCAATCCTTTATTTTACCTGTGAGGAACACGGGTCTAGAATGGCAAAAACAGGCTTGGAACCTGGATGTCTAGTTTGAATTAGGGTCTTTTAAGCACAAAGACTCAGAGGCCAGGCCTGGAATCAGGGTCCTTCTGTCACTGTGCAGCTCAGTTCTGACACTGTCACAGTGTCATAACACTATGACCTTGAACAAGTCTCTTACATTCTCTCATTTTCCCTATCTGTAAGGTGGGGAAAATAATTGTGTCTAATTCAAGATTGGTCGTGGAGTTTTTAAAAGTCATACTACATAGTATGTTTGGCACACTGCAATCTCTCAGTATCTGTTATCTGTTATTGACAGTAGCCATCCAGAGAAACCTTCTTTGGATGCTTTTGGTGTCCCCAAACCAATCCTTACAATTGTCTTTACAGTCGGCATGTATATTTTACTCATCAATTGGTTGAATCTTTGCAGAATTATATTTTGGAACTTCATAGAAAAATAAAACAGGAAGTTGGGGAAGGGTGGCATTGGCCCACCACTAGGGGGAGTGTTAGTGAAAGTTTATCTTAGACACTCTTAGGCGGGCAGGTTCTGCAGTGGGTAAGGGTTTGGTGGAGGGAAGGAAGGGAAGAGGTGGGCATTCAGGAAAAAGCTGGGTGGAACTCAGGAAGGCATGGAGGTGTGGTCCTGTTGGAGGAGAGCTTGCAAGAAGAGCAAGAAGGCAGTGCAGCACATTGGTAATACCTCTCACCGAGCACTTGCTGTGTGTTAGGCTCTGTGACTCTCATTATTAGTTTCTGTCGCTGGAAAATGGGAAGGCTAATAGTTTCTCCTTTCTAAGAGTTATTGCAAGCACTTTAAGAAATACTGTGTACAACATTTTTGAACAATGAGTGCTTGACACATAAAAGTTTGTTGTTACTATTATTATTTACTATTAAATCCTTCAAAGCTCACATGAGGAAGACCAGGGAACATGTTCAAAACCATGGAGCTAGTAACTGACAAATATCCCCTGTTGCCCGGCAAGTCAAGCAGAGTCTTCCATCCTCCCGCTGCCCACCCTCCAGCCCCATCTCTCAACCTTCCAGTGGTGTTGCCAGGGTGGACCTAGATTGGCTCAGAGCCCCCGTTCTGCCTCTTCCTGGCTGCAAGACCGGAGTAAGTCACTTTGCCTTTCTGAAACTCAGAAAGCAAACTTCCAGTTTGCTCATTTGTGAAGTGGGGGTCATGTTTCTTATAGGGATTTTGTAGGAATTCAATAATGTTTTCCAAGTAGAGTGCGTAGCCCACTGTTTGGCACATAGTTACTCAAGGAGTATTAAGCTGTTAATGTGAAGTGAAGTGAGCCCTTGGGTTCTCTGTGACCTAAGTTTCTCTAGACCCTGACATTTCCATACTTAACCTTTACTCTGGAACAGTCTGGGACAAAAGAAACATATCGGAAACCTAGGCTTTGACAGCCTTCTCTCCCTCTTTTTGTAACACACCATTTTCTTAATTCAATGCCGTATGAAGCAATACAGCTTCTAAATTCATTGATGGTGTCTGCCGGCAAGGAAATGTCAGAGCACTTGGATCCAACTGTCCCGTTGCCGTTCTCTGGCTTTCACTGGGTGAATGGTAACATTTTCAAATGAATAAAAATCTCCAGGCAACATCGCTCTCCTCCCCCAGAGCAGATTTATAACAGAGTGGTTGGCATTTCCACATGCTTTGCACTTGTCAGTGTCAGATTCACATACGTTCTTAGGTCTCTGTACATATATAGGCATAATTTAAATCTCCGGTGAACAAAGGCTATTTTTCTAACTTGGAGATATTCCAAAAGATCTTTGCATTTCATCTATTTTAAATGTTTGTGTGATTTAAAAGCATGGTGATGTCAAATGGTACAGGGGAGGACTGAATATTCAGCTTCCAGCAACTGATCATGTGCTATGTGTCAGGCACTTTATATACAATATTTTACTGAACTGCAGAATGCATATGCATGATCCTCAGTTTACAGAAAGGGAAACTGAGGCTCAGCAAGATTAGTGACTTGCCCAAAGTCACACAAGTCACATGAGCTGAGAGTGGTGGGAGTGTAACAAAAATCATTCTGATTCCATATACAATGTTCCTGACATTTTATCACAGATGCCTCTGCAGAATAACATGCATGCATTCATTCATAAACAATTTACTGAGCACTTGTAATGTACCAGGCACTATGCAAGGCTCTGGTGATCTAACAGAAGAAAAAGCAAGCAAGAATTCTGGCTTTCAAAGAGCTTACATTCTAGTGGGCAAATAACATGGGCCAATTCTGTAACTTGGTGAAAATTTCATCTTCATTGGATGAGATGGAGGTAGAAGAAGGAGGTGGAATGCAAGGATGGCTGGGATCATGGTCTCTGTTCCTCCCCAGATCATGCCAGGGTAAACATTTGGGGAAGGTCTGAGAAGAATGATGAGGCATAAATCTGTGACAATTCCTGCCAGGCCTCTATTCTGATCTGCAACGCATAGGTTGTTCTCTTTTGGGGTGCAGGATTTTGACAGCAAACATTGCTGCTCTAGAGCAAGTAGAGATAAAAAGTGGGCTATTGAAAAGCAAGGCATGGGGAAGGTGTTTTTAGGGGCAGCAAAGATAGAGAAGGAGATGAAAGTGCCAGGATGCCTACAACAGGCACTCAATAAGTGATAGTAGGCAGACTGTGACCTACTATCACTACTACCCAAGATCTATAGTGAAATCCATGGAAAACTTAAAACAACTTCCTGTTCATTTTCAAAAGCAATGTTGCTAGCTACATTCATTACGCAACTCCTATGTGCCAGTCACTGTACCATGTTCCTTGTATGCATTGTATAATTTAATTCCCAAAAAATGAAGTTGCTGCTCAGAGAAGCTAGTGAATGGAGAAACTTGAATTTCAAACCCGAATCTGTCCAACTATAAAGCTCTTGTCCTTTTTGTCCACACCATGCTGCCTCTGTGGCTCCTCAGAAGGCTCTTAAAGTAGAATTAATTTATAACTTGCTCTGCATCCTACATCCTTGCAACTCAAAGTATAGTCTGTGGACCAATGACATTGGCACCACCTAGGAGCTTATTAGAAATGCAGAATCTCAGGTGCCACCCCAGACCTACTGAATCATAATCTCCTTTTTAACAGGACTCCCATGTACAATAAAGTTTAAGAAGCAGGCCGGGCACGGTGGCTCACGCCTGTAATCCCAGCACTTAGGGAAGCCTAGGGAGGGTGGATCACTTGAGGTCAGGAGTTCGAGTTCAGCCTGGCTAACATGGTGAAACCCCGTCTCTATTAAAAATACAAAAATTAGCCAGGCGTGGTGGCACGTGCCTGTAATCCCAGCTACTCAGGAGGCTGAGGCAGGAGAATTGCTTGAGCCCAGGAGGCAGAGGTTGCAGTGAACCGAGATCATGCCACTGTACTCCAGTCTGGGCCACAAAGCAAGACTCTGTCTCAAAAAAAAAAAAAGAGAGAGAAGCACTGCTCTATATCTCTTGCGAAAAGACATGATACAGACACTCCCAAAGGTGGTGAGAGATACTTATCTCTGGCTCTAAACATTATCATTTCAGGAATTCAACTGATGGCTGTTGTCAAACTTAATCAAGAAATGGAAGTTTTAAAAAACCTGTCTGGGTGCCTGTTAAATCAAATTGGAATGGAAGAATCACTGTGTGATCTCAGAAGTTAGCTAAAGTTTTGAGGATGAGTTTCTACTTTTTTTTTTTCTTTTTCCTAACCCCTGAAACCTATGAAAGAGGATGAGTTTCTATTTCAAGGATGTTTTCATAGGCTTTTTAGGAAAGGCTTGCTCATTGTTAATGAGACTTTTACCCCCTAGTGGGAATCTTGACAGTAGTTTGGGAGATGAATAAGGGACCCCTTTCTTTTCTGGTGTTAGTGTGTTGAGTAGAGTCCATTAATCTGGATATAGGGCAAGGTATGATGGACTAGAACTTTTATCACAGATTTGTCCATTGATTCTCTCTATGGTCTTGGGCAAATCATTAAAACCTCCCCATATATCAAGTGATGCTGGCCTGGGGAAAGTCTACATAACATCTGACTGTTCTTATGCCATTATAATGATGATGAAAGAAATGTGTGTGTGTGTGTGTGTGTGTGTGTGTGTGTGTGTGTGTGTGTTTAAGATAGGGTCTTGCTTTGTCACCCAGGCTGGAGTGCAGTGGTGCGAACATGGCTCACTGCAGCCTTGACTTTCCAGGCTCAAGCAATCCTCCCACCTCAACCTCCCAAGTAGCTGGAACTACAGGCATGCACCACCATGCCCAGTTAATTTTTTGTAGAGATGGCATTTCACTATGTTGCCCAGGCTGGTCTTGAACTCCTGAGCCCAAGCGATCCACCTGCATTGGCTTCCAAAGTGCTGGGATAACAGACATAAGCCACCACACCCACCCAGAGAAATTTGTTTTTAAGGCAGGATATTGGTAGGTTAATATTATGGACTTCAAAAATTCATAGGCATTTACTAAAATGCTTGCTAGTCCTTTCATCAACCAGCAAACCAATCAATCAAACAATTAAAAAGTATTTATTGGGAAGCTGCCCTCTGTCTCAGAATACAAAGGGGGTAATGCTTCTGGGGCAGAAAATAGTAATTATGAATCACTTTCCACCCATTTCCAGTTCCACAAAAGCTAAGCACCGTGATGAGTAGAAAGGGGCTGGGATGACAGGACCTGGGCACAGTGTATTAGGTGGGGGCAGGAGGGCACTGTGGCTCTTTTCCTGTTTACCTGCTCACTCAAGGCCTGCTTCATCTTGCCTGACATCTAGAGCAGAATCTCCAAATCTACCCCTGGAACGTGAACAAGTTCAGGTGCCATGCTTCTAAGGCAGAGAAAGTAGAGGCTCAGTCTTGCCTTAGCTCTTCCTCTCTGGCTTCCACATCCAATCCCCAAGTCCTAATCTTTGTATCTCAGTAAAATCTTTTCTACCTGCCTCCATATTCCATTTGTTAGCTCAAGCCCTGTGTTTTAGGCCTTCCTAACATATAGGACAAAGGTGGTCCCTTGTTTCCCCAACAGTCTTGAATGGCAAATGAATTAACCTCTCTGAGCCTGTTTTCTCCTTGGTACAATGGGAATAATATTAATGTCTGTTTCATGGGGTTGTTGTAAGGATGTAAATGAATGGAAGTTCAGAAATATGCAGCTACCTCTGTCTTTACGTCTACATTTCTGCGACCTTTCCCTTTTCTTCTCTCCACACATCCTCCTTCCCTTTCACCTGACTTCTCATATCAATTTTTCAGAATCCCAACTTTGACATCACTTTTTCCTGAAAGTGTGACTTTCCCATATCTATGGGAAGTGCCTCCAGTATGTCTTCCTATATGACTCCAGCCCTCTTCTGCCATGGTCCTCATTTCAATGTGGCATGCTTGACTGTTGACATGTTAGTAACTAGACCAAGAGCAGTAATAATATTTGTCGAGTTCTTACTATGTTCCAGGGCCTATGCTAGGTACTTTTCATGCACTGTCTTATTCAATCCTCACAATGACCCTAGGAGATCAGTTTTATTATTGTCATTCCCATTTTACAGATGAGGAAACAGAAAAGAATAGATTCAGTAAATTGTCCAAGATCACCCAGCTAGTACGTTTCAGGACTGGAATTCAAAACCAGTTCTGTCTAACTTTGTGCCCACGTTCATAATACTAGGCTAAATGTCTCTTGACCAGCACATGCCTGTCACACTCCAGAATAGGATAAAAACACATGCACACATATACAACCAAAACCATGTTTTATAAAAAGTGCTTAGTAAACTGATAAGTCTTTCATCTTTCCTCCTTTTCTTCTCTGGGGGTGTCTAGGGAAGAGAAGGTTTATCGTTATATGGTCTGCATCATGGTTTGGGCTGGGAAACTCCTGCTGTAGTTAACTGAGCTCATTAGAAACCCACGGAAGTGAATTATAGAAACATGACTTGTGCCAGCCTACCTAGCCACATTTTAGGATCCTGAGACATATGGGCACCAGCTCATTTAGAAAGCATTTTTAACAAAAGCACACAAAAAAGATGTTCAGCATATGTTAGAGTAGGTAGGATTCATGGAATCCTAAATCAACTTGCTTTTTATAGCCATTTGGAGAGGGGCAAATTAGTGACAGCCAGTTTTTCCTTCAGTGCACATTTAGAAGGGGCCAGGCTGGGGAGCAGGTGGAGTAGCCAATATCAGTGCTGGTGGATTGGAGTGTCTCTGACAAGCTCCCAGCCCCCACACTCCCTCCCACCCACCTGCACATTACATGCTCATTCTCTCCTAGCAGTGCCAACTCCAAGCACAGCATAAAAAAGTCTTAAAGATGATATAAGTAACACATGTTAATTAGAAAGTAGGTTTAAGAAAAAAAATCATCCTTACTCCCACCTTCCTAAAGAAAACATTTTGGTATCTATCCTTCCAGTTTTTTTTTTTTGGTTGTTGACATTTTATACACACACACATATATACTTGTGTATATACAAGAGACCTCCTTTGTCCTATATGTATGTATATATTCCCTTTTACCAAATTGAGATTATATCAAATGTTCTATAATTTACTCCCTCCCTCTCCAAACTTAACACTACCATTTCAAGTCAATAAGCACACATTTACATCATCATTTTAAATCACTGTATGGTAGTCCATTGTAGGGTTTACTATAATTTATTTACTAATCTAGTGTTATTGGACATATAGGTTGCCTAACCACTGCTTTTTGTCAACAACACCTCTAGGAACATTCTCATATATACCACTCTGAGCACTTGTCCCCATTGTTCCTTAGGACAAATTCCCCAGGCACCGTACCTTAATAATAAATTATCACTCCTTAGTAGCTTGGTGTAATCACTTCTTTCTTTATGATAGTTATAAACCCTGACAAAAAGGGAGGTTTATTGGGTGTGAGGGTGGGTGGGTGTTTGGGAGAAGAATGGGACAGGAGGAAGAATGTCTCAGGGGCATAAGACATTACTAGAGGAATGTAGGACTTGGTGCCATGGGACTAATTAGCTATTCTAGGGTCAGACTGAAGGTGTTGGATTAAAAATTAAAATAGAAACCAACCAATCAACCAACCAAACAAACAAAACACAAAGCGGAGATGGGAAGCCTTCAACATTTGCTTCCCTGATTTGCGATTTCACCCACACTGGACCCTTGGCATGAAACCTTGGCATGACCATCTTTATTGGCCTTTTGGAAAATGTTTTAGCAATCAAAAGCCACAAAAATAGTTGTACTATTTGATTTAGTAGTAGCACTTCTGGAAATATAACCTAAGGAACTAACACCAAAGAAAGATAAAGCTATGTGGACAAAGATGTTCTTTATGGAGTTACTTAAAGTAGCAAAAAAACTTTTATCTAATGAAAATAGTCAACAGTTAAGAAAATTATAGTACAACTACATAACAGAACAGCATGCAGCCATCTGATCCTTACCAGCTGTGTGATCTTGGGGGAAATTACTTAACCTCTCTTTTGTTAAATGGGGAAAAATAATCTTTGTTACTGCAGGCTTGTCAGGATTAAAAAGATAGTATTTAAAAAGTGCCTAGAATAGTTGTTGGCTTATTATAAGTGTCGAATAAATATTAATAACAGCTAAGTATACAAAAATATTTTACAGTCATGGAAACAAATATGATAGGATGAAAAGCAGCCCACAAAAGCATGCATGCACCTGTCAGCCATGGGGAAGCCTGCATCGGGAACTGGAAATATTTTTTTTGCCTCACTATGGACTTACTGGATGTGGATCTCCAAGACCTGGAAAGTGAGTTTTGTCACAACGGCCAAAGGTGTCAAGCTCTGAGAGGCTGTCCCTACCTCAAAGAAAATTAATGAAGGCCTGACCTAGACATTAGAGTGCCAGTGTAATGACTTAGAAAGAGAAATACAAATATCATGTGGAACAGAGATACCTGTCTCAGCACTGTAATGCTTTCTCTCCCCAGAGGCAAGAAGCAGAGGGAGCCAATGCAGAAGCAGAAACCCCAGCATATAATAAAATACAAGAAGCATCAAACCCTAATGCAAGAAGCAACAGAATTGTCCACTGTTGCATAAATGCAAAAACAAAACATGGTGAAAACATACAATGGAATACTCTATATCCTTAAGAAGGAAAGGAATTCTGAAACAGGCCACAACATAGATGAACTTCAAAAGCATTATGCTAAGTGAAATAAGTCCAGACATAAAAGGACAAATATTGTATGATTCCACTTTTTTTTTCTTTCTTTTTTTGAGACGGAGTTTCGCTCTTGTTGCCTAGGCTGGAGTGCAATGGCATGATCTCAGCTCACTGCAACCTCTGCCTCCCTGGTTCCAAAAATTCTCCTCCCTCAGCCTCCCATGTAGCTGGAATTACATGCATGCACCACCATGCCCAGCTAATTTTGTATTTTTAGTAGAGGTGGGGTTTCACCATGTTGGTCAGGCTGGTCTGGAACTCCTGACTTCAGGTGATCTGCCTGCCTTGGTCTCCCAAAGTGTTGGGATTACAGGATGAGCCACCGTGCCCAGCCATGGAGTACCTAGTAGGCAAATACACAGAGAGTACAGTAGAGGTTACGGGGGGAGGGGGAATGGGAGTGACTGTTGAACAGGTACAGAGTTTCAATTTGGATGATGGTAAAGTTCTGGAGGTGGATGTTGGAGATGGTTGCACAACCATGTGAATGTACTTAATGCCACTGAATTGTATGCAAAAAATGTTATGGTGGTAAATTTTATGTGGTGTGTATTTTACCACTAAAAAGAAAAGAAAAATCCTAATGAGAGAGGCAACATGACTTGGTGGTCTTCAGAGGGCATGAGCTCTGAAACCAGGCTGTTTAGGTTCATGTCCTGGCTCTGCCCTTTACTAGCCACGTGTCCTGGGGCAAATCCCTTGCATTCCTTGTCAGTCATCTGCAAAATGGAGGCCATAGTGGCATCTACTTTCTGGAGCCATCATGAGGATTAAAATGAGTAGATCTAGGTAAAGTACTTTAGTTTTACAGCAATGCTGAACAAATAGTGAATATTACATAATCCTAGGAAAATTTTTGAAAAGTGACATTCTTGGTTTCTCTTGAGAGAGCATTATGATGGGGACAGAAATACTCAAAGTCAGTGAGACGACACATTATCTTTGTGCAGGAAGATCTACTCGGAAGCGTAAGGTTGCTTGGCAAACACGGAACCAGAACAAAACAATTAGAGAAATTGTGTATCTAATAGTATGCAGCGAAGACAGCCTGATTTTATCATAGGGATTGTCTTGCCAGCAGAAGTGGAAACACTCAAAACCCATTGACTAAAGCTCTGTGTCTCCCTGGGATCGTGCTGGGCAGGGCAGCCAAGGCTTGCTTTTGTGACATTTCTTTGCCAGCACATCCAAAGCTGGCCAATCCCTCTCCAAAGCATTCCAACATCCCATCTCCTTTGGGTGAACTGCCTCAATCTGCCCCATTCTAACATGTGTTGCCTTTACTGTTTAGTTCCCTGACACTTCTATTTTTTTGGAAGGAAACATGGAAAAATGACAGCAGCCTGATTTATTGGTGGTTGCAGAACTGTGGGTGAAATATTTTCAGTTCTGTTACTGGAGCTATGATGGCTGTAAAATTTTAAAAACAGATTTTAAACAATCATGATTGCCCAGTGTTTTTGCATTTGTAAGCTCTTTTCTGTTGGATGGGTCTGATTGTTCAGAGCACAGCAGGCAGCAGGAATAATGAGATATGAAAGGGATGCTAGATCATGCTCCTGGGCCCCATATTCATTCCAGCCTGTTATCCATCTCCCGATTGTCTTCAAACCCTAAGTGAGGCTAATGAGGGGCTTGATGTGGTGTCTGAATTTATGATGAACCCCATTCATTTGCTTTTACACTCCAGTAAACAGCTGTTGAACTTCTTCCTCTGAGTGGTTTATTCTTAGCCTTATGTGGCTTAAAGTAACTTTAGAAACAGCAATGCTGTGTACACATATGTGCCTGCATGTTAATACCACTCAGGTCAGGATTTGCCGCTGCTGCCTTAGGATTTGATCACAGGTATGGAACCACCTGAATGGATGGGTACATGCCTCAAACGAGTGCCTTTAAATCTTGCTTCACTCTAAAGAGGGGCTGGATCTCCCTGGACAGTGTTGGAGTCCGAGCTGATCTCTACTTCTTGTACTTGGCTGGTAAGAGGAGAAGGAAGCAGGGGAGGCTGGGTTCCCTGGAGCATGGCGTAGCAGATGTGGGCAGTTTGTTAGTCACATTCCTCAAACCGTACTGAGCCAGGGTGCATGGGCCAGGCTTCTATCTGTGTCTCTGTGTCTGAGGACTTTGTCTCAGAACTGCTGCAAGCTGGAAGTGCCAGGGGAGTTATCACTCCTGGGAGCAGCCTTCAACCAATGACTCTTGCTAATTGGGGCATAAATATTCCAGACCCTTCACCCCTTGGGTGGGATAATTGTGAGGCATGTGTTTTATACTGTCTCCCAGATTTTTCCCATGAAATTCAGCTCCAGTTGCTCACTGCCATAGCAGGCTCACTCTACACTCCTGCCAGTCTCCTTCTCTTTGCTCTGTCACTTTCGTTCTCCTCCAGTACTGGTCCTTGAACCTCCCAAATACACTCACTGCACTAGAATCCCTGTATCAAGGCCTGCTTCTGGGAGAACCCACATGAAAACACATGATGTAGAGAAAATAGCACAAGGTTTCAGACTAGAAGACACCAGTTTTATCCTAGCTCTGTCACTTATGTGTCACATGACTTTGGGTAACTGACTTTAATCTCTCTGAGTTCTAGTTCCCTTAACTGTAAGAAGCCAGAGCATGATAACACCTACCTCATTCATTGGGCCATTCGTAAAGCCTGAGTGAGAATATGTAAGAGGAGGAGTCAACAGGATAAAGTTCTTTAGAGATGTTCATCATGTGATTACGTGTGGCTCTGCCATTTCCCCTGTTGTCTGCAGAATCTAGTCCCGCCCCCAGATATTCCTCTACACCGTTCTTATTCATGCTATTAACCTGTGTACATCTCAGGTGAATTAACATTATGAAAATTTCAGCTTTTGAGCACTTTGTGGCTAATTCTTTCTTTATAATTCTTTTTACCTCTGTTTCTTACTATTAACATTTTCAAACATAAAGAAGAATTGAAAGAATAGGCCAACAAACCCTTGATTTGGATTCAACAACTTTAAACAGTTTGCCATAATTGCATTATCTGTTGGCCTATCTTGCTGCACTGTTTGAAATTGATTTCTAGATGCCATGATGCTTCACTCTTAAGTACTTCAGTATACATTTCCCAATCTCGCACATGCACAGTACCCTTCATACACCTAAGAAAATGAACCTTAATTTCATAATATCATCTAACATTCTACCTATTATATTCCAAGGTTCTACTTCTGCCAAGAATGTCTTTCATAGCTCATTTATTGTTTAGCTAGGATCCACTCTAGGTTTACTGCAGAATGTCTTTGCTTAGAAACAATCATTCTGTCTCTGACTGTGTGTGTGCACGTGTGCATGTGTGTGCTCATACCTGAAGTATGTGTTGGAGATGTTCCCTGTGCATTCTTTCTCACTGAAGCCAGATTAGCATTGTGGCTCTCTGGTCCTTGGATGACAATGGGACAACCTGAGCCTTGTCTAGATGTGTGATCTTGGCTGGGCTGGTGGCATCCACCAGCAGCAGAGGGTTCTAAGTGGGTGGTGACTGGCAAGTCTGCCTGGCTGTCTATGCATGTCAGGGCTGCACCAACCACGTCCGTGGCTTCCTTCAGTGGTCACCTGCCAGATGCTTACACAGAAGTGCTGCCAGCAATGTCAGCTGTCAGTTGAGGAAGAAGGCATCCTGCCCACTGATTTAATGAGAGACGGATTTTTTTCCTTTTGGGGAAAAAAAATAAAACTATTTGTCAGGTAGAGTGCCTGTTTAGACAAGTCAGCAAATGCTCTTATTCTAAATTGGTGAATGTTCTTCTGTCCCCCCCGTCTTCACAAAGATGTTGAAAAAATGGAGACAGAGGTTGATAGAGTGTGTTTAGACAGCAAGAAGGCATATGATTTGCAATAATAGTAATACATGGAGTCCCCAATAAATATGTACTGAGTAAATACATGAATAATAAAAGCAAGCACTTAAAGAAGGCCTACTATGTGCTATCATCTCGTTTATTCTTCATAGCAACATTGTGATATAAGTGTTATCTCCATTTTATAAATTAGAACCTGGGATTACTAACTGACTCAAGATCACACAGCTAGTAAGTGGCAGAGCCATGATTTGAACACAGCTGTCAGACTGCAACAACTATATTCTTTAACCAGAGTCCTAAGCAGTCAGTACTGTGCTCAGTCTGTACATTAAGCATCTCCAACCACAGAAGCTCCTGCCACTTCTTGGTTAACATGCAGTACAGTGCATGGTACATTACAGTTGTTCAGGTAATGTTTGTTGAATAAATGTGTAACCCAAGATAGGTATACAAAAGGTGACTATCAGATTCTCAGGACTCCCATTAATTTCAGTGATCATAAGCCTCCACTGATTTCTCTCTCTCTCTTTTTTTTTTTTAACTTTCCATGTCGTTGTCTCTATATGTTCTCCCACTAGCCTCAATTCCTCCCCAAAAAGCCCTCCCCAGCCCAAAGCAGCATTCTTCTATGTTGCTATTTCCTACAAAAATGTAATGAGTCCCAAATGCACTAGGTACTGGCATTCCTAGCTGTCTTCTTTCTCAACAAGTCCTTCATAGAGAAATGCCTTCCTGCAGAAATTAGAAGGGGAGGTTCTCTGCAGCTTCTAGAGACTGTGCTCTTTGGTTGTCTAGTCTCCCGACAGGTACCTTTAGAGACTTACCTAAGAAGAATAAAATGAGAGGTGCTGACGTCTCAGATCTGGAAAGTCTACCTTAAAAACCAAATTTCTCCCAGGGAACCAATCAGGACTCAAGCTCTGCTTCATACTTTAGACCCTACGAATTCTGCTCTGCCAGTGAGTGAAGGACCAAAAGAAAATAAAATCTGAGGGACCTAAGAGTCACCAACACCTTCTCATTCCCTTTGGAGGTGAGAGGCAGTTCTGAGTGTCACATTCTTTTAGTTTGGTGAATCATAAGTTGTTTGGGGCCTCCTGAATTCCCCATTTCCAATCTTTATCTCTTTCTACTCCAATTCAGGCTGGCACATAAGGGACAAAAGGGTGCTTGGTGCATAGGCAGGTTGGTGGATATGTGCCTAGGGTTGCATGTGGGAGGTGACACTAAGGGTAGGCTTAGCAGTAGCCTAGGATTGCAGAGGGGAAATGACAGATGGAGAGATACTACCCTGTGTTCAGATGCATGGCCTTCACATTCGCATGGCTTATGGGCTGTTGGACGAATGACCAGGCAATCCCAGCAACAGGGGATGGTGCTCTGCTATGACAAGGAGGCCAAGTGCCATAGAAGAGCTCCAGGAGAGTGGCATCTAAACTGGCAGAGGAAGGATGAATAGGCATTAATCAGACCAAGCTAGAAGACTGGAGAAGAGGGGAAGGATGTCCCATGGGAGAGGAAGCATGGTGGAGAAAGAAGAGGGGCATGGAGGGAGCTGAAAGAAGTGGTGGGAACATAAATTGCAAGGCAGTAAGGGCCATATGATGAAGTTAGGGCAGTAGAGCAGGACCCCAAACATGAATGGCCCTGTGGGCGTGAGGCTGGAGGTTTGGAGGACTGTTGGAGGTGGTAAGGAGGGAGGGATGTAGAGCAGCTGAGTTCTGAGAGCTATTTCGCTGCCCTTTCCCTTGTCCTCCACTAGGCTGAATATCTCCATCTATATTTCCACAACTATTGTATCCCACATGGTCAAAGTTAACTTAAATCCTCCCTACCAAAGCTTTCTTTTTCTTTACTATTTCAATTCATGATAGCACCACAGAGTCACTCAAAGTAGAAACCTTATATCGCAAATGACAAACAGGTTTACATTTGACTATCAACTCCGATTAATATGTAACAGTGGCCTGATGCTCTGTGTTGAGGAGGATTCGAAGGCCAAGTCATGCCTCAGAGAGAAGGAGTACATGGGTAATGAGCCTTGCAATGGGCAGGGGAAGGAGGCTGGGGACACTAGGGCTGTGTGTTTGTTAGTCGAGAGTTAGAGTTACCTAGACTTTTTTTCTTTTTCGTTTCACATGCAGTAGATCCCAGAGTCCATTTCTCTCATTCTGACTTCTTTCTCTCCATCTCTACTCTCCTTCTTAGTTCTGGTCTCTTTGTCTTTCAGTCGATCTCTATCACCAGGTTCCTAAGTGGGCTCCCCGCCTTAGGGCTCTTTCAGCTCTAATCTGTCTTGCCTATAGCCACAGGGCAATTTCTCCAAGCATAGTCTTACATCACTGAAAATGCTCAGTGTTCCTGGAATTACTTTCAGTTCCCAATAGGCCATGCTTCTCCAGGCACCCCCACCCCAGCTTTTTAGCCTATGCTCTTTCTCCTGCCTAGTATACCCTTCTCGACAGCCCTGGCTCCACAGCCTCATCCTATAATGTGCTGATATGGCATTGCCTCTTCTGGAAGCTTTTTCTGCCTGGCAAGCTCCTCTCCTTCACCTTCCCAAAGCAGTGTAAGCGGCTTCTTCTTTCATGTGCTTCTGCGGCATTTTGTACATAAAACTATTACTTGTTACTTCACTGCATTTGCACTTATGCATGGTTCATTCATGTATTCATTTGACAGATATTTATTAAGCAGCTTCTATAGACCCGGGGCTGCAGATAGAGTGATAAACTAAACAAAATCCCTGATCTCAAGGAGGTTACATTCTTGTATGTGTGTGTACAGACAATATGAAAATAAACAAATACATAATTTAATATCAGACGAAAAAGAAAACAAAGGTTGAGAGAAAATGGGGTGCTGTTTTAACTAGGGTGGACATGAAGGATATTTTTAATCGAGTGACATTTGAGCAGAGATTTGAATGAAGTGTCAGTAAGCCAAACTGACATTTGGGGAAGAGAGTTGCAAGCAGAGGCAATGGTGTGCAAATGTCCTGAGGCACTTATGAGGGATGTATGAGGAATAGCAGGAAGCAACTCTGGAGATGACTGAGTGAAAGGGAATGTGTCAGAGCTCAGGTCAGAGAAGGAGAAGAGATGGGACATAGCACATTGGTCCTTTGGAACATAAAGGTGTTTGGAATTTAACCTTTGTAAGCAGGAAAGCATTTGATGCATTTTGAGCAGAGGAGTGAAATAATCTGCTTCATCCTTGAAAAGGCTTGGGCTGGCTTCTGTAGTGTCGAAAATACATTGCAGGGACAAGGGCAGAAGTAATACTCAAGGCTGAGATGATAGTGCGGACCAGGGTGGTAGTGGTGGTGGTGGTGAGGCGATAATAAATTTGCAATATATTTTCAAGATAGAGCCAATAGGATCTCCTGACAGATTGGATGTGGAGAGAAAGAGAGAATCAGTCAATCAAGGGGACTGCAAGAAACTGCATCTTAACGATTCATTCATATGTCCGTATCTCCTTGTAGACCAATAATTCTTAGCCTACTGCTTCCTAACCCCATTTGTCTTATACTCTGGATGCCTTTGAAAATATGATAAGAGCTATGAAATTTTCTCCCTGAAAAAATTCACTGTCTGTATATATATATATACACATATATATACATATATATGTGTATATATGTATAATATGTATACAGATGGGGTGTGTGTGTGTGCGTGCATGTGTGCATGCGTGTGTGTGCATGTATATACACACAAAATTTTGTCTTATAATTTCAGGGGTCACAGACCCTCTGAATCCTATTCACAAATCCTGGAGTCAATGTCCCTGCCCCAACCCTTGAGCTCCTTGAGAGCCAGCCATGCCATATTCATCTTCATTTCCGTAGCAGAGTAACCTGACTACAGTCACTGCTCAGTAAATGTCCTGAAATGAATGAGTGAAAAACAGCTGCTTCTTTATTTTAACTCTTGATTCGTCCTGGCAAAAAAGAAGCATGTCCTATTTATACCCCGACTAGTAACTGGGGCTATCATTGCAATGCAGTAATAAGCAAACCAAACCAATAAACAAAAGCTGGAGAAGGGGGAGCAGGAAAAAGGAGGCAAGAGAATTAAGGCAGAAAAGCATTTTAAAAAGCCTGTTCAGTTCAAAATGCGTTGGCAGAAATACACAGGGAGAAAAACATATGAGTAAAAGATGTAATCGTTTTACTGGTAACATTGGGACGTTTTCCACCTCAGCTGCAGGCAGAGGGAGTGGCTTGTTTCGAGGTTCCAGGGTCTTGGTTTGCAGCCAAGCCCTAGGGCAGGTACTCAGAGGGAGGAGAAGTGAGAGCTTCATTCTAAGCATCCTAAACTCAGGGGAGCATCCTCAGTTCACAGCCTTCCTGGGATGGGGGTGGGAGCATTAGAGAAAGGCCTGATGGAAAGGTCTGATAGAACCGAGGACCAAAGCACAAGCCTGTCACCTAAACCCTGAAACAGTGCAGTTTGAAATGATCACGCTGGCTCCTGGGAGCCTGAAAATTAACCTGGTTGTGAGGACAAATTGATCATACAAGCAAGTAGCTTTCTAGAGGGTGCCAAGAGGATATTGTCTAGATGATGGCCTTTCTCCTTGTGAATTTAACAGGAGGCTTATTTAGAAGTTGAAGAAATACAGGAGGAAGTCTCCATCTTCTTTTAACTCCAACGGAGTTAGAAACCATAAAAATAAAGTAAACTGAAAGCAACCTGAATCGCACAAATTCAGTTGGTTGTAATAGACTCTGCCCATTTTTTACAGTTGATAATTCAAATTTAGCAGACATTTATTAAGTCTGGCCCTGCCCTGTGCCATATTTGCTTTAACTCTGATAGTGACCCACTAAGTTGGTATTATTCCTCTTCTCCTTTCAGGCGAAGGATCTAGTGCTTGGAGAAGTATACGCTGCTAGAAAGCAATAGTGAGAACCAGGCCCAGACAGGGCTGACTCCAAGTCCCTACTCTGTCATTCACTAGGCTGCTTTTTTCATGGTCTACATGCTCATCCAAAAGAAAAACAATTAGCCCTCTTTTGTTCTGTGAGTCAGAGGGGAGGTTGGAAAAGTCTGTCTGCTCACCCTTCCTTCCAGGTAACACATCACAGGGAAGAATGCTATGGGAGGCCCAGCTCTGGGGGAGAGCCAGGCCTGGGTAGGCAGTTGCCAGGGAACTGGGCTCCGTCGTCCTGGGTTCTGTTGCTGGTGTCTCTTTGCATCTTGTTTGACAGCTCCTGCCTGAGAAGCCAGCTTGGAATGTGTTCCAAGCTGAAATTTCAGGAGAAAAAATGTTCCCTGTCTTACCCTTTTCTGGGACAAGGTGGCTGGCCAGGTGCAGATATATAGCAATCAGAACAGATTAGGTTCAGATCTTGTTCATTTTCCTACCTATGCCCAGGAGCCTGGGGGTTGGTTATCATTTTGGTCTTTGTTTTCAGGCATTTTTGTTTTGCCTCAAAGTGTGAAAAGGCCATGCACTCTCTTATGATCTGCAGCAAATAGCAAGACAATGTGGCAGGGGCACTGGGGAGAGAAGGCGGCCTGTGTCTCTAATATGTCTCTTCTGAGCTTCTTACGGTAGAGACAGCAGAACTCCCAGTCAGGGAAAAAAAATCTTAAGAGGCTCTTGATAGGAAATATGCTGCCACTTGTCATCTACCCAATGGCTCCTAATCCTCTTTCGTGAGCTGAAATCCCCTTGAATTGGATTATAACATTCCTCTTGGTAGAAGGCACTTCGCTTGAAAATGCAAAGCCCTTGATAGTGAAAGAAAAACAAACACTAATTTGAAATTTTTTTTGCCTTAGGAAAGAAGATATGGGTAGGAGCCTTGAAGAAGCCCTGCTCCTGCCTTTTGAACCCTCAGTTCCCTGATGTGCAGCATGCACTGAGGTCTCAAGACAGAAGGCATCCCTCCCTCCGCCAGCTTCAAGTCAATTGACATTTGCATGGGTGATGCTTACTTTCACTTGTTAAAAAAAACAGTATTTTAGGCCAGGCGCAGTGGCTCACGCCTGTAATCCCAGCACTTTGGGAGGCCGAGGTGGGCGGATCACCTGAGGTCCGGAGTTCGAGACCAGCCTGACCAACATGGTGAAACCTCGTCTCTACTAAAAATACAAAATTAGCCAGTTGTGGTGGCACATGCCTGTAATCTCAGCTACTCGGGAGGCTGAGGCAGGAGAATCACCTGAACCTTGGAGGCGGAGGCTGCAGTGAGCCGAGATCACGCCATTGCACTCCAGCCTGGGCAACAAGAGAAAAACTCCATCTCAACAACAATAACAACAACAACTATACACACACACACACACACACACACACACACACATATGTGCATATATATATGCACATATATACATATTAAACACTCAACAATGGGAAAAGAAAATCTTGTTTAGAAACCAAAGAAACCTTTTAGAAGACCTATTAATTACGTCAAAGCTTCCCTCCATACAGGGATAAATGCTTGTAACTGGCTCAAGTTTATAACCTGAAATTGGGTTGACAAGTGTCAGACAATGAGGCCAGGTGCAGTGGCTCATGCCTGTAATCCCAGCACTCTGGGAGACTGAGGCAGGAGGATTGCTTGAGCTTAGGAGTTCAAGACCAGCATGGGCAATATAGTGAGACCTCATCTCTACCAAAAATAAAACAAATTAGCCAGGTGCGGTCCCAGCTACTCAGGAGGCTAAGATGGATAGCTTGAGCTCAGGAGTTGCAGGCTGCAGTGAGCTGTGATTGCACCACTGCACTCCAGCCTGGATGACAGAGCAAGACCTTGTCTCAAAAAAAAAAAAAAAAAAAAAAAAAAGATGATGACAAATGTCAGACTGTGACTTGGGGAGGAGAAGGGAGATAAACTGGCAACTATAAAAGATTGGTGAACAGAGGGAGGGCCATTGCTAGAAGCACATTTTCTTGCTGATTGCAACTCAGATTTCTCTCTTACAGACCACAGCATTTTTTCCTAGATCCACATCCCACCTCTGGCCTGTTCTCTTGTCTTCACTTACCTGATCCTGCACCCTCTCTTGCCCCTTGGCTTGGCAGTCATGTACCTTGGTTTTCTGAATGCTGCTCCAGGGGCAGAGGTGGGCCCTGGGGCTTTGCTATGTTTGGGGGTGGGGAAAGGGGCCTGGGAAGAGCCAGGCCTTGGTGAGGAGCAGAAAGGGGCCCCTTATCAGCACCAGGACAAGCACTGGGGCACGGCCTGTGGGATGCGATTAAAGATCTTGGCTCTCAACGGTGCTGAGAGTCACTTCTGTTTAATCACTTTGTGCTTAATATTGTGCAGGGTTTAGAAAGGTCTGGCAATTTCATGATTTCTTCAGTCCACTGTGGGAGGGCCTGTGAAAACTGTAGCAGCCTCCATACTCTTTGGAGTCTTTTGATCAGAAAGAAACAGAAATTGTGAACACCACAGAGCAAATGAGTGAAAGGGTCTTACTCCTAGCCTTACCCACGCTGCTTCCTGCCCTTGCCTTAGACCTCAAACCTGGCAAGGCTTCTTAGGTAAGGAGCTGAAATCACCAGCTCATGGTGACACAAATTGTTTTTGCCTTATCTGGGTTAGGATGAAACATTTTCTTCCTATTTCTCAAAAACTTAAAAGCCAAGCAAACGGGATTTCTAAACAAAGAGGGACTTCAAACAGAAGACTAGCTGTCATTACCGGTTTTCTTCTCCCAAAGCCTATCTGCAATTGCTGTCTGGGAAAAGTGGTAGACCTGCTTGAGGTGGCTAAGAAGCCATTATGTCTCTTCCCTACAAGGAGGAAAACCTTATATGGCAGAGCCAGCAGATTCTGGACTCTAGGTCGGGAAGATTCCCAAGTTGCCCACTCAGATGAGACAAAATAGATAAGGAATATAGGCTTTATCTCCGTTTTTCATTTACTTTTAAATTTCTTTCATATTTTATGAATGGGTAATCCATATGCATGATACAAAATTGGAAAGATCCCAAGAGTAGACAGTGAAAAGTCTTTTTTTTCCCCCCTCTCCTGAGCCCTGATTAATCTCTGTGGAGGCAACAGCGTGTGGGGGAGATTGGGAAGAGGAGATAGGAGTCAGGCACTCGGCTCAGGTGCTGGTGGAAGAGCCCAGGAGGGTGGTGTGGAAAAGAATAGAGGAAACTGGCATGACTGTGTCAATGAGGAGGAGGAATGGGAGGAAACAGGAGGTGTAAAATATCAGAAATGGAGGCCTCATGAGTGGAGAGTCCGTGATGAGAGGAAAGTGATGAGCCTGTTTCTTTTTTTTTTTTTATTAAAAAAAATCCTTTATTTCAAATATTTTTCTCTATTGTTTTCTACTTTTTTAAAATTTTGCTCTAAGTTCTGGGATACATATGCAGAATGTGCAGGTTTGTTACATAGGTATACATTTGCCATGGTGGTTTGCTGAACCCATCAACCCATCATCTAGGTTTTAAGCCCCTCATGCATTAGGTATGTGTCCTAATGCTCTCCTTCTCCTTGTCCCCCACCCCCCAACAGGTTCCAGTGTGTGATGTTCACCTCCTGTGTCCATGTGTTCTCATTGTTCAAATCCCGCTTATGAGTGAGAACATGCAGTGTTTGGTTTTCTGTTCCTGTGTTAGTTTGCTGAGAATGATGGTTTCCAGCTTCATCCATGTCCCTGCAAAGGACATGAGCTCATTCTTTTTTATGGCTGTATAGTATTCCATGGTGTATATGTGCCACCTTTTCTTTATCCAGTCTATCATTGATGGGCATTTGGGTTGGTTCCAAGTCTTTGCTAATGCAAATAGTGCTGCAATAAACATATGTGAACATGTGTCTTCATAGTAAAATGATTTATAGTCCTTTGGGTATATACCCAGTAATGGGATAGTTTCTAACACAGAGGTTTTATCTGTGTTCATCAGGTGAACTCCCATTAAATTCCTCTTTGGGCACCTCCTTGGTGAAGTTTTCTTTATTCTTCTCTTCAAAAGTTAAACCTTACTGCTGTGCTTTGACATACCTCATTTTACAACTTAGTTCACCATGTTGTCAGTATCCATTATGCTGGGCTTCCCTCCCAGAGTGTCTTTCTCACTTCTCATTTTCACATTTCTGGCACCAACAATAATAATAGCAACAATAACAGAAATTATCTCATTAAATCCTTTCAATTACCCTGTGAAGTAGATACCTATTGTTTGGGGGCCTTTTGTTTTTGTTTTTGAGACAGGGTCTCTCTCTGTCACTCAGGCTGGAGTGCAGTGTTCCAATCACAGCTCACTGCAGCCTCAACCTCCTGGGCTCAAGTGACCCTCCAACCTCTGGAATAGCTGAAACTACAGGCACACACCAACACTCTAGGCTAATTTCTGTATTTTTTGTAGAGACAGTGTTTCACCATGTTTCCCAGACTGGTCTCGATCTCCTGACTTCAAGCAATTCACTCATCTCAGACTCCCAAAATGCTGGGATTACAGGTATGAGCCACTGTACCTGGCCTAGATACCTATTGTTAGCCTCATTTTACAGATGAGGAAACTAAGACATAGAGAAACTAATTGTCCAGGGTGGCATTGCTGGTAGTTTAGCTTTGGATTGGTATCTGAGCATTCTAACTATAGAGCTTACACTCTGATCCTCCAGTCACACCATTTTGATAAGAATGATTACATTTGGGGGACATTTAGGGGAAACGAAGGACTAGACAAACCACCTTGGGAGGCTGGTCTCATTTTTATCCCCTTTTTGCCAATAAAAACAAGTCTTAAGTCATGCCCAAGAAAGGAAAAGGGTCTGGATCCATGTCCTCAGACTCTCAGATACTGTTCTCTACTCCCAGCGTATGTGCTCATTAGATATCTATAAAATAAATATATGAATAAAATAAAGGAAGGAGAGAGTGGGTGAAGGAAGAAGAAAGGAGGAAGAGGAAAAAAGAAGGAGCAAAGGAAATAAAGGAAGGGAAATCAAATAGAATACTGCACTCAGCTATCTCTTAAACTCAATCAAAGCTGGCTGGTAATGCAAATATTGTAATTCACACAATGTACTGAGTGAACATTTTGAAAGAAGATTCTAGGAGTGAAAGCTTTAAATCAAATGAAGCCTCATTAATGTGAAACATCAGAACATCACAAGCTGATGGGGAAGTGCTTGAGGATAGCAAGGACTTCCCAGATCCCAGGTATAGAAGTCAGCAATAGATTTACTCCTGCAAGTCTGATACAATTTCTTGGAATAGCAAATTACATGAACTGTTGGTTACTTCAAAATCACCCGCAACCAAGAGGTACCTTCTTTTAAAGCATTTCTTGGTGTTTGCTTGTCCTTAAGCTACACCATTAACCTCCTCTATTATTCTGTGACCCAAATGGATCATCAAGATGAATGAAAACTCTAATTTTTTCACGGGGATTTTCCTTTTTTTGGTCCTGTAGACACCGTGTGTATCTGTGTGTGTGCATGTGTGGGTATTTTCTGTGTTTCTCTGTTGCTGCCTGCCTCAGGAAGAGACACTTTCTGCAAGGTAGGCAGCCCTGCTGGCGGTACTTTTCTTAGGTTAATCAAGCCATGCCTTGTGGATTTTTCTACCACAGACAGGAAGGCCTCAGTTTAGCATATTGACAGTAACCATATTTTCCAAACCCCAAATAGGGGCAGGGTGTCTGACCAAGGACGGAGTTCTGCTTATGAATGTAGTCATGTGAACTTCTCAGCAAGGCATAGAAATGACATCATCTGTCATTAGCCATTTTATGAATTGCCTTTATAGAAGGTAAAATGGCAGGACATTGGGTGCACCCAAGGGCACAGCAGCTAGCGGCCCTTGGACCCCTCTCTGGAGTCAGTGATCTTTGTGGATCTTTAAGGATAGCCAGTGATCTTTAAGAAAGTTCAGTCCCAGACAGGGGGCCTCTCTGCCCCACAGACAGAGCTGGCTTTGGTGACACGGCATTGCTCAGGATCCCTGTGGTTATGAGCTCACCCTTGGGCCGCCGGCTGGTCTGCTGCAAGCTGCCAGCCTCTTGGGCAGTGAGTCAGCCATGGGCTGTCACTCCATCCTGCTAAGCCTCTGAACCCTCAGAAACCTCCCCAAACCCAGCACTGCAGCCTGGAGCACCACAGGGAAGCCTGCCCTGCCCAGCCCAACGGCCATCCCAGCTTCCCCTTGCTCTGGTCCCTGGCAGGCAGGGAAGCAGCACTGGATGATCAGAATTCAGAGCATTGTTGAGAAGCCCCCTTGTCACACCCACAGCAATCCCACCCCCACCAGAGGAGGCTGCTGAGCTTGAAGGGGACTTGTCGGCACACACAGTGTTTCTTTGAAACACTCCAGAGATTTCACTGAATTAACCTCCTTTGTCCTTCACAGGATTCCAGTGAAATTAGTCAGCCTTAATGGGGAGCATCTCATCCTACTTCCCTTTCTGCCTGGGAGTACACCCACTAGCTTCTCCCTCCAAACCCTTTGTTTTTCAGCTCTCGATGGCTCTTAGGTCTATGAGTTAACTCTCACGGGACCACACTGAATGCTGAGGCAGAGGCCGGGGAATATGCATTGAGGAGTGTTTACACATTTTATCCCACTGAATCTTCACCATTGACCTCAGATAGGAATTTTTTTTTTTTTTGAGACCGAATTTTACTCTTGTTGCCCAAGCTGGAGTGCAATGACGCCATCTCCGCTCACTGCAACCTCCGCCTCCCGGGTTCAAGCGTTTCTCCTGTCTCAGCCTCCCAAGTAGTTGGGATTATAGGTGTGCACCACCACACCCAGCTAATTTTTGGTATTTTTAGTAGAAACGGGGTTTCACCATGTTAGCCAGGCTGGTCTCAAACTCCTGACCTCTGGTGATCTGCCCACCTTGGCCTCCCAAAGTGCTGGGATTACGGGCGTGAGCCACCCTGCCCGGACATCAGGTGGGAATTTTTATCCCCTTTTCTAGATGAAGAAACTGAGGATCAGACAAATTATGTAGCTTGTTCAAAGTCATAAAACTTGTAAGTGGATCAGAGATTCAAATTTGAGTCCGTATGACTTTTTCACCCCTGCTAATTCTATTAATCAACAAATTGGCAAAGGAGTTGTTTGGGGAAAATCTCTTTCTCACAATATTTTTGATTTTTGTTTTTGTAAAAAATTAAAAATTTCTTCCCAAAGCCCTTCACTTTAGGAAGCCTTCTAATTGACTCCATGACTCAGTTCTCAGTCATGGAGTGATGGAGTGATGTTTGACAATGTCATGACGCAGTGTTACAAACTGCAGGCAGGGTGCGGTCACCCGCTTGACCAAGCATCATACCAGTGGGGATAATGCAGAGATCCTACAGAAAGATGACCATCAGGCCCATTACATTTGCTTTCAATCTTTTAAGTTCAAAGAATAGTCACTTCCCAAGTTGATCCCATCTACCTGCCCCTCCACCCGCACTGCCTGACCTCCTTCTTGAGCTCTTCTACCCTGGCCTCCAGTTTCTCTCCCCTGTGCTCTTTTGCCCATACCCTTCTTGCTGGAATTTTCCAAACCAAAGTGTACCTATATAACATCATCTTCTGCTTAAAAACTTTCCGTGGCTCCCAAACCTATGGGAAAATGTCAAAACCCTTCAGTGGATCCTACAAGGTCCTTCTCACTTGGCCTCTTGCCCAGTACCATCTTCAGATGTTTCCCTCTGTGCACAAGGTACAACAGGCTGGCTGGCCCTAAGGACACCACACACCCCTCTGCTCTCTAAGCCACTGCAGAATGTGCACCAGTCTCCAACTGGGTAATACTTTTTCAGGCCTCAAAGCCTCAGTAGATAATCTTTCTTCTACCTGGAATGGCCTTCTCTCCAGGTCTGAATGCCAGCCTCCCTCAAGAGCCAGCTCAAATGTCAGCTCTTCTGAGAAGATATGCATTCTCCATGACCCATGGTGGGGGTGTGGACTGTGCTCCCATCACGCTGAATTAGTGTCTGTCTTCCCCAGGAGGCCAGCAGCCCTCAACGACAGTGGCAGGATTCACTGGTGTGTTGCACTCAGGCCTGAACTGTGTAGCAAGGAATTCACACTATTAATAGTAAAAGCACCAAAGTTTTCAAATGAGCTGCTTTTGTTATAAACTGGAGTGGATTCAAGGTTATTCTTATAATAACGTCATTTTCACTCACTTGCATGTTTTCCTGAGTGGGCGAGAAAGGGGTGGGGTTGCAGCTAGCTTGCTAATTGTTCCAAATGTTAAAGAGAAAAGATTAAGAAAGGATGAACAGCTCTCGAGATATATTAGTGGGCTGTGGATAATATGTAATGCATTAGAGGTGCTCTATTCTCTGCATAGAGAATGTCTTTATCTGTGTGTGTATGTGTGTGCACATGCTTGTGTTGGGGGCAGGAGTGTTTAAATGATCATGTGTTACAAAAACATCCCCAGGCGAGAGCAGCAATTATTCATACCATACTGAACATTAACGAAGATTAAGATGGAACCATGTGGAAAATACTTGATGTCCTGTTAAGAGTGGGGAAAAGGCAAATCTCAAACTATGTGTACGTTATAAGTACCGTACGTAAAAAGTCAATTCAAATCTGGAAGGAAGGCAAGCTAAGAAACAATGAAGCTCTGACTTGTAAGATAGTAGGATTGTGGTAAGGTTTTTTAAATTTCACGGTTTGAGCATTATCTCCATGTTATTATAGACTCAGCTTCTTGAGTCTACCGTCACCTGGGCTGTGTATGTGGTCAGCAGTCCTAACGCTGTTTTCAATCTGTCTAGCTTTGATGTTCCTAGAGCTTCCTAGAGTAAGAGACCACCCCATCTGCAGCCAGTAGACCTGTGCACACACCCTCCTTGAAGAGACAGTTGATACAAAATCTTCAATGCTGGCCGTCCCTGTTTTAATCTGCCAAAAACCCAAGCCTAAATCCTCTCAGCTATCCCTTCCCTAATGATGCATCCTTTTTAAAAATTTTTTTCTTATTTTCTTATTTATTTATTTATTTTTGAGACTTGCTCTGTCACCAGGCTGGAGTGCAGTGGCGCAATCTCGGCTCACTGCAACCTCCGCCTCCCAGGTTCAAGTGATTCTTCTGCCTCAGCCTCCCAAGTAGCTGGGATTACAGGCACATGACACCACCCCCAGCTAATTTTTGTATTCTTAGTAGAGACGGGGTTTCACCATGTTAGCCAGGATGGTCTTGATCTCTTGACCTTGTTATCTGCTCCCCTTGGCCTCCCAAAGTGCTGGGTTTACAGGTTTGAGCCACCGTGCCCTGCCTTTGCCCTAGCCCCTGACCTACAAAGCTCTTATGACTGAGCCCTCTGGAATTGCTTGTTCCATAACCACCAAACCACCCCTAGATCTTCAACTTTTTCTCTGCTCCTTCCTGATACAACAGGCTGGCTTGCCCTAAAGACACCATGCATCCCTCTGCCCTCTACAGCCATAGATTGGAAGGTGTTGTCACTGTCCGCCTGGTTCCCAAGTGCTGTATCCACAACATTGTTTCTGTAACCACTGAGGATCATGCTGTTTTGCTCTCTTGTCCTCCATGTTGCCATCATCTTCCTGCCCACCACCACCTTTATGCCACGGAAGACTGGAGCACCTCTCTTATGGTCTTCCTTTGCATCTGTTTCTTCCATTTCCTTCCCTGTGAAGCTCCTCCAAAAAGCTGTCTCTCCTTACTGTCTCTATTTTTCGTCCTCTCTCCCTCTCCCCTCAGCAATTTTGTGCAGGCTGCTGGTCCCACAGTCACCAAAACAGCTCCAGGTCACGTCACTGATGACCTCCATGTCATGAAATTTAAGGGACATTTTTCTGGCCTCATATTCCTCGCCTTCTCAGCAGAGACTGCCAGTGTTGATCATTTACTCCTACTGGAAACGTTCTTCCCTCGGCTTTAAAAATGAAATGTTCTCCTGGTGTCTTCCCTAGTTTTCCTGTATCCTTTGCAGGCTTACACGTCCCATTCTCATCATCAAATACTGGTGTCCCTCCCTTTTCTTACTCTGTAATCTATTCCTAGGTGATCACATCCTCACCCACAGCTTCAGATATCTGTAGAGGACCTAGATGATTGTATTTCCAGACTCAACCTCTTCTCTGAGTTCCAGGTGTGCAGATCCAGTTTTTGATTTGATATTTTCATTTGGAAATCCCAAAGGCAGCTCAAACTCAACAGACCCCGAACCAAACCCATAATCTTTTACCACATACCTCCTCCTCTTTCAGAGTTCTCTGTCTTAGAGGGTGGTACCACCGTGCATCCAGGTGCACAAGCCAGAAACCTAAGAGCCATTGCTGGTATCTCCTTTTTTGTACATCCTGTCTTCAATTTACCACCAAGGGCTGTTTCTTTTCCCTCCTAAAAGTTTCTCAAGTTCACTGTTTTTCTTGATTTCTCTTGATCTCCAACAAGTAGAAGCCTTCGTCCAAGTCAACATTATTATTTTCAAGGACTATTGCTATCACTTCTCAACTGGGCCATCCTGTATCTAATCTGAGTCCCTTCAGTCCAGTCTCGAGAGAGCACCTGTGGTCATCTTTTTGAAGTAGCTATCTAATTATGTCATCCTCTGCTTAAAACCCATGATGACTCTTCATTTCTTTTAGGACAATGACAAAACCTTTACTATTGCCTATAGGTTTCCTCTCGCCTTTCCGCCCATGTCATTCTCTCTTCTCTAGTCACTCCAGCCTTCTATCCCTTCTTCATACTCCCCTATTTTCCCCTTGCCACAGGGCCTTTGCAGAGCACTTCCTTCTACCTGGAATATTCTTCATACCCCTGGTTTAGTCAACTTCTACTTATGCCTCATATATCATTGCAAGCATTACTTTATTAGGGAAATCTTTCCTGATTTCCCTAAAAAAGTCAGGTCACATTTATCTTTTATGAAGTTTCATAACACCATGCATGTACTTCTTCATGGCACCAATAGCAATAGAGAATTATATTATAGTGTCATTATTTGAGTAGTGGTTCTTTCTCTCACTGACAGTAGAGTCCTGGGGAGGTAGGAATCATGTATGATTTTGAATTAACATTGAGTCTGTAGCACAATTAGTACTTGAGCACCCAATTAAAAATAACAGCCTCCATCATTCTTTTTTTAATAGTTTTCTTTTTTCTTTTTTATAATCTTTTATTCTTTTTTCATAGCAGTTATAATCACTTGCCATATATGTGTGTATGTATATGGCAATAATATATATGTATTTATTTCCTTTGTTACATTGAAAGCTTCATAAGGGCAGAGAATTTGTCACTGATTTATTTTTTCCCAGCACCAAAAACAGTACCTGGCACTTGATGGTCATTTCATAAGTAGTTTTTGCATATGTAGCATTTAATAAATATTTGTTCAAAGAATAAATATATTTTGTGTAATAATAATAACAGCCACCCTCACCAGCAATATGATGGTACTTAATTAGCCCACCTAGCTTTATGCAATTGTATGTCTATATTTTCCATAAATTTATTATGTAAAGTTATAATAATTACTACCAAATTTATCAAAATAACTACATTAATATACAAAATTCAACCTTTACTATAGTCAGTAGTCAAGGTAACTTGTTTATCTGCTCATATACCCTTAAAATAATTTATGAATCCATTGCCCCAGAAGAGGAAAATCAAATAATGATGAACATCCAATCCATGATTGCAGTTAGATCTGTTAAGGAATTATTATCTGTCTCCTCCAGGGTAAGTGTTCTTTTGATCAGCCCTGCTACATTTCCCTTCGAAGAGGTCTTATGAATATTCACTGCCACTGATATGAATGGAAATGCTCATTTTCCTCAAAAAGGAAGGCAGGTTGGCAAATAACAAAATTGGCCATAGTAAGGATGGACTGAAGAGGGTGGAGGATGGACTAAGAGGGTGAAGGATGGTGGTTGGAAAGGCAGATGTCTAGGACTTGAAATCCTCACAGGACTGCCTTTATGTCTTGTACTGCAATCAGGCAGGCAAAAGAGTGGCTTGGGATGATGCTCCCAGCTTCCCAGTTTCTCCAAATCCTTACCTCTGCGGCTTCCTTCTGCAGTGGCCTAAGAAATCTAGGTTACTTGTGCCACCTGCTGCCCAGATTGTGGATGACTTGCTGACATGCATACACACCTCTTGGGATTTTGTTTGTTTGTTTGCTTCAAGCAATTTTTACCCAGCTCACTCCTTATCCATGGCTTTCTGACTTTCTTGTTTTCTTTTTTTTGTTGTTGTTCTTTACAGAGATAATCAAGGTAAACTGACTTTCTCCTCCTCTTGTCCTTGGAGCACACCTTCTGAGCTATGAATATACGTGAAAGCATGGTCTGGGAGGGTGCTTTGGAAAAAACTGGGGCTCACAGCTTCCACATGCTGTTCTCATTTCTGACCATGTTTTAACCTCTTGTTTCCATTCAATGCACTAATGGCCTTGGGTAGGCCCTGCTGGAACAAAGATGAATGAGACGTGATTCTGCTCCCCAAGGAGCTCATAGACTACTGGGAAGGGGGAGTGTAGATACATAAACAAATAATTAAAATTCAATGTTATGATAGGGACAATACAGACACAGAGGGAGATGTAAAGTCCACTGATGGGAACCAGCAGAGCTTTGGAGAGGAGATGCTGCTTACCTACTCTCTGAGGGATGGGCTGGGGTTCAGAAGGTGGAAAGGAGGACTGGCGTTTTAGGGAGGTGGAATGGCATTTGCAAAAGTAGCGGGGAAACAGCCTATTTGGGGAGTAGTGAGAAGTAATTTGGTAACCACTGTTAACATTTTCTCATAGGTCCTTCCAGGCTTTCTGACATGCATTTTCCTGTGTATATTTGTGAATGGATGAGTGTGTGTGTGTGTGTGTGTGTGTGTGTGTCTGTGACTTGCCTTCATTTCACTAAACATTGTATGTTAGAAGTCTCTCCGTGTCAGTAAAGAAAAGCTCCTTCATTTTTTAAAACTTCTGTAGTGTTCTATTGTGTTGATCTATTATAGTCCCTCTTTAATAGACCGTTTAGGTAGTTTCCAGTTTTTCACCTCCTATGTGTATCTTCGTGAACCAATGTCTAGAGAGGAAGTTGCTGAGTTAAAGGGTACCTACATTTAAATATTGACTGCTATTACTTAATGACCTCCAAAAAGGCTTTACCAATGTATACTCTTCATGGAGTGGCTAAAGTATGTCATGGCCTAGTAAGTCTTTCACATTTTCCCCTTTCTGCCTTAATCCATGGCATAATTTTCCTCTCCCGAAAATAATGATCCTGACAGCAATCCTACATGTATGGAATGAGTTGCCCCCATTTTACAGATGACAAAAAACGGAGGATCAGAGGAGTTGGGTCTTATCCACAGTGCCCCAGGGAGTCAGAACCAGAACTAGAACTCGGGCCTTCAGAATCCTAAAGCTTTTTCTACTATGTTGCTAGGCAACACTTCTCCCTTTTGATTCTTGTGCCAATGCTACTTGTTGCCATGGTACTGCTGGGACAAGGAGCAATAAGTTGTAATTAAGCAGTGAGCTAGAATCTTTGCTCCTAGCAGAAAAGGTTTTGTTTTGCCCTTATGTGTGGGTGGACAGGAGATAAGGCCACCAGGGCTGCACTTGGTGCAGAGAGGGGCAGTTGGAAGAAGCCAGCTGATTATCATGTAGGTTTCATGTGAGGGCGGATGTTCATCTTCACTTTGCCCATTTGAAACCATGTTTGCCCAGAAATGCCTGGATGGGGGTGCTGTGTGGGGTCCCTGCCTAGACACTGGCTTGTCAAAAATCAGCATCCAACTTCAGTGTGTGCCTTCTCAGTCTAGAAGAAATAGGGGCCTCGTTGTTAACAGCACCATTCTGGAATCAGACAGGTCTGGGTTCAAATGCTGGTTTTGCCGCTTACAGAAATTTACCAACATTTTCTGATTCTCAATTTCCCTGTCTGAGTGGGGACAATCAGGGTGACCTCGTAAGGTGTTCTGTGTATTGAGTGAGAAAATGGGGCTAATCACTTAGCCAAATGCCTGACATTAACTACCATTTGTTAAGCGATCAGTGCATGTAGCCAATGCTAGCGTTTTATTTTTATCATTCACCCACCCGTTCTTCTTTGTATGCTTTGCAGTAATCAAAGGGTTTCCAAAACATCTTTAGTATTCCATCACTCAGTGCTGAGTTGAGGGATTACGAAAGCTCATCATGTTTTTCTCTTTAGACAAGAACACTCAAAAACAGATTTTCAAAAGATTTGATGTAGTGAAGTTCTGCACCTCAGAAATGTGTGTTATCTGCCCCAGGAATGAGTCATCGGTAGTAGGAGGAAAAGTGAAACTGTTTTTCAAAGGCGACACAATGGAAATTGCACAATTCAAATTACTGCAATTGCCTTTTCAGCTGAATCCAAGGAAATGTTTTGTTTTTTTTTTTTTCAATTCATTCAGTTGACTTTTTGAACACTTCTTATTTGTCAGGCCCCATGCAAGGGGTGAAAAGATGAATAGAACATGGCCCCTGCCCAGGGAGTTCACAGTTTAGTAGGGGAAGAGGAATTTGAAATAATTACAGCAATGCGATAGCTGCTGTGGTGAGGTCTGTGGATGGCGTTGCGGGGACACTAGAGCAGGAAGTCCTTAACTCGGGGAGAGAGGGAAGTCGGGAGAGAGAGGAATATCGGGAAACACTTCACAGAGCTGGTATCAGCTGGGCTAAGTCTAAAAAGATAAGGGCAATCAGCAGGCAGAAGGCACTTGGGCAGAGAAAATGGTGGGGAAGCGGGAGAGAGCACGGAGCCTTCAGATCTGGGTGGGGGACAAGGCTGGAGGAGCAAGCGCCTGCACCCACAGGCCTGGCCCTGTGCTGCATAACTCACTCCTTCTAAAAGCACCCCCTGCTCCCTCCCATTCTTGCAGTGCTCACTACTTTCCTCCTGCTCCTCAGGTTTGCTGTCTCTGCTCCTACCCGGCCCCTCCTCCCCTGCATTCTTACCCTGGGCTTCATCTTCTTTCTTCCTGTCACACCTGAAACTCCAAACCCTTACCTTTTACATCCCTTGCAAAGATGTTCCAATGATCCTCGATGCTACAGGGTAAATATTTCACTTGTTCTGGTCTTTTGTGCAACCCTCTCATCAGGCATAGAACTTAATTCTAGATTTGCACCCATTAGAATACGAATCTCACCCCAAGGCAGCCAGGAGGAGCTGTCTCCATTGCAAACGCACTGATTCCTTTATTCCTTCTCCTAGGTGTGTCCTGAGGACATGGCTCAGCTACTAGACTTTTTTTTTGGTTTTTGTTTGTTTAATTCTTTGTCCTTTAGAGATAGGGTCTCTCTCTGTCACTCAGGATGGGGTGATCACAACTTACTACAGCCTTAACCTCCTGGGCTCAAACCATCCTCCCACCTCAGCCTCCCGAGCGAGTACACTTTTGATGCGGGAGAGGCCTCGTCATTTGCAAGTGAGGCAGAGCAGTGCCACTTCCAGCTGACCACGTGGCCTAGGAGGTAAAGACCTAGGCCATCCAAGTATGTTGGGGTTCCAGCTGTGTCTGAGGTGGGGATGTGACTTTGTGTTTCCCCACCTCTGATTAGTGGGAGTGTGCCAAGGTGCCTTTCATTGTTTCTCCTGGGACAGAGAATCAGACAGCTACTACTCCACAGAGTTCTCGTTGCTGGCCCAGGCTCTTCTTTGGAATGAAACTGTCTGCAATGTAGATGCAATTCCAGGAATAATTATAAACCAATCCACAATGAACTGTCCCTGAAGACTGAGATGCCCAGGTGCTTGTGAGTGGCTGCTGGTCTGACCATTTGGATGCCTCTCTGAATAAATTTACCCTAGCAGGGCCAGGCTGCATGCATCATTTTACATATTGCTTACTATTGTGAAAACACATTTTTATATTCTGGCTTTTTACACTTAATAATACGTTAATAAATTTTTCCATCTTGTAGGCTTTCTAGTTGTCATATTTAATTACTTCATAATATTTAGGTGAGTGAATTGATCATAATTTACTAACCTTTCGGCCCACAACTGAATATTTAGGCAGGTTCTAATTATTTTGTTAGTGTGCTTAATACTTCGAGGAACATCTTTTTGTTTATGTTGATTAATCTCCTCAGGATAAATTCCCATGAGTAGAATTTCTAGTTCAGGAAGCCTAACCAACACTTCTGGAATGCGCTTCCATTCTCATCTCACCTAACCGCTCTGGTTTTATGCTTGATTAGTTACTAGAATGGGATAGAAGGAAAAAGGAAGTAAGCAGAGATTCTGGGGTTCTTCCAAAAGTCAGGCTCACTTAGATATGGGAGACTTGGGGCCACCAGATAGCTGTGTGGGGAGACATGGTACTAAGAGATCAGGGAGAAAGACACACATCAGAATGACACAGAGATAACCATAGTCTCTGAATTAGTCAGAAGAGGCTAACGATGGCAGCAAATAGCCCCAAGCTTTAACTACAAGGAATAAATTTATTTCTTGCATAGGGATAGATGGGGCAAGGGACCTTCATTCAGGCTATTTCATACCGAGACATCCCCCTGCTCTGGGTCAGAGGGATCTTCTCCATGCAGATGGGGAAAGAGCAAGTATCACACTGGGGAGATTTCACGGGTCAGGCCTGTTAGTGGTCTACATCCCTTCTGTGTAAAATCCATTGTCCAGAACCCAGACAGAAGTCCTCACTTGAATGCAGAGAAGGCTGGGAAGTATAATTTAGGTATATGTCCAAGGTGGAAGAGGAGAACACAGATACTGGTGCGTACAAGCGGTCTCTGCTGGAGTCTTTTTCAAAATTTAGCCAGTCAAGCCTGAAAACAGGAGAAGCTGGGCAGTAAACAGAAATGGAGCTTTGCTGCTCATACACACTTTGCATGCAAAGTAATGCAAATAGAATGTGCCTTTCCAAATTTTGGCAGTTTCAAGCAATAGCTGCAGTGTCGCACAGTTCTTGGGACTTCTCCCCACTTCCCCCACCATCTGCACAGGAAGTGAAACACAAAGGGTCACATTTTACTTTTGTGTGGATTTCAGGGCAGGCCAGACGCTGGTAATACTGCTTGCTAACCTTCACTGCTTCCCCCTCCCTCTCTACAGCTTGGTTCCTTCAGTTCTTAAGTTTGATCAGGTACTTCCAGCTTCAGATTTTTACTCTTAATTTTCCAGATTCCTGACCTCATATCTTCTTTCTTTTTTTTTTCCCGATGTTTATTCTGCACTAACTGTTGTGCTGAGAACTTTATAAAAGTAATGGGAGGAAAGAAAATATTGCTGCAGTTTCAGGTTGTTAGCCTAGTATGGTGACAGAAATTCACTAAGGGGGAAAAATTGGCTAGGTGCGGTGTCTCATGCCTGTAATCCCAGCACTTTGGGAGGCTGAAGTGAGCCGACTGCTTGAGCTCAGGAGTTCAAGACCAGCCTGGGCAAAATGGTGAAACCTTGTCTCTACAAAAAATACAAAAATTAGCTGGGCGTGGTGGCGTGCACTTGTAGTGCCAGATACTCAGGAGGCTGAGGTGGGAGGATCACTTGAGCCCGGGAGGAGGAGATTTCAGTGAGCCGAGATTATGCCCTGACACTCCAGCCTGGGTGACAGAGCCAGACTCTGTCCCCCCCACCCCAAAAAAAGTCCTTTTGTTGAAGACACACCTTAATGGATTTGTTTGCCTATAAAAAGTGAAGGTTTTCCTGAGCAGAGAGGGAGACAATGAATTGCTGTGTATGAGAGAGTGAAAAGAAAATAATAATTTTGGAATTGGAGTTGTCTTCTACTGGGTCCTTGAGAAGGTACTGGTGACACAGTAAAGAAGGTAATGTTTTGAACCTGGCTATGCATTAAAGTTACTGGGGGGACTTTGATTTTTGAGACTTAAAAAAAATAAATTTTGAAAACAAATCTGGAAATTGTACAAATCGTACATGCATAGTCTGATGGATTTTCACTCACTAAGCGTGCCTGTGTAATCATCCTTTGGGTAAGAAGGTAAATATCACTAGTACCCAGGTGTCCCCTCCCAGGTGCTGCCCTACTCCTTCAAGGCAACCATGACTCTGATTTCTAACACCATTGATAGTTCTGCCTGTTTTCGAATCACATGTAATGTATTGTTCTTTTTGTTGGATTTCTCTTTTTTCACGTTATTGTTGTGAGATTCAACCATGTTGATACAGGTAGCAGGAATTTGGTCACTTTCATTGCTGTATAGCATGAACACAGCAAGAATGTGTAGTATGGGTATTCCTCAGTTTATTTGTCCATCGTTGATGGACGTTTGTGTTGTTTCCAGTGTTTGGCTATTTTTCACACTGCTGTTATAAACGTTCTTTAAAATTAATTTTACTGTGATAAAATATATATAACATAACATTTTCTATTTTAATCATTTTGAGGATATAATCCAATGCCATTAGTTACACTCACTATCTACTATCTACTTCCAGACATTCTTTTTTTTGTAACAACTTCATTGAGATTTAATTCACCATTACATAATTCATTTGTTTAAAGTCTAAAATTCAATGACTTTTAGAATATTCACAGAGTTGTGCAACCATCACCACAATCAATTTTGGAACTTTTTTTAATCACCCCAAATAGTATAGATACCCTGTATTCATTAGCAGTCACTCTTCATTTCCACCCACCAGGCCCTCCCAGCCCTAGGCAACTACTAAACTACTTTCTGTTTTTATAAATTTGCCTATTCTGGACATTCCATGTAAATAGAATTATCCATTATTAGGTCTTTTCTGACTGGCTTCTTTCACTTAGCATAACATTTTCAAGGTTCATTCATGTTGTAGCATGTGTCAGTAAGTACTTCAATCCTTTTTATCACTGAAATGTAGTCCATTATACGGCCAGATATACTACATTTTATTTATCCATTCATCATTTGATGGACATCTGAGTAGTTTCCAAGCTTTGGCTGTTATGAATAATGCTGCTATAAAGATTTATGTGCAAATGTTTCTGTGAATATGTTTTCATTTCTCACTCTTGTTTTTTGTTAGACACAGGGTCTCACTCTATTGCCCAGGCTGGAGTAGAGTGGTGTGATCACAGCTCACTGAAGGCTCTAATACCTGGGCTCAAGCAATCCTCTTGCCTCAGCCTCCTAAGCAGCTGGGACTGCAGATGTACACCACCACACTTGGCTAATTTTTTTTTTTTTTTTTTTTTTTTTTTTGTAGAGACAGGGTCTCACTATGTTGCCTAGGCTGGTCTCAAACTCCTGGCCTCAAGTGATCCTCCTGCCTTGCACTCACAAAGTGCTGGGAGCACAAGCATGAGCCACTACACTTGGCCTGTTTTCATTTTTCTTGGAGATATACCCCTAGCAGTAAAATTGCTGGGTCATACGGTAACTCTGTATTCAACATTTTCAGTAATTGCCAGACTGTTTTCCAAAGTGGCTTCATCATTTTATGATATCATCAGTGGCGTATGAAGGTTCCAATTCCTTCACACCCTTGTTAACACTCATTATTGTGGTCTTTTTTTAAAAAAAATTTAATTGACGAATAATAATTGTATGGATTGCTTTTAGCCATCATCATAGGTGTAAAGTAATGTCTCATACTGGTTTTTATTTGCATTTCTTTGATGGTTAATGATGTTGAGCATGTTTTCATGTGCTTATTGGTCATTTGCATATCTTCTTTGGAGAAATGTCTGTTAAAATCCTTTGCCCATTTTTAAAATTGAGTGATGTGGTTTTTTAAAACTTATTTTAGATATTAATCACTTATCAGATATATGATTTGCAAATATTTTCTCCCATTTTGTGAGTTATAATTTCATTTTCTTGATATTATCATTTGAAGCACCAATTTATTTATTTACTTATAAATTTTACATAATTTTTCTTCTAATCGTTTTAAAAATAATTTCAACTTTTATTTTAGATTTGGGGGCACATGTGCAGGTTTGATACCTGGGTATATTGTATAATGCTGAGGTTTGGGGGTACAATTGATCCATCACCCAGGTACTGAGCATAGTACTCAATAGTTTTTCAACCTTTGCCCCTTCCCTCCCGCCTCCCCCAGTCATCCCCAGTGTCTATTGTTGCCATCTTTAAGGGCATGAGTATCCAATATTTAGTTCCCACTTATCAATGAGAACATGCAGTATTTGGTTTTCTGTTTCTGCATTAATTTGCTTAGAATAATGACCTCCAGCTGCATCCATATTGCTGCAAAAGATATGATTTTATTATTTTTTAATGGCTGCATAGTATTCCATGGTATATATGTACCACATTTTTTTTATCCAGTCCACCATTGATGGGAATGTAGGTTGATTCCATGTCTTTGCTATTGTTAATAGTGCTATGATGAACATACAAGTGCAGGTGTCTTTTTGGTAGAACGATTTATTTTCCTTTGGGTATATACCCAGTAGTGGGATTGCTGGGTGAAATGTTAGTTCTATTTGAAGTTCTTTGAGAAATCTCCAGACTTCTTTCCACAGTGGCTGAACTAATTTACATTCCCGCCAACAGTGTATAAGTGTTCTCTTTTCTCTGTAGCCTTGCCATCATCTGTTGTTTTTGACTTTTTAATAATAGTCATTCTGACGGGTTTGAGATAGTTTCTCATTGTAGTTTTGATTTGCATTTTTTTGATGATTAGTAATGTTAAACATTTTTCCATGTGTTTGTTGGCCATTTGCATATCTTCTTTTGAAAAGTGTCTGTTTATATCTTTTGCCCATTTTAAAAATGTTTGCTTTTTCGGTTAAGTTGCTTATAGATTCTGGGTATTAGACCTTCGTCAGATGCACATTATGTGAATATTTTCTTCTGTATGTTGTCTCTTTATTCTATTGATAGTTCTTTTGCTGTGCAAAAGCTCTTTAGTTTAATTAGGTCTCACTTGTCAATTTTTGTTTTTGTTACAATTGCTATTGAGGGCTTAGTCATAAATTCTTTTTCAAGGCCAATGTCCAGAAAGGTGTTTCCTGGGTTTTCTTCTAGAATTCCTGTATTTTGAGGTCTTACATTTAAATCTAATTCATCCTGAGTTAATTTTTTATATGGTGAAAGGTAAGAATCCAGTTTCATTCTTCTGCATATGGCTAGCAGGTTATCCCAGCACCTTTTGTTGAATAGGGAATCCTTTCCCTATAGCTTATTTTTGTTGACTTCGTCAAATGTCAGATGGCTGTAGGTGTGCAGCTTTATTTCTGCTTCTCTATTCTGTTCCATTGGCCTACGCATCTGTTTTTGTACCAGTACCATGCTGTTTTGTTTACTGTAGCCTTATAGTATAGTTTGAAGGCTATAGTATACTATAGCCTTATAGTATAGTCAGGTAATGTCATGCCTTTGGCTTTGTTCTTTTTGCTTAGGTGCTTTTGTTATTTGGGCCCTTTTTTGGTTCCATATGAATTTTAGAATAGTTTTTTCTATTATAGTCTTGTGAAAAATGATGTTAGTAGTTTACAAGAATAGCACTGAATCTGTAGATTGCTTTGGGCAGTATGGTCATTTTAATCATACTGAGTCTTCTAATCCATGAGCATAGAATGTTTTTCTGTTTGTGTCATTTATGATTTATTTCCGTAGTGTTTTGTAGTTCTCCTTGTAGAGATCATTCACCTCCCTTGTTAGATGTAATCTTAAGTATTTTATTGCTTTTTTGTGGCCACTGTAAGTGGAATTTTATCATTTATTTGGCTCTCAGCATGAGCATTATTGGTGTATAGAAATGTTACCTATTTTTGTACATTAATTTTGTATCCTGGAACTTTACTGAAGTCATTTATCCATTCCAGGAGGCTTTTGGTGGAGATTTAGGGCTTTCTAGGTATGGAATCATATCGTCAGTGAAGAGAGATAGTTTGACTTCTTCTTTTCCTATTTGTATACCATTTATTTATTTATTTATTTATTTATTTATTTATTTATTTATTTATTTTGAGACAGAGTATTGCTCTGTTGCCCAGGCTGGAGTGCAGGCGCAATCTCAGCTCATTGCAACCTTTGCCTCTGGGGTTCAAGCGATTCTCCTGCCTCAGCCTCCCAAGTAGCTGGAACTACAGGCACATGCCACCATGCCTGGCTAATTTTTAGTAGAGTGGGGTTTCACCATGTTGGCCAGGCTGGTCTCGAACTCCTGACCTCAGGTGATCCACCCACCTTGGCCTCCCAAAATGCTGGGATTATAGGTGTGAGCCACCATGCCCCGCCTATATCTTTCTCCTGCTGATTTGGTTTGGATCTGTGTCCCCACCAAATCTCATGTGCAATTGTAATCCTCAGTGTTGGAGGTGGGCTTGGTGGGAGGGGAGACACTTTTAAACAACCAGATCTTGTGAGAACTCTATCACAAGAACAGCACCAAAGGGATAGTGCTAAACCATTCATGAAGGATCCACCCCCATGATCCAATCCCCTCCCACCAAGCCCACCTCCAACATTGAGGATTATTATTCTAGCTAACAATCTATTAATGTTGTTTATCCTTTCAACGAATCAACTTTTGGTTTTGTTGATTCTTTGTGTGGGTCTGGAGGTCTCCTGCTCCTGCCATGTAAGATACTTACTCCCATTTTGCCTTCTACTTTGAGTAGAAGCTCTCTGAGGCCTCCCCGGAAGCAAATGATACCATGCTTCCTATATAGCCTGTGGAACCATGAGCCAATTAAACCTCTGTTCTTTATTTATTACCTAGTCTCAGGTATTTCTTTATAGCAATGTCAGAATGGACTAATGCATCTGCCTAATTGCTCTGGCTAGGACCTTCAGTACTATGTTGAATAGGAGTGGTGAGAATGGGCTTCCTGTCTTTTTCCAGTTTCCAAATATGCTTTCATTTGCCCATCAGTATGATTCTGGCTGTGGGTTTATCATAAATGGCTCTTATTATTTTGAGGTATGTTCCTTTGATGCCTAGTTTGTTGAGTGTTTTTATTGTGAAGGGATGTTGGATTATATCAAAAGCTTTTCCCACATCTATTAAGATGATCATATGTTTTATGTTTTTAATTCTGTTTATGTGGTGAATCGCATTTATTGATTTGCATATGTTGAACCAACCTTGCATCCCAGGAATAAAGCCTACTTAAGCAGGGTGAATTAACTTTTTGATGTGCTGCTGAGTTTGGTTGAGGATTTTCCTGAAGATTTTTGCATCCATATTCATTGGAGATATTGACCTATAGTTTTTCCTTTTTTTCACTGTATTTTTTTTTTGGCCAGTTTTTGGTATCAGGGTGATGCTGGCTTCATAGAATCAGTTAGAAAAGAGTCCCTCATCCTGGATTTTTTGGAATAGTTTTAGCATTGGTACCAGCTCTTCTTTGTGTGTCTGGTAGAATTCAGCTGTACATCCATCTAGCCTGGGGCTGTTTCTACTTGGTAGATTTTTTTTTTTTAATTACAGATTCAATTTCAGAACTCGATATTGGTCTGTTCAGGGTTTCGATTTATAGCTGATTCAGTCTTGGGAGATTGTGTTTTGCCAGGAATGTATCCATTTCCTCTAGATATTTTAGTATGCTTAGAGGTGTTCATAATAGTCTCTGAGGATCTTTTGCATTTCTGTGAGATTGGTTGTAGTGTCACCTTTATCATTTCTGATTGTGCTTATTTGGATCTTCTCTTTTGTTTTTTATTATTCTAGCTAACAATCTATTAATGCTGTTTATCCTTTCAAAGAATCAACTTTTGGTTTTGTTGATTCTTTGTGTGGTCCTGGAGGTCTCAATTTCATTCAGTCCTGCTCTGATTTTAGATATTTCTTTTTCTCTGATAGCTTTGGGGTTAGTTTGTTCTTGTTTTTTCTAATACTTCTAAATGTGATGTTAGATTGTTAATTTGAGACCTTTCTCTTTTAAGGTAGGTGTTTAGCACTATAAACTTTCCACTTAACACTGCTTTTGCCACATACCAGAGATTTTGGTATGTTGTGTCTTTGTTTTCATTTATTTCAAAGAATGTTTTCATTTCTGCCTTAATTTTATTGTTTACCCAAAAGACATTCAGCAACAAGTTGTTTAATTTCCAGGTAATTTTGTGGTCTTGAAGAGATCTTCTTGCTGTTGACTTCTATTTTTATTCCATTGTGGTCTGAGAGTATGATTGGTATAATTTTGATTTGTTTTAATTTATTGAGATTTGCTTTATGGCCAAGTGTGTGGTCAATCTTGGAGTATGTTCCATGTGCAGATGCAAAAAATGTATATTCTGTGGTTGGTGGGTGGAATATGCTATAGATGTCTATCAGGTCCGATTGGTTGAGTGTCGAATTTAAGTCCAGATTTTATTTGTTAGTTTTCTGCCTCGATGATCTAACACTGTCAGTGGGGTGTTGATGTCTACCACTATTATTATGCAACTAAGTCTTTTCATAGGCCCACAAGTACTTGTTTTATGAATCTGGGTGCTCCAATGTTGGGTGCATATATATTTAGTAAAGTCTTGTCGAATTAAACCCTTTATCATGATGTAATGCCCTTCTTAGTCCTTTCTTACTGTTGTTAGTTTAAAGTCTGTTTTATCTGATATAAGAACAGAAACCCCTGATCTTTTTGGTTTTTCATTTGTGTGACAAATCTTTCTCCTACCCTTTACTTTGAGCCTATGTGTGTCTTTACATGTGAAATGAGTCTCCTCAGTACAGCAGACAGATGGATCTTCTTTTCTAAATTCAACTTGCCACTCTGTGCCTTTTAAGTGGGGGTGTTCAGAGCATCTACATTCAAGATTAATATTGATATGCAAGGTTTTGATCCTATCATCAAGTTGTTAAGTGGTTACTTTGTAGTTTATATTATGTGGTTACTTTATAGGGTCTGTGGGCTATGTACTTAACTGTGTTTTTTTGATAGCAGGTATCCTTCTTTCACTTCCATGATTAGAACTCCCTTAAGGACTTTTTGTAAGGTTGGTCTAGTGGTAACAAATTTCCTTAGTGCATGCTTGTCTGGAAAATATTTTATTTTTCCTTTGCTTATGAAGCTTAGTTTGGCAGGATATAAAATTCTTGGTTGAAATTTCTTTTCTTTAAGAATGCTGAAAACTATCCCAGTTAAACAAAAATAAAGAAAAAAGAATTTAGAAAATGAGCAAAAGTCTTCAAGAAATATGGGATTAGAATTAGAAGAATTTCAAGCTCTGAAATTCTTTCTTCTGCTTGGTCCAGTCTATTGATAAAGCTTTCAATTGTATTTTGAAATTCCTTAAGTGAGTTTTTCAATTCCAGTAGCTCTGATTGATTTCTTTTTAAGACTTCTATCTCCGCTTTCATTTCATGGATTGATTTAGAAGTTTCTTTTTGCTGATTTTCAACCTTGTCTTGGAACTCATTAAGCTTCCTTGCAATCCATGTTTTGAATTCTTTGTCATTTCTTAGTTTCCCTTTTGGTTAGGAACTCTTGCTGGAGAGCTAGTGTGACCCTTTGGTGGTGTCACTACATTCAGATTTTTCATGGCGCCAGAATTCTAGTTTCTAGGCATGGAGCAGAGAGGGCCCTGCTATAGCATGATCTCAGGGGAGCATATTGGGGCACCCAGCAATGACACATGCAGAGCAGTTCCAGGTTGTCAAGCTGGTCCTGGCTGCAAGTATTGTCATCAGGAGAAACTGCAGCAGTAGCAGCTTTCCTCCCACCACAGGCCGGCATCAGGGGAGAGCACAATTCCAGTGCCTACTACTGAGGCACTTTCCACTGTTCTGACTGTGGAGGCCCTTATCCTGCTCCAGAGCAGGCACTCCAATCTCTAGCCTGAACTAAAGTGCCTGCATGGCCATGCTGCTGGGTCACCAAAGAATGTCTGACTTTCTATATGCCTGGATTAAAAATGGTGTGCTGCTCTTGGTTCTGGGTCTGGGAAAATGCCTGCAGCTTTTCCCTGTATCTTTCCCTCTCAGTGCCTCCAGGTCACTCCTCAAGTTAGCTCCAGAGCTTGAGAGAAACAAAGTGTTCTCTCTGGGCTTGGGTTGCTCAGAGCCCCAGTGGAAAGGTGAGTCAAAGAGAGAGGTTCTCTGCCTTTCTCATGTACTAGGAATTCACTCACTTTTGTCATCCAGATACCATCCATGATGGGTGCCATTTGCCTGCATTCTTCTTCCCGGAATCTAGAGTGTCCTTCACGATTCTGGTGGATTCTCGTTTTCCTTCTTGAATTAAAGCTCACAGAGTCGATCTTTATGCACTATCTTGCTATTTCCAAATGGCTGAGGCATGCTGAAAGCCTCTAATTTACCATTTTTTTGGAGGTGTGGTGGGGAAAGAAGCACTAAAATTTTAAATGTTGATAAAGTACAATTTATCTTTTTTTCTTTCGTTGCTTGTGCTTTAGGTGTCATATGTAAGAAACTATTGCTTACTCCAAGGTTACAGAGATTTATGCTTGTATTTTCTTCTAAAAATTTATACTTTTAGCTCTTTTATACAGATCTTCGACCTATTTTTTATGAACATTCTTGTATGTGACTTTTAGTTAATATATGTTCACATTTCTGTTGAGAATATGTGTAAGAGTGAAATTGCTGGGACATAGGTGTTTTGAATGTTCAGCTACATTAGATCTTGCAAAATAGTTATGATAGTGTTTGTAGCAATTTATAGCCTAACCTGCAGCGTATGAGAGTTCTCTATCCTTGTCAACACTTGATACGCTGCTAGTCTTTTTGATTTTAGCCATTCTGAGGATGTTTACTTGTATTATATTATGGTTTTTTAATGCATTCCTTTGATGACTAATGAAGTTCAAAATATTTTTCTATGCTTATTTGCCATTTGTATACTGCTTTTCGGAAGTACTTATTCAAGTGTTTTGCCTATGTTTTTCTTACTGTAAGGGTTCTAGCTCAGTTATGTGATGCTGCATAACAAAATACCCCAAAACTAAGTGGTAATGGTTTAGTAACAATTAATAACAAAGACAAAGCACTGATAAAACAATTTATCAATTTTTTTGTAATTTTGTGAGTTGAATGGTGATTGCTCAGCTTGTTTTGCTTGAGTTTACTCATCTGGCTGCATTTGATTTGAAGTTTCACTGATGGAGAACTAGACTCCATCTCTGTATGAGAGGAAAGGCAACATCAATTACAAAAGGCCTGCATACTGGGATAGGAGTTTGTGACCATTAAACAATTAACCACACCTTCTCCAACTCTGTGGCTTGCCTTTTCTTGCTCCTAATAAGGTTTTTGATAAAAAAAAATTCTTAATTTTAAGGTAGTCCATCTATTAATCTTTTCCTTTATGATTAGCACATTTCATGTACCATTTAAGAATACAAAACAATTAATTATTTAAAAAAATTGCTGGCTAGGTGTGGTGGCTCATGCCTGTAATCCCAGCACTTTGGGAGGCCAAGGTGGGCGGATCACGAGGTCAGGAGTTTGAGACCATCCTGGGCAACATATTGAAACCCCGCCTCTATTAAAAATACAAAAATTAGCTGGGCATGGTGGTGTGTGCCTGTAGTCCCAGCTACTCAGGAGGCTGAGGCAGGAGAGTCGCTTGAACCCAGGAAGTGGAGGTTGCAGTGAGCGAGCACCACTTCACTCCAGCTTGGGCAACAGAGTGAGACTTCGTCTCAAAAAAAAAAAAAAATGCCTATTCCAAGGTCATAACGATATCCTGAGTTATCTTCTTGAAGGTTTTGCATTTAGATTTAAAATCTACCTTTTTTGGTATATATTTTTTTGTACATGACATGTGGTAGGAATTAATTTACTTGCTTTTCAGTATTGGGATACAAACAATAACATGATATATTGAAAAGACAATCCTTTCTCCACTACACTTTGTCATAACTCAACTGTTCACATGTTTGCAGGTCTGTTTCTGAAATCTCTGTTTTGCTCTATTGATCTATTTCCATATTCTTGTGTCATTACCACATTGAATGCTGTGGCTTTATAAAGCAGTCTTGAAATCTGGGTGAGTAGGTCAATTTTGTTTTTTATTTTTTTGAGATATCCTTGATTCTTCTTGGTTCTTTGCATTTCAGATACAGTTTTCAATCAGTAAATTTCAAATTTTATGTTGCCTAGATTTGGACTAGTGTTGCACTGTTTGTATAGAGCAATCTGAGGGAATTGACACATTATAATATTGTATCTTTTATTCCATGGACTTGGTTTATTCCTCCATTTATTTAGGCTTCTTTAATTTCTTGCAATATGGTTTTGTAGTTTTATGTGTGTAAGTATTGCACATCTTTATTAAGTTTATTTCTGGTTGCTTAGATTTTTTTGTTATAATCATTAAAAAATTTAATTTTCCATCTGCTTTTCATATGGGTAACTACTATGGAATTTTTGAAACATTGGATATGTTTGTCTATTAATAAATTGGCACCACACTACCTTCCATTTCTCCTCACCTGTATAGTTCTGGATGCCAATGAAAGGAAGTTGCACTTGCTTTGGAAGGTAGAAATAAAGAGTAAGACATTATCTTTTAGAGGCACTTGCAGCCAAACATATTGGCCCACAGTTCACAGTCGCTTCAGGAAATTTTTTGACAACTCATTTCATTAATGCAGACTAAAGCAGTTGGTGTAAACTTCTCAGAGATTTAACACCTTTCAGTAATGTCTCAGAGATTTAGCACCTTTCAGTAGGTCTTTCAATAAGCATCTGCCTGCTTTGATGCCTTAGGCTGTAATCTTGGTGCCACCGTTCTGATCTTCGGTTGCAGCCCTTCTGACCTATGATAACAACTTCTCTAACTTTTATTCCTCCAGCTCCTCAAAGAGTGAGCAAGCTCCTAAATATATATTACCTCTTTGTACTCAGAGTGCACGTAGTGGCTTCAGTTTTCACTACTGAACCCTGACTTCTCTATTGATCCAGCAATGTTGCCAAATTAACTTACGAATTCTAATAGGTTACCTGTAGGGAGATTCTGTTTTTCCTACACAGTCATGTTGTCTGCATAGAATGACTGTTTTATTTCTTCCTTTCCTATCCTTATACATTTTATTTCTCTTTTTTGTTTTTGTTTTTTCCTTATTGCACTGATTAGTACTTCCAATACAATTTTGAATAGAAGTTGCATGCTGGATTTGTTCTAAATTTGAAAGGAGAAGATTTAAACATTTTACTCCTAAGAATGGTGTTTCCTATATGTTGTTTTATAGATATCCTTTTTTCAGATTAAGGAAGATACCTTCTATTCTTAGTTTGCTAAGAATGAATGTTGAATTTTATGAAATGCTTTTTCTGAATGTAATTATGCATATATTAAGATAACATTATTTTTCTCTTTTATTGTTAGTTGGCTGAATAATATTGATTGATTTCAAGTGTTAAATAACCTTGTAAACACAATTTGATTTTGATGTATTATCTTCTGAATTCAACTTGCTGATCTTTTCTTTAGGAATTTTACATTTATGTTTATGAAAGATATTGGCATGTAATTTTTTCTTATTATTTTTCTACTTATATTTTAGTATCAAGATTATGCCAATCTCATGAAAGAGACTGGAAAATGTTTCCTCTGCCTCTATGTTCTGAAAAGTTTATATAAAGATTGACAATTTTTTCTATAAAGGTGAAACTATCTGTGCTGGAGTTCTATTTACAAGGAGGTTTTTAATTACTGACAATTTGCAAAAAGATACAGGATTATTTTAATTTTCTTTTTTGTTGTTGCTTTTGAAAGGCTAGATACAAAATCAATAGAGAAGTCAGGATTTGATATGGATAACAGAAGCCACTATGTGCACTGTGAGTACACATAAATAAAGTTCTCTAGGACTTTATTTATTTTATCTAAAATTTTCAAATTTAGCGACAAAGTTGTTTGTAGTATGTATTTATTTTTATAATGCCTCTAGGATCTAAAATAATCTACCAGTTTTTAAATTTATGGTATTGGCAAGTAGTGTCTTCCTTTTTAAAAAATCACTCTTGCTAAAGGTATATCAATTTAATTATTCTTTCAAAGAACAGATTTCTGCCTTTGTTGGTTTTCTCTGTGAAATATTTGTTTTTCTATTTTATCAATATCTGTTTTTATCTTATTTTTTCCCTTCTTTAATGATCTTAATTTAAGTTTAATTTGAGTTTATTGAGCTTCACTGAGTTTATTATTTCTTTTTTCTTTCTTTTTCTTTTTTACAGAGAGAGTCTCACTCTGTCATTCAGACTGGAGTACAATGGTGTGATCATAGCTCACGATAGCCTGTTAACTCCTGGGCTCAAGCAATCCTCCAGCCTCAGCCACTTTAGTAGCTGGGACAAGAGGTGCATACCACCGTGCCTGGCTAATTTTTAATTTTTTTTTGTAGAGATAGGGTCTTGCCATGTTGCCCAGGCTGGTCTTGAACTCCTGGCCTCAAGTGATCCTCCCACCTTGGTTTCCCAAAGTGCTAGGATTATAGGTGTGAGACACTGCTTATGACCTGAGCTTCATTGAGTTTAATTTGCCACTCTTGTGACTATTTGAGATTAATTTTTTTTATTTATTTAAAAAGGAGGCAGAGCATAAAAGTTTGGAAAATTTGCAGTGTGGCCCTGTGGTAGAGAAAGAATCCAAGCAGTATATGGAGCAACCACTTGCTAGACAGCTTACCATGACTAAAAGAGAGCCAAGTGTTAATATCCAAGGGAAAAAGGTCTCAAACGCATTTCAGAGATCTTTGAGGCAGCCCCTCCCATCACAAGCCCAGAGGCCTGGGAGGAAAGAATGGTTTTGGGGTCCAAGCCCAGGGCCTTGCTACCCTGTGCAGCCTCGGGACACTGTTCTCCACATCCTTGCTGTTTCAGTTCCAGCCATTGCTTACAGTGGCCAAGGTATAGCTTGGGCTGCTACTCCAAAAAGTGCAAGCCATAAGTCTTGGTGGCTTATACTTGGTGTTAAGCCTGCAAGTGTGCCGAATGTAAGAGTGAAGGAGGCTTGGCAGCTTCCAACTAGATTTCAGAGAATATATGAGAAAGACTGCTGCAGGGGTGGAGCCCCCACAGAGATACTCTACCAGGGCAGTGCAGAGAAGAAAGGTAGGATTGGAGCCCCTGCTAGAGCACTGCCTACTGGAGCTGTGGAAAGGGGGCTGCCGCCCTCCAGATCTGAGAATGGTAGGACCACCAGCAGCTTGCAACCTTAGCATGGAAAAATTGCAGGCACTAAACTCCAACCTGTGAAAGTAGCCACAGGGCCTTCATCCTGCAAATCCACAGAGGCAAAGCTGCCCAAGGCCTTGGGAGCCCACCTCTTGTAGCAGTATGCCTAGGATGTGGGACATTGAATCAAACACATTATTTTGGAGCTTTAAGATTTAATGATTGCCCCACTGGGTTTCAGACTTGCAGGGGCCGTTTTGCCCCTTTGTTTTGGCCTACTTTTCTCTTCTTGAATGGGAGTGTGTACCCAGTGCCTGTACCACCATTGTATCTGGAAGGTAAACAACTTGTTTTTGACCTTGTAGGCTATTAGATAGAACGAACATGCCTTGAGTTCCAAATGAGACTTTGAAATATTTGAGTTGATGCTTAAATGAGTTGAGACTTTCAGGAACTATTGGGAAGGGATGAGTGTATTTTGCAATATGAGGACATGAGATTTAGGGAGCAGGGGTAGAATGATACAGTTTGGATGTTTGTCCTCTTCAAATCTCATGTCGAAATGTGATCTCCAACGTTGGAGGTGGGGGCCTGGTGGGAGTTGTTTTTGTCATGGGGGGGGTGGATCCCTCATGAATGTCTTGGTGTCCTCCTCACAGTAGCAAGTGAGCTCTCACTCTGAGTTCACATGTGATCTGGTTGTTTAAAAAAGTGTGGCACCTTCTCCTCTTTCTCCCTTGCTCCCTCTCTTGCCATATGACATGCCTACTCTTGTTTTGTCTTCCACCATGACTGTAAGCTCTCTGAGGCCTCACCAGAAGCTGAATGGATGCTGGTGCCATGCTTCCTTCACAGCAGGGAGCACAGTGAGCCAAGTAAACCTCTTTCCTTTGTAAATTACTCAGTCTCAGGTATTCTTTTAAAGCAACACAAATAGATTAACACATCCACTTCAAGAAAGCCAGTTTCCCATCATAGTGTTTATGCTTCCATCCCTAGACCAAGGACCAAAACCTCACATTTGTGTGATTCTTTATTTAACACACATTGCTTGCAAGTCTATTATGTGCCAGGAGATGTTCTAAATGCTGGGGACTCAACAGTGAACAAAACAAAGTCCCTGCCTTCATAGAACATTCTATAGAGAACATAAACAGACACATTTATAATATAATGTCAGCTAGTTATAAATGCTACAAAGAAAAATAAATCAGGTAAAGGATACAGAACAATGATTAAGTTCTAGCCCTTCACCACAAGACCAGGCCAGTAATGTAAATGAGTGAAGCAAATAAGGAATAAGACAAAAGGGATTTGTGAGGATGTGGCAAACTGGAAACTGCATGCTGTGTCTAAGGGAAAAAGCTACTATTCAGCACAGCTCTTTATGAGAAACTGGAGCCAATGTTCCCGAAGCTTCTAGTTATAGTGTATAAGAGAAACAAGCCATCTAGATTTTTTGTAAAATCTTCCAACTTTTAAATGTTGGAAAATAGTTTTTAAATTTTTTTAACACTCTGTAGATCTAACATTCCTCTGTCCGAGAAGATATTTGGTCATGGCCATCAGTTTGTAATTTTTTTTGGACCAGTGGTTCTCAATCTTGTTTGCACATTAGAATCACTGGGGAGCCTTTTAAAAATACCAATGCTTGGGCTCCACTCCAGACCAATTAAGTCACAATATATGGGCATGGGGCCCAAATATTTTTTAAAACTTTAATCTCCCCAGGTTACTTCTGCTTCTGATTATGACTCACCACTTGTATCAGAACTTATTTCCCAAAACAGCTTAAGAACTGATTTTAAAAAAAATATCTATTTGAAGAAATCAGAGAGATAAGCTACAAAGGCAGCCAAGATTTTGGAGACTAAAATGTCTAAGTAAAATGCTGTAAAGTGAGCTTGATATTTCCCACTTGAATAATTTGCTCATTCGTAAGCAGTGAATGATCAAGATGCTGAGAAATCTGGGGTAAGGGTCTGAGAAGCTGAGTAGCACTCTCAGATATCTGAGGATTCCGGAAAGATACACATTAGAGTTCAAAAGAAACCAACCAAAAAAAGAAAGAAAGAATGAATGAATGAAAGCAAGCCTGGAAACACATCAAACGTTTAGCAGAGATGCCAGAAGTTACCATAACTCAAGAGTTATGGCTAATAGAAAACTGACAAGCCATAACCCCTACTCAAACTACCTGCCAGAAGTAAAACTTTAATTCTCTCTGAAGAAAGTTAGGGTAATTGGGAACCTCAAATTATCTCTAAAGCTTTTTTTTTTTTTTTTTTTTTTTGATGGAGTCTCGCTCTGTCATCCAGGCTGGAGTGCAATCTTGGCTCACTGCAAGCTCCGCCTTCCAGGTTCACGCCATTCTCCTGCCTCAGCCTCCCGAGTAGCTGGGACTACAGGCACCCATCACCACGCCTGGCTAATTTTTTGTATTTTTATTAAAGACGGGATTTCACCATGTTAGCCAGGATGGTCTTGATCTCCTGACCTTGTGATCTGCCTGCCTCGGCCTCCCAAAGTGCTGGGATTACAGGCATGAGCCACTGTGCCTGGCCCTCTAGAGCTCTTAATACATAATGTCTACCATTTAATCAAAAAATTTCAGATATGTTAGAAAATAATACCAAACTACTTCAAATCAAGAGAAAAATATAGACAACAGAAACAGACCCACAAGTGATATGGACACATAAATTTTTAGACACAGATTTAAATGATTGTGATGAATAAGTTCAGTGAAATAAATGACAATATGGAGAATTTTACCAGAACACCGGAATCTATTTAAAAAAATCAAATGAAGATTCTGTGACAGAAAGCTAGTGTAAAATATCAGTAGATGCTTGAATGGCATATTAGACACAACTGAAGGGAGAAAACTCAGTGGAAACTATCCAGACTGAAGGAAGTATGGGGAGAAGAAAAAGATAGAAAACATAGAAAAGAGCATAACAGACATACAAAACATGGTCAATAAATATGGGATATGTGTAACTGGAGTCCCATAAATGAGGAGATAATATATCAGAAGCAATATCTGAAGAGATAATGGCCAAAAATTTTCAAAAAACTGATGAAAAACACCAATCTACAGAATTATTACCAAAGAAGGTATGTAAAAACTGCTAAGAAGTGTTACCAAAAAAGGCAAGTAAAAACTGCTAAAAAAAAATGTAAAGCACCCAGACAAATTAAAACATATTACCTTTAGAGAAGCAATGAGATCAACAGCAGACATAAAAATAAATTATGAGAGCAAAAGAGACAATGAATGCAGTGATTCCTTTAAAGTATTAAAAGAAAATAATTACCAACTTTTAATTATATACCCAGCAAAAACATTCTCTAAAAAATATAGGAAAATTAAAAGTTTATGGATGAAAAAAAGTTAAAACAGAAAAGAAAGAAAAAACCAACAAAGAATTTATCACCAGCAGACCCACAATAAAAAATTTAAAAGAGAGTTGTTGAGGTACATGAAAAAGAATCCTCAAAATCTGTAAATGCAGAAATAAAGAGCAACATAAAAGATAAATGTTTAATAAAGCTGAATGTATACTACCTAAAATAATAATTTCTTATAAAGTTAGAAAATTTAGTAGAATTAAAAATACATGATAATGATAGCATAAGAGGATGTGAGAGAGTTAAAAATAAAGAAATGTGTGTACCTAATAACATACAAATATTAAGCAAAAATTGATTAAAACTAAATGTAAAACCAGAAAAATCTGTAATCATAATGAGATTGGTACCCAATAATTATTTGAATGAGGAGAAAAAATTGTCAGTAAAGATATTGAAAGTTTGAGCAATAAAATGTACAACTTAACATAAATAGCATCTGACTTACGTGCAGTGGGATGCTGCATCCAACAACTACAGAATACATGTTTTCAAATACACAAGGGGAAGTTATCAAAATTCACCATTTATTGATCCATAAAGAAATCTCAACACATTTCTAAAGATTAAAATAATAGTGTATGTTTTCCAACCACAGTGGAAGTCAGTCAGAAATAAACAATAATAAAATAAACTAGAAGATAACTCTAAAAAAATCCCTAATGTTTAGAGATACCCTTCCAAATAAATAATTGCTTAAATAAGACATCATAATGAAAATTAGAAAATTTAAATTAGAAATTAAATATGTTCCAACTTTAGGTCATTGTCTTGCTCCTACATCTCATCATGGGTTGTTAGAAGCAGCCAGGTCACATTTTGAACACTTCACTGCTTAGAAATTTCTTCCACTAGATACCCGAAATCATCTTAAGTTCAAACTTCCACAGATCCCTAGGACATGAACATAATGCAGCCAAGTTCTTTGCTATGATGTAACATCGGCAATATTTACTCCAGCTCCCAATAAATTCCTCATTTCCATCTGAGACCTTGTCAGCCTGGACTTCACTGTCCATATCTCTATCAGCATTTTGGCCACAACCATTTAACCAGTCTCTAAGAAGTTCCAAACTTTCCCTCATCTTCTGTTTTCTTCTAAGCCCTCCAAAGTCTTCTAACCTCTGCCTGTTACCCAGTTCCAAAGCTACTTCCACATTTTCAGTTATCTTTATAGTAACGCCCTACTCCTCAGAACCAATTTTCTGTGTTAGTCCATTTGTGTTACTGTAAAGGAATACCTGAGACTGGGTTACTTATAAAGAAAAGAGGTTTAATTCGTTCATGGTTCTGCAAGCTGTACAGAAAGCATGGTGCCAGCATCTGCTTGGCTTTTGTGAGGTCTTCAGGAGCTTACAATCGTGGTGGAAGGCAAAGCAGTAGCAGGCATGTCACATGGCAAGAACAGGCATGAGAGAGAGAAAGGGGGAAGTTTACACTCCTCTAAACAACCAGGTCTCATGTGAACACCAGGTCCCACCTCCAACGTTGGAGAATACATTTCAACATGAGATTTGGAGGACACAAACATCCAAACCATATCAGTGGGTCTTGGAGAAGAACATTCTTTCTCTTTGTTCATGTTTCTGCATGGGAAGAATATCTACTAGAGTAGCATACCTGGCTTTCTCAGTCCCGCTCATTTATTCCTCCTTCAGCAAAGAGAGGGAGTAGATTTTCTGGCTGATAAGTTAGGGAGAAGGACAGGTCATGTGCAGCCCAGCAACTTTCTATGCTTCTTGTCTCTTTTCTTTTGGGATATGTCTTCCTGAAATAAATACATATTGTATTTGTTTCTCCATATCTTATTATGCAGGACTTCCCTCCTATCCTCTAATAAATTTTTCACATGGCCCTGCGGATCTGCTTTAAACCCATCTCCACCTGCTCTGCACTCTTTGAGGACTGTATCAAATGACTCCTTTGCCCTCTGCCTTCTGGTTAGGTTTGGCCAATGGAAGGCACAGACATGAAATCAGAGGCCAGGAGGAAGAGAATAGGGGCAGGTTGTTTGTTTTCCTGAATCTCCTTCACCAGGTAATGTGTGTGCTGTCTCCTTTGACTGATGGCCACAGCTCCATTCCAACCTCCCTCTCTTGCAGCTATTCTCCTTGGGTTCTGGTAACCTCTCCCTTCTTGTGTTCCTTCAGGCCTAAGGGTGGTAATGGCTTCTTTTCCTTGTGAGCCCCAGGTGTGTCACCATGCCTTCTGGTTTCCATTAACCCTTATAAATAATTCCTTTCCTAATCACTGTTTATTTAACCTGTCGGATGAGCATAACATCTGTTCTTTCCCATACTAGTCAGGGTTCTCTAGAGGGACAGAACTAATGGAATATATACATGTTTATTAAGTTTTTACTCACATGATCACAAGGTCCCACAATAGGCTGTCTATAGGCTGAGGAGCAATGAAAGCCGGTTTGAGTCACCAAACTGAAGAACTTGGAGTCTGATGTTTGAGGGCAGGAAGCATCCAGCACAGGAGGAAGTTGTAGGCTGGGAGGCTAGGCCAGTCTCTCTTTTCACATTTTTCTGCTTGCTTATATTCTAGCCACTCTGGCAGCTGATTAGATTGTGCCTAACCAGATTAAGGGTGGTTCTGCCTTTCCCAGCCCACTGACTCAAATGTTAATCTCCTTTGGCAAAGCCCTCACAGACACACCCAGGATCAGTACTTTGTATTCATCAATCCAATCAAGTTGACACTCAGTATTAACCATCACAGACCCTAAACAACCCAACCTATTGCCTTCTTGCTTACTAGGTTTGGCTGGGCCTGGAGACTGGGCCAGATTTAAAACCAGAGGTAGAAAAGCAAGAGAGGGATCAGATAGTGACCTAGACAGAGAATTTGCTCTATTGAGGGTCATACTGTCAAAAGGCCTGGCCCATGAGTCCTCAGTGCCTGTTCTCAATCGCCCACCTGTTCCCTACTCCCCACCCTCCTGCTCCCATACTGCTGCCTCCACCCCAGGCCAAGGGAGCTCCAGCAGTGGCTTGGAGCTGGAGAAGTCCTGCTGTCCCTGCCCAGCAGATGTGTGTGAGTGAAGGGGTTGGGGGGTGGAGGAGGAACCTATGACACAAAAGAATCTCCTGGTTTCACCACAAGAAGGACTATATGCTCCTAAGGTCTAGGTTGAAATCTGGAGTGGGATTTCCCCAGAAATGTTTTTACATTTACT